>NC_000001.11:97053835-98303835 GCF_000001405.40 Homo sapiens | reverse complement strand
CCATTAAATATCAACCATTAAGCTGTGGTTTTTTTTGTTTGTTTTTTGTTTTTGTTTTTTTAGCAAAGTATGATTGTTGCCTTGAGGACAAGCATTTGTGCAATTATTTGAGTTGCAAGCTGAACTAGCTGATCTTTTCACAAACTCAATTTTTACTTGAAAGAAAGATTGATGGTCACACTATGGTTATTTAGAATTGGTATGTGACATATATTTTACAAAAATGCACTGAGCCCATCATTTCAAGAAAAATACTAATTGTTATAAATGATAAAATTAGCAGTTTCAAGTGAATGTTGGAAAATGTATATCTACTACCATGAGCTTGACAACTTCCTAATATGTAATGACTTTTCATATGTATGGTAGTAATATTAATGCACATGATGATTTTGATGTTGTATAATGAAATGTATCAATGTTTGGGAGATCTATGTAACTCAGTAAGCTAGTCTTTTCCAAATGAATGCATGATATAAAATCATTCATAAGTAAAGGATCCATTCAAAATGCTAGACAGACCAATGAATTTTAATACAAGAGAGGACAAAAAGTTCATTGATGTGTTTCCAGATTCCACAATGCAACTACCTTTTAAGAAACATTTGTCAAGTTTTGGTGTAATATCAATAAAGAATACCTGAAAAGGCTATTAAAATACTCCACTATTGTCAAACTATCTTTCAGAAACTGGATTTTCTTCATATGCTTCACCTAAAACAATATATTGAAATAACAATATATTGAAATAATAAATAAAACAATATATTGAAATCTCTCTGATTCTGCATTCATATGGGAATCCAGCTATCTTCTGTCAATCTAGAGCTTAATAATATTTGCAAAATATGTAAAACAATGCTGCACTTGTCACTACCAGTTTTGGAAAATACAGTTGTTTTTCATTCAAAAAGTATTTCTAATTTGTGATGTGCTTATTGCTATTTTAAAATGAATTAATAAATAGCTTTTTAAACTTCCCAGTTTCAATTTCTAATATGGTAACTATCAATAGATACATCCACAAAAACGAAAAGGTTTTGGTGTCTCTCAATAATTTTAAGAGTATGAAGGACTCCTGAGACCAAATCATTTAGAAACTGATGCATTAAACTTTTTATACAAGGGAATCTCATGTAAGAATAAGTTTATGTGAGATAGAGTGGGATTAAGGAATACTCATTAAGAGGCCCTGGCAGTATCCCATTAAGAGATGAAAATAAATTAGGTTGTTGTTTGTGGAGACTGAGAGTAGCAGACAGATTTGAAAACTACTAAGTGATAAGTCTAACACTTGGAGAAGGACAGGATATGGACTGATAAAGGAACATGGTTGAGGAAGGCACCGTGTTGAGGAAATACTCTCAGGTTTGCGATTTTCCTAAGAGAACGGACCATCTTTCAATCTACAAAACACAGGAAGCGAACAAGAATAAGGAATGGGTCTTTGGTTCTGTTTATATGCTGGATTACATTTATTGATTTGCGTATGTTGAACCAGCCTTGCATCCCAGGGATGAAGCCCACTTGATCATGGTGGATAAGCTTTTTGATGTGCTGCTGGATTCGGTTTGCCAGTATTTTATTGAGGATTTTTGCATCAATGTTCATCAAGGATATTGGTTTAAAATTCTCTTTTTTGGTTATGTCTCTGCCAGGCTTTGGTATCAGGATGATGCTGGCCTCATAAAATGAGTTAGTGAGGATTCCCTCTTTTTCTATTGATTGGAATAGTTTCAGAAGGAATGGTACCAGTTCCTCCTTGTACCTCTGGTAGAATTCGGCTGTGAATCCATCTGGTCCCAGACTCTTTTTGGTTGGTAAGCTATTGATTATTGCCACAATTTTAGAGCCCGTTATTGGTCTATTCAGAGATTCAACTTCTTCCTGGTTTAGTCATGGGAGGATGTATGTGTTGAGGAATTTATCCATTTCTTCTAGATTTTCTAGTTTATTTGCGTAGAGGTGTTTGGGCGAAGGATATGAACAGACACTTCTCAAAAGAAAACATTTATGCAGCCAAAAAAACACATGAAAAAATGCTCATCATCACTGGCCATCAGAGAAAGGCAAATCAAAACCACAATAAGATAACATCTCACACCAGTTAGAATGGCAATCTTTAAAAAGTCAGGAAACAACAGGTGCTGGAGAGGATGTGGAGAAATAGGAACACTTTTACACTGTTAGTGGGACTGTAAACTAGTTCAACCATTGTGGAAGTCAGTGTGGCGATTCCTCAGGGATCTAGAACTAGAAATACCATTTGACCCAGCCATCCCATTACTGGGTATATACCCAAAGGATTATAAATCATGCTGCTCTAAAGACACATGCACACGTATGTTTATTGTGGCACTATTCACAATAGCAAAGACTTGGAACCAACCCAAATGTCCAACAATGATAGACTGGATTAAGAAAATGTGGCACATATACACCATGGAATGCTATGCAGCCATAAAAATGAAGAGTTCATGTCCTTTGCAGGGACATGGATGAAACTGGAAACCATCATTCTCAGCAAACTATCGCAAAGACAAAAAACCAAACACCGCATGTTCTCACTCATAGGTGGGAATTGAACAATGAGAACACATGGACACAGGAAGGGGAACATCACACTCCGGGGACTGTTGTGGGGTGGGGAGAGGGGGGAGGGGTAGCATTAGGAGATATACCTAATGCTAAATGACGAGTTAATGGGTGCAGCACACCAACATGACACATGTATACATATGTAACTAACCTGCACATTGTGCACATGTACCCTAAAACTTAAAGTTAATAATAATTAAAAAAAGAGAAAAAAAAATAAGGAATGGGAGAGAGATTTTAATTTTTGTTATATTTCATTTGAATTTCCCCTGTTTAGCTATCTAAATTGTATACACTTTCCCCCATAATGGATATCAAACCAAAATTTACTTGGAAAGGGCCTTGAGTTAACAGATACAGCAATGCAACTTGCAATTCTGAAGATTTGTTTATAAAAGATAAAACATTTTGAGTGCCGAGGCTAGTAAGTGGTAAAAATTGCTAGTTGGACTTGTTAGCCATAAAACATTTTCTCATTAATTATGTAGTTCTTACATTTTTTCAATGAACTTTCCCCCACAACTGCTGAGAGTGTGCTCTTTTGACATTCTGACCATGAGATACAATGTGGGTGGGATAATCATTGTGTTATCTTTAGTAATGTATTCTGTTATCCTGACAAATTAAATGAATAGCTGACAAATTCACACTGCTGGTAACTTTCCTTTTGCAAATTATATAAAATATTTCAAAATACAATTATGATACACTACTGATAGGTTATTATGGTCAGCAGCATCACTTAGCACCAGATAAATAGCAAGGGATTGTCACAAAACATTGATGAGATTTGAAACTGTAGTTTTTCTTAAACAAGTTCAAAATTAATATCAAATAATCCTTTGTCTATCCTGAGGACAACACCACAACTTCGTATTTATCTTATGTGGCTGCATTAGCTTACTGACTCTGAAAATTGTAAGCTAAACATTAAAACTACCAACCTTAGTGAGAAACAAAAAGGGACACTATGCAGGAATTAACAAATAGCCTGCTTAGTGCATGCCAGACATTCATGGTGGGCATTTATATGTGAGAAGAATGAAAAAATAAATGACAAATGCATTCCCCCTTAATTTCCAGGGACTGCTATCCCTGTCGAAACCCCCTGTGTGGATGTGTTTGTACACACACATGAGTTATATGCAGGAACCTTTTTCATTAAGGGTGCGGTGTTTTTCATGCTAGTGCAGCACCTATCTATCTTCTTTCTGGCAGGGCTGTCTGCTTTTCAGTCAGCATCTGACTAAAGATCAATGAGAGAAAGCTTTTTGAAGGTGCTTTCAGGTCCTGCGGCAAGGGAGATGATCAGAAAGCTGCCATAAGCTTCAGACCCACTTGACAAATTAGGAACTATTTTGGTGCTCTATAAACTGCTGTCACATCAGTTACAAACACTAATTAGAGATACAATACTTTGATAGTTAAAGTGTCCAGTGCATTAAATACCACTTTTGCTTACTGCAATTAGCTTATACATTGACTTACACTTCAGACTATAAGACAGTCAGATTAAAATGCATTGACCATTATTAAAAAATTTATAAGGTAAATATGAGCTAACCATCAAATAGCTTTTTCCTGTTGCCCTTTGACCCTTCCAGATCTTATTTTTCAATGCTTTTGCACACAATTTTTTTCAACCAGCTTTCATTTGTCTGGGCTAAATGTCATACCTTATGATGGCCAATCATCCAACATCAATTAATCAAATTCTGCATCCTGAGAATGAGGTGTGGAAAGAATACTGCCTCTGGTTTTTATAAAGCAATTAGCCATTGAGCCATTATGGGATCCAGCAGTCCCAAACACAGAGAATTTTATGCTTTTTCAGTGCTGTCCCAGTGATAGGGCATTATTGATGAATTGGCATTTAAAAATCCATCCTGTTGATTTTTGAAAAACTAAAGTTTTTATAATGACATTTCCATCTTGGTAGCAGGATACGTCTGCATTTGAAAAAAAATATCTTTTGCAATAACTGACAGAAGTGGTGTGTTTTTAACACAAGAAAACAGTGGGAAAAAATGTCAGGATTTTGGTGCTGATTATCTCTAGAGTTCCAAGAATACTTTTTTTTTTTTTAACTTTGTGTGTGTGTGAGTGTGTCTGTGTGTATTTATGTTGGGAGGATATATCTGAAAACTTTTCTAAGATGAAAAAGTGTGTGAAATATAAAAATCAACTTATTTATTATGCATCTTTGAGATGGCATATGAAGCATTATTTAATGTATACTCTGGCTTCCGAAACAAACAAACAAATCACTTTTTCCTTCCCTTACCTACCCAATGCAGCTTCTAGTGCAGTATTTTTCAGGGAATTGCTCCAATAATGTTTGTTCAAGAATAGAAGGCTATGAAATAATAATTTATGCATGAGTATGAAATAGAGGTAACACAAATTCACTCAAAAATAAAAAAGTGAGTCAAATTAATAGGTGTTTTTAAAAAACAAATCTTACAATAATAGATTAGATGGATAGAGCTCAAACTATTTTCCAACTATCTTGTGTGTGTACCCACACCTCACAAAGAGGAAACTAACTCATCCATTTTAAGTGCCTAAAAATCAAACATTACTTAATTTCATGGAAACAAGCTCTGGGATCCAAATCTCTCTGTTCTCTTCCCACTTCAATTTATAGCAGGGAGGCAGCATATGGTGGAGGACAGCCGAAGGCCTGCAAGTCACCTCTGCAGAGGTGGTTTCAGTGGCAACCCATTGAAACTCAGTCTAGAAAATGGATGTAATAATACTCATCACTTCTCTATTTCAAAGAGGGCTGGGAGGATTAAAGAGCTAGCGTTCCAAATTCAAATTCACATTTTCCTCTAAACCTCAGCAGAATTCTTTGTCATCCCAACAGAGCTGATCTGAGTGAGAAGTGCCATTAAGGAAATAGTAGCACACTCAGAAGAGCTCCAGGGGGATTCAGAAGAGCTCTGGCAGAAGTTCCGGGCTAGATGTAAACTCAGCCCAGTGCTCATGAAGCACGTTGAAATTCTCAAGTGATAGGCACTACATGGGAACAAATCATTCTTAATTTAAGAGATAAATATGCCATATCCAGAACTAATAATGAAGGGGCAGGAATAAATATAAAACTGTAATGATTATGATCATTTATCCCTAAATCTCATGTAGTCTCTCAGTGACATCTGTGAATATTAAGACAATTGTTGTCTGCCCTGCATTATGTACAATGCTGGCAATGTTCAAGGTTTCTGGTGTTCCTCTCACTGTTCCTAAAACAATAGCAGACTAAGAAGATTGATCAGCCTCCAATAGCCCAACCCTCTTTCAGCCCCTACAGAAACATGCTAGTCACTGCCTTAGCAGTTAGGAAAACATCCTGTGATTTCCAACCTGTGTACCTGCTCCGTATATGTTTCCTTAGCTATATATTCAAAGGCAAATTGTGTACACAGGATCGGGTCACCGGAGTTTAATGTCAGAGATCACACTATCTGCACCTTTGAGAATAATGAAATCTGCAACAAAGGAATAATTCTAATCTACTTTTTAACAATTTTGCCATGTAATATTTTTTAGCAAAATGTTATTTTTTCCTAATATTAGTTTTTGTTTCAAAAGACACTTGCTGTAAAAGATTATTTATTCAACATATTAAGGTTGAAATTATAAAATATTTTAAAGAACAGAATAATCTCTACCTATAAGTTGGATTTGCATTATGAATCTTGTAATCTTATGAATGCATTATGAAACTTGCATTATGAATCTTGTAATCTTATAAGATTCATAATGCAAATCCAACTTATAGGTCTAAGATTAGTACTCTACTAATTGGAACAATGTGGAAGTATATATGGGATGTGACCACAAAGCAATGTTAGTGGTTCAGATTTGTATCAGTCCACTAGCCAACAGTATGGATATAGTCCACCTACCACTTTTGAACCCATCCATTCTCTACTACTATTTCATTGTTATCCTTCCTTCTTTCTCACATGCTTTGAGCAGTGACTTGCTAAAATCCAAACACACTATGTCTATAGAATTTTTCTATCTACAAATTTAGTCACCCTAACCAACAGTAATTTGTTGAATCTCATTTGGGTTGTTTTCAGTGGTGTAGTTAAGGCATGCTGTTTCTCAGTTAACTGCTTGCTGAAAATTTGTTTGTTTGTTTCTTTATTCTGGAATCTGCTAGCCATTGATAAAATGGGCTTAGGTCTGACGGTGTGAATGGGCTTCATCTTTTTTATGCAATGTTTCACCATTAACATAATACATTCCTATATGTTGTAAATGAAATTCATTGAATTTGAGTCATATAATGTGTACACACAGGAGATTATTAATTGTGATGTAATCTGAGGATGTTATGTTTCTAAGGTGAAAACAGGGTTTAGATGGCTTCAGTGTCTACCTTTTACTGGTTATCACACACTCTTACCATGAATGAGTGGGAAGAGAATAGCTTCAAAGCCACAGGTCAGTTGAACTTGCCTCTTACTACCTGAATGACTTTAAGCTGTTACTTAAATATTATGAGTATTCCTTTCTTACTTTTGTTCAAATACAAATATAGTGTATATCTTGAAGGACTTGAGATATCGATATCTATATCTATATATCAGTGTTTTATATATATATATATATATATATATATATATATATATCTCGTATGAAGTCCTTCAAGATACACATTATATCTCTATTTGAAAAAAATACACACACACACACACAAACACATACCTCTTATATATCAAAAATATAACAAATGGCAGTTTACTTCTACTTCATTCTTTCCAAAGTTTCTTTCAGTCCAGTTTCAATAAATAGTTCCTCATTGTTTACAAATGATTAAGCTTTTGGTTTGTTGTTTGTTCTGAGACAGGGTCTCACTCTGTCACCCTCACACCTCACTGCATCTTTGACCTCCAGGCTCAAGCAATTCTCCCACCTTAGCTCCCGAGTAGCTGGGACTATAGGTGTGCACCACCACACCTGCTAATTTTTTTTTTTTTTTTAGAAATAGGGTCTCACTATGTTGCCTAGGGTAGTCTTGAACTCCTGCACTCAAGCAATCCTCCTGCCTTGGCCTCCCAACGTGCTGGGATTGCAGGCATGAGCCACCGCACCTGGCCTAGGATTAAGTTTTGACTAGGATTTCCATCTATCATTCACATATTCTCACTTATAAATGGGAGCTAAGTTCTGGATACACAAAAGCATAGAGTGGTGTAATGGACATTGAAGACTCAGAAGTGAGCAGAATGGTGGGGAGTAAGGGATGAAAAACTACCTTTTGTGTACAGTGTGCAGTACTCCAGTGATGGGTGCACTAAAATGCCAGACTTCTCCACTCTACAATTCATCCATGTACCCAAAAACCACTTGTACCCCTAAAGCTACTGAAATAAAAAAAATTAAAGATATGCGTAAAATTGACAAGGTTCATCAAGTGTTTATTAAATTGTTTTGATTTAAAAAATTACCTCAGAGTCAACAGACTTTTCTATCAAATTTGACTCATTACTTTTCTATTGTTTTCTAAAAAGCAAAGTTTCGGGGTTTGGATGAGTTTCACTCATGAGTACCATAAATCTCCAGATAACAATGACATTAAGAAGAGATCATTGTATTTCTTTTTGATCAAAAGTTAGAGTTTATGTCAAGCTATTCTGTGGCTCTGAGATTCATACCTCTTTCAGCTTCCCATTCTGTGGCCCTAGGATTCATGTCTCAGAATGGACTCCCGTTGTCACATCCATGTTCCAAGCACTAGATGGAGGGCCAAGAAGAGGCAAGTATGCATGCAAGTGTTTGCTTTCATTTCATCAAATACTTATTATGTACCTCCTATGTGTCAAACCTGATTTTAACCTCTGATGATATAGCAGTAAGGGAAGCAGATAAAAATATCTGCCCTCCTGAAACTTCTGTTATAGAATTACCCTACATAAAGAAAATTCCCAGAAGCTTCCACCTGAGATTTCCCCAGCTAAGATTCTATAGAAAATAAAGAGAGATAAAATATAGAGGAAAATCTTACAAAACTCATCATAAAATTTATAAATGAATATTTTCACCTGTGAAGATATTTTTTAAAATTGTGCTTAAAAAATGAGTATTGCTAGAATTCATAATGGAACCATCCACCCAAAATTAATACTCAAGATTAATTTACACAAATAAATCCTGGTAGGTTTCTTTTAAAATTCAGAATATTTAATAATGCATATATACTTTTCAGAACAAATAAAATTAATCAAAAGTAAAAAGAAGGCCGGGCGCGGTGGCTCACGCCTGTAATCCCAGCACTTTGGGAGGCCGAGGCGGGCGGATCACGAGGTCAGGAGATCGAGACCATCCTGGCTAACACGGTGAAACCCGTCTCTACTAAAAATACAAAAAATTAGCCGGGCGTGGTAGCGGGCGCCTGTAGTCCCAGCTACTCGGGAGGCTGAGGCAGGAGAATGGCGTGAACCCGGGAGGCGGAGCTTGCAGTGAGCCGAGATCGCGCCACTGCACTCCAGCCTGGGCGACAGAGCGAGACTCCGTCTCAAAAAAAAAAAAAAAAAAAAAAAAGTAAAAAGAAAACAGAACAGAAAAAAATCACTCCAACTCAACTGGAAATTTAAAGTGGCGAAGTATTTATTTAATATGTAATGATTTTTATTATAAAATTTTTCAGTCTAAAATGATGTCTTCTGCACATGACCACAGCAATCACAAGGCAATATCATACATCTAAAAACCACTCCCACCAAAACACCAAATACGCCTGGCCTGCACAGATGGAAAAATCTGAATGGATATCACAAGTCCTCAAGGCTTCATTTATTATTACTTTTTCTTATTATTCTTTCTTTTTTCATTGACAAAAACTGTACAAATATGTGTGTACAATATGATGTTTTGAAATATATACATTGTGCAATAGTTAAATGATCTAATTAACTTATGCATTACCTCACATATTTATCTGTAGTGTAAACACTTAAAATCTATTCTCAGCAATTTTCAAGTACACAATACATTGATATGAAGTATAGTCACCTTGCTGTACAATAGATATTTTGAATTCATTCCTTCGGTCTAACTGAAATTTTGTATCCTTTGACTAACATCCTGTTTGTATCCTTTGAGCTGTATCTCTGTTTAGTTGAACATTAAGAGAATAAAGATAGATGGTAGCCTGCTAACAAAGGAGAACACACTAAATTACAAATAAAAATGTAAAATAATCCAAAAATTATTACAATATGGGTTTTAAAGTAAATGGAGTTCAACAGTAAATACAGCTTCTCCATGCATTAGATAACTTTCTAACAGTTATTTCTGAAGTGATGTATTGTATCTAATATCCAGTTCTTAAAAATGCTTCCAATGCCAGATTTTTTCTCTTCTTTTATCCCTTCCTTTCTTCCTCTCTTTTTCCATTCCCCCTTTTTCTCTTCTCTCTCCTCTCTCTCATTCTTTCTCTCTCTCCAAACTTTCAATATAAATTCAAACCATCTGTCAAATATAAAGCTTTCAGCAGATTCAAGTCCGAGATAGATTCTCACTTCACACATTCTGTGTAGTGTAGAGACTGTCTTTGGTAATTTACCTAACCACCGTTGGTATAGCTTTCACCAGAATGGAATACTTACATAAGGAGACTCCAAAAACCAGTAAATAAACTTAGTTCCTTCTTTTTTGAATCATAATTCAAATTTTAAAAACTAACAGCCTGCCTCTACTATTCACTGGTATGGTGTGGCTGAGAAAGTACTGGACAAGCAGTCAGAGGATTATTTCCACTGTAGAGAACCTTCTATGTAGTTATATCATCTTAGGGATATTGCTTAACCTCCCTGAACCCCAGTTTCTGCATCTTCAAAATGCAGAAATTGACTTACTCTACAATTCTATTATTATAATTCAATATCCTACTTGGGAATATATTCTTTAATAAGAAACAATTTATACATGTGTGTATGTGAGAGAGAAGGTGTCCTAGTCATGGTGCTGGATGCTGTTACATAGAGAGTGGCCAGGCTCTCCAAACTGTCTATCACAGTTCAGTGTCTGTGGGACTATTTTAGCAATGAATCAACTAATCAAACAAAGTCAAGTGTGCCTTATTATACAGAAAATCAGCAATGACACATTAATAAACCAGGAAACTGCCAGTAGCAGGAGGTAGATAATTCTCTGTATAAAATTTTCATGTATTCTTTCTGTTTTAAAAATATTAGACATTTAATGCTATATTTGGAGTAATCATCTCTGCTGGTTTTCTATTGCAAAAGGAATAAGACCTTTATTATAATCAAAGTGTAGTCTATAAAAGAAACACTTTTTTTAGGTAAGCTCAATGATTTTTCAGTCCAGGAAATTCCATTTTATAGATCTGTTGGAATTTTTTTCTTCTATTCTTTTTTAAACACAGTAAGCCTAAGAGAATTCATTTTTGTTTCACAATTTAATGTTTATGTCTGTGTTCCTCAGAGTGCCTTGCATAGTGCATAGTGTATAATATATTATTAATATTAATAAAAAGTTTCTAAAATAGTGATTTTCCCAAACCGTTAATGTTTTCCTTAAATATTTGATGGAATTTTTTGTACCTGACAATCAAAGAAGTTAGTGAGTACGGTCATCAACAAGTCAAGTATTTTTCCCCAAACTGATGCACTTAAACTGTTTTAACACTGAGAAAACTCACCTGTAATAATATCTGGTTTCTTAAAGAAAAAAGAAAACAGTCATATTTTAGGTTGAAATGTGGGTGGTGAGCAAAGTACGCTGATTGCCATATCTTAAAAATCAAAATCAGATAATCTGAATTAATATCATAAAATCTAACTTATTCATGCTGGATCAAAATTTTTCAATAAACTATGAATTTAACATTAATTTCTCAGAAAAATAATAATATATATTTCTGGCCAATAGCTGACATCACATATTTAAGTTAGTAATACAAGAAGGATGCCCACTATTACTACAAATATTTGCTATTAGTCTAAAATCTCTCAACAAGGCATAATAAAAGTATGAGGGGACTTCAAAAAGTTCATGGAAAAATTAAAACAAAAGATAGAAATAAAAATATAAATTTTATTTCTCAACATAAGTTCCAAGTTCAAGACACTTTTGTTAGTGATGATACCAGCCATTTAATCCATCCATAAAGAATTGAGGGTCCTGGGGATTTAATCATGTCAAGGCAGTTTTTTTGTTTTTTGTTTTTTTATTTTTACATTATTAACTGAAGAAAAATGGGTGTCCTTTACAGAGTTTTTAAGATTAGCAAAAAAAAAAAAAAAAAAAAAAAAGTCACAAGGAGTCAAATCAGGACTGTAAGGTAGATGCCTAAAGATTTCCCATCGAAACTCTCACAAAATTGTCCTTGTGAATAAGCAGGAGCACTGTCATGGTGGAGAAGGACTCTGGTGAAGCTTTCCTGGGTGTTTTCTGTTAAAGCTTTTGCTAACATTCTCAAAACACTCTCATTTAAACAGATGCTATTGTTCTTTGGCTCTCCAGAAAGTCAACATCCAAAATGCTTTTAGCGCCCTAAAAACCTGTTGCCATGACCTTTGCTCTGGATGGTCTCCTTTTGCTTTTTGACTGGACCACCTCCACCTCTTGGTAGCCATTGCTTTGATTGTGCCTTGTCCTCAGGATCATAGTGGTAAAACTATGTTTCACCTCCTGTCATAATTCTTCGAAGAAATGCTTCAGGATCTTATCCCACTTGTTTAAAGTTTCCATTGAAAGCTCTGCTCTTGTCTGCAGCTGATCTGAGCACAACCATTTTGATATCCACTGAGTGGAAAGCTTGCTTAACTTTAATTTTTAAGTCAGAATAGTGTAAACTGAACCATTTAAGATGTCTATGGTGTTGGGGATTGTTTTTGCTGTTAGTCATCAGTCCTCTTCAATTAGGGCATGAAAAAAATGAATTTTTTCTTGCAAATTAATGTGGATGGTCTATTGTTGTGGGTTTCATCTTCAATGTCATTAGTCCTTTCTTAAAACAAGTTATCCATTTATAAATTACTAATTTCTTTGGGGCATTTTCTCCATAAGCTTTCTGTAAAGCATCACCATTTCACCATCTTTTTACCAAAACTTCACCATAAATTTGATGTTTTTTCTTTCTTCAATTTTAGCAGAATTCATGTTGCTCTGATAGAGGTTCTTTTCAAACTGGTATCTTGCCCTTCTTAGGGCCTCAAACTAGTTTGAAATCTATGCATAGTTTTTCATAATATGCATTTTCCATGAACTTTTTGAAGACCCCTGGTATAGCTGAAGTGAAATAATAGAAAATAATTTGCCTTTCTCTGATGATTAGTGATGATGAGCATGTTTTCATGTGTTGGCTGCTTGTATGCCTTCTTTTCAGAAGTGTCTGTTCATGTACTTTGCTTGCTTTTGAATGGGATTGTTTGTTTACTGCTTGTTGATTTGTTTAAGTACCTTGGACATTCTGGACTTAGACCTTTGTCATACGCATAGTTTGTTAATATTTTCTCCCATTCTGGAGGTTGTCTGTTTACTCTATTGATAATTTATTTTGCTATGCAGAAGCTCTTTAGTGCCATCTCACACCAGTCAGGATAGCTATTATTAAAAAGTCAAAAAACCAACAACGACAAATGTTAGCAAGGTTATGGCAAAAAGAGAATGCTTATACACTGTTGGGGAGATGTAAATAAGTTCAGCCACTCTGGAAAGCAATTTGGAGATTTCTCAAAGAACTGAAAATAGAACTACCATTCAACCCAGCAATCCCATTACTGGGTATATTCCCCAAGGAAAATAAATTTTTCTACCAAAGAGATGCATGCACCTATATATTCATTGCAGCACTATTCAAAATAGCTAAGACAGGGAGGGAATCAACTCAGGAGCCCATCAATGGTGGACTAGATAAAGAAAATATACATTTATACCATGGAATACTACCCAGCCATGACTATGAAGTCATGTCCTTTGTAGCAACATGGATGAAGCTGGAAGCCATTATCCTAAGCAAACTAAAACAGGAACAGAAAACTAAATGTCACATGTTCTCACTTATAAGTGGGAGCTAAACACTGGGTACACATTAACCTAAAGATGGGAACAATAGACCCTGGGGTCTGTAAGACAGGGGAGGATGAGAAGGAGGAAAGGGTTGAAAACCTACCTATTTGGTACTATGCTCACTACCTGGGTGACAGGTCCAATCATACCCCAAACTTTAGCATCATGCAATATACCTTTATAACAAACCTGCACACATATACCCTGACTCTAAAATACACATTAAAAAAGAAAAAAACAATAATACAAAATAATAAAATAAAACCACTCTACAGGTATTTTCAAAAGATATTAAAGCCAAGCTAGAAAAACCAAGTGTGTGAGGATGTTATGCAATGTCCAGATACAGAGTAAATATGCAAAACAATAGCTTTCTTTTATGCTACAAATAATCATAAAAATATAACTAAATAGTAACAGAAAAACAAAAAGAAATAGTTAACAAAAATGTTAAGATATAGGAAATTTAGAAATTTTTTAGAGCTAATGAGAAAAATATTATGAGTCTCAAAAGTAAAACTTAAATAAATGCGAAATGTAATATGTTACTAAATGGAAAATTTAGTTACTTATGGAAAAATGCCAGTTCTTTCTCAAATTAACTTACAGAGTCAGTGCAATTCCAGTCACAATTTTAATGTTTTATTTGGAACCTAACAAAAATGATTTTAGAGTTCATCAGTAAGAAAAATGTTTGAGACTAGCCAAGACAAAAAATATTAAACATATGCATAGTTGGGAGCTGAAGGAGAGGACAGGAAGAAAGCTATTACCAGATATTGAGACATAGAATATGAAATCTTAAAAATAAAAGCTAGCATATGAGATAATATAAAATTAGTGTATGAGAAAAGTTCATTTCTAGTCAGTGAGAATGAAAGGATCATTTAGAATATGATTCAGAGATATTGAATAATTATTGAAATTCAATATAAAATAGGAATTTAGAGATACCTAGCACATAAGTGAGAGTAAACTTAATTCTAGTTAATGTATTAAGTTGAAGGTAAAAAAAAAAGAACTAGAATAAAATAAACTTCAATGCTTATTGATTCCTGGAGATGAAAAGAATTTCATAAGTATAAAAGTAAGTGTAGAACTAATAAAAATGCAAATGATAGATTTAATGAAAAAGTTAAAACTTCTCAATGTTTAAAAGTACTGAAAACAAAATTAGGCAAGTTGAGAAAAGTATTTATAATATTTTTGACACATGACAATTTAATACAGAGTGCTTACAAATACATATTTTAAGTTAATTGCTATAAATTTTTATGTATTTCATATTTTTTCAATTTATAGGAAAATATAGATAACAGATTTCCTGTGTTTACAGGAAATATAGACCCATGTACTTATCACTCATTTTTTAAAATGTTACCATTTTTCTCATATTTGTTTCCGATTTCTTTATTGTTGACAGTATAGGGGGCTGGGGGAAGCATTAGAGCTTCAAGTGAAACTCCAATTCACACAGCCCTTATCACTTCCTCTTCTTCAGAGGCAGCCATTACCATGGTTAGTATGCATGCCATCATTCCAATAAATGTTTTTATGCTTGTCTCAGTTTGTATACATATCCAAAACTGTTTCAATAATGTAAATGTTAAGACAACGTATACAATAATTGTAACTTTCTTCTTTCCAATAATGCTTATGTTTTGGAGTTATTCATATCCACACATGTAGATACAATTTATTCATTTGAATTTTTGCCCAATAATCTATTGTACTAAAAAAATAGGTTACCCCAGTACCCTACTAAGGAACAGTGAACTTAACTGTTCACTTTTTTTGCCGTTACCTACAGAGCTGCCATGAATAATACTGGTCAATCCTCCCTCTGTGCAGAAGTAAAATTAGTGGCACAGTTGGTGTATAATGTCAGCTTTAATAGGTACTGACACCTAAAATCGGTCTTCTAACATAGTTATAAAAACTTCTACCCTCACCAGCAATGCACAAGTTCCTACTTCTGTGCATTTATGTCAATTCTTAGCAATTAATTCAACTTTATTGCATCAGTGTCTTAGAACACGACCTACATGATATGCTTTTTTTCTTTTCATTTACAAATACTTGCTTTGGGCCTATAAGGTGGTCAATTGTTCTGTCCTCATTTCCTGCAAATTTAAATAGACTAAACATTCTATAATTGTTCCAAGGATGTTCATATATGTCCAGTTAGATTCGGTTTGTTATGCAAGTTTTGTTCAGACATCGCTTTGTGTGCACTTCATTTGTCAATATTTGAGAGAGGTGGGTTAAAATATCTGACTGGGTATTTTCAATTCCTCCTTGTGATTATGTCAGTTTTGATTTTCTATATTTAAGGCTGTATTGTGAGCTGTCTATGAGCTCAGTACTATTGCATCTTTCTGATGAATCAATCTATTTCTCAATGACCTACTTCTTTATTCCTATTAAAGAATTCTGCCTTAAATTTTTGTTTTGTTTATGTAACCACACCTGCTTCATTTTAGTCAATACTTGCCTTGTACATTTTTTCTGATCCTTTTACTTTCATTTCAGTCCTTCCAGTCATTATTTTTTAAATTGCATCTTCTGTTAATCACATAGACCTGGGTATAAACATATAGGTATGCAGTCTGACAGTGTTTAGTTTTAGCTAGCAAGTTTCTTTTAAGTTTATAATAATGTGATTGCTGATATTCAGATACATGCCTATCATAATATGTGATGATTAATCACAATGTCCTTTCTGTGCTTCTTTTTCATTTCTTTTCCTTTAATTTCTTGGCTCAATGACATTTTTCTAATCCCTTTTTCAAGTTTTACTGGTATGAAAGTTCTGAATATCACTTCTATTTTTTTCAGTTATTACTCTTAAATGTTTAACACATATATTTGAAATAGCTAAAGTTAATGCTTTTTGCACCTTCTTAAAATCCAAATCTTCTTCATTCCCATTTTTCATTATTGTCTATAAATTAGGCGTACTTTGTTTTTAACCACTCAAATTGGTTATTATTAATATTGATTTTATAGTTAATACAAATTTAGATTTATCTATATACTTGTCAGTTCTTCACTCAACATTGCCTCTTGACTATTATTCCTTCCTTCTTGGTTCAACTTCTTTCTTAATGAAGAACATACTTTATAATTCTAGTAGGTCCTGCAAGTGGCACTTTGTTTCTGTTTGCCAAAAACATCATTTGGAATTCATTCTTGAAGGATAGTTTATATAGTTTTAGGCATCTATGCTAATGGCTTTTTTCTACTCTAGCACTTTGAAGTATTAGGCTGGTGCAAAAGTAATTTCAGTTTTGCTATCACTTTCAATGGCAAAAACTGCAATCACTTTTGCACCAACCTCTAACTGTACTATTTTTCAGCTTCTATGGTTGAGGTTGAAAGTCTGTTTATATTTGCATTTCTCTGACGACCAGTGATGATGACCATTTTTTCATGTCTGTTGGATGCATAAATGTCTTCTTTTAAGAAGTGTCTGTTCATATCCTTTGCCCACTTTTTGATGGGTTTTTTTTCTTGTAAATTTGTTGAAATTCTTTGTAGATTCTGGATATTAGCCCTTTGTCAGATGGGTAGATTGCAAAGATTTTCTCCCATTCTGCAGGTTGCCTGTTCACTCTGACGATAGTTTCTTTTGCTGTGCAGAAGCTCTTTAGTTTACTTCGATCCCGTTTGTCTATTTTGGTTTTTGTTGCCATTGCTTTTGGTGTTTGAGTCATGAAGTCTTTGCCCATGCCTATGTCCTGAAGGGTATTGCCTAGGTTTTCTTCTAGGGTTTTTATGCTGTTAGGTCTTACATTTAAATCTTTAATCCAGCTTGAGTTAATTTTTATATACGGGGTAAGGAAGGGATCCAGTTTCAGCTTTCTACATATGGCTAGCCAGTTTTCCCAGCACCATTTATTAAATAGGGAATCCTTTCCCCATTGCTTGTTTTTGTCAGGTTTGTCAAAGATCAGATGGTTGCAGATGTGTGCTGTTATTTCTGAGGCCTCTGTTCTGTCCCATTGGTCTATATATCTGTTTTTCTACCAGTATCATGCGTTTTGGTTACTGTAGCCTTGTAGTATAGTTTGAAGTCAGGTAGCGTGATGCCTCCAGTTTTGTTCTTTTTGCTTAGGATTGTCTTGGCTATGCAGGCTCTTTTTTGGTTCCACATGAACTTTAAAGCAGTTTTTTTTTTTTTCAATTCTGTGAAGAAAGTCAGTGGTAGCTTGATGGGGATAGCACTGAATCTGTAAATTACGTTGGGCAGTATGGCCGTTTTCCCAATATTGATTCTTCCTATCCATGAGCATGGAATGTTCTTCCATTTGTGTGTGTCCTCTTTTATTTTGTTGAGCAGTGACTTGTAATTCTCCTTGAAGAAGTCTTTCGCATCTCTTGTTGGATTCCTAGGTATTTTATTCTCTTTGTAGTAATTGTGAGTGGGAGTTCACTCATGATTTGGCTCTCTGTTTGTCTATTATTGGTGTATAGGAATGCTTGTGATTTTTGCATATTGATATTGTATCCTGAGACTGCTGAAGTTGCTTATCAACTTAAGGAGATTTTTGACTGAGATGATGGGGTTTTCTAAATATACAATCATGTCATCTGCAAACAGAGACAGTTTGACTTCCTCTTTTCCTAATTGAATACCCTTTATTTCTTTCTCTTGCCTGATTGCCCTAGCCAAAAACCACGATGAGATACCATCTCATGCCAGCTAGGATGGTAATCATTAAACAGTCAGGAAACAACAGATGCTGGAGAGGATGTGGCGAAATAGGAATGCTTTTACACTGTTCTTGGGAGTGTAAATTAGTTCAACCATTGTGAAAGACAATGTGGCAATTCCTCAAGGATCTAGAACTAGAAATACCATTTGACCCAGCCATCCTATTACTGGGTATATACCCAAAGGATTATAAATCATGCTGCTATAAAGACACATGCACATGTATGTTTATTATGGCACTAATCACAATAGCTAGGACTTGGAACCAACCCAAATGTCCATCAATGATAGACTGGATTAAGAATATGTGGCACATATACACCATGGAATACTATGCAGCCATAAAAAATGATGAGTTCATGTCCTTTGCAGGGACATGGATGAAGCTGGAAATGATCATTCTAAGCAAACTATCACATGGACAGAAAACCAAACACCGCATGTTCTCACTCATAGGTGGGAGTTAAACAATGAAAACACATGGACACAGGGCAGTGAACATCACACACTGGGGCCTGTCCGGGGCTGGGGGGCTGGGGGAGTGATAGCATTAGGAGAAATACCTAATGTAAATGACGAGTTGATGGGTGCAGCAAACCAACGTGGCACATGTATACCTATGTAACAAACCTGCATGTTGTGCACATGTACCCTAGAACTTAAAGTATAACAAAAAAAAAAGTCTGGTTTTAGTCTAATTATTGGTCCTTTGTAATGAATTTGCATTTTTTTGATTGTTAAAATTTCTCTTTTTCTTTGATGTTATTCCTAGAATTATTACTATTATTATTCCTGGAAATTGCATAGCTTAGGATTGGAGATATATGACTTTTATTAATTCTCAAAAATTCTGAGCCATTCTTTTTACTTCTTCCTGGAATTCTTATTAACCCAAATTGAACGCACTCCCTATCTCTGTCTTTCTGTACTGTATTATAGTTTTTTCCCACAACAGATTTCTCATCTAGCTCACTTACGCTCTCACTCTTTAGTGATCTCCAATCTGCTGTTTAGATTGTCCATTTTTTTAATGATGATTTGTTTCTTTTTAAGTATTTAGACTGTGTATTTTGTACCTTTTCAAAACTGAATTTGTTTTTGTTTTTAAACCAATCTCCTGTCCTCTTCTTTTGTTTTCTATAACTTATTTCATCACATCAATAGTTTTAAATATCTCACTTTACAATCCCTGTAATAGTATTATTCTATTACCTCATGTTTTGTAGGTGTTATTTCTCTTGTTTTCCTAAGTCTTATTCACGGTGGATTGTTTCATTTAGCGTTTTGTCATTTTTTATATTATCTTATCTTATGCAAAGCATGCCGTTATTATGGAAATTCTGTGCATCTTGGTTTTTGAAGTGTCTCCCCAGAAAGCTTTGCATTTGATTCCAACAGACACCAGAGATGTATCAGTGGCCAGAGACCAATTCCCATGTTTATTTCTCAGTGTGTGTGGTGTGTGTGCATGTGTTTTAATACCCAAGTAGCTTAAATTGGACTCCAAATTAATTGTAAGCACAAACTTGGATTTTGAGTTCTCAAAATAGATGTTCTGTGCCACCCAGAGTCAAGGCAAAACCCAGTTTAAGTGTTGCCTTTTGTAACCAGTCTGATTCCACAGCAAGACCATAGAAGTTGAATTGCGTGGCAATGCAGTATCCTGTACACAATCACCATCACATTTGGCCTGCCATAGCATCGGCTGGCATAATCATTGTTTGCCTCTTAGCTACCTCTCTGCTTCTGGTAAATAAGGTTTCCCTTTCTTGCATGCTTGATAAGGTCAACCATTCTCATTATCTATTTATTATTTTATCACAAATATAAAGGTAGAAGGTTTAAAAAGCTAGTATAACCAACTATTTTACAAAACTAGAACTCTGAGTTCTTTGAAATTAAAAAACAGGTAAAGGTCATTAATTGTAACTTACTAATGAGTAGAACACATGGCTAATAAAAATGGAAAATATTCAATGCTACTTGTTCACTCATCAAAACAGAGAAGACCAAAAAGAATGGTAAAGTGTAAAAATGCAGGGCACCCTTATATAATGCACAATTTCTGAAGAACATTTATCTATATAAATATGATACTTTAAATATGAATACGTTAATAAATAACTATTTAGACTGGGCGCGGTGGCTCACGCCGGTAATCCCAGCACTTTGGGAGGCCGAGGCAGGCGCATCATGAGGTCAGGAGATCGAGACCATCCTGGCTAACACGGTGAAACCCCTTCTCTACTAAAAATACAAAAAATTAGCTGGCAGTGGTGGCTGGTGCCTGTACTCTCAGCTACTCAGGAGGCTGAGGCAGGAGAATGGCGTGAACCTGGGAGGCAGAGCTTGCAGTGAGCCGAGATTGCACCACTGCATTCCAGCCTGGGCTACAGAGCAAGACTCCGTCTCAAATAAATAAATAAATAAATAAATAAATAAATAAATATATAAATAACCATTCAAGGTCTAGGAGATTTTTCTAAGGAAATAATCAGATTTGTTTATAAATTTTTCATTGGAACTTTATTTACAATGGCATTTTAAAAATCTTTAAATAACCAATTGGGAAGAATTGAACTAAATTATGGTACATCTAATAATGGAGCAAAGAATATCTATTAAAATTAAAATTATAAAATAAATATTGACATGGGAAAATATTTATGGTAGAGTGTTAAGTAAAACACACAAAAACAGGCACTAAGCAGTATATACTCAGATGTGTAAAACACGTACAGATATAATTTCATGCAGATAAAAGATGGGAAGTGTATACACAAAAATACTAAAAATATGAATTTCTTAAAATTGATATGTTAGTTTTATAATCAGAAAACAAAAATGGAAAATGCTATTTTTAAAAGCACTGTGTTAGGCTGTTCTTGTACTGCTATAAAACCTTCCTCCCTGAGAGGATAAAACATAAAAGGAAAAAAGAAATACCTGAGACTGGGTAATTTATAAAGAAAAGAGGTTTAATTGGCTCACAGTTCTGCAGGCTGTACAAGTTTGGCACCAACATCTGCTTGGCTTTTGGGGAGGCCATAGGGAGCTTTTACACATGGCAGAAGTCCAAGTGAGAACAGGCATGTTACAGGGCCTGAGTGGAAGCAAGAGAGTGCAAAGGAGAAAATGCCACACACTTTCAAGCAACCAAATCTCCCAAGAACTCACTGACCATCAGGAAACCAGCACCAATCCATAAGGGATCAGCTGTCATGACTCAAACACCTCCCACCAGGCCCCACCTCCAACGTTGGGGATTAGAATTCAACATGAGATTGGCAAGGACATGTATTCAAACTGTATCAAGCACATATTTAGTCATTTCAGTAAACTTTTGTGAAGCTACACAAACTTCTTATCAGTGTCTGGTAATATTCAGTTTATTTCACTGACTCTTCCCTTACCACAAAGCGACTTACGGAAAGCAGCCATTGTTTTATTCCTTTTTATGGTCTCAATCAAAGCTCATAATAAATGCTCAATGAAAGTATGTGTAACCTAGCAAATGAATAAATAACATTAGTGAATAAACAAATTTTAAAAATGATGTTATTACCATCTTTCTACAGGATAATGATAAGAAAGCAAAATGAAATGAATCAATGAATTAAAATTCACTACCATAATAAGTCTAAAAAGCAAATAAAATATTTCAGAAATTGATCTTTTCAAATAAAAAATATTTTGAGATATAATAACTGTATGTATATGGTTTACATTTGTACAGGCTTTTTTTTTTTTTAGACGGAGTCTCACTCTGTCACCCATGTTGGAGTACAGTAGTGGGTTTTCAGCTCACTGCAACCTTGGCCTTTCTGGTTTAAGTGATTCTTCTGCCTCAACCTCCCACGTAGCTGGAACTACAGGCATGGGCCAGCACACCCCAATAATTTTTGTATTTTTAATAGTTTAAGCGATTCTTCTGCCTCAACCTTCCAAGTAGCTGGAACTACAGGCATGGGCCAGCACACCCAACTAATTTTTGTATTTTTAATATAGACGGGGTTTCACTATGTTGGCCAGGCTGGTCTTGAACTCCTGACCTTAGGTGATCCCCTTGCCTCGGCCCCCCAAAGTGCTAGGATTACAGGCACGTGCCACTGGGCCTGGCCTGTGCAGGCTATTAATAAAAGCAGAATGTAATAATATATTTTAACTTAGTTTGAAAATTTCAATTTATCAGTAATATCTTCAGAAATCATCCCCCTATAATCCATTTCTACCAAAGAATTTAACTGGGTTGCACCTGCTAATGGCTCTGGATCTTATGCTTTTTGAAACAACTCATAGGAAAGGAGAGGGGGAACACTTTCAATGGATTCAATACATTCAGTACTACACTTCCTTTCCTAGCCTTATTAAGCTTATCATAAGCAGGTATCGAAACGGGCTTTAAATCTCTGCTAAAGTGCTAACTCCACATATAAGTATAATTATTTTTAAAACCCAGAAGAAAAATCTAAGATGAAATAGAAAAATTCTCACAAAGCAAATTGTGTACTGTATGTATGACACTGTGAGGTTTAGACACATGTAAAGGAAGTGCCTTCTGCTTTGCTATTTTGAAATGTCATTCCACTCTAGAAGCCGGTCAAGTTATGTTAATGTGCATTTGGTACAAATATTACCCTCATATTTTTAAAATTGAATCAATATTCAATAACATATCACATGTAATTATAAAGGGTAAGCATTGGGATTCAAAAGATATGAGTGACGTTGAAGAAACAGAATTTTACTAGTGTTTTAAGTTCCCAAAGCTTTTTTACATATCATGGAGAACAAATCCATAATCCAGCCCAAAGTGTTAATAATAATACAAAGATAAGTATACTATCAAAATCTGGTGTGAAATTCTGTTGTTTGATTGGTGCATATTTTTAATCAGTCCAAAATTTCTGATTTGGGGATTTAATACCAGTGATTGCTGTTAATTTCTTCAGATTAGTACTCATTATGAAAATCATATTTCTATATGAGTTTTTCTTCCCTTCATAAAATCTTATCCCAAGACAGCTAAAATCCTTCTGAGAGCCTGAACAGTCAAACCTGGGCTCATAATGCACAGATAAAACACTCTTTATAGCAGCATTCATTAAAGTACTAGACAGAGCACAAAAAGCAGCAACAGGGAGCTTTCCCCTAAAAGCTTTTAATACAGCTCTTTCCAAGACTCATTAAATCGGCCCAGCACTAAAGCCTCTGGCCACCCCCATCTATTGATCTCCACCACTGTGGAGCCCCCTACTCTGTCCAACTGTAGTCGGAGGTAATTTATCTCTGATGAATATATCGTCCACAGAAAAGTCACTAGTACAAAGCTGCAAGTCAGAATCCCAACTCTAAGTGAGGCAATTATTGTGTGTTTTCTGTGGGTTCCCGAAAAGTCCCTGCAAATATAAACATTCTGCAAAACTGTTTGTCTTAATTTTCATTTGACTTCCTCAAACAGGCCCTACTAACAGGTAACATTTATTGAACATATATTATGTGGCTGTACTAGGATTCGTGTTTTAAGCATTGTTTTTATTTAATCCTTATACCAGCATGATGAACAATTTATCTCCATTTTGCACATGAAAGAAATGGGGCTCAGAGAGTTGAAGTAACTATCCAGAATCTCAAAGCCAATAGGTGGCAGAACCACTGTTAGAAAAAACCTTATAGTGAATCTTTCTGTTCACCTAACTGATATTTTATTTTGGATACCATGTACCAGGACCTGTGGTAAACTAAATGGACATGCTCCCTGTGTTCATGGTGCTTACAGCTCTGTGGGAGCAAAAACTTTAAACAAGTAAGTGGGAAATAAACAGCAAATTGTAGTAATTATTATGAAGAACAAAGTATGTATAAATATTATTCTTATTCCAGCATTAATAACTCTGCTCATCCATTTGTTTCACATTTATTTGGCATGTGTAGATTATACTTTCAACAAGATACACCCATAAAAACATGTTTGCCTTTTTCTTTCTAATCAACAGAACAACTCACAGCATTATTAATTTGGAAGAGCAGAAGTTCTTTTGAATTGATTATCCTTTATCCATAAGATAACCATTTATTCTAAACCAAACAATCTCAATTATGATTCTAATCTCTGTCCTTTCTACTTTGACAGTTTACTTTCTGAAAAGAGTTACAGTTTAGATAATAAATTTGTATGATCACTCTACTTGTACAATATTTGGAGCTGTTTGAAATGTGTTTTGGAGAAAATAGTAGTGAACTGAAAGAAATGACTGTGTCCTACTTTCTACTGGGATCTTTTCCTATGTAATTTTACTTAATCTTCTTCAGACACCTCACTGAGGCCACAATTGCTATACCCACTTGAAGACAAGTGTCTCAAAGATATCTTATACAATGCATATGTTTACATATCCTAAATATCTCTCAAATATCTTCTCCCTCCACTTCATTCATTCACTCTACAAATATTGATTTAACCCCTTCTTTGTGCCAGACATTGTGCTAGGTACTAGGATATGAATGAGACAAGGTAGAGTAGTTTGTTTCTACCTTCATGGAGTTTGCCATTTACTAGAGAAAGCAGGCAAAAACAAGCAAACAAAAATAAAATACAATAAATATAAATTGTTCTAAGTGCTATGGAACTTAAGTAAAACAGAGTCCTGTAGCTTTCTCATGGGTTATCTTGTTCCAATACTCCAAAATGCCCTCCATTACACTGTTATAGAAAGTTCTGAATACAAATTTGATAATGTTTCTTTATGATTTAAATCTCAGGGATTCTTAAAATCATCAGTGTAAATTTGTATGATGCAAGTCACTTTATAATTTGTTCTCTGCTTACAGGCATAAAAATAAATTGAACGTGAACAAACAGGTGAGAATGCAAGCCTCTAGTCTTTCCATATTGCAGAAGTTCCGCTCTTTCTTAAGGAAAACTTGTACCTTAGTGACATGTGACCATTGACTATCAGTAAATTAATATGTATCTTAATTTTTAGTAAAAATATAAGCATAAATCTTTTTTCTATGGGATAGTTTAGTACAACCTATACGTATGCACAGCTGGCTTTGGAGACCCCTAGTGTGTTTGTTTATACCATTAGACTGCAAAGTTTTTTGAGAACTAAAGCTACAGGATTCATTGTTGTGCATTCGGTCCTAGAGTGCTTAGCATTTGATCTGGATAAAACCCAGGAGGTCATCATTGTTTGCAGACTGACTGACTAAATGAGGGAAGAATTCAATCCATCCATTGAGCAAATGCAGAGTGCCCATGACTTGTAGCATGTTGGCAGTGGTAGGACCAACATAACCAGGGAGGATATGATGATATGATACAAGTGCCAACATTTCTCTGACATTTCTAAGCATGTCAACAAAATCCCACTATTAATAGGGCTGTAGGGAATTATGTCCTCGACACACATTTCTCTTAAGTAATCTCCATTTAGTTGGTTGTTTTTAAATAACTGTTCCACAAAAGAGGAGATTTTTTCACAGTGCTCTTTCAAAACAGAGTCCCAGTGTTCCTGAACCAAACTGAAGGTCGGGCTGTTTCTCGTGTCCCAATAACAAGATGCGGACGAACTGGGGAGGAAGAAAGTTTTATTCCTGTAAGCCAGTTACAGGGAGAAGACCTGGAAATTATCACCAGACCAACTCAAAACACAAAGTTTTCCAGAGCTTATGTACCTCCTAAGCTATAAGTCTACGTGTAAGTCTGCATTCATCTAAAGACATAAGTGATTAACTTCTTTTAATCTATAAGGTCTCAGTCCTGAAGACCTTCCTCTAGAGCCTCAGTAAATTTACTTAGTCTAAAGGGGTTCAGGTGGTAGGGTGATTACCCTTATCTTGTTTCCTGTTAAATCACAGAGGTTTGGGTATTCTTTCAGACCCCTAATCAACTTGTATGTGGAGGCCTGAGGAGTTTCTTCAGATCCCCAGTAAAACTTGTTTAATCCTAAATGAGTCCTGTTAAGAATTCCTTCATTATTTTGTCATGCTTTAAGGCCCAGGAAAAGCATAGGCAAGATTCTTGGTGGGCTTTTGTTACATTCCAGCCTTTGTATAAGGGCCCTGGCATTTTTAACTTTTAATATTTAACTTAACTACTCAGTACTGAAACGGTTGTTAGGGAGGCCTGTATTAGTGAGGCCTGGCCTGCCACACCAGGGAAGTAGATTTCAAACTTAGGGTAAAGGATGACTCATGCTGACCAGCTCTAATACACATGATTTTACCATATTACAAGTACTATAAATACTCATGAGACGTAGGCTAATTAACTAATAGCTGAATGTCCCTAAACATGGTACAGGTGCCTATGCATGATGATCTCCTTATGGAGTCCACTAACATATGCAAAGAAAAAGTAATCAAAGCTATTTGCAGGTCAAAAGAAAAAACAGGAGTCACTTTTTAAAGGATATTAAAATGAATAAGGGCAGAAATGCTAAAACTAGGACATAGATGTACATATAAACACATTTATGCAACAAAAAGATTAGTGAGTTTTACTGTAATCAATAGATTGAAAACTTTTTCTTTTTTGATCTGAAAAACAATCGTTACCTTAAGAAAAGAACATATGTATGTGGATTATAGGAAATCTTAAAAAATAAATAAGGAGGAAAGGGGGATTACACTGCACCAACCTGGGAGGCTGGGAAAGAAGCTAAGCTGAGTGAATGAGCCTTATGTTAGCTGACGAAGGGTGCATTTAGTGCTTACCCACCCCAGGCAAGTCTGTGAACCACAGATAGCCTTTTACAAGAATCCTTTACCTGCAGCCATTATGATGGAGGTGGTGGGAGCAGGAGATGGTGGGGGAGGGACATCCAAAGAATATACATTGAGTTGCTGATTACCCATGTTGACCCAGATGAGTCATGTCACAATTTATTCAAAAATCAATGTAGATTTAACCTTATTGTCATTGTACATAAATTTGAATATATGGCTTAATCTGAGGTTCTAAGTATTCTAGAGTTAAAACAAATAATAAAATGATTTCATTATATCTTAACAGGGAAAGCTGAAAAATTTCTGTTTCCCTGCTCAGAACTCTTCCCTCATAAGGAAGCAAGATATTTAATCTATGAAAAACTTCCATTTTTGTGGACTGCATATTTCTTGAATTGGGGGCAGGTAATTAAGGCTGCAGATAGAATGAACTAAATATAGTCTATGCAGAAGAGTCTGAAAGATACTCATATTTTTTTCCCTCACACTGAAAAAAATGTGGAAGCTTTATGCTCTTCATCTGATCTGATCATTAGCATAATCCACCTACTGGGAAACAGGTGGAAAGGAAAATCTAAATTTTAGCCTTATGTGGTAACCTTTGCCTGATGCAATAATTTAAGTGTTCCCTTTAGATGATACTTAGAATTTTTAGGTTAAAATGGACAGTCTTCTAGTCTTCCAGAGCCCTCCTCTGCTCTTTTGGGATATGGGTGAGGTGTACAGCATTGGTGAGAGCAAAATGGGGCTTGGGAGCTCAGGAACTTGCATCAAATTTCGTAGCCTCACTCATCTCAACTCAAGACAAGCCAGTTGAGATTTCCCCATGGACCAGATGCCTGTTGAAATTGACTAGCATTACCTCAGGACTTCTGTTGACTTCTGACACTATAATATGCTTAGGTTATATATCTGTGATCCATATTTTTCTCTCAGGCAGCTATGATTCAGTTGTATTCCCTCTTGATTAGGCACCTTGGTTCTGGAAGGCTCTGTAGACATTTTGTAACATTTGTCATAACCCCTATCCATCTTCTTCCTGAAACTTGTCATCCCAGGTCTTCTGTAGCTGAATTACCTGGTGCCTTGGTACACTTCAAGGGAAAACCACAAGCCCTCAACTATACCCCTTCTACACCTTCCTACAGAACCATCTGAGCCTTTATAATTTCTTACAAAAACTAAGGAATAAATCTGACTCGCTCTCTACCTTATCTTGCTGCCTGTAAAGTTTACTTTGATTTAATTATCCTCTAGGTTGATCCAGGGAAACCTTTGAAGCCACCCCTTACCCTAGCAAAATCCAAGAATTTGCAGCATGGGACCCAACTGTCTCACTTCCATCCAGCTTCCCTGGCAAATACCGTCACACCAGCCAGTTGAAACACTCAGGTGGAATGAAGAGCGCCCCCTCCACATTTCCATGTTCTTAATGGTATGTGAATGGATTTAATTGGCAGAAGCTAATTCATGTCTAGAATTTTAACTGCAATAAAGTCTGGGAATTATCTAATTTAAGCTTTTAGCTTCTACAATACAGGAAGACAAGCTAAGAGAGTGAAACCACCATATCCATTTTAAGTAAGCCCATAATCACTCTCACTCTTATAACCTTACATAGATTTATGCCTAACTAAGAAGTCTGCTTACTCTGGAGTATTTTCTGGGCATCCTTATGGAAATATAAGTCTCATATCACCCATATCTCCATAAAGAAAATTTCATATTTATAGGAATAAAGAACATTAATAAATGTTATTATTTTCCTAGGATAGTACGCCAAAATGCTAACAAATTTCCTCTATTAAGATACCTGCAAGTTTATGCTGAGGAAAAAGGAACAGCATAGGCAAGTTTCAGGTCTTCTTTTGGTTCCTTCTATGCTCCTTTATTTAGAGAGCAGCTTATCCCTTTATTTAAAAGCCTACTGAGAAAGCCTGGGCTTGAAATTTTGCTCAGCCAGGCCTAATGTGGTGATGCCCAATGGAGATTTAGAGCCTTCTGTCATCTCAACTCCCCAGAAACTAAAATAGATGGAATGGCCCTGTGTTGGACCATTCTTGTACTGCTATAAAAGAATACCTGAAGTTGGATTATTTGTTTTTAAAAAAAGAGGCTTAATTGGCTTATGGTTCTGCAGGCTGTACAGAAAGCATGATGCCAGCATCTGCTTGGCTTCTGGTGAAGCCTCAGGGAGTTTTCAATTATGGCAGAACATGAAGAGGGAAGCCAGTCATCTCACATGGCAAGAACAGGGGCAAGAGGGAGGGAAAGAGAGTGGGAGGTGCCACACACTTGTAAACAACCAGATCTCACATTAACTCACTTATCACCAAGGGGATGATGATAGCCATTTATGATCTGCCCCCATGATCCAAACACCTCCCACCAGGCCCTACCCCCAACACTGGGGATTACATTTCATCATGAGATTTGAGGGGACACATATTCAAACTCTATCAGGCCCAATATATTGTTTTATCCAAAAGCTAACTATGAGAAGCAGCTCTACCTTCTCTTTTGCAAACAATCCAAGCCTGTAAGCAGGGATAGGTTGGATTCAAACTTCTTCATGACCAGATAGAGGGTTCGGTCAATGTGTTAGTAATTTTGTTAGAAGATAACATAATACGGAGATTAAGAGTACCAGCTCTGGAGCTAGACTTCCTGAGTTTGAATTCTGGCTGCTCAATTTATTAGATATCTAATCTGGGATTAATATCTTAATCTCTCTGCACTGCATTTTCCTCATCTGTATAATGAAGTGAATGGTAACACCTACCACATAAACTTTTATGAGGATTAAATTAGTATATGTGAAGTTCTTTAAATGGTGCCTAGATCTTTATAACACTTAATAAACTAATAAAATTCTTTCTACTACTTTTTTTTCTTAAACTTTTTATCCAAAGTTCAGGGGTACATGTACAGGATGTGCAGGTTTGTTACACAGGTAAAACGTGAGCCATGGTGGTTTGCTGCACAGATCATCCTATCACGTAGGTATCAACCCCAGCATCCATGACCTATTTTTCCTGATGCCCTCCCTCCCCCTAATCCCACCACCAATGGCCCCCAGTGTGTGTCGTTCCCCCTGATTTATCCATGTGTTCTCATCATTCAGCTCCCACTTATAAGTGAGAACATGGAGTGTTTGGTTTTCTTTTCTTGCATTAGTTTGCTGAGGATAACAGCTTCCAGTTACATCCATGTCCCTGCATAGAACAAAATCTTGTTCCTTTTTATGGCTGCATAGTATTCTGTGGTGTATGTGTACCACATTTTCTTTTTCCAGTCTATCATTGATGGGCTTTTAGGTTGATTCCCTGTCTTTGCTGCTGTAAAGAGTGCTGCAATGAGCATGCCTGTGTATGCATCTTTATAATAGGATGATTTATATTCCTTTGGGTGTATACCCAGTAATGGGATTGCTGGGTCAAATGGTATTTCTGCCTCTAAGTCTTTGAGGAATTGCCACACTGTCTTCCACAATGGCTGAACTAATTTACACTCCCACTAACAGTGTAAAAGCATTTCTTTTTCTCCACAACATTGCCAGCATCTATTATTTTTGGACTTTTTAATAATCGCCATTCTCACTGGCGTGAGATAGTATCTCATTGTGGTTCTGATTTGCATTTTTCTAATGATCAGTGATGTTGAGCTTTTTTTCGTGTTTGCTCCTCCATGTATGTCTTCTTTTGAGAAGTGTCTGTTCATATCCTTTGCCCACTTTTTAATGGGGTTGTTTGTGTTTTTCCTGTAGTTTGATTAAGTTCCTTGTAGACTCTGGATATTATACCTTTGTCAGATGGATAGATTGTAAAAATTTTCTCCAATTCTGTACTTTGTTCACTCTGATGATAGTTTCTTTTGCTCTGCAAAATTCGTTTATTTAATTAGATCCCATTTGTCAATTTTTGCTTTTGTTGCAATTGCTTTTTGCATTTTCGTAACAAAATCTTTGCCTGAAAGGTATTGCCTAGATTTTCTTCTAGGGTTTTTATAGTTTTGGGTTTTAAATTTGTATTAGTCTGTTTCCATATTACTATAGAATTGCTGAGACTGGGTATTTATTAATAGAAATGAAAGAGGTTTAATTAACTCACAGTTCAGCATGGCTGGGAAAGCCTCAGGAAACTTACAATCATGGCAGAAGGTAAAGGGGAAGCAAAGCAGTTTCCTCACAAGGTGGAAGGAAGGAGAAGTGTTAAGCAAAGGGAAAAGAGCCCCTTATAAAACCATCAGATCTCATGAGAACTCACTCATTATCATGAGAACAGCATGGGGGAAACCACCACCCTGATCCAATTACCTCCACCCTGTCCTGCCCTTGACATGTGGGGATTATGGAGATTACAATTCAAGGTGAGATTTGGGTGGGGATCCAGAGCCAAACCATATCAACATTTAAGTCTTCAATTCATCTTGAGTTAATTTCTGTATAAGGTGTAAGGAAGGGGTCCAATTTCAATTTTCTGTGTATGGCTAACCAGTTCTCCCAGTATCATTTATTAAATAAAGAGTTCTTTTCCCATTGCTTGTTTTTGTCAGGTTTGTTGAAGATCAGATGGTTGTAGGTGTGCAGTCTTATTTCTGAGTTCTCTTTTCATTCCTTTGGTCTATGTGCCTGTTTTTGTACCAGTATCATGCTGTTTTGGTTACTATAACCTTGTAGCATAGTTCGAAGTTGGGTAGTATGGTGCCTCCAGGTTTGTTCTTTTTGTTTAGGATTGTCTTGGCTATTTGGGCTCATTTTTGGTTCCATATGGCTTTTAAAGTGGTAGAAGACAAGAATGCCCTCTTTTACCACTCTTATTCAATATAGTATTGGAAGTTCTGGCCAGGGCAATCAGACAAGATAAAGAAATAAAGGGTAAATAGAAAGAGAGGAAGTCAAATTATCTTTGTTTACAGATGGCGTGATCCTATACCTAAAAAAACCCCATTTTCTCAGCCCAAAAGCTTCTTAAGCTGAGAAGCAACTTCAGCAAAGCCTCAGGATACAAAATCAATGTGCAAAATCTCTAGCATTCCTATACACCATCAATAGGCAAGCAGAGAGATGAATCATGAATGAACTCCCATTCACAATTGCTACAAAAAAAAAAGATACCTAGGAATACAGCTGAGAAGGAAAGTGAGGAACCTCTTCAAAGAGAACTACAAACTGATCCTCAAAGAAATCAGAGAGGACACAAACAAAAGGAAAAACATTCCATGCTCATGGATAGGAAGAATCAATATTGTGAAAATGGCCATACTTTTCAAAGTAATCTATAGATTCAATGCCAGTCCCATTAAACTACCATTAATGTTCTTCACAGAATTAGAAAAAAAAAAACTATCCTTCCACTACTTTTATTAATAGGACACTCTGAAGTATCTCCTAGTGCTCTAAATTTTGTTTAGTGTTGTAAAGGTTCAAGGGGCAGTGTAATCTGACTCAGATAAAGGAAGTGTGTTCACTTGGGGCAGACCACACTGCTACTTGCTAATTTTTCTCCCTAACTTATGTTTATTGAATAACATGTATCAAGCCCTATGCCATGAGCTTTCCCATATCTTATCTCCCTTACCCTTTACAACAATCCTCCAAGATGCTAATTATTTCCATTTTAGAGATGACACAACTGACACACAGAGATTGTTTACATTTTCCTATGAAGAAGGTCTAATAAGGTGACTTTCTAGGATTCCAGGCTAAATTAGTCAGAGTTCAAGTCCAATGCCTTTTCCATTGCCCTGTGTTACCTCTTTAAACAGTATATCTGTAGTTATTTAAGCAATTATGCATGCATTATTTCATTTAACTTTCAGAATAATTCTATGATATTGAGCATCAGGATGGCTCATCTGCAGGTAACAGAAAACCTAGATGGCAGTAATTTAATCAGATAAGGGTTCATTCCTTGAACATAATAATGCATCTAGCTTTAGTTAATGACAGCTTGGTTGCTGGCCTTGCATGGAGGGTTCAATGATGCCATCAAGAACCCAGGCTTCTTCCATCTTTCCCCTTCATCATTTGATACATGTTGATTTTTCATTCTTCAGTTTGCCATCTTGTGTTTGAATAATATTTTTCACAGCTTTAGGCAAAACAAAGCCAGAAGCAGGTAGTTGGGACAAGTGCTGGAAAAGGAGTGAAACAAACAGAATTTACTTATTTATCAAAGAGAAAAACAATGCTTCTCAAAAACCTATCCCAAAAATCTTATCAAGGGGTATGTGAGTCACACGGCCATACCTAGCAACAAAGAGACTGGGAAGGTAATAAGTTGGCTTCTTACAGTCCCTCCGGTGGGAGGCAGAACAAGGACAAAGGAAGTTAGGTGTAGCTCTTAGAGACAAGACAATGAATGGTCTCTTTCACTCCTAGGTATTACATAAAGTTTTTTAGATAACGTCACATGTCCAGATAGATTGTGACTTTTCCGTTGTCACAGGGGTAATATGCAGTATCCTAGGGACTTAAATAAAGGTTTTTTTTTCACCCTATCCTCTAAAATTTCCACTGTACCGTGAAAGCCATGTAACTGGGCCTTGTTTCTAAATTTTTCAGATGTACAGTAAGAAGAAGGGTCCCTGGGGAAATTATTTATTTTGTTACAACTTTTTTTTTTTTAAAAAAAGGGAGGAATATAATAAAAAGTATATATCTAATAATATTGTCCAAATTAAAAATTTTTTAAAAACAAAAACAACATGGAGAAATAAAATATGCTATCCACAAGAATTATAGATTTATTGCAATTTATTTTAATATTTTATATATATTGATGGAAAGAGAGAATCAAATAGGTTTATGAAATTTCCCCTTATATTTTAGAACTTAGATGCAAACATTACAAATCTGAAAGACAAATTCTTTTCCATTACTATATTTGAAAAATAATTTATCATTTGTAAGTGTATATAAAGGACATTGAAGAACATAACAAATAACAAATTCAACATTAATTGTACAAAATAAACTATAAATGGGAGGTGATGGTTAGACTGGCTAAACTAATATTTTTATGTTATCTTTATGTTCTCTATCTTGACATGAGTTTAGAACTTAGAATGATTAAAGGACTGGCTGAACATGTTTCTACAGGCTATCTTCTACAGGCATCAGTTCTCTCAGCCAGGCTTTCTTTTTGCATAGACATTTTAACCTTAATCACAGAGGTAATACATGTCAAATGGGGACAAACACACACACACACACACACACACACACACACACACACAGATAAAGCAAAAAGTGAAATAAACCATCGCTAATCCTACTACCCAGAAAACTGTTTACACATTGTTGTGTTTTCAGCCAATAATTTTTCATGCATAAAATATATTTTTTCCAAAAATATAATGATACTGTATACAGTTTTTCTGTCTAATATTTAATTTATGGATGTATCAGAAACACTATTCTTAATCAATGAATAGGGTTATACAACATAATTTTACATTTCAATTTCATATTGCACTGTAAACATATATCACAGTATTGTAATCAATTTTTTAATTTAGATATTTAGGTTTAAAATTTTCCATATTGTAAGTAATAAGGTCCTTACCATCATCATACCTATATCTTTGCACACATTTCTGATAAATTATAAAAAATTGAATTTCTGTGTTGAAGTGTTGGAGCATTTTTAAATCTTTTGTCACATACTGCCAAATTATCTCCAGAAATTTATTCTCTCACCATCTCAGCCAGACTTTTGACAGAAGCTGGCTAGCAGATAATTTGAATTATACTCTCTGATGAGTACCACCATGAAGCACTACCATGACATTTCAAACAACCTTCTCTATTTTCTAACTTCGAGTTTGGAGGAGAGATGGGACACCTGCCCTGGGAATCAGAAGACGTGGGTACTGGGTTGGGGTATTATTATCTGGTCTACCTGTTTAATTGGTCATTGTGAGATCAAATGACATAACATATGAAAAAATTCTTTAGAAATGTCATTGCAAATGTAAGAAATTGTTAATTCAACAAGGGCATTCTATTAGGGATACCCTAGAAGGAAGAGAGATTTATCTTGACCATAAGTGAAAGAGGAGCAAGAGAATGTCCTTGGGGAATGCTCAGAGGGGCGGAATTGCATGTTCTCAGAATCTCTTGTGTCACATTTTGCTTTGTCTTTTAGGAGATATTTAAAGAAATGTTAACACACACTCAGTCGTACAGGCTTCTGGCTGGGTGTCAGTCTGTTAGTGATTTTCCCATAAAGCCCAGAGGCAACTGGATATTAAAAGACAGTACAAGAAAGACAAGGAGTTGCTCTTTACGATTTTCTGATACATAGGGAAAAACTGAGCTTAGTGTTCATGAAACACTTCAAGTTTCCTGGCAATAAATGTTATGCTTTGTTTTATTTTAAAGTTCTTTTGTATAGTGAGTGCATTTAAAACATCACTGAAACTATTCAACATATGTATTTGGTTTGACAGGATTATTATTCTTGCCAATTCTACATCCATTCGTATCAAGTGAAATCACTATTATCATTATTGTCTTTCTGGAAGCTTAGCTTTTTTTCCTGCCTATTTATAATATCAAATAGGATAATATGTTAGAATGATTTGTTCAATATAAATGATGGTAAATAGTCAAAATAGCAAAATATGTGACTACAACAATAAAGTGTGTTGAACTTTAAACAAGAAAGTCCCATGCCAATAATAATTCTTCATAGCCTTTAGTAAGTTGGTCCGAACATAAATATCATTTAATGTCATTTTTTGGTGTCTATCCATTTGGCAGAGAATGTCAGAGTGTATTCCATTTTTCTGACAAAATTTGACTCTTTGAATCAAAGAATTAATAGCATTGAGTTTAGGAAAGGAGGAGTTTATGCACTGATACTTTTCCATGGAGTTTTCTCTTCCTGTTAAATCAGCTGTTCACAAAAAAAAGTATTGCCTGCACTTGTCACATCACATGATTCTATGCTCAGACAACCCCTGAAATTCACAGCATTTTTCCAGTGTCACATACTGCACGTCACGCTGGCTGCAACTTCGGTACTTTTTTCCTCCAATATTTTAATGGGCAAACTTGAGTAATATATTTCCCAATTTCAAACCCTTCAGCACTGTCAGTCCAAAACTCCTGAGGATATGAACTAATGCAAAAGGTTCTGGCAGAGCTGAGCATCTTCAGCTCTGGTCTATCAGTGTCAAGTCCTCAAGCTCTTGAGAAATAATTTTACTTATTAAAACACATTTTCCCTCAAAAATACTGTAGGAAAGACAAAGCTCTCAGTGACCTCTCAGAAAATTGTTGAATTGAGGAGAGAAGTCTACATAACTCCTCCATTTTAAAGTCTAGTGAAAGTATAATTAATGTACCAAGAAAGAGCTCTGCTTTTCGTTCACAGATTTAAATTATTGAACTAAGCCTGCACCTTGGGACTATATTGCAAACACATTGCTTCCCAGTATTTTCTTTCTCTCAAAAATAGACAATGCCAACAGGTTGGCATACATTTTCAAGTTTTTAGTTAATGTCTGAGAATCCTTTAAGATTCTCTCTTCCCTCAGGAATTTCGTAGCGCTTAAGTTGAAATTGTCCCATCAGTGTAGTCATGATGAACTCTTCAAATACCTGAAAACCCATTGTGCACAGAGCATTTTATTCATTCAATTTCATGGAACAGGTTAACACCATGGTTACAGGTGTCTATTGAGTTAGTGTTCCTGTACAGGAAAAAACTACTTGCAGATTCATTAATTTAGGTTCCTTGGTGATTTTATATTATGTTTTACAGAAATATTATATACCTCCATGATGTCTTCATGAAAATATTCACTGCAGCAAAAGCCTTTTAAAAAATATAAGTCACATTACTTATTTCTCTGTGTATTTCCATCACAACATATTAGCCTTCCTTTTAAGGTAGCAATGATTATTAAAAGTTAGCACTATGCCAAGTGCAGGGTCAATAGCAGACAAAAATCATTTGATTTATCAGAATAAAGCAACCTCAGCTTAAAGAAAAGCTTCTGATTGAGAATCCTAGCAAAGATAACTCTGAGTTAAATATTTGATAAGTCATTTCTGCAAATATTAAGTCTTTATTTGACAACAACACCCTCTAGCCATCAAGTTACTTACAGTCCAATGGGAAAGAGTAAAGAAGTCCCTATGGAATGTCAAAAGAAGACTAAAGGAAAGCTCTGTAGAGCAGAGCACACAAATTTTAACTGTGCACACTGCTTGAAAAAGGATGAGGAATTCTTTGGTGAAATTGTCAAAGAGGCAGTTTATCATTGACATCATGTCATATGCCACTACCAATGGCCCTTCCTCCACTCAGACTGACATCAGACCTAGGCATGCAACTTTTCAAAAATACCTCATAATTCATTCTAATTTATTCTAAGGAAATTATCATAAAAACTCAGAGTTAATTATTTAAAAATTTCAATGCAATGCTGTTTACAGTATCAAAAAATATGGACTCAACAATTTTCAAACAGAGGAGATTGATTATAAAATAGTACCTTCAAGGAAAAGAATAACATGCTGTAGAAGACTATTAAGATATTCAAATATTTGAGAAAATATGAAAAAATAAACACATAAATGTATATTTAAGTTTAGAAGGATATACATCAAATATAATGTAAAATTACCAGGAATGATAGAATTTTGATTGATTTTCCTTTGTTTAGTAGTATTTTCCAAGTTATCTAGAATAAATTTGTCTTGCTTTGTAAAGGAAAAAAGACTTTTTTAAAAGAATTTACACAGTTTCCTTATTGATTTAACACTAGTTGCTAACTATCCAAGAAAAATATCAAGATCTTAGCAGCCAATTATAGTGTTGTTTGTATTACTTGCATTATTATTTTGACAGGGAATTTCTGGAGACACGATTACTTAATGTGGAGAAATAAATCCCTAATAAAGAAATTTCTGACTCTGTAAGCATCATTTAGGATCTTTGGAAGGAACTTACAGGAACCTCTCTGAAGATCTTTCTTATAGCTTGATCCAAGTCATCTGTCTAATTCCATGTGTAAACTTCATGAAGGAGGAAATTTGGGAAAAAACTTTAGAACTAGGATGGGAAGAAGAGTTGGCTAAACAAGAGCAGGTAGTACAGCTGCGGGCCTTTTTCAGATAGGAAATATTGCAGAATCAAATTAAAACTTTATTCTTTTAGCCCTAAAAGATCATCCCTGCCTTTTAATAAGTACAATGATCTAAATTTTTGTAGCTCTTCTATCCTTTAATTTATTCCCTATGTAACAAGTATAGCAGGATAGAAAAAAATATACGTTATTACTAGTTGCCTTCAACTCTATGCCTAGGGAAAGGATTGCCATGATTTAGGGGTGCTTGATAAGTTTCTGGTTTCTTGAAGCTTGGAAGAAAACAGCAGATAAGGAGAAATGGGGATTTGAGGCTTTCTAATTTCTTATGTGGTGGGGAGGTGTATGGGTTAGAAACAAATAATTCTCTGTCCTGCCAGATTTTAGAAAGGAAGTCATGTATCCAATTCAATCTAACAAGCACCCTACCGGCGTGGAGTACAGATTTGTAGCTACAAACCCTGCCCCCACAGAGTATTTAGTCATGACAATCTATATTGTAATTTGCAAGTTGTTCATCAAATCGCAGTAAATTACTGGAAACATTAAAACTTAATAATAAGTAATATTCTCCTGGAAAATTAGAAAGCTATGTCTAATTTAAAAAATCTGAAAAATCTTTCCACCTTTCTGGCATTCAGTAAAGCATACACCTGCCTCTGTAATTGCCATTTTGTTGAGGAGTAACAGAGCATGAAGCGTAATAACCACGGTATGTCTAAATAACAGCACCCTTAACTGTAGAAAAGCATTGACTTTGCCATGTGGTCCACCCTGCTGTAAATCAAACAGATTTTCTCCGTACTTTAGTATATTAGGGATATGTTACACAATTTTCGTCATTATTTTGCCACATATTTTTGTCATATCTGTTTTACTAGTTTTTTATTTAATATTTTATATATACATTTAAATGGAATCACCTTTTTACCTTAGCTCTATCCTGAGCAATAACCATGAAATCATGACTTTGATGTGCAAATTGCCTATTTCTAATGTAATTAAAATAAAAACTGTTCATCAATGTGTCATCTAAAAAGCCACATCACTCCACTTCAGTAGCAACACAGCCTAGACATTAAGATGGAGGAAGTCGGCCAGGCGCAGTGGCTCACGCCTGTAATCCCAGCACTTTGGGAGGCCGAGGCAGGCGGATCACCTAAGGTCAGGAGTTCAAGACCAGCCTCAACATGGAGAAACCCCGTCTCTACTAAAAATACAAAATTAGCTGGCCGTGATGGTGGCCTGTAATCCCAGCTACTTGGGAGGCTGAGGCAGGAGAATCGCTTGAACCTGGGAGGCGGAGGTTGTGGTGAGCCGAGATCGCACCATTGCACTCCAGCCTGGGCAATAAGAGCGAAACTCCGTCTTAAAAAAAAAAAAAAAAAAAAAAAAAAGATGGAGGAAGTCAGACTGTTCGTGTCCAAATTCCAGCTTTATGATTCATAGTTATGTGACTTTGGATAAACTCTGTGAACCTCGTCTGTGTTTACCTTCTAGGTTTGTTGTAAGAAATAAATGATTTAATATATGAAAACTAATGGAACAAAATAAGCCTGTAATAAATGTTAGCTGGCATCAGCTAGCATTATACCACAAATTAGGAGTATTCCAGGGACTGGGAACAACTAATACCCTCCCTTGAGAGTATTTACAACAAATAAGGTCATGCCCAGAAAGGATCTGAGTTCTTTAACATATTCGATGAATGTGTTCAGAGCCTGTCATGCGAAAGACTCCAAGCCAGAAAGGAACACACTCCAGCATTGCTCCAGGAAGCTAGAGTGTGGTAGCAAGGTCACTGAGAGCACACAAACCTCTGTCTGACTGCATCTAATGAATGAGAGATGCTTTAGATGTCCAGGGGTTTGTGTCTTTGCAAGAGTTCACTAAATAAAAAGCTCCCTGTTCTCTTACAGATTCAAAATGGAGAAAACACAAAGTCCACGCCTTAACAAAATGACTTATGTGAACTCATAAGCTGACTTTAAGAATAGGAAAACCTGATATGCCAAACCTTGTGTTTATATCACCTTTCTTCATTTCTCCATTCACAGTTGCAGCCGATAGTGTAAATGTAGCATATTCCCACCTAAGGCCAAACTCTAAATGCACTGAGTCACTTATACTCTAAAGTATAATTTTCTGACTTTGAACATCAGGGTCTAGACACAATATAATGTAATCTCAAATCTCATTTGTATTTCAAAGTAATTGTATGGACAATGTGTATGAGTGTATGTATGTTCAAGCCTTCTGAAAACGAGGCTAACTAGTGAGGTGAAGTCTTAGGTGGAAAATTTTATTTCCAGTATATCATTACTATTTGTTAAATGCATTCCTGATTTTGGATAATCATAGTGGAAAACACACATACACACACAAACACTAAGCCACAGTACTCAAGCAAACTTGAAGAAGGGCAGGGAGCAGTCAGCCTCTCATTATACAGCTGTTTACCAACAGGTTCTTCAGGCACATGGAGGGTCTGACTTAATTTGAATGTGCTGTGCACCATGTTTTTTCTGTGCTAAGTCAGTTCGCCTATTCTATAATCTCGAGTAGTGATCTGTTTTAAAAACAGTGTTCCATATAGCAGAATTAAGTATACATCTTGACGGTTTGCGGGTACAAAAATATCAAGTTTTCCTTATCTGGGGGGCTGGAATGCAGTGTAGTAATTCAGTACCAATTGACCATATACATGCACACACACAAGTATTATATATAATATTAAATATAATTTGAACGTCCTAACAGGGTGTAAAAGGCTCTGGAAGCTATGGGGTGTTCCAATGCCTCCAGCTTCATATTGTGTCCCTTTTCTCTTTACTCTTTGCCTTCTGATATTCAGGAATTGCTTCAAAAATGAGCCTATATCTCTCTGGCATTTCAGGCACTTTCACACATGCTGTTCCATCTGTCTGGAAGGCATTCTATTCTCTATGTGGCTACTTCCAACTGACTGTTGCTCAGAATCTAGCTTAAATATCAGTTCATTCATGTATACATTCACTCATTCATTTATTCCTCCATTTACGTATGCCATCTGTATTTATTGAACCCGTGATAAATTCACGCACTGTGCTAAACCTTGAGTATGTGAACAAAAGAAATGCAGCTCTCACTTCCTTGGAGCTTAAAACAACAGAAAATACAAACAATGAATAATTACACAAATTCACATGTAACACATGTATGATAATGGGTTTGAAGGGACACAATGGAATGCTATGAGAGAAAAAAATAAAGATCTAATTTAGATGAGCCTGAGATGAGGTGGGAGAGGAGGCTAAGGAGGTCTCTAAAAAGTAGCTGTTAGAGTGAGATCTGAAAATTAGACTAGAGAAATGATAGTGGGAAGAGTGTTCTAGGTATAGGAAACAGCACAAAGACTCCATCGTCCTTCTAAATTCACTCTCATATTTTATGTTCTTATAGCATTTTATTCTCCTTTGTAATATTAGTCACAGTAATCATTGAATAGTTATTTGGAAAACACTTGCCTCTCCCACTAGACTGTTACTCTCATAAGGCCAGTAGTAATAGTATATGCCTTTCTCTGCCCTTTCCTAAGCACCAAGCACAGTGAGAGTCTAACCCATGGTGGATGCTTACAAAGGTCTGCTGATGAAATACAGACAGTATTAATGGACTGGGAGGTCAGCAAGGGAAGCACTGCATTACAACTTTTAATCAATACTAAAGCTCTGCTTAAATATGTGCAATGAAATTAGGTGCACTTTGCCCATTTAAAAAATTTAAACTTAAGTATGCATGTTAGAGGACATGGTGGGCATAATACTGAAAGGAAAAGATCAAAAGGTAGAAATATTTATTCATTCGAAATTGACATATCACTTAGTTAACAAAACCTGCCATTTGTGTTGCTATCACTACGTAGCACAATATCCTTTGGGCACGTAGTAGGCACTCAAATATGTGTGCAATTAATGACAATGAGTTAACTAATGGAAGAAATATTTATAGGTATGTTCACTTATACCAGTTTATTTATTCAACAATATTTATTGTGTGCCTATACCTGGAGTTTTGCTGGGTGCTGAAAATACACAGATAGGTCTCAAAGAGCTCAGAACTCAAAAGAAAAAGAAAAATCAAGGTTCACAATTGTAGTGAGGTAAGTGATGAATAATGCATAATATAACTTCCTATGTGAGTGGGAGATGGGGAGAAAAGCAGGGCATTAGCTAAGTCTAGAGTGGATAGCAACTTTTTTTTTTTTTTGAGACTTAGTTTCATTCTTGCTGCCCAGGCTGGAGTGCAATGATGCTATCTCAGCTCACTGCAACCTCTGCCTCCTGGGTTCAAGGGATTCTCCTGCCTCAGTCTCCCAAGTAGCTAGGACTACAGGTATGTGCCACCATGCCCAGCTAATTTTGTATTTTTTAGTAAAGACGGGGTTTCACCATGTTGGTCAGGCTGGTCTCAAACTCCAGACCTCAGGTGATCCGCCTGCCTCAGCCTCCCAAAGTGTAGGATTACAGGCGTGAGCCACCGCACCCAGCCAGATGACAACTTTTTCAAGACATGATGACAGTTGCTATGCTGCTTAGGACCAATAGGGGTTACCCAGATACAAGCAAGGGAAGAACATGCATCCCAGCTATTTACCATTTTAGCTGTTGATAGTGAAGACTAAATAACTTGGCCATTCGGCCTTCCCGGCCATATGGAATTGTCTAACAAAAATGATATATGCCAATAAATTCTTCAGGCAAAGTTATTTTATACATTATAGATTGCTAAATTATCTGCATTAAAACTGAACACAAGAGGCTTAACTCCATTGAGGATAGAAATGTATTCCTTCAAATAAGGTAATTTTTGTTTTTGTTTACAGCCTCAATGATCTGTGCATTCTTTTAGACCTGAATGGATTTAGGGAGGAGTTTTGTTCACAGAAGAGAATTTCTAAAACAACAACAGTAGCTTGAAATTTACTCATGATCTTAAAATTGTGGTGAATGTGGCAGAAATGATTCACTGTGACTGAGACCTGTTTGTTGTGAATTGCTAATTAGTATAATTATTAACATTCAGAGAATTGCAAAGCAGGAAATTTTTAGCCTTGACTGCTTATTATTCACATGACAGTACTAAATTAAAATAAAATAACGCAGTCACAGAATAAGCAACAAAAGGTTCTTAAAAATATATCAAGAGCAATCTATTTGAGAACTATAGAAATTGTTCAGCAATGCAGATTGCCATTTTACTTTATTTCTATAACGTATTTTTTAGAAGTCTCAGAGAAAGTACTTTGTAAAGAGGAACATCTACAAAGGACTATATTCAGTTTTTTCCAGATCACAGTGCAAGAACATATCTTCAATATATGATCTTTCTACCAGCCCCCAAAAATTATTTATAAAATGTAATGTTGAATCTCCTTTATCGCTCACACAGAAGCTGAAAATTGTGTTCTAAAGAAATCAATACATATTTTAAGCAGAAGAAAATTCATGGAAATATCCAGGGAACGTTGGAGAGTGTAAAGAATTTTTACCTATGCTTATTGAAAAAAAATGAAATAAGGAAAAAACATATTTATACAAAAAATATCCTCAGACAAATACTTTGAAATTGCTTTCTATCTGAAATTCAGTTCAAAATTACTGACTAAAATTAGTATTTATCCTCGAGCTGGGAGTGGAACCAAACCCTAAACAGAAGTCTGGTTTAGATTAGTTTCAATTTAAATGAAAAAGTAAACTCTAATCAGTATTTTTCAATTTTGTTGAAACTCTTTTGAACTAAACACAAGAAAAAAATTACTTAGGTTTGAAAAGCAGCAGTTAATGAGGTTGACACCATCCACATCATATTTATGTCCTAAGCTATGAAAATAGATATGAGATTCCTTAAAATTGTGGCCCTCACTACATAAAAGATAGTGAGACATATGTAAATGAGCTGACACAACTCCCTACAAAGCCTGTGACCCCACAGGTACATATGTAGTATGAATTTTAATATCTAAGTATTTATATAGGACATATTAATAACAAAATACCTTTTGGAAACACTGAGCAAGCCTCCAACTTACATACATATAGGTAAAAATAGCATATATAAGCATGCTAATTATACATTTTAAAGTTCATAAAACATTGTTTCATTTATTCATTCTTGCTTATTCAACATTGAGTACCTCTTCTATGTACTATGCTTGGTGTTAGCAATGCAAAAGAATGAGCTTAATGTGATCCCTGCCTTCAAAGAGTTTTAATCTAAGAAATACTTAAAATCCATTTGATGGTAATCAAATTATTAAAAGATTCTCTTTATGTAGAGCAGATAATGGTAAACTCATTCCATAAACTATCTCAATATATTTTTCCATTCTTGATCTTTACAATACAGGTTAATATGAAGGACATAGAGACTATTCAGATGACAATTAGAAAACAGAACATTTGGACTATCATAATGGGTCCATAAATAATTGCTTGACTAAATAAATAAGTATTATTAATAAAATTTTAGTATAAGGAAACAACCATAAGAGCAAAGGTCACTGACATGCATAGAATTTAGGCACCACTCTGAAAGAAGAGAAACTTAGAACCAGAACAGAAACAATTCCCTTAGCTACATCTGGCTAAAGGTTTTATCATTGTCTATTGCAAAAGTGGAAGTTAATATCAAAATATTGTTTTGAATTTATTTATAAATTGTCATGTAATATAATCTGTGTAGTTTTTCCTCTGTGGTCTGGGTTCATCCACTGTCAGTTAAACATATCTATTTTTTATAAAATGCCAATTTATAAAAACACTATAGATATTGTTGCAAACAAACTCCTGGCTCCCATTTGACCATTATAGTCAAGTGTGCCCATAGCTAGCCTTTCTGATGCTGTATCAGGGTTATTTTTGTCAGTGTATGTACTACAAATTCTTTCTGTATACTTGGATTAAAATTTTGATATAATCTAGCATCTTATCCAATGTTGCTCATGGATTTCCTTGGAATATGATCTATCTGGTAAATAGGCCACTGAAGCTACCCATGTGCTACATGCACCCCAGATGAGAGAGGCCAGCTATGAGTGCTCCCTGGAGATCATTGAAATATCCCTGGAAAGATTTCACAATTTAACTTTTTGGAAAAAAATATTTCTTCCACTCTTGTCTGTTGTCCATCCTTTTGTCTCTCTAGCTGCATATTTCATAATTTATTCCTAACTATTGTCCATTTCACCAATGCTCTCTTTGGCTATAACTATGCTGCTGCTAAAACTATCCACCGAGTTTTTCATTTTTGTTACTGCATTTTTATTCCTGGAATTTCTTTTTTTCAAATTTGGCATTTTAGTCTATACAATTTCAGTTTCCTGCTATAATTTTCAAACTTGGCTTTCTTTTCATTCTTAATCAGATAATTTACTATTTTAATTTATGGTTGATAGTCTATGTTTGATACTATATATCAAGTTTTTGTATATATGTTTGTCTATTGAGTTTTCTGATGCCCATACATAGTCTTATTCTTTGTGTGTCTACTCATTTTTGACAAGTACAAAAAATGCTTCTTGTGACAGAAGGATTCTTAGCAGGAATGACAGCAGATTTCTTGTGGGAAACAGGGCCAAACCAAAAGACTGTGGGTGAACGTCTTTAAAGTGATGAAAGAAAAAAGATACTGTCATCTTACAAAAATATCTTTCAAATATTAAGGTGAAGTGAAAACATTTGTAGGTATACAAAGTCAAAATAATTCATCACCAACAAAGCTATACTATAAATAATGTTAAGGAATATCCTGTAAGCAGGAACAAAACGATACCAGGCATAAATATGAATCCACAGAAAGGATTATAGAGTACCTAAAATTGTAAATAAGTGGGTAGATTTTTAAAATTTAAATTTAAAATCCCCTTAAAATATAATTAAATGTTTAACGAAAATAATAACAATGGACTGTGGGGTTTATAATATATGTAAAAGTAAAAATACCTGACATCACAGGATGAAAACTTAAAGTGAAGAAATACAACTATATTATTTTAAAATTCTTATTAAAAAATATGGTTTTATGTGGTAATACTTTAAGACAAATTGTGTAAAGTTGTACACTATATACATTTTATAAAAAGCAATAAAACATTTGAGTGAATAAGCAAACCTAAGAGCTCAAATGGAATAATAAAAGGATAAAAGTGCTAAATTCAAAAGAAGTCTGAAAAGGAGAAAAAAGGAACAAAGAACACATGTGACACATAGAAAAAAATGGAAAGATGTCAGATTTATACCCAACCATACTAATAAATACATTAAATGTAAATGGTCTAAATAACCAAATTAATATAAAATGTTAAATTGTATTTTTTTAAAGATTCAAATTTATGTTGCCTATAAGAAATCCTTTTTAAGCATAAAGAAACTGATCAAAAGTCAAAGAATGAAAAAGACATACCTTTCCAAAGAAAGCTGCAATAACTGTACTAATATTAGACAAAATAGGGTTCAGAACAAAATATTATCAGGAATAGAATGAATAATTTAAAAATGAAGATGAGGTCAATTCATTAAGAGAATATAATAATTCTAAAAGTTTATACACTGATATGGTTTGGTTGTGTGTCCCCACTCAAATCTCACCTCAAATTGTAATCCCCATAATCCCCATGTGTGAGGGCAGGACCTGGTGGGAGGTGATTATGTCATGGGGTGGTTTCCCCCATGCTGTTCTTCTGATAGTGATTTCTCAAGAGATCTGATGGTTTCATAAGCGTTTGACATTTCCTCCTACACCCACTCTCTCTCGTCTGCCACCATATAAGACATGTCTCTGCCCCTTCCTCCATAATTGTAAGTTTCCTGAGGCCTTCCCAGCCATGTGGAACTTTGAGTCAATTAAGCTTCTTTTCTTTATAAATCACCCAGTCTCAGGCAGTTCTTTATAGCAGTATGAAAATGGACTAATACATATGCCTAATAATAAAACTTCATGATACCTGAAGTAAAAACTGATGTAACTGCAAGGATAAATAAATCCATAAAGTCAGAGATTTTATTACCATTCTCTCAATAATTGATAGAATAAGTAGACACAACTTGATTTAACTCATATTTATAGAACACTCCACCAAATAATGGAAACACCCAAAACAGTCTTTTCAAGGACTCATGGAACATCTATCCAGAAATAAGTTGAGGAGTTTAATAAGTTTTCTGGATATATAATTAATATACACAAATATACTAAGCATACATTTAGAAAATATAATTTAAAAAATATAATATTTATTATAAGCAGTAACAATATAAGTAAATAAAAATAGCAAAAAACTGTGTACAATCTATCCATAAAAAATATAGAATTTTGAAAATCTCTTCAGAACACCTAAAAAATGAGATACAATATACCTGGACAGGATAATTCAATATTTTAAGATGTCAGGTTTTCCCTGACTTTAAACATTTTCCATGGATTTAAATAACTTTTAATCACAATCCAAATAGAGTTTTTCAAAAAACTAGACAAACTGACATCAAATTGATATAGAAGAGAAAAAGTCAAAGAATAATGAAGAGAGTCCTGGTAAAGTATAGGGTGAAAGGGGCCTATATTTATTATATTTCTTTTTTGATTATTACTTTAGGATATTTATAGATTCTGGATATTAGACCTTTGTAGATGGATAGTTTGTGAAGTAGGTTGTCTGTTTACTCCTTTGATAGTTTGTTTTGCTGTGTAAAACCTCTTTAGTTTAATTGTTAATTTTTGTTTTTGATGCAATTGCTTTTGAGGACTTAGCCATAAATTATTTGCCAAGGCTGATAGCAAAAAGTGTATTTCCTAAGTTTTATTCTAGAAGCGTTATAGTTTCATGTCTTACATTTAAGTCTCTAATCCATCTTGAGTTAATTTATGTATATGGTGATAATTAGGGGTTCAGTTTCATTCTTCTGCACATTCCAGCAACATTTATTGAATAGGAACTCTATTCCCTATTGCTTATTTTTGTTGAGTTTGTCTAAGATCAGATGGTTGTAGGTGTGTGGTTTTATTTCTGGGTTCTCTAGTCTGTTCCATTTATCTATGTGCCTGTTTTTGTACCAATACCATGCTCTATTGGTTACTGTAGCCTTGGAATATAGTTTGAAGTTAGATAATATGATGCCTTTAGCTTTGTTCTTTTAGCTTAGAATCACTTTGGCTATTTGGGCTCTTTTTTCATTTTATAGTAATTTTATAATAGCTTTTTCTAATTCTGTATACCTTTGTAACAAACCTTAATATGTACCCCTGATTCTAAAATAAAAGTTAAAATAGAAAAAAATACTTAATATACAACTGTAATAATTAGAACCATCTAGTATTGATGATGAAGTAAGACTATTTCACTACTGGTACAATTTGGAGACTTCAGAAACAGACTCACACATGTAAACAAAGTTAATATATGTGAAAGATTTCATGGAATATTACAGGAAAAAGAAACCTGAAGTGATCCACGAGAATGAACTGAAATTAGATTGCTACTTCACATTATACATAAAAATCAATGCACAATGAATGAAAAACTTAAATATAAAAGACAAAACGTTAAAAATTAGAGAAGAAAATCTGGGATAGAAGTTACATCTGGGGAAAGACTAAGGTCAGAAGCAGTGTATAGGTAGAGGTAACACTGTCATATTCTAGTTCTTAATTGTGTTCACATACATTCTTGCTAATATTCTGCATCATAACCTGCATCTGTTCTTACATGCATTCTTTTGTATAGTTCAAATATTATAAAAATTTTAAAATTCTGTTGTCCTCACGTTAGAATAATACTCAGCTTCAAAAGGGTGAAATTTGCCCACAGCATTACTTTCTCCAGTCAAAATCAATCAATGCCATCTGTCCTCAGTAACCCTTCCATTTTTTCTGCCCCGTATTGAATCATCCTCATTCTCTTATCATTTCTCTGCTATCATAAGACATAAAAAATGAAGTTGTAACTGCTGAGTGTTTAAGGAAGATTTCTTTCTAAATATTTCTTGTTACTTTACTGTTAACATATTTCATTGCCAAGTGAGTTGTTTGAATAGGGGTACTCTCACTGACTCATTTTAAGCACATAAAGCAATAATGCCTAGAAATTTATTTCCTATATGTTAATTTATTTTTATCACATCATTATTTAGTACATGGCATTTATTTCTTTCAGGGATCACATAATTAGTTTGTGAAAATCACTCTGAAGTGGAGGTCTGTCTCCATAAAGGCTAATAACTTCACTGAAATTAAAGTAGATCTATGTGACACTTAACTATAAAGCAGAGAAAGCATCTGGAATCTTAGGTTCTGGTCCTAGGTTTTCATTGACAAGCAGCATATTCTTATTTAAATTAATCTCATTCCAAATCTCAGTGTTCTTTTTTTTTTTTTTTTTTTATTATACTCTAAGTTTTAGGGTACATGTTTACAAAATGAAAGAGTTAGTGTAGTTCTCCCTTAATAAGCTACTTAATTCTGTTTCTAAAATAATATAAATTGCATTATTTGTTTTTTTTACAAATAAATAAAATAATTTCTATAAGACACAGGTCTAGTGTTGGAAGCATCGAAATTGTTAGTAAGATTAATACTCAATATTTAGGATGTTAGTCTTTCTCTAACTTCATTCCCTGTGCTGTCACAGATTCAATGCAATCTCGCTCACTTTATTTAAACATTTTCTTAAGAATAACAATCTTCTCAGAGAGAAAGTAGATATAGCCTAAACAATTAACTCTATTGAGCTTCTGGATGCTGTTTAAACATATAGTCTTTAAAAAAATGGACTTGAGTTATTTTGAATTCCAAGTTTAACATAAAATATCAGAGACAAAGCATAAAATTACATACACACACACACACAAATTAAGAATGCATGATAATGTAGAAGTTAATTTTCTCTCCAGAAAAAGCAGACAGTCAACAAGATATATGGAAAAAGAGGTGAATTGGTATAGGAGAGCAATTATATAAAACACAGGGGATCTCCTTTTAAGGTCCCAAGCTCTAGCTTTCTTATCCTTGGTTACCATGAGATAGAGAGAGGGATACAGAGATCTTAAGTTTGTTTTATGATGTGAGAACAGAGAGAACATATGCCTTGCTTTCTATGTAATAGCCATACGGGATACACCAATTATCTTATTGAAGCCCCATTTTCCTTGTGTTGCCAGATCAACAGAGTAGCAATGGCTGAACTAGGCCCTTGACTAATCATGGGCCTGAGACACACCCCAGTTTCCTTCAAAGAATGGTAGGGAAGCATGACAATACTAATAGAGGACTGGCAGACCTGCATACGAATAAGGAGGAGGAGGAGTCAGGTCAGATTACTTAGAGCTGATTGCTGAAGGTCATGGCAGAACTGTGAACCTCAGCACACCTGTTAGCATATGATGACAACAGCCAATTGAAGCAAAGTACACCACAATCACAAAAAACACCGGAGGGTGGTCATAAGCCAGAATACCCCCTTCCATGATGCTATGTATGCCTAAAAAGATACCACCCTGGGAAAGTGAAAGGTCAAGGATTTGATGTCACTGAGTTATCATTTCCTTAGAAAGATTTTTAATCTAACAGAGTCTGAGTTACACTTCTGGTTACAACTAAGGTTCCTTGCATAAAGTGAAAATAGGAACATATTAGCTAAGTAAATTTTTATTTATAGATAAAGAATACAACTTTTTAAATATTGAAATATATGGCTATGATATGTTCACTTGCTTTACCAATATTATGGTTATTATCTTTATTGCAGTTGTGGTAACTATTTTCACAAGATCCCCTTTAACTCTTATGTACCTTGATCAATTTTATTTTTAATTAATTTTTTTAATTTATAATTGACACACAATAATTATGCATATTTTGGGGGTAGAGTGTGATGTTTCAATGCATGTATAAATTGTATAATGACCAAATCAGAGTAATTACACATATGTTATTTTAAACTTCTATAATTTCTTTGTTCTGACAACATTCAAAATCTTCTAGCTATCTTGAGTATACACTGCATTGTTATTTGCTATTGTATTCATCCATTTTCATGATGCTGATAAAGACATACGAAAGACTGGGCAATTTACAAAGGAAAGAGATTTAATGGACTTACAGTTCCGTGTGGCTGTGGAGGCCTCACAATCTTTGCAGAAGGTAAAAGGCATGTCTCACATGGCAGCAAACAAGAGAAGAGAGCTTGTACAGGGAAACTCCCCTTTTTAAAACCATCAGGTCTCATGAGATTTATTCACTATCATGAGAACAGCATGACATGATTCAACTACTTCCCACTGGGTCCCACCCACAACACATGGGAATTCAAGATGAAATTTGAGTGGGTACACAGCCAAACCATATCATTTCACCCCTGACCCCTCCCAAATCTCACGTCGTCATATTTCAAAACCAGTCATGCCTTCCCTGCAGTCCCCCAAAATTTTAACTCATTTCAGCATTAACTCAAAAGTCCATAGCCCAAAGTCTCATTCAAGACAAGGCAAGTCTCTTCGGCTTATAAGCCTGGAAAAATCAAAAGCAAGTTAATTACTTCCTAGATACAATAAGGGTATAGGAATTTGGTAAATACACTTATTCCAAATGGGAGAAATTGGCCAAAACAAAGGAGCTACAGGCCCCATGCAAATCCAAAAATCCAGTGGGGCAGTGAAATCTTAAAGCTCCAAAATGATCTCCTTTGACTCCATATCTCACATCCAGGTCACACTGATACAAGAGGTGGGATCCCATGGTCTTGGGCAGTTCCACCCCTGTGGCTTTGCAGGGTACAGCCTCCCTCCAGGCTACTTTCATGGGCTGGCATTGAGTGCCTGCGGCTTTTCCAGGTACACAGTGCAACCTGTTGGTGGATCTACCATTCTGGGGTCTGGAGGATGGTGGCCCTCTTCTCAAAGCTCCACTAGGTGGTGCCCCAGTAGGGACTCTGAATGGGGGCTTTGATCCCACATTTCCTTTCTGCACTGCACTAGCAAAAGTCATCCATGAGGGGCTCACCCCAGCAGCAAACCCGCCTGGGCATCCATATATTTCCATACATCCTCTAAATTCTAGGCAGAGGTTCTCAAACCTCAATTTTTGACTTCTTTACACTTGCAGGCTCAACATCACATGGAAGCTGTCAAGGCTTGGGGCTTACACCCTCTGAAGCCATGGCCCAATCTCTACAATGGCCCCTTTCAGCCACTTCTGAAGTGGATGGGAGGCAGGTCACCAAGTCCCTAGGCTGCAAGTAGCACAAAGACCCTGAGCCCAGAACTCAAAACCATTTTTTCCTCCTAGACCTCAGGACCTGATAGGAGGGGCTGCAGTGAAGACCTCTGACATGCCCTAGAAATATTTTACCTGTTGTTTTGGGGATTAACATTTGTCTCCTCATTACTTATGCAAATTTCTGCAACCAGCTTGAATTTCTCCTCAGAAAATGGGATTTTCTTTTCTATTGCACTGTCGGCTGCATATTTTCTCAACTTTTGTACTCTGCTTCCCTTATAAAATTGAATGCACAGCAACAAAAGCTAAACTTGACAAATGGGATCTAATTAAACTAAAGAGCTTCTGCACAGCAAAATAAACTACCATCAGAGTGAACAGGCAACCTACAGAATGGAAGAAAATTTTTGCCATCTACTCATCTGACAAAGGGTAAATATCCAGAATCTACAATGAACTCAAACAAATTTACAAGAAAAAAACAAACAAAAAGTGGGCAACGGATATGAACAGACACTTCTCAAAAGAAGACATCTATGCAAGCAAAAGACACATGAAAAAATGCTCATCATCTCTGGCCATCAGAGAAATGCAAATCAAAACCACAATGAGATACCATCTCACACCAGTTAGAATGCCGATCATTAAAAAGTCAGGAAACAACAGGTGCTGGAGAGGATGTGGAGAAATAGGAACACTTTTACACTGTTGGTGGGACTGTAAACTAGTTCAACCATTGTGGAAGTCAGTGTGGTGATTCCTCAGGGATCTAGAACTAGAAATACCATTTGACCCAGCCATCCCATTACTGGGTATATACCCAAAGGATTATAAATCATGCTGCTCTAAAGACACATGCACACGTATGTTTATTGTGGCACTATTCACAATAGCAAAGTCTTAGAACCAACCCAAATGTCCAACAATGATAGACTGGATTAAGAAAATGTGGCACATATACACCATGGAATACTATGCAGCCATAAAAAATGATGAGTTCATGTCCTTTGTAGGGACATGGATGAAGCTGGAAACCATCATTCTCAGCAAACTATCGCAAGGACAAAAAACCAAACACTGCGCGTTCTCACTTATAGGTGGGAACTGAACAATGAGAACACATGGACTCAGGAAGGGGAACATCACACACCAGGGCCTGTTGTGGTGTGGTGGGGAGGGGTGAGGGATAGCATTAGGAGATATACCTAATGTTAAATGACGAGTTAATGGGTGTAGCACACCAACATGGCACATGTATACACATGTAACAAACCTGCACGTTGTGCACATGTACCCTAAAACTTAAAGTATAATAAAAAAAAAAAATTGAATGCCTTTAACAGCATCCAAGTCACATTTTGAATGCTTTGTTGCTTAGAAATTTCTTCCACCAGATGCCCTAAATCATTTCTCTCACATTCAGTTTCACAAATCTCTAGGGCAAGGGCAAAAATGCCACCAGTCTCTTTGCTAAAACATAACAAGAGTCAACTTTGCTCCAGTTCCCAACGAGTTTCTCATTTCTATCTGAGACCACCTCAGCCCGGACTCTATTGTTCATATTATTATCAGCATTGTGTGCAAATACATTCAACAAGTCTCTAGGAAGTTCCAAACTTTCCCACATTTTCCTGTTTTCTTCTGAGTCCTCTAAACCGTTCCAACCTCTGCCTGTTATCCAGTTCCAAAGTCGCTTCCACGTTTTTGGGTATGTTTTCAGTAGTGCCCCACTCTACTGGTACCGATGTACTGTATTAGTCTGTTTTCACGTTGCTGGTAAAGATATACCAAAGACTGGGCAATTTACAAAATAAAGAGGTTTAATGGACTTACGGTTCCATGTGGCTGGGGAGGTCTGACAATCATGGTGGAAGGTGAAAGGCACATCTCACATGGTGCCACACAAAAGAAGAGGGCTTGTGCAGGGAAACCACCTGTTTAAAACCATCAGATCTCATGAGACCTATTCACTATCATGAGAAAAGCACAAGAAAGACCATCTCTTATGATTCAGTTACCTTCTACTGAGTCCCTCCCACAACACATGGGAATTCAAGATGAGATTTGGGTGGAGACACACCCAAACCATATCAGCTATACTCACCCTACTTTGTAATAGAACACCAAAATTTATTCTTCCTGTCTAACTGTAACTTTGCACCTATTGAACAACCTCTCCTGGTCCCCCCTGCTCATCCCTACCCTCCCCAGCCCTGGTAATCACTACTCTCCTCTCTATTTTTATAAAATCAGCTATTTTAGAGTCCTCATGTGAGTGAGATAATGCAGTGTTTGTCCTTCTATTGGTGGCTTATTTCACTTAATATCATGTCCTCCACGTTCATCCATGTTGCCACAAATAACAAATTTCATTTTGTGTAATGGCTGAATAATACTCTCTTGTGCATGCACACGAGTGCATTTGTGCGTGTGTGTGTGTGTGTTACAGTTTTTCATCCTTTCATCTGTAGATGAGCATTAAGGTTGATTCAATAGCTTGGCTATTTTTAATAGTGCTGCAGTGCTGCAACAAATTTGGGCATGCAGATGTCTCTTCAACATACTAATTTCACTTTCTTTGGATGTGTACCCAATATATGGGATTGCTGGATCATATGGTAGTTCTATTTTTAATTTTTTGAGGAACTTTATACTATTTTCCATAATGACTGTAGTAATTTACATTCCTATCAACAGTATATAAGAGTGCCCTTTTCTTCACATCCTTGACAGCATTTCTTTTTTGTCTTTTTGATAATAGTCATTCTAACTGGAGTAAGGAGATATCTGATTGTGGTTTTGACTTGCATTTCCCTGATGATTAGTGATGTTGACTATTTTTTCATGTCTCTGTCAGCCACTTGCATGTCTTCTTTTGAAAAATGTCCATTTTAGCCTTCTGCACATTTTTAATTGGATTATTTGGGTTTCTTTTTTGCTATTGGATGATTAAAGAAATTGAAGAGAACATAAATAAAAGATATCCCATGCTTATAGATTGGAAGAATTAATACTGTTAAAATGTCCATATTACTCAAATTGGTCTACAAATTCAGTGCAATCCCTATCAAAACACTAATTACATTCTTCACATAACTAGAAAAGAATTATCTTAAATTCATATGCAAATGCAAAAGATGCCAGATAGTCAAAGCAATCATAAGTGAAAAGAATGAAGCTTAAGGCATCCCACTACCTGAGTTCAAAATACAGTACAAAGTCATAGTAACCAAAAATAGCATAGTACTGGCATTAAAACAGATGCATAGACTGATGGAATATAATAGAGAACCCAGAAAGAAATCCACACATTTACAGCCAATTGATTTTCAGCAAAGTCAACAAAAACACACATGGGGGGAAGGACAGTTTTCAATAAACAGTACCGTGAAAACTGGATATCCACATGCAAAAGAATAAAATTAGATCCCTATTTTTCACCCTACACAAAAGTCAACTCTAAATGGATTAAGGACTAAACCGTAATAATCAAAACCATGAAACTACTGGAAGAAAGCCTAGGGGAAATGCTTCATGAGTTGAACTGGGCAAGGATTTTTAAAATAAGACCTCAAAAGCACAGGGAACAAAAGCAAAAATAGGCAAATAGGATTATATTGAATGAAAAAGCTACTGTACCACAAAGTAGGCAATCAATAAAGAGACAAACCTACAGAATGGGAGAGAAAATTCAAGAACTGTGGGACAATGCTGAATGATCTAACGTAAATGAAATTGAAGTCCTAGACAGAAGGAAATTTGACCAAGAATTTCTCATAAGTGAGTGAAGACATCAAACCACAGATGTAATAATCTCAGCATAAGCCAAGCAGGATGTTTAGCCCTACTATACAAGTTAGAGGTCAAGGGAGTAACATCTTTAAAGTACTGAAAGACAAAAAAAATACTATGAACCCATAATTCTGCACCCACGAAAAATACTTTTCAAAAGGAAGGTAAAATACAGACTTTTTTTCAGTCAAACAAAGCCTGAGAGAATTTATGTCAGTAGAACTGCATTTTAAGAGATGCTAAACAAAAGTCTTTAGGCATCCACACTAGAACTGAATCTACACAAAGAAATGAAGATTGGTGTTAACTACGCAAATGGAGGTAAAAGTAAAAAGCATATATTCCTCATTTTTAATCACTTTAAAATATTTGAGTGTTTAATGCAAGACTTGTGACAATATTATGGAGTTTAAACTCTATATAACATTAATATATGTGACAATATCACAAAGGATGGGAAAAGGGTTTGGAAATATTCTGTTGTAAGGTTCTGATGCTATTTATGAGTGAGTACATATAATTTTTTTTTGAGACAGAGTCTTGTTCTGTCACCCAGGGTAGAGTGCAAGTGATACAATCATAGCTCACTGCAGCCTCAATGTCTCAGGCTCGTGCTATCCACTTGCCTTAGCCTCGAGTTGGTGGGACTACAGGCTACACCACCATGCCTGGATTTTTTTTTTTTTTTTTTTGTAGAGACAGGAGTCTCATTATGTTGTCCAGGCAGGTCTCAAACTCCTGGGCTCAAGCAATCCAACCATCTTGGCCTCCTAAAGTGCTGGGATTACAAGTGTGAGCCACCACGACCTGCCTATATCATTATTATTTGAAAGTAGCCTCTGATAAGGTAAATACGTATGCTAACCCCTAGGGAACAACTGAAAGTTGGTGGAGGGATATAAATAATTAGCCAAAAATGGAAATAGAAGCATTTTAAAATATTTAATTTAAAATAAGATAGAAAGAAGTAACAAAGAATCAAAGGAATTAATTAAAAGCAATTAGTAAGGTAGTAAATTTAAATCTAATAATATCAATAATCATATTAAGTGTAAATTGTCTAATTTCCCTAATCAAAAAGCAGAGATTTTCAAAATTGGGTAATAAAGGAAAATCCAACTATATGTTGTCTACAAGAAATTCATATTAAATATAAAGGCAAGTATAAGTTAAAAGTAAAAGTATTAAAAATATTGTAAACAATAATTTTTAAAAGCTGGAGTGGTAATATTAACATCCAATGAAATAAACTTCACAACAAGTTGTATTACCAGGGATAAAGAAAGACATTACATAATGATAAATGGGTAAGTTCATAAAAAAGACAAATCATTCCTAAATGTCACTGGATAAGATTAAATATGTGAAAAAAATAGTATGCTTATATATAAATTAATGCAATAAATATAAATATAATAGCATTGAAAACATTAACAACTTAGGTATTTAATAGGATAATCTGCGTATATATCTGACAAAAGAAATACAAAATTTGTTATACTGAAAACTATAACATATTGATTTAAATAAATCAAAACCCTAAATAAATGAAGAGAATATCATGTTCGTGAGTCAGAAAATACTACTCTTAAGATTTCAGTTCTCTCTGATTTGGTCTATAGATTTAGTGCAATCCAAATCAAAATCTCAAACAGGCCTTTTTTTTGTTTTGGTTTGGTTTGGGGTTTTTTGTAAAAATCAGTAAGCCGATTCTAAAATTTAGGTGCAAAGAGCGAAGAACCTAGAATAATGGAGGCAATTTAAGACAAAATTAAGGAATAAAGATGAAGAACCCTCACTACTCCATTTCCAGATTGACTGTAAAGCATTGGTATATAGAACAATTGAACAAAATGGAGTCCAGAAATAGACCCAAACATATATGATAGATTGATTACTTAGTAAAGTTGCCGGGGCAATTCAGTGTATAAAGAATGACCTTTCCACAAATGATGCTAGAACAATTGGGCATACATTTTTTAAAAGTATTTAAATACTCATATCATATTTATAAAAGAACTCAAAATGAACTATAAACCTTGATGTAAAACCCAAAACTTAGGACAGGAGAATCTCTGTGATCTTAAATTAGGCAAAATATTTTAGAGAGGACAGAAAAATCACAATTCATTAAAAAATTGGTAAATTGGAACCATAAAAACTAAAACTGCTCTTCAAAAGACACTATTAAGAAAATGAAAAGGCAAAACACAGATTAGGAGAAAATATTTGCAAACACGTGTTTGAAAAAGAACTTGTAGTCATAATACATAAAAAAGGCTCATGAAGTGAGAATAGGAAAACAAACTGCCCAATTTAAAAATGTTGGCAAAAGAATTGAACAGACACTTCACAAAAGAGCTATTGATGGCATGAAAAGATGCTCAACATCATTCGTCATATGAAAATGCAAATTAAATCCAAAGTGAGGTATCACAATAGACTCATTAGCTAAACTTAAAAGCTGACAAAACCAAGTACTGCTAAGGAGACAGAGCAATGGGAACTTTCATACATTACTGATGGTAATGAAAAATAATTCAGAAATGTTAGAAAAAGTTTTGCAGTGTCTTATACATTTAAGCATACTCTTAGACCCAGTAATTCCATTCCTGCCTATTTATCCAAAAGAAAAGACAACTTATGGACATACAAAAATTCTCATGTACATGTTTATAATCACGCCCACAAATTCTAGATAGCAGAAATGACCAGATATAAACTCCACTTGTTGTTCACTGTCAATTAACTAATGCCTTGTAAATTCTATTGTTGTAGCTAGAGATTAAAATACTGAGTAATACAAGGCCTGAGATTATCCCTTGTGGAAACTGATTGACTCTCCAACATAACAATTGCAATAATTTTTTGTAAGTTCTTCCACAAAACTTTCAGTTCAGTGCAAAGCCTTTTGTAATTCATGCATATTAAACTAATTGCACTCCCTTAATAAATACAAAGCTTAAGAGATCTGCTATTTTTGAGGCGGTGTGGATGAAATCACAGCACCATAGCGGCAGGATTAAGAACAGAATTGGGAAAGAGAAAGGAAACAAGAATCTAAATTAAATTATTAGAAAACAAGTAAAAGACACCTGTACAGTAATAAAAAAAAGAACGCTCCTTAAAAGCAATAATCACAGTTGATTTAATGTATATTAGTTTAATATTTTACAGTAAATATGAATGAATGCACGTAATCTAGAAGAAAGGTATAATGGGCATATATTTTCCAAATATAATTTAATGTTAGTAGGTACATGCAAAACATGGTGACTAATCATTGATTTAAGTATATTTTTAATCATTACTTGAAGAAAATTCATCATTTTCTTTGCTCTATTTACCATTATTCAGTTTCTGATGAGTTTGCTATGAAGGAAGTTGCACTTCATTGCACTGGGGGCAAAATTAGTGCTTGCTTCCAATTCATTTGTTGACTATGGTTGTATCATAGAGGAAGAACCCTAAAGAGCTCTTTACCTGGCTGCTCTTATTCTGGGTTCTAAATTAGAAATATCCTCTACCAGGAAGTTCCTGTTTTCTCCTCTTTGACCTGTAATGTAGCTGCCCTAAAGTTCTAGAACTGTGCTGTCCAATATGGTAGCCACTAGTCATATGTGGCTATTTAAAGAATTTTTTTTTTTTTTTAGCGACTGCAGTGGAGTGAACATAGCTAACTACAGCCTTGACCACTTGGGCTCCAGTGATCCTCCCATCTCAACCTCCTAAGTAGCCGGGAGTACAGATGCGCATGCCACCGTGCCTGGCTAAATTTTTGTTTATTCGTTTATTTTTCTAGGTGCAGATGGAGGCTTGCTGTATTTCCCCAGCTGGTTTCAAACTGCTAGCCTAAAGTGATCCTCCAGCCTTGGCCTCTCAAAGTGCTGGGATTACAGGCATGAGCCACTGTGTGCAGCCACTATATACGTTTAGATGAATTAAAGTTTAATAAATAAAAATTTACGTCTTTAGTTGTAATTGTCCCAGGACAAATGCTTGAGAATCATAAGCAAGCCAGTGTCTTCTGTATTGAACAGTGCAGATTACAGATTTTTTCCATAATCACAAAAGTTCTATGGGTCATCCCTAACCTAGAGCCAATAATTTTCTATCTAAAAATATCTGCTTACAATAATGATAATCTTCCTCAACTGTTGTCCTTCTCCCTAGGTCTACCTCTACAATGCTCTTATTTTTCCATCAAATTATTCACCATAACATTTGGTCTGAGGACATCATGTGTATTCTCTACTCCTTCAAGGTGTCTTCAAGGTGTACCCAGTCTATCATGAATTTAGTTTGCATTGAAATATGTTGCCCTTCTAAAATGGAACATTTCCTCTGTTCCTGCACTGCTACTTCCCAGAGCCCTACTCTGGGAAAATTACTATATTAAATGAGATGGGAGCTCACAAAATCATGAAATGCAACTAACAAAATTAATTCTAATTGCCCTACATAAAAGTACCATCAAATGGATTGAATAAAGGATGAAAGTCTATAAGCAGAGAATAAAAAATGGTTCTATTTTCAGTTCAGGTTTGGTGTTGCATAGGCTGCCAAGAAGTTCTTTGTTCAGTTTGATTTTATTTAACAACATTATTAATGATTTGGAAAGAGAAGTAAACAAGTTCTTAATGAAACTCATTGATGAGGCTGACTGGGTAGTGTTACAAACACAACTCATGGCAAAGAAATTATCTAATGAGATGGAGAGGGCAGTGAACTATTGACAAAAGCAGCCCCAAATTATATTCTACTTAGTAAAAATTAATGCTTAGTAATAAAGATGCCTAATTCAAAACAAAACTGCTTAACACAGACATAAGGAAAATAATTTCTGGTCTTTGCAATATTAAACCCTGCAATAATATGCTTATAAAGGAAGCAGTGGGCTTTATGTTCTTTGATTAAAGTTGTATTATCTGACATAGAGAAACATAATTCTTTTTACCCATGGCACTATCATCTTAGGATGTCTGGCTAATCAATAAGTAATAAGTTAGAGTAAGTTTGACGACTATTTTTCACTGAATTGATCTTCAGGTTGTGTTTTTGAATTAGGTTATATGTATGTGCAAAGAAGTTCATACAAAATACAAATATAACTAGAAATGTTATTGTCTATCCTATTCATAGTTTCTTATAAGGAACTCTGGCATGTATTGAGAATATATATGTATATATATATATATATACACACACACACACACGTGCATGCACACATACTCACATATATTTGGTTATACTTTTTTACAAATTTTACTTACATACTTAACTACATTTGAACAGTGGGGAAGAACAACAAAAATTGAAATTACTGCTGATTGTATAAATATGGTTATAAGTTAGAGTTATTTTAGTGTTATGTAACTCATTTTTATTGTGCTAAAATATAAATAAAATTTACCATTTAACCCAGTTTTTTGGTGTATAGTTCAGCAACATTAAGTATATTTACATTGCCAGACTCTAATACCTCTGAGAAAGTGGAAAATATTCCCTCTGACCTTGAAATTTTCACCAAATAGTTCTATCTTTGTATTTTCTGAGACTCCTTCCTGCTTGCAGAGTGACCATTTGTTCATTTCACAGCTGGCCACCCATCCCAAATCCCTAGGAATACAGCAAGAGAAACTCTTTCACACGTTCATCAAAATACATATATATATATATGTTCATAGCATTAGTGTTTATTAAATGAAAAATGGAAAATAGAAACAACACAAACATTCATCAACAGGAGAAAGCATAAATAAATTATGACATCTGTACACAATGTACTTTTGTATAATAAACTATAGCGACATGTAACACAGGTGAATCTCAGAAAAAAACAAATTGTATTTAAAAACTAAGCCACAGAAAACTTCATACAATATATCATTTCTTATCAATTTTATAAATTTCAAAAGCAAGATAGTATAAATGATACATTGTTTAAAAAACATGATAAAAATATTTTAAAGACAAGGGAGTAATAAATGTAAAATCAAGGAAGGCAATTATTTCCAGGGGTCAAAATAGATGAAAAAGAGAGCACAAAGTAATTTGTAGCACTACTGATCATATGGTAGATCTTAATTTGGGTGGGTGGTTTTTCTTTATTTTGTGCTTTTTTTTTCTTTCTTTTTTTTTTTTTCTTTGAGTGGGAGCAGTCAACCCCTTGTAGAACTGCTGCTTAGAATTCTCAAGTATGCGTAAAAAGGTGAAGATTGGAAAGGCTACACTTCTCTTACTACCATGGGCTTCTACTTCCCACACTCCTGTCATACCACAAGGGGAAGTTTTATCACTGTAGACCATTCCCACAAGAGTGTCACCCACAGAGTGAGTCTCTGATTTGAAATATAATATTTTTCTTAATTCTAAGTCATTGCTTGGCTTCACATTATTAACATTCCTGATTGTTAACACTGCTGGCTTATCCACAATAGCTGTGTACATGTGTAAAATAACAGTGGTTATTTAAACTATTTTCCAGTCACTCAGATCTATTCTTAAATTGAGGAAGTGTTTTTACATGAATGAAGAAATAAGTACATAAATAAATGAATTAAATATCTGTTAATAAATTATTTAAAATAATTAAAATACTCTGATGCAATGGAAAATTATATACCTGGGCTGGGCGCACTGGCCCATGCCTGTAATCCCAGCACTTTGGGAGGCTGAGGTGGGCGGATCACGAGTTCAGGAGTTCGAGACCAGCCTGGCCTACATGGTGAAACCCCGTCTCTACTAAGAATTCAAAAATTAGCTGTGTGTGGTGGCGTGTGCCTCTAATCCCAGTTTCTCAGGAGGCTGAGGCAGGAGAATTGCTTGGACCTGGGAAGCAGAAGTTGCAGTGAGCCGAGATCACACCACTGCACTCCAGCCTGGGCAACAGAGCAAGACTCCATCTCAGAAAGAAAAAAAAATGAAAATGAAAATTATGTACCACCCCAAATCACTGAGGCACGTATTTATGTAGGAAAAACATAAAATATATATATATTTTTAGGTAAAAGCAAGTTTTAGAATACATCTTTTCTATTTGTTTAAAATTTTCAATGTTATGAATACTCAATTAGGAGCAGATGAGGGCCACATTGATACGCCTTTCACAGAAATTGTATGTTTTTTAAAAAAGTAATCCATGAGTATTTTAAATTGAGACTTTTTTAATGTATTTCTCACATCTCCCCAGAATTCAGGGCAGTTCTGAGGTATAGTGCTATATTTTCTACCTTCCTTTTGGATCTCTTTTATAAATCCTGACCCCTTCACTCACCATGGAGCAAGGTGAATGTTTATATTTACTAAGCCTCCACTCTCCCATATCATGCCAATTGTAGAACCCATCACTCCTGTCTAATGTACCTGTGGCTTTTGGAAATGGTTCTATTGTAAATTTATTCTCATTAATTTCCTCCTAAAACAGGTTCTTTGAATTGCTGACATCTTGGGTTTCCCCATTTAAACAGCTACACACTGAATACTCACCTGCAGTAAAGCTTACTGATTGACAAGCTCTATTTTTATACACAAAGTTTCCAGTCAGCTTCTTAGCACTTTTTAAGACATTTTAATTAAATTATGATGCACATATAAGAAGTACACAAACTCAAGTGTGTGGCTCACTGAATTATGGCAAAGTGAGGAAACCAATGTAACTACCACCAAATTAAGAAATGAATCATTGCCAGGATCCCAGAAGTGCTGCTGGTACCCCCTCCTTAGCCACTCCCACCTCCTTAAAGGTAACCATTATCCTAACTATAAAAATTGTAGTTTAGCTTTAGCTTTATCTATTTTAAAATTTGTGTAAGTGGGATTATATATTATGTATTACTTTGTGTCTGGCTTGTTTCCCTCAATGTATTTGTGAGATTCATCCTGCTGTATATAGCAGTTCCTTCATTCACATTTAAATTTAATTCACTTTATCCATTTGATAATTGATAGATGTTTGGATTTGGGGATGAGTATTTTTTTTTTCAGCACAAACAGCTACAAAGCATTTGATACCCTGTTCGATAGTACATACAAGAACAAACATAAACACTTGACTAGGAAACATTCAAGCCTAAAAACTGTTGGGTTGAAAATGAAGACAGCACATTTTTCATGATCCTTCCCCATGTGAAAACTAGGACCATAAATTATATACAATAATATGCATATTATATATAAAAATAAAATGACCCCATGTTCTGCAGCCCTCTTGGTTGACTTCTCCCTTTTTAAATTTTTTTCAACTTTTATTTTTAGTTTATGGGTACATGCACAGGGCGTGCAGGTTGTTAAATAGGTAAACATGCGCCATGGTGGTTTGCTGCACAGATCATCCCATCACCTGGGATTAAGCCCAGCATCCATTAGCTATTCTTTCTGATGCACTCCCTTCCCTCAGCCCCTACAGGTGCCCAATGTGTGTTGTTCCCTGCCATGTGCCCATGGATTCTCTTCATTCAGCTCCCACTTATAAGTGAGAGCATGTGGTGTTTGGTTTACTGTTCTTGCATTAGTTTTCTGAGGATAATGGCTTCCAACTGTATCTATGTCCCTGTAAGGGACATCATCTCATTCCTTTTTATGGCTGCATTGTATTCTATGGTGCATGTGTACCACATTTTCTTTATCCAGTCTATCACTGATGGACATTTAGGTTGATTACCTGTTTTTGCTATTGTGAATAGTGCTGCGATGAACTTAGGTGTGCATCTATCTTTATAATAGAATGATTTATATTCCTTTGAGTATATAAGCAGGAATGGGATTGCTGGGTCAAATGGTATTTCTGCCTCTAGATCTTTGAGGAATCACCACACTCTCTTTCACAATGGTTGAACTAATTTACACTCCCACTAACAGCATAAAAATGTTCCTTTTTCTCCTCAACCTTGCCAGCATCTGTTGTTTTTGGTTTGGTTTTGTTTTGTTTTTTTGAGATGGAGTCTCTCTCTGTCTCCCAGGCTGGAGTGCAGTGGCATGATATCAGCTCACTGCAACCTCCACCTCCAGAGTTCAAGCAATTCTCCTGTCTCAGTCTCCCCAGTAGCTGGTACTACAGGCGTGCACCATCATGCCCAGGTAATTTATTTGTATTTTTAATACAGACGGAGTTTTACCATTTTGGTCAGGCTGGTCTTAAACTCCTGAACTCAAGTGACCCACCCGCCTCGGCTTCCCAAATTGCTGGGATTACAGGCGTGAGCCACTGCACCCCTCCTGTTTTTGGACTTTTTAATAATTGCCATTCTAACCCGCATGAAATGGTATCTCACTGTGGTTTTGATTTGCATTTCTCTGTTGATTAGTGATGTTGAGCTTTTTATTGTACATTTCTTGGCTGCATGTATGTCTTTTGCGAAGGGTCTTTCATATCCTTTGCCCACTTTTTAAAGTGGTTGTCTTTTTCTTGTAAATGTGTTTAAGTTCCTTGAAGACTCTGTATATTAGACCCTTGTCAGGTGGATAGATTGAAAAAGTTTTCTCCCATTCTGTAGGTTGTATGTTCACTCTGATGATAGTTTCTTTTGCTGTGCAGGGGCTTTTTAGTTTAATTAGATCCCATTTGTCAATTTTGGCTTTTGTTGTAATTGCTTTTGGCATTTTCATCATGGAATCTTTGCCCATGCCTATGTCCTGAATGGTATTGCCTAGATTTCCTTCTAGGGTTTTTATAGTTTGGGGTTTTGCATTTAAGTATTTAATCCATCTTGAGATAATTTTTGTATATGGTATAAGAAAGGGTCCACTTTCAATTTTCTGCATATGGCTAGCCAGAACTCCCAGCACCATTTATTAAATAGGGAGTCATTTCCTCATTGCTTGTTTTTGTTGGATTTTTCAGAGATCAGATGGTTGCCTGTGTGCAGTCTTAGAAGAGTTCTCTATTCCATTGCATTGGTCTATGTGTCTATTTTTGTACCAGTACCATGCTGTTTTGGTTACTGCAGCATTGTAGTATAGTTTGAAGTCAGGTAGTGTGATGTCTCCAGCTTTGTTCTATTTGCTTAGGATTGTCTTGGCTATATGGGCTCCTTTTTGGTTCCATGTGAATTTTAAAGTAGTGTTTTCTATTTCTGTGAAGAATGTAAATTGTAATTTAATGGGAATAGCATTTAATCTATAAATTACTTTGGGCAGTATGGCCATTTTCGCAATTTGGATTCTTCCTATCCATGAGCATGAAGTGTTTTTTATTTGTTTGTGTCCTCTCTGATTTCTTTGAGCACTGGTTTGTAGTTATCATTAAAGAGGTACTTCACTTCCTTTGTTAGCTGTATTCCTAGTTATTTTATTCTTTTGGTAACAATTCTAAACAGCAGTTCATTAATGATTTGGCTACCTGCTTGTCAATTGTTGGTGTATAGGAATGCTTGTGATTTTTGCACATTGATTTTATATCCTGAGACTTTGCTGAAGTTGCTTATCAGTTTAAGAAGCTTTTGGGCTGAGATGATGGGGTTATCTAAATACAGGATCATGTCATCTGCAACAGATAATTTGACTTCCTCTCTTTGTATTTGTATACCTTTATTTCATTATTTTGCCTGATTGTCATGACCAGAACTTTAAATACTATGTTTAATAAGAGTGATGAGAGAGGGCGTTCTTGTCTTGTGCTGGTTTTCAAGGGGAATGCTTCCAGCTTTTGCACATTCAATATGATATTGGCTGTGGATTTGTCATAGATGGCTCTTATTATTTTGAGATATTTTCCTTTAATACTTAGTTTATTGAGTTTTTAACATGAAGGTATGTTGAAATTTATTGAAGGTCTTTTCTGTATCTATTGTAATAATCATGTGGTTTTTGTCTTTAGTACTGTTTATGTGATGAATCATAGTTATTGATTTGCATATGTTGAACCAACCTTGAATACCAGGGATGAAGCCAACTTAATCATGGTGGATAAGCTTTTTGATGTGCTACTGGATTCAGTTTGCCAGTGTTATAATGAGGATTTCTGCACTGATGTTCATCAAGGACATTGGCCTAATGTTTTTGTTGTTGTATCTTTGGTATCAGGATGATGCTGGCCTCATAGAATGACTTAAGGAAGAGTTCGTCCTTTTCAATTTTTTGGAATAGTTTCAATAGAAATGGTACCAACTCTTCTCTGTACCTCTGGTAGAGTTTAGCTGTGAATCTTTCTGGTCCTTGGCTTTTTCTGGTTGGTAGGCTATCTATTACTGCTTCAACTTCAGATCTTGTTATTGGTCTATTCAGGAATTCAGTTTCTTCCTGATTCAGTCTTGGGAGGGTGTATGTGTCCAAGAATTTATCCATTTCTCCTAGGTTTTCTAGTTTATGTGCATAGAAGTGTTTATGGTATTGTCTGATGATTGTATTTCTGTGGGGTCAGTGGTGATATTCCCTTTAACATTTTTTACTGTGTCTATTTGATCTTCTCTCTTTTCTTCTTTATTAGTAAAGCTAGCATCTATCTATTTTTTTTTCAAAACACCACCTCCTGGATTCATTGATGTTTTGAAAGGTTTTTAGTCTCTCTGTCTCCTTCAGTTTGGCTCTGATTTTGCTTATTTCTTTTCTTCTGCTAGCTTTGGGGTTTGTTTGCTCTTAGTTCTCTGTTTTTTTTAGTTAAGATGTTAGTTTGTTAACTTGAGATCTTTCTAGCTTTTTGATGTGGGTATTTACTGCTATAAGTTTCCCTCTTAACACTTCCTTAGCTGCATTCCAGAGATTCTAGTATGGTGTCTTTTTGTTTTCTTTAGTTTCAAATAACTTCTTGATTTCTGCCTTAATTTCATTATTTACCCAGGAGTCATTCAAGAGCTGGTTGTTCAATTTCCATATAGTTGTGTGGTTTTGAGTAAATTTCTTAACCTTGAGTTCTAATTTCACTGTGCTGTGGTCTGAGAGGCTGTTATGATTTCAATTCTTTTGCATTTGCTGAGGAGTGTTTTACTTCCAATTATGTGATCAATTTTAGAGTAAGTATTGTGTGGTGATGAGAAGAATGTATATTCTGTTGTTTTTGAGTAGAGAGTTCTGTAGATATCTATTGGGTCCACTTATCCAGAGCTCAGTTTATGTCCTGAATATCTTTGTTAATTTTCTGTCTCAATGATCTGTCTAATATTGTCAGTGTGGTGTTAAAATCTCTGACTATTATTATGTGGAGGTCTAAGTCTCTCTGTAGGTCTTTACGAACTTGCTTTACGAATCTGGATGCTTCTGTAATAGGCACTTATATATAGAGGATAGTTAAGTCTTCTTGTTGAACTGAACCCTTTCTCATTGTGTAATGTCCTCTTTGTCTTTTTTGATCTTTGTTGGTTTAAAGTCAGAAAGCTGGATTGCAACCTCCACTTTTTTTCTGTTTTCCATTTGCTTGGTAAATTCTCCTCCATTCCTTTATTTTGAGCCTATGTGTGTCTTTGCTCATGAGATGGGTCTCTTGAAGACAGCATACGTGTGGGTCTTGGCTCTTTATCCAATTTGCCATTATGTGTCTTTTAACTGGGGCATTTAGCCCATTTACGTTTAAGGTTAGTATTGTTATGTGTGAATTTGATCCTGTCATTATGATGGTAGCTGGTTATTTTTCAGACTTGTTTATGTGGTTGCTTCATAATGTCACTGGTCTGTGTGCCTCAGTTTGTTTTTGTAGTGGCTGGTAATGGTGTTTCCTTTCCATATTTAGTGCTTCCTTCAGGAGCTCTTACAAGGCAGGCCTGGTGGTGATAAAGTCCCTCAGCATTTGCTTGTCTTAAAAGAATCTTACTTCTCCACTTATGAAGTTTAGTTTGGCCAGATATGAAATTCTGGGTTGGAAATTCTTTTCTTTAAGGATGTTGAATATTGGCCCCCAATCTTTTCTGGCTTGTAGGGTTTCCACTGAGATGTCCACGTTAGTTTGATGGGTTTCCCTTTGTAGGTGACCTGGTCTTTCTCTCTGGCTGCCCTTAACATTTTTTCTTTCATTTCAACCTTTGAAAATCTGAAGATTATGTGTCTTGAGGTTGATCTTCTCATGGAATATGTTACTGGGGTTCTCTGGATTTCCTGAATTTGAATGTTGGCCTGCATTGCTAGGTTGGAGAGTTCTCCTGGATTATATCCTGAAGTATGTTTTCCAACTCAGTTCCTTTCTCCCCATCTTTTTCAGTTAACCCAATCATCCATAGATTCAGTCTTTTTACATAATCCCATATTTCTTGGAGGTTTTATTCATTACATTTCTCTCTATTCTTGTGTACCAGTCTGATTTCAGACAGATAGTCTTCCAGCTCTGAGATTCTTTCCTCTGCTTTGTCTTTTCTGCTATTGATACTTGTGATTGCATTGTGAAGTTCTCCTGTTGTGTCTTTCAGCTCCATCAGGTCTGTTATGTTCCCCTCTAACCTGGCTATTCTGGCTATCAGCTCCTGTATTGTTCTACAGTGACTCTTAGTTTCTTTGCATTGGGTTACAACATTTTCCTTTAGCTCAGTGAACTTTGTTATTACCCACCTTCTGAAACCTACTTCTGTCAATTCAGCCATCTCAACCTCAGCCCAATTCTGTGCCCTTGCTGGAGGAGATGCAGTCATTAGGAAAAGAAGAGGCCATCTGGCTGCTTGAGTTTTCAGCATTTTTGTATTGATTCTTTCTCATCTTTGTGGGCTTATCTACCTTTGATCTTTGAGGTACCTCTGAATGGGGTTTTTGTGGGGTCTTTTGCTGTTGTTGTTGTTTTCTGTTTGTTTGTTTTTCTTTTAACAGGTCACTTTACCATAGGGTTGCTGCGGTTTTCTGGGGTCTGTTCCATACCCCAGTGCCTCAGCTTCTCATGTACCTGGAGGTATCACCAGTGAAGGTCGGGAAACAGCAAATATGCCAGCTAGTCTCTTCCTCTGGAAGCTCCATCCCAGGAGGGCACTGACCTGTTGCCAGCCTGCATGCACCTGTAGGAGGTGGTTGGGGACCCCCACTGGAAGGTCTCACCCAGTCAAGAGGAACAGGATCAGAGACCCACCCAAAGAATCAGTCTGGCTGCTTCTTGCTAGAGCAGGTATGCTGCACAAAGGGGACACTTCCTCATCTGGACCACCTGTATTCTCCACAGCCAGTAGGCTGGAATGGCTGAGTCTATGTAACTGCAGAGATGGCAGCTGCTCCTCCTTATGGTAGCTCTGTCCCAGGGAAAGATCAGAGCTCTATCTGTAAAACCAAGGTCCCACCCAGTGAGGAGGAAAAGTGTCAGTGTCCTGCTTAAATAAGCAGTCTGGCCATGATCTGGCAAGGCAGCTGTGGTGTATTATCAGGGATGACATTCCTTGTCTGAACAATCTGTATTCTCCACAACTAGTAGGCTGGAATGGCTGAGTCTAGTGAACCACAGAGATGGTGGCCACCTCTCCCTCTGGGATCTCGGTCCTATCTCAGGCAGATTCCAACCTGCTGCCATTGGCTGCCTGGGATCACAAGCCAGTGGGTCTTAACTTGTGAGGGGCCATGGAAGTGGGGCCCGCAGAATGATGCTGCTTGGCTCCCTGGATTCAGCTCCCTTCCTCGGGATATGTACAGATGGATTTTTTGCCTTGCCAGGGATCCTGGGGCCAGAATATGTAAAACTCCTGTGTCTCCGTGTGTGCCCAAGCAGCTGCTCTGCTGAGCCTCCACACAGCTCTACACAGTTATTGGGTTACATTGAACCTAAGGCCCTCATGGCATGAGCTCACAAGGGGATCTTCTGATCTGCAGGCTGCAAGGATCTGTGGGAGAAGCATGGTTTCCTGGGTGAGGTCACACAATCACTCACCACTTCCCTTGGCTAGGGGTGGGAGTTCCTTTGGTTCTGTACTGCTCCCGAGTGGGCCATCACCCCACCACCCTGCTTTTCTTTGTTTCCATGGGTCAAGCTGTTTGCCTAATCATTCCCAATGTGAGAACCTGGATATTTCACTTTAAGGTGCTGAATTCACTTTCCCCTTTTCCTTCCTCTCTGTGAGAGCCATGGACTGCAGCTGCTTATAATTGGCCATTTTGCCTCATGATTCAAGTATTGTTATTATGAACATTATTATACACATCTATTGGTGAGCCTGTGCTAGTTGTAAGGTATGCGTATGTGGAACTTTATAGACAATACTAGTTTTGAAAGCCACTTGTAATAATTCACACTACCATCAATAATATTTGAGGGTTTGTACTAGTACCTCATTTTTGTTTTAACATGTATTTCCTTGACAGTTAATGAATTTGGATCTTATGTACAATGTCTGGTCAAATTATTGCCCAATTTTCTATTGGTATGTCATTTTTCTTATTAATTTAAATGAATATGTTTATATATCCTAAATAGCAATTTCTTATAATTATGTATGCCAATCTGCAGCTTGCATTTTCACTCTCCTGATGGTGCCTTTTGATAAAAAAAAGAGTTCCTTATTTTAATACAGTCCGTTAATTAGTTTGTATTTAATGGTTTCTGCTTTTTGAGTTCTATTTAAGAAAGTGTCCCCCACCTCCAATAGCTTGACTATATTCTTGTATTGACTTATAGAAATTCCTGAAAATTTTTTTTCAACAGATCCTATTGAGAATCTGAGGAAGAGTATGAGCACTTTTCAGAATATTTAAGTGAATAAAATAAAATACACAGCATTATAAAAAAAGAAATTATATTGATATGGAATCCTATTCTGGGACTCATAAGATTAATAAATCACCCTTGTAGCTTTATTATTTTATCATTCTTATATCTACAATCCACCTGAATATAATTTTTATGTATGCTACAAAGAAAGGGCCAAGTTTCTCTTTATAAAATGTGGATGTCCAATTGACCCTAGACCATTTTTGAAAAGACTTTCCTTTCACCATTGCTCAGAAGAACTAGCTTTTTATAAATCAAGAGTTTCATATTGTGCAAGTCTGTTTCTAGATCTTGAAAATTATGTCCACTAGTCTGTTTTATATTCTTCAGAGAATATCAAATTGTTTTAGTTGCTATAGATTCAAAAAAATTTTGATAACTAGTAGAATAAATTCTTCTATCTTGTTTTACTCTTATTAAGAATGCCTTGACTATTTTTGACCATTTGCATTTCCAAATAAATGTTAAAATTAATGTATTTTCTGTTAAATAGATAATAAGTGGAATATCATTTGAGATTGCCTGGCATTTATAGATCAGTATGGTAAATAATTACAATTGCTTCAACATAGCCTTCTCATGCATAAAAATTACATATGACTTTATTTGTTTAGGTCTTCCTTAATTTCTCTCGATAATATTTTATAGATTTTTCTATAAACATTGTGTATCTTTTCTCTTAGAATTATTTTTATGAATTGAATATTTGTTGTTTTATAAATGCCATCTTTTTGTGTTTCATTTTGGAATTGTTTATTCCTTGTGTAGAGAAATATTGTTAATTTTTGGATATTGAATCTGTGTCCAGAAAACTTGCTAGGCTAATTCATTGATGCTAATAATTTATCTGTAACTCTTTCAGATTTTCTACATATACAATCATATCATAAGCAAATAATGACCATTTTATTTTTTCCTTCAAAATCCTTAATGCAGTAGTTCCTGCTTATCTGTGGGGCATACGTTTCAAGGTCCCAAATGGGTACCAGAAACTGCAGTTAATACTAAACCCTATATATACTACGTTTCCCCTATACATACATACATACCTATGATAAAGTTTTATTTATAAATTAGGCACAGTATGAGATTAACAATAACTAATAATAAAAGTAGAACAATTAGAACAATACACTGTAATAAAAGTTATGTGACTGTAGTCTCTCTTTCTCTCCCCTCCTCAAAATATCTTATTTGTACCATAGTCACTTTTCTTGTGATGATGTGAGATGGCAAAATGCCTCTGTGATGAGATAAAGTAAGGTGAATGACATAGGCATGTGATACAGTGTTACACTATTATTGACCTTCTGATGTTATGTTAAAAAGAGGATTATCTGATTCAGGTGATCCTGGATCATTAAGCCATGATGATATTGATGGTTGGATATCAGCGGCATATGATCTTGATGACTAACAGACAGGTGGTATACACAGCATGGATACTCAGGACAAATAAATGATTCAGATTCATGGCTGAACAGAGAAGGACAACGTGAGATTTTATCACCCTACTAAGAATGGTGCACAATTTAAAATGTATTGATCATTTATTTCTGGAATTTTCCTTTTAGTATTTTGGGACTACAGTTGACTGTGAGCAAGTGAAACTGTGGAAAGTGAAAACACAATAAAAGAAGACTACTGTCCTTTTATTTTTTTTCTCTTACCTCACTGCACAGGCTACCATTGTTAAAATGTTGAATAGAAGTTGTGAAAGTTGACTACTTTATGTATCTTCATGATCTCAGTTGAAAAGATGCCAATGTTTTTGCTCTTATGAAGTTAGTTGTATATTATTTCCTACATTCATCTATTCTTAGTTTTCCAAATGTACTTTAAGCATGAATAGACATTAAATTTTTTGAAATTATTTTTCTGCATCTATTCAGATAAAAGCTTCTCCTCATGTGATTAATTATATAGACTGAATTTTAAATACTAAGACAACTTTTCATTCCTGGATAAATGCAATTTGGTGGTGCTGTACCACTCAGTATACCTATTGCTAGGTATATTTTGATAATTGTGTTTGCTATTTTGCATCCATACTTATAAGTGATATTAGGCTGTATTATTTATTTATTGAATGTCCTTGTCAAGTTTTCAAATCAAGATTAAACCTGGATTGTAGAATGAGTTAGGGGATATTCATGGTTTTCCTCTTCTCCAGAAGAGATTGTAAAACTACACGGCAGAATTCACTTGTGAAGCCATCTTTGCCTGGTATTTTTTTGTGAAGAGGTTTGAAATTACAAGGTTAATGTCTCTAAGTGTGATAGGACTATTAAGATTCATTATTTCTTCTTCTGTCAGTTTTGGTAAAATATATATATATATATCTCTACACACACATATATATACACACACACACACTCACATATATGTGTATATATACACACACCTATATGTATGTGTATGTTTATATATGGTAAGAGTTAAAATTAAGTATTTTTACATAATTTGCCCATTTCATCCATTTAAATTACTCTTCTTTTTCTACTTTCTTAATGTGAATGCTAAGTTATTAATTTGAGAACTTTCCACTTTTCTAAGAATATAATTTGATAACATTCCCTTTGGCACTGCTTCATATGCCAGAAATTTTGGTATGATATGTTTATACTTTCACTGAGTCCAAACTATTTTCTAATTTCCCTTGTGTTTTTTTCTTTGACCTCTGGGTTATTAGGGAGTTATTGCTTAAATTCTAAATATTGATATTTTCCACATATTGTTCTGCTATTTCTACCACAATTTTGGCATAGTCTTAAAAACCACCAACCTTTTTAAAATCCAACCCTCCTGTAATTTCAACCCTCTTAAAATTACTAAGACTTGTTTTATTGGCTAACGCATGGTCTCCCTTACCAAACGTTCTCAACGTAATTAAAATGAATGTGTATTTTGCTGTAGTTGATGAAGTGGTCTATAAATGTCAATTAGGTCAAATTGGGTAATAGTGCTGTTTAGTTATTTTATATCTTTATTGATTTTTTCATTTAGTTATTCTATTAATTATTGAAAGTGTTGAAATCTCCAACTATACTTGTGTATTTATTGCTTGTCCTTTCAGTTTGATCAGTTTTTGCTTCATGTATTTTAAAAGTCTGTTTTTATGCTAATACACATTTAAAACTTTAGTCCTTTTTTGATGAATTGATAACCCTTTAACTTTATGAAGTGTCTCCTGTTACCCCTGGTAATATTCTTTGTTCTGAAGTACATTTTGTCTGATATTAACGTAGCCACTCTAGCTTTTGTGATTAGAGTTTGCAGGGTACACCTTCTTCTATTCTTTTATTTTTAACCTTTCTATATCTTTAGATATAAAGTCTTTCCATAATCTTCTGGTTGGCAGAGTTTCTGTTAAAAAGTGTGCTCTTATGTACATTTTTGTTTTTCTCAACATTAAGGTGTCTTTTCTTCTCTAGCTGCTTTTAATATTTTTTCACCACTGATTTTCAATAATTGTTTTATAATGTGCATTGATATGGTTGTCTTTATGTTTACTCTTAGATGGGTTCATCCAACTTCTTGGATATGTAGTTTGTAGGCAGAATAGTGTTCCCCCAATATGTCCATTTTCATCCACAGGACATGTGAATATGTTATATAACAGCAGAGAGAAATTAAGGAGGCAGATAGAATTTAACCTGCTAATCAGATGACCTTGAGATGAGGAGACTACTCTGGATTATTCAAGTGGGCCTGATGTAATCACAAGGGTCCTTGTAAGTTAAAGAAGGAAACAAGAGAGTAAGTGTCAGAGTGATGCCACGTGAGAAAGACTCAGCCAGCCACTGCAATGCAGGAAGCTTCTGGCATCTAGAAAAGACAAGAAAATTAATTCTTCTCTGGAGTTTTCAGAAAGAAACACAGTAAGCCTGTGCCTCAATTTTAACCCAGTGAGACCTTTAGTGGACTTCTGACCTCTGGAATTGTAAGACATAGATTTTTGTTGTCTTAAACCACGGATTTGTGGTAATTTGTTACAGCAGCAATAGAAATACAATTATGTACATTTATAGTTTTCCTTAAATTTAGAAAATTTGAGGCCATTATTTTTTCAAATATTTCTTCTATCATACTCCCCCCCCATCTTAGGACTTTAATTACATGTATGTCATATCACTTGATATTATTCCAGAGGTCACTGATGCTCTGTTGATTTTTTTTTATATCTTTTTTACCTCTGTATTTCATCTTGGTTATTTTCTATTAGCATGTCTTAATACTTACAGACATTTTCTTCTTTAATGTCTGATATGCTTTTATTTCACCCAGCATATTTTTAATTTGTGTTATATTTTTTCAACTCTAGATGCTTAATTTCAGTCTTTCTTAAATATTCTCTTTCTCACCACAATGTGTTCATATTTTCTTATACCTCTTGAACACATGGACATATTTATATCTGTATTACTGTTCTTTTCTGCTAATCCCACTATCAGTAATTTCTGGGTGTGTTCTATTGGTTGTTTCTTCTCTTGGTTATGAGTCATGTTTTCCAGTTTCTTGGCATGCCTGGTAATTTTTAATCGGATCCCAAATACTGTCAATTTTACCTTTTAGTTTTAGATTATATTTATTTAAATAATACCAGATTCCTTTCTGGCATCCCATTTGTTCTTTGCACTCAGGGCAGTGGGAACATGAACAATTCCTAATCCATTATGAACTCTAGAAATGATTCTCCCTCCTCCTTTCTGTCAGATCTTTCCCCTATTCATATTGTCTCCTCTCACAAACGTGCCAGTCAGTACTCAGCCAAAGACTTGAGAGAATGCCTCTGCATCTCTCTGGATATCGCTATGTGTGCAGATTCCTACTCACTGTACTCAGCCACACAAATTCTAGCCACTTTGAGGTCCTCAAATTCAATCTCTGCCATATCAATTCAGTGGCCATTTGAATTCCCTCACCTTGTACTTCAACCTGGTAACTGCTTGTAGGGGCTCAATTTGTTATGGGCCTCAATTTGTTTTTCCTTTTCTCAGGAATCATGATCTGGCATGATCTGTTTTCTAATGTCTGCAAACTGTCATGTCATTGATTTTGTCTGGTTTCCCAGTTGTTTAAGGTGAAAGAGTAAATGCTGGCCCTTTGGCCAGAAGCAGACATCTGTCCACGTTACCTAATGTTTTATTTTATTTTTATAAAGTTGTTTATGATACCTTTTAATTAGGGAGTGATGTCCCTTTGTCATTCCTGACATTAGCTTTTTTTCATCTCCTTTCAATTTTTTCTTCATTAGTCTTGGAGGGGTTTATTAATTTTGTTTATCTGTAAAATAAAACAAAAACTAACTTTGGGGTTTATTGACACTCTATCGTATATTTGTTTCTATTTATGTAATCTTCTCTTCCTTTTTTCTTATTTTCTTTAGGTTTGATTTGTTCTTTTGCTGATGTCTTGGATGTTTATATCATTTGTTTTAGTCTTTCTTCTTTTTTATCTTATAAATTTAAGGCTGTGCACATTTATTTAATCAGGACTTCAGATAAATTTTCCATTTGGTATTGAATTTATTATTATTCAGTTAAAACTATTTTTATTTTTTCATTTTCTTAATAATGGGGATTTTTTCCAGTCATTTTCTTATATTAATTTCTAGCTTAATTTCATTATTATGAGCTTATACAGTCTATATAATTTCAATTTTGTTGAGACTATATTTATAGCCCAGTATGTTGTTAATTTCTGTAAATATACCTTGTGTACTTGAAAAGAATGTATTTTATAGCTGTCAGGATATATATATCTATATCACATATATCATATATATACATATACACACACATACACATATATAATTTAATGATGCTATTTAAATGATATATATAACCAATTTTAATCATGCTATTGAAATCCTCTTCTGTATACTTGGTAAAAATCTATATTCTTCCAAAATCAATATTCCTGATTTTTTCTCTGCCTTTTCTATTGTTACTTAGAGAGGTGATAAATTCTTTTTACTAAGATTTTTGACTAGTCTATTGTTCTTCTAATTATTTTAATTTTTTAATATATTAGGTAGTGTGATTATGTTAATATAAATTAAGAATTGTTCTAATTCCTTGCAATTTAAACTTCTATTAGTTTGAAATATCCCTTTTTATAGCTGTTCTTAATATAAGGGTTAATCCAAATCACACAGGCTGCCATTACAGGTATGAAACCAGTAACTCACTCTGCAAATAGGAATGAATGTCAGCAGATTAGAAGATAATTTAGGAAAGCTTTTTGTATGAGATATAGCATCAAACATAATCAAAAGTGAAGTGGGGGATGGGACACAGAGAAAACAGTTACTATTTAAATTAAAACTCTCTAACTTATTTTCTCTGAGATACAAAGACATAACAAGATATTGTATCCAATAAAATAGAAGGATGTATAAATCAAAGGAAATCAGAGAAAATGAAAAAGATCCTTGAAATCAACAACACAGTAATCAAATTAGTATCAAGGATAAGATTTTAAAAATCAGGAACTCTCACAAAAGAACAGAAATTAAGATATATAGAAAATGGAAGTGAAAAGATAAGACAATGAAAGACTTAGATAAATAAAATGGAGGTTTAATGTTGAGCTCCTGAGGAACATTCACCTAATAGCAGTCTAAATGTAGAGATCAGAGGGAGCAGAAGGGAGAGTTATTAAAAAATGATATTAGGGAAATTTGAACCTATACATTGAAAGCATCTGCAATTTACTCAGAACAATATATAATAACACTTTTAAAACAGATAGTCTCATAATCATAGAGTTTCAAAATAGCAATCAGATGAGATACTAAAAGCTTCCAAAGAGGGGAAAAAATAGTGTATATGATATGGAGAAGTCAGAATGTCATGAGATTTCCCAGAGGAGAGAAGAGAAAGGAATTCCATGGAGTAATAGGAAGACCCCACCTCAACATATAAGCAGCTGTCCTAGAGGGCAACCAGTACAAGTGGGATGAGGAAATGGAGGTCTAACACAGGGAAGGTCCTTGATGGAGGGAGGGGAAATTGAACTACTGCATCATTTGATGTATTTGAGAATTTGGAAGAAAACTAAAGATATGCATGGAAACATTTGTCAAATTATAAAAGTAGGTCTATAGAAATCTAAGGAAATGAAAAACAAAAATAGTTACTTATCATAGAAAGCAAAAAATTCCATGAAATGAAAACGATAATCATAATTCATTACGTGAATCATAAGAGAATGTTTACCTCATCATATTCAAGTAACAATGCAATCACTGGACACCAAAATTATAATATTATTAAAATGGGAAAATAGTGAAAAATAAAATAGAAGATACAAAATGTTCAGAAACCGTAGCAGCAAGTCAATACCAGGAATTAATAATTCAAGAAATCGTGGGATATAAATGTTATTTATGAATATGGTGGCAATGATAACATTAAAAAGTTAAAAATTAAAACCTTAATTTTAGTTAAAAATCTATTTAATTAAAATTTTAAAAGTAAAATGAGTTTTGGAAATCTAAAAGTCATAATCCAGCACTGTCTCAAATCTCATTTTTCTTGATCGCCACCACTACATACATTCCTATTCATTCTACACGTCAGCTCCAGCGAGTTTTCAAAATGCACATCTTAGTATTTTTATCCAACTCCTAAACTCCATATGGAGCTCTTCAGGGGATTCCCACTGCCTTCGACCATTCACAGGCTTGGAAGGCCATGCATAGAAAAGTTTCTTCCTCCTTCCCGCTTCTCCTCACTCTATTCTTCCTCTTACCTTTTATGCTTCAGCCACACTGACCATGGTTTTTTTGGTTGTTGTTTGTTTGTTTGTTTGTTTAGGCAGAGTCTTGCTCTGTGGCCCAGGCTGGAATGCAGTGGCATGATCTTGGCTCACTGCAACCTCCACCTCCCTGGTTCTAGCGACTCTCATACTTCAGCCTCCCAAGTAGCTGAAACTACAGGCATGTGCCACCTTGTCCAGCTAATTTTTTTTTTATTTTTCGTAGAGATGGGGTTTCACCATGTTGGCTAGGCTGGTCTCAAACTGTCATCTCAAGTGATCCACCTGCCTCAGCCTCCCAAAGTGCTAGGATTACAGACATGAGCCCACACCTGGCCTGATCACGTTTTAATTAAAAAATGTCAAGCTCCCTGTTGTACTGGGGTTTTGATACATGCTATGCTGCTCCCATGGTTTAAAAACATCCTGCCACCCAGTTCCCACACCCTTTTCACACACACACACTCACCTTCTATTTCATAAAGGTAGAGACTTATTCTGAGGGGAGATATTGATGACTCCAGGTCTATATGACCATCCTCTGGTTTGAGCTGTCCTTTAGAAAATGACTTGGTTTTCCATTTTCCATTCTTAAGTGAGTATCTAATTGATTTCCTGCACCCACATCTCTCCCTCCTTTCATTAGACAATAAGCTTCAAGAAATGACAAATATTGTCTCTCTTTGCTCATCATTGTACACTAGTATGTAGTACAATACTTAAAAAGAATAAGTAGTCAATAAATGTTTTGTAAATTAGTGAAAATTTTAAAAGTAAACTGAACATCTAAATTGTAGGTGAAGTACTACCTTGATTTGTCACTAATAAGTGGCATTGTGCTATGTGACATTGAGCAAATCATTTAATTGTTCTCAGTTGGAATTCCTCATCTCCAAATCATCATAATAATACATAGTTTAAAAATTATTTTAAGGATTAAATGAAATATAACACATATAGAAGTAATTTTTCCTCTGTACATGCTATATAAGTGTAAGCCTTCTTTTCTTTCCTTTCTTTAAATCATTAATGATGACCTTGGCATATATTTGATTATAACATGTATTCTCTAAACTTAAAAGGAAAAAGGAAAAGAGATGGTACCTCATCAAGAGCAGTGTGCTTCAAGGGACAGTAGAGTATCTGTGTTCACAAAGTTAAAAGGGCAAGGCTTCACTAAGCTTTAAAGTTTTCAACCCAGTTCATCATTATTCACATACTGCCACCAAAACAAGTTTGACTGTGGCACAGTTCATAAGTGCAAAATATTTCATTTGTGGCTGGAATAAATGAGACATGTAATCTCATCAAATGTATATTCAGTAGGAATTCTACTCTGCCATCTGTGGGTTTTCACATACTTCAGTGTAACTGAATTTCTAACAGAAAATCCAGCTCTCAATGACATTATGTGAATTTGTGACACCACTGTAGGACACTTGCTGGGAAGGTAAAATAATGAACATGCTACATTTTTTTCATCTATCGAGGAGATTCATCCATGACAGATGTAACAGTGATAATAATTTAATCATAATTATGCTATTATGCCATATTATTATGACAGTTAAGGTTATAATTTAATGTCACTCCCTTTTAATTCAATAAAGTTATTAATATATTAGAAATATTTTACTAGTAAAGATTTACTCGAGCCAAGTCTTTTCTTTCTCTTGATGGTGTAAAAATTATCTGCTCAGATAAAAAGTAACCTCATGGCTTGAGCGACAAAACTAGGTATTAAATTTAGATTCTAAACAGATATCAATTCTCAGGGGTCTTGGTAATTCTCTTAAATTTTGACCCGTGCATATTCTCTCTCTCTCTCCCTCTCTCAGTCTATCCTTCCACCTCTCTCTCTCTTCCTTTCTGAAACACTTGTTCACTGCTTCACCAAGGTTGCTTATTTTTAAAATTTCTCTCGCCAGTTATTCTATCTTTGTGCATTCGCTCTTTTGACATCATCCAACTGTGTTCCCTTCATGCCCAGACTGGAGCTGAAGGGAAAGCATATATGGGCATGAGACAAAGGTCTAGACAGAAAAAGAAAAAGAAAGATAAAGAAGCTATTGTGATAATGTTGGCAGCTTGCCAAGTCTCTACTATTTTGATGTGATTTCCCCTGAGTCTGGCTAGAAGATTGCTGGTGCCTTAGCCACTCTAAATCCCATGGCAACCCCTCCTAGCAGTCTCCTTCTTCATTAGAGCACTGAGCCCCAGGTTTATAGACAGCACTGCAGGTCAATTCAAGCTCTCCAAAGTAAGTAAAAATACCAACTCAGCTTCGATTCAGTAAATCAGTCACCTAGACTAGTGCTTCTCAAAATTTTATGTGCCCATTAATCACCTGGTGATCTGGTGAAAATGCAAATTCTAATTGGGTAGGTCTGGACCGGGGATGAGATTATGCATTTCTAACATGCTCCCAGTTGAATCTGATGCTACTGACTCCTGGACCACACTTGCTATTCAAACAAGGACTCAGACTATCATCTATACCCCTAAACATAACCCCACTAAGACACTATCTGACCTTCTTCTCTACCTTTCTTTCCCACTTCTCCTGGATTTCCACATTTTTATTCTCCTGCTTATATTAATAGTTTATTTTTTTAACTTCAACCCAGAAAGAACCAGACTTATATAGAATACAGAAATACTATCCAAGGAGTATTTCTTTGATTCCACAGTTTTCTAATTCTTAGAATGGAATTGTTGAACATACACTGGCTGTGTAATTACACTGAACTGGGTGTGCATTCCAATCACAGCTCTTACTAGCCAGGCAATTTTAGGACAATTTATTTAATTTCATGTCAGTCTTCTCATCCATGAAATGGATATAATAATATAATGATATCTACATCATAGAGTGTTTATGAAGCCTACATAAAATTACATAAAATAGTCCCTGTGATACATAAGTTCCTGATAAATGTTGGGAAATAGTAATTTGATACACTCAGCTCAATGGAATTACTCAACATTATATAAATTATTTTTAAGTTGGAATTCAGTGTGCAAAATACATCAAAGATTAAAATAATGCTTTTTAAAAAGAAAACCAAGGCTGTATTAACTATTACATGCTTGGCAAACAGTCTATTTTTAAATTTTGAATTTCATTTGAGATAAATTATTTTGTATTATAAAGTGGCTGGCAGGTTTTTTTAATCAGCTTTCACCGCCTTTGAAATACATTTGTTAATAGGAAACAAAATAAGTGGCTTAAAATTTCTGTGGCTGCAGCAACTCTAGTTAATATTTTCTAAATGGTGCTTGAAAATAAATATGTGTGGATCAAAAAAGTACCTGATAAGCAGCTAAATATGAAGAAAAACAACTCCCTCCAAAATCACTAGTGCATCAAGATATATTGATGCATTGATAGAATGGTCTCCAGTAATTTACTGCTAATCAGTTTTAAGAAATAGATGACAGCAAGGTACTTTTAAATAGTTCCTGTGCAGCTGACATGAATTTAGATTATGTGAACTGACTCACCATTTAAATTTGACTATATAGAATGGTGTGCTATTGATTTAGACAGTCCTTGACCTGGGGGATGGGACTTGACTTAGCTGAGGAAGCCAACATTTAGTTTAGAATGTGTTGTCTTTCAGCATCTCTGCCTTTTGACAACAACAGAACAGAAAGATTAAGAAAGCAGACAATGAGTTAAAGCAAGAAAAGTTTCCCAGCCTTACCCAAACTATCCATGCTAGGGAACAGATGACAGCCTCCCCTCCTGAGGAAAATCAAGCCAGGTTTTGGGGATATTTTTGACCCCCACCCCTGCACAATTTGATTCACATTTTGAGGTGAGCAAGTCTGGTTTCTTTTCAACGTCACTATTTTGTCTTTCTAATGAAAATACTGTCTGAATTTCCTACAAGGTCTTAGATTTGAGGTGTGAAGATATGCTGCCAACATGAGATTCAGCTGTGTAAGGATGTACCTGATTCCAAATTGGAAGATTGTTAAATAAGTTTAGAGAACATCTTCCTTAGTGGAGTTTTTTATTTTCACTTTCACAAATGGAAAAATAGAGCACCGTGATGAAGAAAGCATGTTTTCCAGTCAGAGAGATACCAGATCTCATGGTTGAAAGCAGAGCTTCCAGCCTAATATTTAATTTTATTTCCTCCAGGTAACAACAGCTTCTTTTTCTCCTCTCTCCTCTCTTGTGTTTTAAAAGTTTCTCCCTCCCTCTCTTGATAGGTAGAGATATCTATAGCACATGCACTCTCTCGTATGTGTGCCGTCTATACATAAGATTCTGCATTTCTAACAAGCTCCCAGGTGAATCTGATTATGGATAGGTAAAAGATAGGTAGGTAGATAGATGATAGATAGATAGATAGATAGATAGATAGATAGATAGATAGACAGATAGATATATAGAGAGAGATGAGAGAGACAGATGCACACACATGTTCATCCTCCCTGTTCCTTAGCCCCTCTCTTCCTACTTCCTAACCTTGTGTTTGGGTGAAAATAAAGAAGTACATTACATATCCATCAGAATTAACTGACAGGGATTCCACCTTGGAAAGGGTCTATTAAGCTTGATGATTTTGTTTTTAATGGTATCCTCTTTTATTATATAATAGAAAATAGCATTTTTAAAAGTTTTCATAATCTTCAATATGCTTACACACACACACACAGAGAGAGAGAGAGAGAGAGAGAGAGAAAGAGAGACAGAATCTGCTTTAAAATGTGATTATTCCACAAATAAGGAGTCAGGATATCTGCATAATTAATTGAAATCCACAGATAATTTTAAAAACTCTTCTCTTATTCAATGAGTTCAACTTTCTCTCTTCAAATTTTCATCAGAATTGCTCACAAGTAGCACACGAATTCGTCTGAAGTCTGAAAGTTTTAATTACTTTCTGTCCTTTGTGCAAACACTGAAATGCCAGAAATAATGATCATCAAAGGATTAGGGGAAAATGGTAAGTTTAGGTTTACATAATATTAACATAACATATTTAAGCCTCAAATTAAAAGTGAGATGTGTGTTTTATGGGCTATGAACCAAGTCAAATCATGGTTATGTGATTATATACATATACACACAAATACATATACACGTATATCCGTAACATTTTTTATTTATCAATTCATTTCATCCATGCAATTCAGGAATGGCATTCCACACATTCTCCACCTAGAAAATTCAGTGTTTCCTTTAAGATAGCTCAAATAACATAATTCTCTTCAGTAGTCTCTCAATATTTCAGGATACATAACTTTTTTAAAAAAAATTAAAGCATATGTATTGGAATATGTGTAATCTACCTATGAACGTATTTTATACACCCTTACAATGTTAGGTCTTTGAAGCTGAAAGTATGCACACACACACACACACACACACATATACACACACATACACATTATATGTATTTCTAAATTTTTTCAAATTTCTTCTCATTCTAAAAATTCTATATGTCAAAGAACTAATAAGTAAACTGCTGAAAATAATCAACTTCCTAATATTTTATAAGCATATGCACCAATTCTATCATCTCCAATGATAAGTACCTAAAGCAAATGATGCCACAATATTTGAGAAAAAAAAAACAGAGAGACAGACACACACGGGAGGAGAAACTATTTTGCCTGGCAAAAGCATACATTTGAGTACTTTTTAAAATACTCAATATTTGCCAAGTAAATTGGGCCAAAATTTATGCTTAAAGAGTCATAAACAAAGCAAGTGAGCCTTGTTAAACCACACTCTCCATATGGGAAGGAAACACGAACTGTGTGAATTGCATAATGCAATCCATACTTATTTTATTACATAAGGACCTAAGTGTTATTTGCCTAAGATTAGTGATACATCATGATTATTACTCTCTTCCTAGGAAATCACTATATGAAACAGTTCAATGTCACAACAGGAGCATTGCTGCTTTTGATGGGGATAATACTAGGTAAAGTAATTACTTCCAGTGACCTTCCTGCTTTTGTGTTTCATAGTGTATGTTCAACATAATATATTGTCTACAACTAAAGTTCTCTTCATTACTTCCATTTATAAACAAAAGTTTTCCCAGTTATGTGCACCAGTCATTTGAATTCTAAAAATTCAAAACTGTGAGCTATTTACATTCTTAGCCACAAAATAACTGCTTATTATTTTATTTATTGGTGTTATTGGTGTTCCTATATATTTTTGCTAATGCTAAACTGTAAGAAGAAAGTAATATAGTATCATAGCTTTAATTTCAAGAAATGCAGGCAGCAATTTCAGGTAGTTAGTCTTTCTTACAGACTAGTGTCTCTTGATACATTGAAAAGACTAGAGAAGCTGTTACAATGATAATGGAAGAACCTTATACATTTTCATTGACATCAAGTTGCCATTGACATCACGAAATTGACAAGGTAATGGTTTTCACACATACTTCCATTGACACCATAGCATCAGAAGTGTCAGACACAATGGAAGTGTCTCTTACAAGATCTATTGATATTAAAAAAGGAAGCAAAGTAAATTCAGAGGGCTATGATAGTATAATATTATGTCTCTAGCATTCCTAATTGTCCATAAATTCATCTGATTTATAATGAACTCCTATTACAGATATCACCTTTCACATACACGCACATGCACATCTGGCAAAGGGGAAAGGTGAGAAAACTGAAGGTGATGAGTGTTAGGGCTATTGTGATTGATGTAAAAATAAACTTCATCTGGAGCTAACATTTATAAAGTACAATGTACAATAGCTCAAACTGAGAACAGGCTGTGGTAATGAGAAAATAAGAAACTCACACCAATTTGGTATTTTAGGTTAATCGCTTTATTATTAATACAGAGAGTTTGTACATTAGTTCTGTATAATTAGAAATTATGCCATGTGTGGTAATTGTAGCAGGATTCTGTAGTTTGTTATAACTTTGTGCTGAACCAATATAAAAAATAAAGAATTACAATCTTTAAAAAGAGACACATGGTTGGCATCAGAGCATAACTTGAAAGAGAAGCTGATATATGACAGATTTTCATTATTTTTGCAAGGTAAGTTAATTCCATCATATCTGCATGACAGAGTATTAATAAGATACTAGGTGATATTAAGTACTTCCAGCGGCTAGAGATTTAACTTGTTTTCTTCCCACTTATGAACACTTTATTTCTGAATTACCTGTTCACTTTATATCTTTCGATTAAGACTATAGAAATGTAGCTGGTACTGAATCTTTTCTCTTACTTTTGTTACAATTATGCTTATCTAACAAAAATTTTAATCTCTATAAACTTTAGTGCATTATATATTTCAAACACCTCTGAAGCCCTGGAGACAGGGAAATGACCAAGACAGACATAGCCTCTGTCCTGCAGACACTAGGTTCCTACAGGGAAGGCAGAAGCAGAACAGGTAATTTCCTAATTGGTATTTAATTACAAGATCGTTAAAAGTTCTCTTAGAGAAATCAGGGTGCTAAGAGATCATATAAAAAGGCAGACCTGAACTAGCCTTGGAGACAGGCAAGGCCTCTCAGTGGAAATGGCATTTGTCTGAAACCTGAAAACGGAGTAGGTTAGCTGGCACAAGGAGAGAAAGTGAGGAAAATATCCAGATTAAAAGGAACAATTCATTCGAAAGCCTCAAGGCACAGAGTATGAATATGGAAGAAAATCAGGCTGCCACGCCGTGTTCCTTTAAAAATGTGTTTATTTTTATTCTACATACTTGAGTGAAACACACCCAAGTGAAGAAAGAGCATCATCTACTTTCCTGCAAATTGGCCACTGTTGCCAGCTCAGCGTATCTGCATAACTTATTTGGGGATGCTTCCTTCCATCATGCTGTCATCTAGACAATCTTCACATGGTTTTCCCCTCCTACCCCCAATTTACTTCAGAACACTTCTGCTTACAAGGCCAGTGATGGGGTCAACTTTTAAAAAGTGAACTTAATTTCTTGCTTATTATCTGATTTATACCTTGAACTTACTTGTTCTGGCAATTCCCATTAGAAAGGTAGCAAGTTATTCTCTCAAAAGTTGTATTGCCAGGCTGGGACTATGCTATTGAACAAGATACACACAGCCTTGCCCTCTCCAAGCTTATTGTTGGTCAATGAAATCAAATAAAGTATAGCAAGTAATAAGAGACTGTAAAATTGTAAGATAGTTCTAAAATATAAATTAACAATTTGGAGAATACAAAGATGAGAGAAATTTATTAATTCCACAAATCTACTCTCTGCCAGACATTGTACTAAAACTTAAACCTATGAAGAAACATAACATATAAGGTACGAGCTTCTCAATTTCAAAACTCTGCTGACTGCAATTCTACTAATGTTTATTGAGCACCTACTATGTAAAGCATTGTGATTCCACTATTCTCTCACTCAGCTTCACCACTCCAGCTTCCTTGTTGCTCCTTGAACATGCCAGGCACATTCCCATTTCCAGGATCTGCACTTGTTTTTCTCTCTCTCCAAATATTCTTCTCCTAAGTTATCTCTACAGCACTCCCTCACTTCCCTCACTTCTTTCTCCAACGTCAACCTCTCGATGAAACATTCTTTGACCACCCTGTCTAAAATTGCATCCCAGCGCCCGTATTCTCCATCTCTCCTTCATACTTCAGATATATCCGTAGAAAATGTTTCTTTACCCTCTAATATGCTATATCGTATGCTCCTAGCATTCAGGGACATATCCTATAATGTTAATGATGTCATCATCATAGGATGTGTCCCTGAATGCTAGGAGCATACGATATAGCATATACAGATTACAGAAAGCTAGTAATTAATTTGGCAGCTTGATTATTTGCTGGGGTTGATCATCTTCTCCTACATTATTAAGTAAGATATTTGAGGCCGTGCACGGTGGCTCAAGCCTGTAGTCCCAGCACTTTGGGAGGCTGAGGTGGGTGGGTCACATGAGGCCAGGAGTTTAAGACCAAGTCTAGCCAACATGATGAAACCACATCTCGACTAAAAATACAAGAATTAGTCAGGTGTTGTGGTGCATGCCTGTCGTTCCAGCTACTCGGAGGCCAAGGCAGCAGAATTGCTTGAACCCGGGAGGCGGGTTGCAGTGAGCCGCCATCACATTACTGCACTACAGCCTGGGTGACAGCGAGACCCTGTCGCAAAAAAAAAAAAAAAAAAAAGATACTTGGATAAATTAGGCTGAACTTAAGTAAATAATTAACATTGAAAAATTAATGAATCCAGGAGCTGGTTTTTTGAAAGGATCAACAAAACTGATAGACTGCTAGCAAGACTAATAAAGAAGAAAAGAGAGAAGAATCAAATAGACGCAATAAAAAATGATAAAGGGGATATCACCACCGATCCCACAGAAATACAAACTACCATCAGAGAATACTACAAACACCTCTACGCAAATAAACTAGAAAATCTAGAAGAAATGGATACATTCCTCGACACATACACCCTCCCAAGACTAAACCAGGAAGAAGTTGAACCTCTGAATAGACCAATAACAGGAGCTGAAATTGTGGCAATAATCAATAGCTTACCAACCAAAAAAAGTCCAGGACCAGATGGATTCACAGCCAAATTCTACCAGAGGTACAAGGAGGAACTGGTACCATTCCTTCTGAAACTATTCCAATCAATAGAAAAAGAGGGAATCCTCACTAACTCATTTTATGAGGCCAGCATCATCCTGATACCAAAGCCAGGCAGAGACACAATCGAAAAAGAGAATTTTAGACCAATATCCTTGATGAACACCAATGCAAAAATCCTCAATAAAATACTGGCAAACCGAATCCAGCAGCACATCAAAAAGCTTATCCACTATGATCAAGTGGGCTTCATCCCTGGGATGCAAGGCTGGTTCAATATACACAAATCAATAAATGTAAGCCAGCATATAAACAGAACCAAAGACAAAAATCACATGATTATCTCAATAGATGCAGAAAAGGCCTTTGACAAAATTCAACAACCCTTCATGCTAAAAACTCTCAATAAATTAGGTATTGATGGGATATATCTCAAAATAATAAGAGCTATCTATGACAAACCCACAGCCAATATCATACTGAATGGGCAAAAACTGGAAGCATTCCCTTTGAAAACTGGCACAAGACAGGGATGCCCTCTCTCACCACTCCTATTCAACATAGTGTTGGAAGTCCCAGCCAGGGTAATTAGGCAGGAGAAGGAAATAAAGGGTATTCAATTAGGAAAAGAGGAAGCCAAATTGTCCCTGTTTGCAGACGACATGATTGTATATCTAGAAAACCCCATTATCTCAGCCCAAAATCTCCTTAAGCTGATAAGCAACTTCAGCAAAGCCTCAGGACACAAAATCAATGTACAAAAATCACAAGCATTCTTATACACCAATAACAGACAAACAGAGAGCCAAATCCTGAGTGAACTCCCATTCACAATTGCTTCAAAGAGAATAAAATACCTAGGAATCCAACTTACAAGGGACGTGAAGGACCTCTTCAAGGAGAACTACAAACCACTGCTCAAGGAAATAAAAGAGGATACAAAGAAATGGAAGAACATTCCATGCTCATGGTTAGGAAGAATCAATATCGTGAAAATGGCCATACTGCCCAAGGTAATTTATAGATTCAATGCCATCCCCATCAAGCTACCAATGACTTTCTTCACAGAATTGGAAAAAACTACTTTAAAGTTCATATGGAACCAAAAAAGAGCCCGCATCACCAAGTCAATCCTAAGCCAAAAGAACAAAGCTGGAGGCATCACGCTACCTGACTTCAAACTATACTACAAGGCTACAGTAACCAAAACAGCATGGTACTGGTACCAAAACAGAGATATAGATCAATGGAACAGAACAGAGCCCTAAGAAATAATGCCGCATACCTACAACTATCTGATCTTTGACAAACCTGACAAAAACAAGAAATGGGGAAAGGATTCCCTATTTAATAAATGGTGCTGGGAAAACTGGCTAGCCATATGGAGAAAGCTGAAACTGGATCCCTTCCTTCTACCTTATACAAAAATTCATTCAAGATGGATTAAAGACTTAAACGTTAGACCTAAAACCATAAAAACCCTAGAAGAAAATCTAGGCATTACCATTCAGGACATAAGCATGGGCAAGGACTTCATGTCTAAAACACCAAAAGCAATGGCAACAAAAGACAAAATTGACAAATGGGATCTAATTAAACTAAAGAGCTTCTGCACAGCAAAAGAAACTACCATCAGAGTGAACAGGCAACCCACAAAATGGGAGAAAATTTTTGCAACCTACTCATCTGACAAAGGGCTAATATCCAGAATCTACAATGAACTCAAACAAATTTACAAGAAAAAACAAACAACCCCATCAAAAAGTGGGTAAAGGATATGAACAGACACTTCTCAAAAGAAGACATTTATGCAGCCAAAAAACACATGAAAAAATGCTCACCATCACTGGCCATCAGAGAAATGCAAATCAAAACCACAATGAGATACCACCTCACACCAGTTAGAATGGCAATCATTAAAAAGTCAGGAAACAACAGGTGCTGGAGAGGATGTGGAGAAATAGGAACACTTTTACACTGTTGGTGGGACTGTAAACTAGTTCAACCACTGTGGAAGTCAGTGTGGTGATTCCTCAGGGATCTAGAACTAGAAATACCATTTGACCCAGGATTCCATTACTGGGTATATACCAAAAAGACTATAAATCATGCTGCTATAAAGACACACGCACACGTATGTTTATTGCGGCACTATTCACAATAGCAAAGACTTGGAACCAACCCAAATGTCCAACAATGATAGACTGGATTAAGAAAATGTGGCACGTATACACCATGGAATACTATGCAGCCATAAAAATGATGAGTTCATGTCCTTTGTAGGGACATGGATGAAATTGGAAATCATCATTCTCAGTAAACTATCGCAAGGACAAAAAAACAAACACCGCATGTTCTCACTCATAGGTGGGAATTGAACAATGAGAACACATGGACACACGAAGGGGAACATCACACTCTGGGGACTGTTGTGGGGTGGGGAGAGGGGGGAGGGATAGCATTAGGAGATATACCTAACGCTAAATGACGAGTTAATGGGTGCAGCACACCAGCATGGCACATGTATACATATGTAACTAACCTGCATATTGTGCACATGTACCCTAAAACTTAAAGTGTAATAATAATAGTAAAAAAAAAAACATAATTTGTGAAATAAGAAGAATGAAAAATTTTAAGTAAATAACATTGGAGAAAAATCATAATTTGTGAAATATGAAGAATGACAAATTTCCATTTTAAAAATATAAGTTTTTAGTTTTTTTCTTACTGCAAAACCAATCCATGTTCATTGCAAGAAAAAAATGCAAAGACAAAAAGAACACAAACACAAACCATATTCCAAAAACCCAACTATAATCATTGTTAACATTTTAAGTATTTCTACATCAAAAACGGAATCATAGTAATCATATATTTCGTAACCTACTCAATCAGTGTTCTACATGCATCAAACACCCAGGCATCTCCTGGGTGGGCTTTGACCTACTTCAAACATGCATACCTGAAATGCCTTGGGGATGCCCACAGATGCATCTACTCAGTGCCTGTCCACACATGAATAACCTGGAAGTGTGGAAGAATTAACACCCCAGAGGGAAAAAAATGACCAATAGATATAGAAGCCAATGGACACATTCTTCCCCCTTTCTGCTCCCAACCCTTACTCTACAGAGTCTAGAGAGATGCTTTACATGGCTACTTGAGGAGGGCTCAGCCTCACTTAACCAGCAATCAGTTTAACTCAGCAGTGACCAATATCACTATCAATATCAATAATGCCTTCTCCTCCTGTTGGCTCTCCCTTTCTTCCCTGCCTTACTCCCCTGCTCTGTCACTTCTCTTTCCTGGGATGGCACTTGCTAATAAAGCAATAGTACATAAGCCATCTGCCATTAGATTTGCTTCCTGGGAAACCCAGGTTTAGCCACCTAATTTTTATCTTAAAAATATATGTTAAATGTACTTTTCTGTCACTATCAATTCTTCCATACATAATATAAATTCAATACGATCATAGACCTTGTTTTTCTTCCTTAATTCTTTATGCTCAGTATCTAGATTAGTATCAACACATTTTCAATGCCTACAAGAGTGTATCATTGCTGCGAAGGTATGAGTCCACCTACTTACATTTTTACTAGTGTATACCTCAATATATTCATTCAGACCACACTTGGACATTCAAGTTGTTCCTAATTTTACCTATGTTAATGTGCCATGGTTAGGCAGCAAACTCCGGGCTCAAACACATGATTATTTCTATATTCTTAAAAGCGATTTATCTGAATCAAAGGTTATGCACAATTTTAGGAATATTTTACAAGCATTTGCTATCCTATTTGAATAAAAATTATGATATTCTATTCATTTTTACCTGTCAGCATTTCTTCTAGTGAACCAAGGTATTCTCATAGCATTGGCAGAGGAAAAGGCATAATCCATGTCCATCTTTTTCATCAGCTTAAAATCCATGTGCTTTTATGGGTGGCAATGAAGCGATGAGTAGCCTCAAGCCAGCAAATTTGGAGTGGGGAGAAGAATTAAACCTCAAAAATCCTTGCTGCTGAAACAATATTTTTTTCTTTTCTTCTTTTTCTTTAATAATGGTATCCCTCTTCCCACTATCCTTCCCAATTGTAATTTACTTTTCATGTCACAGAACTTAGCACCAAACAAATTACACACCTTATCCAAAGCTATTGGCTCAAAATGCTCAGACGGCTGTTTTCACTATAAACCACAGGCAAAGTGATTCCAGGGTGTTGTTTTTCTGATAGTAAAAGAAATCCTGGAAACTCTTTACAATTATTCCTGCATGGATCAATGCGGCGTAGAGCGGTAGTCCAGAGATCAGTAGGAGACGTATTTGAAGCTGAATCAATGCTGACAAAGAAATACTTGCCATTCCTCAAATACTTGAAGTACCTCATTTCCTATGAACTGGATTATCTCTTCATAAATTGTGGGCAACAGCTAAGATAAGTTTAGCCCCTGCCTTTGCTACCAAATATGGCAAGCGGATTTGTGAGTAATGGAGACAACCAAGAAATCAGTTTCAGAACCGCACCCCGCCCCCCTCAAAAAAAAAAAAAAAAGAAAAAGAAAAAGAAAGAAAACAATTTTTATGGTTTGGGAAACTAATCAGTCCCTTCTCTGCATGAAAGAAAAAGCCACACTTAGAAACCTGTTTGCTGCAATGAGTTTGAATGCCTCATACCTGGCTTGGTATTAAAACTTAATGTTGGAATTTGGAAGACTGCTTTCATCTAGTATTGAGTTAATTATTGGACAAGTACATTAAAATGGGTTGATCTCAGAAAATCAGCTAACAGCCCTTATCATACTCCTCTATATCAAAGCAATGTCACTGAGCATCACTACAAACAGTTAGAAAATTAAGGCTTTTTTTCCTCTTAAAATATTTTCTGTCTCAAAAAGTTCTTTATAATGTGTGATAAACTTCTTTAAATAAGATTTTCTCAAATTTTCTTTAAAAGTTTCAATTAAACATATGTTTTTTAATGGGGGCAACCGAACCATATCACGGATGAAAAATAAAATCACCAGGTATCCAACAGAAGGGCCAGTGGGTAAATCAGGCTGCCTGGGCTGAGTGTAAAACAGATCTGTTCATTGCAGAACTCGGGGGATTGAAATAAAACCTCCAACACATGTCATCAATACATTTCTGCTTTAATAAACACCGCTTAAATTTCCCCTGGCATTTAAAAAAATGCATATTAAAAGGAAGAACATGCACAATTCAGGCTAAGGACAAATCTTGAGCCTTCTCAAGTAGAAATGTGTTCAATTTGATAATTTTGGTGCTGTGTCTATGGAGAGAATGAAACTTTGTTCCACCCCCATCTACAAATTTTTATGCACCTATTGATAAAATCTGTAGATGTCCTTGGCCCAATAAAAAGACAAAAAGAATACTGCCTGCCTGCACAAACCATGACGCTCTCACTGCAAACCATCTCAAAGACCTCTCTCTCTCTAATCAAAACAATTCACCAAGGCTGAGTGATGATCTGAAAGAAAAAAAAAAGGAGATAAAATAACAAAGAAAATAAACCAAACTAACACATTTTTAACCTACATATGTTGAAATATAATTTCTTACAAATAAACAAACAAAAACATGATGTTTTGACTAAATGTTTTTGATTAAATGCTTACTTTAAAAATACAAAAAAGAAAGACCCAGTTATAGAATAAACATTGCCAGGAGAACAAAAGCTATACAATTTACCACAAATTTGCTCTTTCTTTCATTTTAGCATAGACATGACCTTACCTTTTATATGTTAAATGATTAAAGATTATATTATTTTTGTTTTATTTTTAATTTTGTGGGCACATAGTAGATATATATATTTATAGGATACATAAGATGTTTTGATACAGGCATGCAATGTGTAATAATCAAATAATAGAGAATGGGGCATTCATTCCCTCAAGTATTTATCCTTTTTATTATAAACAGTCTGATTACCCTCATTTAGTTGTTTTAAAATGTACAATTATTATTGACCATAGTCACTCTGTTGTGCTATCAAATAGTAGGTCTTTTTCATTCTTTCGGTCCATTGTTTTGTGTGCCCATAAATCATCCTAATCTCCTCTGTATACCCCACCCCCACCCTCGAATGCACTACCTTTCCCAGCCTCTGATAATCATACTTCTACTCTCTATGTCCAAGAGTTTGTTTTGAGTTTTAGATCCCACAAATAAGTGAGAACATGTGATGTTTGTCTTTCTATGCCTGGCTTACTTCACTTTACATAATGATCTCCGTTCCATCCATGTTGCTGCAAATGATAGGATCTCATTCTTTTTATGTCTGAATAGTACTCTATTGTGTATGAGTACCACATTTTCTTTATCCATTCATCTGCTGATGGACGCAGGTTGCTTCCAAATCTTAGCTATTGTGAACAGTGATTCAACAAACAAGGGAGTGCAGATATCTCTTCAATACACTGATTTCCTTTCTGTTGGGGAGATACCTAGAAGTGGAATTGCTAGATTATATGACACCTCTGTTTTCAGATTTTTTGAGGAAACTTTTCGTTTTAAAGAAATTCTGATTAATCTTATGCCTGTAAACATCTAGAGTCAGCAACTGTCCAGTAAATGATGAGCTGATAGATTTCAAGCCTTTTATGTACCAAGTAGGATCTCCAAGTACTCTGTGTAAATAATTCAACTCATTTCTATGTCAACTACCTGCACTAATTTCAACATAAATTAAATTTTAAAACATAAAGGAAATTTTCCATGAAACTTGGACTTGATTCTTCAATGACAGAGTCCTACTAGATTAACTTTCAAAAAGGTGTGCTGCTTTAAAGACTCCTTTTCTTCATAAAACTAATCCATCTATATAGAGTTTTGGCAACATAAAGGAGATAATTGTCATATTCTCAAAAGCTACCTTGTTTCCAGAATCATAAATGATCTTCATTGTTAAAATCAATAATACACTCCTTATGCACATTTTCTTGAACACGTCAATTGTGTATGTTTAGATTTAACGAATATTTTATTCTAGCTCTTTTCACCTCTTTTGATTACTGGAGATTGTTCTGACACCATGGGGAAATGTATAAAGGGAAATATTAAATGCCACACTAGACCAGGCCTGTCAGTAGCACTTTGGAGCGAGCTTTTCAATGCTAAGCCACACGACAACTGAACAGTTCCTGCCAGACATAAAGTGGACTTGTATTCAGTTGACATTTCAGCACTTCTTTGGAACATAACCACTTTTTAGAATTACAAGGTTTTCTTAATTGAAAGTAGATTTTAAAATTATAGTAGTTGTTAAATACTAGGAGCTAAATTTTCACTTGCGTGTAAAAGCTGTTATTTGGAGCTGAATCGGGCATGCAGTTTAACAAGCAACAGGAAATGTTTAAAATCACCACGATCATTATCCAGTAAAATTAAAATACCCAAACCAGAGGGCTAAGCATTATATGGGAATTTGCAAGTGAAACCAGCATCATCATCAGGAACACATCTGGGTAGGTAAAACTATTAGATACACTGGAGTACCTAAGAAGGAGAAGAGCAGGCCAGGCCGTCTCCAGCCTAAGGGATGTCATATTCCCTAAGGCTGCAGACATGGACTGGGTGGTACAGTGTAAGAGACCTGTCTGCTCAGGTGAAAGTGACTGTGCGAATGACCTTGTTGTTTGTGCTCATGTACACATGTATATGCAAATCCTATTTCCCAGGACTCTTTCCTGGGCCTGTGGATAGGGTGGGAACAGACAAAGAGTTTTAAGATAGGGGTCCCGAACTGACAGCAGCAAACAAGTTAGCAGCCTACGAAGTAGTGGTAGGTGGAATAATGGCCCCCTAAAGACGTCCCCATCCTAGTCCTTAAAGCCTTTGGATATGCCACATTACATGGCAAAAGCCATTGTGGAGATAAATTAAATTCAGGATCTTCAGATGAGGAGATTATCTTGGATTATCTGGATGGGCTCAACAAAGAGGATAAAATGGTTCCTAAAGAGGGAGTCAAGAAGGTCAAAGTCAAAGGAGATGTGACAATGAAATCAGAGCTCAGAGAGGAGAGAAGATGCTATATTACTGGCTTTGAAAATGGAAGAAGAAAGAACAAGCCAAGGAAGGTATATGAATCTGGAAAAGACAAATGACTGATTTTTCCCTAGAGCCTCCAGAAGGAATCAGCCTTCTGATTCCTTCAAGGTGTGGACACCTTGGTTTTCCCACCAGTGAGATAGGTGACCTTCCAAAATGGAGATGTTTGTGGAAATGTGTTACAAGAACAATAGAAAATTAATATAGATGTTTTATCGAAATTTAATGAGAGGCAGCTTGCATTCCATCAGGAAACTTTTAACCCGTGCCCACCTGGTATGCATGGTGGTGACCAAGATGGTCTTAACCAGGGGTGTCCAATATTTTGGGCTCCCTGAGCCACACGGAAGAATTGTCTTGGACCACACATAAAATACACTAACGCTAACAACAGCTGATGAGTTAAAGAAAAAAAAGTCACAAAAAATCTCATAATGTTTTAAGAAAGTTTATGAATTTGTTTTGGGCTGCATTCAAAGCAGTCTTGGGATGCATGTGGCCCACAGGTTGCAGGTTGGACAAGCTTGGTCTTAACATTCCCCTCAGATTGACTAGACTTTTGACAGGTCTTTCCTTCTTCCTTCCTTTTTTCCTTCTTTTTTTCCTTCCTTCCTGCCCTTTTTTATCCTTCCTTCCCTTTTTTCTTCTCTCCTTCCTTTCTTCCTACCTTCTTTCATTCCTTCCTTCCTTTGTTCCGTCCTTTCTTCCCCTTCCTTCTTTCCTTCCTTCCTTTTCTTCCTTTCTTCCCTTCTTCTTTCCTTCCTTCCTTTCTTTTCTTTTTTTCTTTTCCTTTCTTTCTTTCTTTTTTTCTTTCTTTCTTTCCCTCCTTCCTTCCTTCCTTTTCTTTTCTTCCTTCTTTTTCTTTTCTTCCTTCCTTCCTTCCTTCTCTCTCTCCCTTCCTTACTGGTATTAAAGATCACAAGTTTCTTTCTGATTTAGGCACTTGACTTCCCTTTTCTCAGATCACTCACATAGAGAACTTGCAGTTGTAAATTCTTTCTCTACCTCTTTGACATGTAAATCTTCTCCCAGCCTCTTTCCAGTTTTACAACCCAAGAATGTCTTTCTCAATGACCTGAGGCTATCCCTTTGAAATGTAATCATCAAAGGAGAAAGCACTCCTATGTCCCAGTGGCTATGGGCAAGTGGCTGCATAACTTCCATAAACAACAATTAGCAAACACAAATGTCCTAATCATATTTAACAACCTCCTCCCTAATATCTTCCAGTACTTTTCAACTCACTCCAGTGCTTAAAGCTCTCACTTTCACCTTTTGTTTCAGTGGATTTGAGTTCAATCTCCACTTTCTACTGCAATAGTCTTGAAATTCCTTCATTCTGTGCTACATTATTTTTTAATTTAATTTACCCTATTTAGTACACAGTGGACCAAAAATCTGTATATATATATTTTTTGAATGAATAATTTTTTTCTACTATTTCTTTGATCATTTTCTCTTTTCCATTGTTTCTCTGTCATTAAAGATCATGTTATATAGAGGTTGAATCTGCTGTATCTTCCTTCTACCATCTTAAATATTTTCAGATATTATTTATATTTTTGGGAAGAGAGTTCCTTGACCTTATTTTCCAAATCATTTGTTTTAGCTTTAATACTATCTTTCACATTACTCAGTCTACCTATGAACTTTTAACAATTATAATTTTAAGTTGATTAAATAATTCTTATTCTGAGTTCTCTTTGTTCCAAGTAATACATTCTCATTTGAATATCGAACTATTCTCACATTTCTCCTTGTTAATCATAATTAAAATTTTTGTAGTAATCTTAATTAAAATTTTTTTAGAATCATCTTCTCTATCTTTGGTTATCTGTGTTCCTCTGGCATCAGTTGTCCCATTCTTTGATCTTTGCCTTCTCCTTCCTATTTTTGGTTTTGCTCCACATTGGAAATACTTGGTTATTGGTTTGTGGCTATTTGTTGGTTAGTATACCTATTAATATATTTTTCCTCTGCAGTCATTTTAGGTCTTTTACCCTAACAGAATTCTTCCTTAAATGGAAAGGCAAATGGCAGGCTATGTGTATATTATGGAGTATGTGAGTGCAAGGTAGACGGAAAGGATGGCGACTCTCTGGCAGTGCAGAATTTTAGTAAATTTCTCTTCTGGTAATAATTTTTCTTTCACATTCCACTCCGTGTTTACTTGAGGGTGCAGCATTACTTCTATCTAGATTTGTTCCTCTCCTACAATGACACAGAATCATCTTCACCTGTTGGCTCACTTTTTGCAGAAAAGAAATGGTCAGCCACCACAATCTCTGAATGCCCGGGAGAGGGAGGAAATGGTGCCAGCTGGGCTCAATCTCTGTGACTGCACTCTGGCCTACACTGGCTCTCTCTGTATTGACTCTAAATTTGGAGCGTCTCTAGGCTATTTCTAATAAGACTTACCTTATTCTGCTACTTTTGGCCAGTGGATCACTCTTCTTGTTTTTCTTCATAATTCTCATTCCAGTCTTCCAAGATTTCCTTAAAATCCTCAAGCACTGCCTGCTTTCTTTCTTATTTTCCAGTACTATTATGCTATCAATAGTATGTATATATATGTTTATTGGGACTTGGTGGAGGGGATGGTAGACCTACATGCTCAATTTGTCATTTTATACCTAATTTTCTGTTCTTAAAGTGTTCTGTAAAATACTCCCACCAGATTGAGCTTTAGCCCCACCCCACCCCCAATACACATGCAGCCATTTATTTGGCTTCTTTCTCTCTTTTCTGCTCTTCAAAAATAAAAATACCCAAGCAAAAATAAAAAGAAAAGTCTCCCTATTTCTTATGCCAACAAATTCAGCTTTCTTTATCCCCTGTCTTCAGCCCTGGATGTTTTCTGAAGATTCTCTGGTACACTTAAATGAGTCATCTACTAAGCGTCTCCCTCCACTCCCTGCCCCTGACCCCCATCCCTAACTTCCTCCACCAGTTTCTGCGAAGGGGAGAAGATGATATAGAGCTCTATCTCCACACTGATACAAGTTACAGCATCTCTATTTGAGGACAGAAACAGCTACAATTAGTTTGAGCTTTAAATATCTTTCTTTCCTATTACATTTTATTAAACTACACAGAAAAAAATCACATAAGCAGCTTTATATTCATAATGGGGGAAGAAGTGGTTGTAAAAATATAGAGGAAGAAATATGTTGTTTGATTCTTCCTTTATCTTTTCCAAACATATAGGCTTTGGGCTCTTTTTGATCATAACAATATCCATATTTTGTTCTGACTAAACAGTCCAAAAAGTTCAAGGCAAGTGAGTGATTACTATGCATTAGTATCTTTTTCCTCTAAGAATTGTTCACTGGACCTGGATCCACCTAAAAATGGATATTCCTATGTACTTTCTCAATGGGTAGAAAACAGTAAGAGTGAATAATCACGCTGTCAACAGCTACCTAAACTTATACCACTAGGTGAGTGGACTGAGGATGGCAACTGGTTGGAAATATATATCCTAGTTACCAACTAGGGTAATAAAGTATTTTCCTCTTTTCATATAGAAAGCAACATTGTTGGGGCCTTCCCAGAGGAAAAAGGGCCATATCAATTAAAATCACTCATCAACTTGAGCTGGTAGCCCAAAATCCATCTTTTTTTCCCCTTTCTTTTTTCTTCTTTCTTTCCTTCCTTCCCCTTTCCCTGTGTCTTTTCTTTCTCTATCTCTTCCTTCCTTCCTTCCTTCCTTCCTTTCTGGAAGTCCAAGATCAGTCAGCACATTCAAGTCCTTGTGAGGGCTCTCTTCATGGCTGGCAGATGGCCATCTTCTCACTGTGTCCTCACATGGCAGAGAGGGGGGGGGAGAGAGAGAGAGAGAGAGAGAGAGAGAGAGAGAGAGAGAGAGAGAAAGAGAGACAGAGGAGACAGAACTTTCTGATATCTCTTCTATAAGCGTACTAATCCCATCATGAGTTCCCACCTCAAAAATCTCATCTAAACCTAATTTTCTCCCATGGGTTTCATCTCCAAATGCCATCACATTGGAGGTTAGGGCTTCAACATATGAATTTAGAGGGAAGAGAGGACATAATTCAGTCCATAGAAGGAACTCCTGCAGGGATGTGGAGCATCCTGCTCCAATTTGAAAGAAGCAGTGGATGCTGGAAAAATCTGGGAGGGCATTTATTAAGTGGAGTTAAGCAAGGCAAACCAAGACAGTGTCAGCATGGGGGAAAAGGAGATTAATTTTATAGATATTTCTGAGCTAGAAGCAACAAGTTTTCTTCTGTTTTGTTTGACATGAAGAATGAGGAAAAGCAAGCATTTAAATATAAGACAGGCTTTAATGTATGGGCTTTAGCTTTTCACCTCCTGGTGGAGTCTCTAAGCTTGCTTCACCGCAGAGTTCAGTTTTCCACTTCTTAATAGTAACTATTTAGACTCAATCACCAATTCTGTACCTTTTGCTTAGCCTTTTGCCTTCAAGCTTAAATAAATGCAGCAGTGTTTTATGTTGAAGAAATAAATCCTTTGGATCTCAAAGAAGAATGCCCAACATAATTGATTTGCCTTTGCATGGGTTTAGAAATCGTCACTGCTTGTGCCAAATCCTGTAGATCATGAGCAGGGCCCTAGCATTCTCGGGAAGTCAGCCTATGTCAGCCAGGAAGATAGATTGGGAATCTTGGCTTGTCGACTCTTTGTTGGATTTTATGTGCCTCTTTATAGGTTGAGAAAATGCAGTGGGGCTTTCAGAGGCCAAGAAAAGTCAGGAAGAGCATGAAACCTCAACAATTTAGTGAGGTCATCTGAGTGTTCATAGAAGGAGAAATGAGAAAAGATGCAGACGATTAAGTCTGTATGGAAATGGGAGAGAACAGTGAAAGAAAAGCAAGTCTGATGAGGTAGCAGAGTCAATGACATAGGATGAGTAGCCTCTGGTGAAGAGTGGGTTTATTTTTACAAGGAAAACTTATCTAAAGTGTATTTATAAGGAAAATTAGCAGAGGATTACAAAATACCTATCGGTCACTCCAGTTATCTGCTAGCAATGCAAAGAAATACAAAAACGTTTCAAGATATGAGCCCTCCCACTAAACACATTTACATTTTATTTTCCTCTTTTCAGCATTTCCAGTCCCACTTGCCTTCTCTCCTTTTTACAAATCATTTCAGAGTGACATCAAAATACAAAATGCCATGAGAACACTTTAAAATATTTTGTATTTCTCTTCCCCCACACTCCGTATCCTATAATTTAGACCTCTTGTTAATACATGCATGGATATGTATGTCTCTTTTAATGCATTTATCTTAACTGTAAGCTTCATATATGCAGAGATTAAGGAAAGTGCCTCCCAACCCTTCTAAGTGCCTAGCACAGTGCCATGTGAACAGTGAGATCTTAATGTTAATTGATATTCAGTTCTGGCTGAGATGACTGCTAAATAATAATTTCATGCGTTGTGCATTGCTATTTGGATCTCTACAGCAGTAATATAACTTGGGTACTTATTTTAGTCCTGAACTTTTCATTTATACAAAAAGCAAAAAATGAACCCCAACAGATGAATCCTGACCCTGAGACCATTTTTTAATACTTAGTTGACCCTTGTACAAAGCATCCCTATTCCATTGTACTTTCTTTGACCCTTCCATCTCATTAAATTTATGCCTCTAGCAGGTAGTAGAAGTACATTCACTTAATTTAGTTGTATTACTTTCTGTTAAAACATGTGTACTTTATTAAAAATTAATTGTATCATTTAAAGGGACTTTTTTTAGTATGTTCAACTCAATTAAGTAGAAATTTAATACCTACTGTGTGTCAGTATGTTGTTATTATGATGGAGAAACAGAAATCATGATAGAATTTGGTCCTTAAAATTCCCTTGGGGAGAAAACAAGACATATATAGACACACAAACAAAGTTAAATATCAATATCAAGTGCTGTGAAAAGAAGCACCAAATGCTTCTTCTACCAGAATTGTATAGAATGTAGATTTTACCATGAGCCGATAAAAGCAAGAAGAATTCAAGTACCATGGATGTGGTGGCATTTGAACAGAGAAAAAAATCAAATAAGTGGAGAAGAGAGATTAGAGGATTCTGGGGGGTCAGGGTGGAGAAGAGGTGGAGAAGCAAAAACAAAGGAAAAGAAATACATAGAGCCTGCTCAGAGGCCCATGAGGTTTCAGACAGCCTTGGTGGCCTGAAAGGCTTGGGAGGGAGCAGGAGCAAATAGGTTGAAGGATGGGGGAGCCAGAATATAAAAGACTTCAAATTTGGACTTATTTCAGTTGTCTTCAAAAAAATCAAGTAATCCCAGCCTCCTAGTGTAAATAATTCATCCCTCCATCATGAGACTATTGTTGCAGGTATCTATAGTACAAAAGTTTCAGAGCAGAATATGTAATTACTCTGCTAAAGTTTGGAGTCAGGCATACCCTGCTCTTTTACTACTCACAAGTTATGTGATATCAAGCCAATTACTTAAACTTGCTGAACCTCATTTTCTTTATCTAAAAAATAAGGATTATATTATCTATCTCAAAAGTATGTTGTAAAGATTAAATTAAATTATATGATACATGTAAAGTTAACAGCCCGATGCCTAAAACACATTCAATAAATGCTGGCTGGTATTGTGGCTATGATTATTATTCCTTCTTGGTGACCCTGGAAAAGCGACCTAACTTCCAAGAGCTTCATACATCCATTTTTTCAGGCTATTATTGAAGTCAACATTGAGCATCATTAGGTGTTCAATAAATTATGACTATTTCCATTATCTAGTTACAATTTGTTTACTATCATTGCTTCTCTATTATCTATCTCATTGATATATAATTGCATACTATGTATTAGTTATTGAATAACAGTTTTATATTATTGAGTGACTTCTATATAAAATTCACTTTGTGTTGGCTACTGGATATATATATATGTATATTTAAATTTTAATTTAAATTAAAATATAAATTTACTATATATAGCTGTGTGTGTGTGTTTATGTATACCTTACAGTCTGTCACAACTACTCAATTCTGTTGTTACAATATTCCTATTCTTGAGAAATACTTGATCTGCCAAACTGTGCTAAGATCAGACATAAATATCTAAATCAGAATATACATTCCATTAGGGAAGTATATACAGATTTCACAGAAGGAGGTAACTAACTCAGTGGGCTGATCAAAAAAATTATTATAACAAAAATATTTGGAACTACCTTTAATTAAAGCTAAAATTTATTTAAAAGATTAATTTGGTTATTTATTCATTCAATAAAAATCCATTAATAGCCACCATATGCCAGACACTGCCCTGGGTGCCTGGAATGTGGCAATAAACAAAATAGACTAAGACCTGACTCAGACGGAGCTTACCTTCTAGTGTAGCAGGCAATATACAAATAAATACATACATAAATAATATAATGTCAGTTGTTTTAAAGAAAGAGAAGCAAAATAAAGGAACAGAGTGGACACAGTGAGTACTCTTAGGATCATTAGGTAAGACTCCTCTGAAGAAGTGACATTTTAATAGTGACCTAGGAGCATAAGTCATGCATGTACCTGGGAGAAGAGTATTACAGGCATAAGGACAGCAGGTGCAAAATCCCTGAGGATGGTACCTTACGTGTTTGAGTAAATTTACTCACTAGTACTTCCTATGCTATACCATTGCTTAAAAGCTTTAAGTGTGAAGACATATTATCTGATTTAATTCTCAGCAACTTTATAATGTATGTAATATTATCATCATCATTTAAAAAATGTAGAATTTAGCTCTAAAGAGGTTAAGTAACCAACCCAAGGTCATAAAGCCTTTAAATGGAAGCACTTGAACCCAGGTCTGTCTAACTCTAAAGCCAAGGCTCTAAATCATTGTATTATACTGCTTTGAAGGGCATCTACAAATTATACAGATGCAGAAAGAGAAAATACAGAGGAACATATTTCTAAGATGGGATGTGTTTGGACTACAGCAAATTTTCTAATTTGTCTTTAATGTAGACTTTTTATAGGACATTAAACAAGATAATGCACAAAAAACAGGTTGGGAACACATTGTGGTAGGCCAAGAATTCTAGGCAGAAGAGTGTGTTCTTAATCCAATTGGTAAAAGGAAGTCATTGAAGGATTGTGGTAGTGAAATAGGTGGATCAGTGCTCTGGGAAGATCAGCCTGGCAACAGTGAGTGTGATGGATTTGTGTAGGGAAAGCTGGAGGCAGTGGAACTAATTCAGTATTCATTGCATTAGACCAAACAAACTGCAATAAGAAATTAAACCAGGGTGATTGTTTTAGGAATGGACACAAGAGGAGGTATGTGAGTTGAACTTCAGAGGCACAATCTATATACTGTGACAACTGACTGACATGAGGAAGATAAAGAATTCAAAGATGATTGTGAAGTTTTAAGCTTGAACGAAGAACATCGTGACCATAAACAGAAAGAAGAAAGTGGAACTGGCTTTGGGACAAAAAGAGAAACCAGGGTTAGAGCATGTGGCAATGACTCTGGAAAAGGGAGAGATTGAACAATTACCTAGGAGGTGGGACTAGAGATGTATAACAGGAAGTTGTGTGTAAATAAGTGAGAGTTGGTATTAGATGAGATGATAAGATCATTGAAGCAGGAGTGTGAAACAAATCTTAAAGGGCCTGAGACAAGAAACTTCAGGAAAGCCTATGTTTAGGGGACAGAAGGAAGAGAAACTGATCAAGTGTCTAAATGCTTTACATATACCCACCCATGAATAATGAGTTGCCATGGGTAGAGTAACAAGAAACGAGAAATATTTCTATAAATACCTACTGATATGGCTGCCACTGGGGTGGGTGATGGAGGGTGACAAGGAGGGTATGGCTGTGCATCCAGGGCTCTGAGACCTCACACTGCAGCCACACCCTGTGCTTGAATGAGAGTAGTTCTACTTTCGTGTTCTATGTAAGATTTCATTAGGAAAAAAACAATGGAGCTCTGCATGCTAAAAATGTAACGAAGTCCGTCAGCTTAGTAATTTGAGGAAGGAATGACCTCATGAGCAAAATTTTCCAGTGGTAAGAAAGAAGGAATGAACAAGATTATGGGAACATTCACAAATGGATAAGAAGCAGGATGAGTTATTGGGTATTTATGGAGGAAAAAAGGTATGAATGGCTTTTAGGATTGCCCCCTTGAGGTTAATGGTCATGAATTTGAAGTGAGAGCTGTCAGCATGTCATTACCTACTCTGTGATATCCCAGGAAAGCAAACATGAAAAGGTGTTGCCTCTGAAGTTAAGGAAGGAAATGAATTGGATCTTACTCTTTATACATTACGTTGCTTAATCTTCATTACATTATTATAAAGTGAGGATTAAATATAGTATAGCATTGCATTATATATATGTATACACACGTGTATACATATGTGTGTGTATGTATATACACTCAGTCATGTGCCAAACAATGGTGTTTTGGTCAATGGTGAACTGCATATATGATGATGGTCCCATAAGAATGTAATGCTTTATTTTTACTGTACCTTTTCTATGTTTAGATATGTTTAGGTACACAAATTCTTATCATTGTGTCACAACTGCCTACAGTACTCATTCAGTACAGTAAAGTGCTGTACAGGTTTGCATATAGCTTAGGTATGCTTTGTGATGTTCATACAATGACAGAATCACCTAATACTGCATTCCTCAGAATGTAGTCCCATAATTAAATGATACATTATTGTATTAGGGTAGAGTATGCAACTTAGAGATAGCCACTCTACTCAAATGAAGGATAGATCAGGAATCCCAAATACATCGGCTGACTCTTATGACGTACCAATGGTTTCATCATCACCTATTCATGAGCCTTAAAATTAAGCCATGTTCTCAAGGTGTGGGGGTTAGTAGCTCAACCACAGCTGGTAGGCTATATTGTGTAGGTTTTCAAATTTTCTAATCATGGCACAGTTTTAATTAGGAACTCAAATTTCTGGTGACCTATTTAAGAATCTTATAGAGTTATTTTTTTGAAAATGTAGAAAACTGTAGATTATATATATTATCATGTTTATTTCATTTGATTGCTCTTCATCACTGGGTTACCATTGAAACAGAATAGTTAGCTTATTTGACTATGTTTCTTTATATTTTCAAAACTGGAATATTCTCATGTTCCAGTAAATACTTGATTTTGATTTTTCTTTGAGACCAACTTAACATTTTGTGAAGTCACAACATCTACCATTAACTTGTAGAAAGTCACTGAGTAGTATCGATTTAAGCCATATGGCAAGACTTGCTATGCTCAGTGTTCCATCTGACAGTGTAGCCTTCACAATATATCTATAATTTTAATAAGGTTGCGTAACTGACATATTGAAAGTGAAGCACTCAATGAGTGAATCATGATGCAATTTCATTCCTCCCTGACTATTCTTCAAACCTCTTCTGGAAATCACTTATTTCCAGGCAGGTCCCTTAACACTCCTGATCCTTTTTGGTTGCAGTGTCATTTCAGGCACTAAAATGACCAGTCCCTTTTAATATAATACCCTAATTTGAAATTTACATCCAGGCTAAGTCTTCCATTTTCCAAGCTAGGGCTTGTCTCCGGCCTGAAAGCCTGAGGTGGGGAGTGTAATATGGTATTTTCTTCTTTCTTCCATTGTCTGTCTTACTCTGATAGTGAGAGCTTCAAAACCCTCTGGGGCCAGCCTCAGGGTAAGAAGGGATCAGAAGGCAAGGACACAGTCTTACTTTGTATAAGGGTGTGGGGAATCTCTGGATATCTTTTTTTCTAAGCAGGCTCTTGTAGGTTCTTTAGAAAACAAAAACAGAGCTCCTTAGATAAAGGCAATGCTGTTTTTCTGACTTTACCCTAATCATTCAGTCACCCACTCCTGCCCTCATGAACATCCTACAATTCAGAAATTGTAGGATATGGTGTCTTGTTTTGCTTTGACTTGCTTTTCCTATTCAGGTCATCTTGCTCTTGGCTGGAAGACCTTCAAGGTCTCCTTTAAAACTATTTTGGGTCAGCCTACTCCCAAGGACCACTTGGCCTATGGGAAACGCATGCACCCCTGTCCTAGTCGGGTGGAAGCGCAGCTTACTCACTCCCAGTGCAGCCTTTCTCCTCTTTGCTCTTCAATCCCAAGCCAAAACTCTGTGGACATATTTCAACCCTCCTAGAAAGTCCTCTCAGTAACTTGATTACCTCTGTAAAGAATGAATGAATAAATAAATAAATTTAATTCAAAAACAAAACAGAAAATGCTCTCTAAGCTTATGTCACTTGCAGGAGGAGGTGAAACTCTATGGTACTCCAAAAACTCTTTCCACAACATTCTCACTCTTCTCCAAACTCTTCCACTTACAGAGACTAGAGGTGAGAGATTGCTAAAGTTGTCTGAACTAGTCTCGTGATCTTTTAACATGTCCTGATTAAGTGGACTGGCTCTTTGGTTTAGGACATAGAGTAACAAGGTACCTTTGTATTGTTCTCAGACTGTGGGGCTTTCGATAAAATAGAGATAGAACGAGTCCCATTTTATCATCTTGTCAGATATTGTGGACATTGATAACCATTTGATAGCACACTTTGGAAGGCTCGTGGCACCCTGTTTAAAAGTCTCCTTTCTGCTTAGTGTGGCAAGTCTTTGATAAAAACATCCATTTCTATTTTGATGTCTTTTGCAACACCTTTGTCTCACACTTATTTTTCCTCCTTGTTCCCAATGACTTCTGTTTTCATGTCACCACCACGTTTCTTAGATCTTAGCATAAGTAATAGTTTTTGACCTAGAGATGACATATTTTCTAAACAACCTCAAACTCATTTCACTATTTTCAGCACTCAACTAAAGGACTTTCCTCTTTTGAACATTGACAATGATTAAAGCAATTGGAAAAGACTTTCCATAAACTTCCACTAGTACATCTACCTACTTACCTACATCTGTGTCCAGATGCTCTGCCTTTTCTTCTGTTCCTAGAAATGAATTTTTAGTGTTCCCATTAAGGCCACCACTGTCAGCACCCCACCCTACACAAACTCACACTTGTGCTTAAGATCTGGTCCCTTACCACTTAAGGATATCTCTACAGCCAATATTTTGTTACCTAAATCATTTGTTTTTCTATTTTCTTCAACATTACAGACATGGTACTAAATCCATCATGTCAAAAACAAACAAACAAAAAACATAAAAAGCAAACTATCCAAAAATGTTTCTGCTCAGTATTCTTTTCTAGTTAAAATTCTATGTCTTTGTTCTCTTTCCAAAGGAATTCATCAAAAGTTGTCTCTACTCATTGTTGGCAATTCTTCCCCTCTCATTTTGCCTTGATCCCAGGTTTTTGCCCCCTCCATTCCAGTGAAATAGCCCTTATCAAATCACCAAAGACCTTCAGGTTGTTAAGCTCATTGCTCAGTTGTCAGCCCTTGTCTTACTCCAACAATCTGGAACATTAAATAAAGTTGATTACCACCTCTTTTGTTGAAGGAAAGAAAAGGAAGGAAACTTTACCTATGGCTTCTCTGGCCCCTCTTGGTTGGCTCTCCTCTTACCTCACCGGCCACTTCTACTCACCTCCCTTGCTGGCTCTTTTCTTTTCTTTTTAATACCCTTGGTCTTAAATGATGAAAAGTCCCAGGGCTCTTTCTTTAAACTTATTTTCTATCTATATCCACTCCCTTTGTGATCAAAACAAATCTCAGGGTTATAAACCTATGCAGATAACCTATACTGATAACTACCAACATTACATTTCTAGCCTGGTTCCCTCTCCTGAACAACAGATTCATCTATTCAACCTCCTATTCATATTTCAACTAGGATATCTAATAGGAATCTCACACTCAACATGTCCAAGACAGAATTCGTGCTTTTTCTCCAAGACCTGCTCCTCCTGCTGTCATACCAATTTCAGTAAATGTAACTATCCTTCCGATTTTCCCAGACTAAAAACTATGGAATCATTCCTGACCCATCCCTTCCCTGTTGATCTTACCTTTTAAGAATAGGTAACTTCTATTTAACATCATTAAGAATTCCTGCGCATCGAATGTTCTGCACCAAAACACGAATCAGCAGCCTATTTCACATTATTTCAAGTGAGAAAAATACAATGAGCTACATCAAAACAAAAGTCCCCAACTAAATTTCTAAAGGACTAAAGCATACCTAAAATACAGCAAAAGTTGTTAGATTTTGAAATCTTTCATGGTAAATAATATTTATCCAAAATATGCAGGGAAAAATGTACAATAAAAATTAGACAATTCTCTAATACATACTTACCAAGTGAGTTGGACACTTGAGGCTTGGCAAATGTTGAGAAGGAAAAAGGGTAAAAGATTAAAGTTATCTTTGTCACTTACTTTAGAAGGTGGTGGTACTGACAATTTGGGTAATGAATGGCCAATTTCAGGCAAATTATCAAACTCAGAGGAACTGGTAGAGATTCTCTGTCATTTGGGTATTTGTAGAGACATTTGAAAAGTCAAAACTTGAAAAACAGATTTGATATGTTTAGATAAAAAATGCAAAATCGATTTTTATTTACATTTCCATTATTTTTTGAACAAAGCTATAAGGGATTGGCTACTTTAAAATGTTAAGCTTCCCATCTTATCATCCTCATGTTTAAAGATAATGCTCATCATTCCTGCTAAATATGACACCGTTAGGCCTCATAGCATATGCAAAATCCAAAATGCACATCCTTTTTTTTGCCAATTTGTTGTTATTCTAATATCTACACATAATTCTGGTGCTCTAGCAACTATTTTTCAGTTTCAAGTTTTCTCCTGCATATTATATTTTTAAATGTTTGTGTGTTTAGGACATAAATATTAATTTTTTTCCTATATTAGTATAGTCTTAAAAATGTATTGAGAAAGTTGTGTATGAGTAATATGAAATGTGGGTAATTCGACAATCAAGAGGCGTTCTTATTTATTAGAGAGATTTTATATAGGATATGCCTGTATATTCAAAATCTAACCACTTCTAATAGCACTATCAACCTCTTTCAAGAGCCCATCCCTGCTGCCTGGACTATACAACTTGCTCTGTAGCTATTTTCCTTATTTGCTTCCTAGCATGTAATCAACACAGAAGCTCAAATGATTCTTTTAAAACATGAGTCAAAGCATGTCACTTCTCTGCTCTAAACTATGTAATGAATCCCATTTACTCAGAGTAACAGCCCAAGTCCTTCAAGAACCCACTGAGACCAGGCGCGGTGGCTCACGCCTGTAATCCCAGCACTTTGGAAGTCCGAGGCAGGCGGATCACGAGGTCAGGAGATTGAGACCTTCTTGGCTAACATGGTGAAACCCCATCTCTACTAAAAATACAAAAATTAGCCGGGTGTGGTGGTGCATGCCTGTAATCCCAGCTACTCGAGAGGCTGAGGCAGGAGAATTGCTTGAACCAGAGAGTCGGAGAATGCAGTGAGCTGAGATCGGGCCACAGCACTCCAGCCTGGCGACAGAGAGAGACTCTGTCTCAATATTAACTAATTAATTAATTTAAAAAAAAACTCACTGACTTCTCTCCTGCTGTTCTGCCCCTCACCACTCTACTGGACCCACACTAGTCTCTTTGCTGGTCCTTGAATGGTCCAAGCAAAAGTCTGCCTTGGAGCTTTTGCACTTGCCTGGAACACTCTTCCCTGCATTATCTACTGGCCTTCCTTGCTCCTTTCTAACTAAAAGGCCTTCCCTGACATTCTATATTATAAATAGTAGTGGCATTCCCTCCTCCAAACTCCTTTGTCCTTTACCCTGTTTATTGTTTTTGACAATACTTGTCATCGGCTGATATATATATATATAAAGGGGGACCTAGTAATGTTTCACTCTCATTGAACCACTTTGAGACTGAAAGGGGCTCTATTTATAACTATTCTGAGTTTCCAAGTTTATTCTCTGTTGCTTTTTATGAGAATGGAAGCTCCAGGAGGACAAGTAGTTGGTTTTACTGACAGCTATATGGCAAGATTTTCAAAACATCTGAGACATAGGAAACAACAAAAAAAAAATGTATTAAATGAGTGAATAAATCAATGAAGGAGTGTGTTGGTTTATATCTGTTCTATTTAAAATAGAATTATGAAGAATGATCTGTGAATTTTTCCCCAGGGAGCATCCTTCCCTCTCCAGATGTCCACGCTTTCTATGGAGGAAATTCAATATGGAAGATTTTTTCCCCAGGAAACACAAAACCGGCAGTTTTTACTACTCAAAATAAGGCTGTCAATCTTATTCTAATCTAGAGAAATTTAACTGAGACATCCTAACTTAGAAACCCATTTAAAATGCTAACCCAATATATGCCCATCTTTTAAGTGGGTAAATTATTATGGTTTAATATAAAGAATTTCCTACAAATTCAGCATTTTGTGTTACATGATTTATTAAAGTATAATTTTCATGAAGCAGTGTTACTTTACAAATTCTTAGTCCTCTGGTTTAAGCTCTAGTATACTACATACCACTAAAGTCAAATCCTTTACTCCTTATCTCAGTTTCAGAACTGAAAATCATATTATGTTTAGTGATCCTGTAGCCTCCATCAAACAGCTGCACAAAGCTATTTGCTCTTCTTTAAAATGCACAAAATCCTAAACCTGTTCCCTCTCTATAAGTAATTAATGAAATTTACTAGATGGAAACTAAATGATTATAGTTTAAATAAGACCTCCATTTTTATCTAGCATATTTTGTTCAGGCAGAAAAAAGACTAAGATTGAAATGCTTAGGTACGATTATAGTAGATTTAAAAAAGAATAATCATGTACTTCACCTGGCCTGGATTTAAATTGAACATTTAATCCTGTTAGTAGTAGAAGTTCATTAACCTTACTGCACTTTGTGCAGTAACAAGCACAAATCACTGCCTTTTCCTTCTCTGATGCTTGCAGTATTTAAAATATAATAGGACATTTTTATAACCAAAGACATTCAGAAAGACAGAAAAATACAAGTAAACAAGAAAAATGATCCTAAATATATTATAATGTTATTCTATGAAATGTTTTAATCTTAATAAAAGAAACGTTTTAAGCAGTACTGCCTAGGCAACTGTGCTTTTATTTTTTATTTCACTATGAAGCAGCCCTGAAGTCTTATTATTGCATATATGTGCATGTAAGGCTTCTCAAATCTTTGAGATGCCATTTCCAGAAAGAGTTTAAAGTACCAAACAGATGGAGTACAACAAGGTGCATTCATTTAAAAATGCACACAAATATATGTGAACATCTGCCCAATTTTGTGGAATTTTTTCTGAAGCACCATAAGTCTTCTCTATTTGTATTAGAATATGTGTGAATTTTGAAATTTCTCCTGAATAAAAAAAGGTTTTTAAAAAATGTTTATAGGATTTTATGAGTATCCTGATATTGTATACAAATTTAAAAGATTATATTCCATTTATTACGTTTCAAGAAAAGACTTGGAGATATCTAATTTCAATAAAAAGTGATAAGTAATATGAGCTGCTACAATGTAAAATTCTCACTTATATAAGCACAAACCATAACAATTTGTCTTCTACAGTTTTCCCACTACCTCAGTGGTATAATTGTTCTTTCGTTAAGCCACTCTAATGTTAGCCATTTGTATTAATCCTTTTATTTGCATTACCACATCCAAACCATAGAAAATATTCTAATCTGGAAATACTAGGTTGCAAGGAATATACATCCATGAAAATAACTTAGGAAGATCAGGAAAGAGGGTTGAAATAATGAAAAAAATATCTAATATATAACAGCTAATATTTGCTCCTCTCCAACTTTCACTTGTACATGATAGCTGTGATATTGACACTGGTTCCAATGTTATATTAGTCTTAGCTAAGGATCTAATCAATGACTGACAAAAGTTTCTATCTCACAGTTCCACTTCTCATCAAAGAGAATCTGATTTGTTCCTGGTCAGGTAATCAACCTTTTTGTTATCCAACCAGATAATTACGGTAATCACATTGTACACCAGGTTTCCCCTTTACAGAGACTCTGTGAAGTTCAGATTCTCTACACTCCTAAAAAGGGACACAACAAGTTAAATGAATATCTGCAGAATATTGATCTTATTGAAACAATGGCAATACTCTCATAAAATATTCCTATATAATATCTGCTTAAGTTTTATAAGTAGATTCTTAATCTGAAAGAGTAGCTTTCAAATTTTTGTGATTCAAAACAAAAAGTAATTGCAGACACCTCCTACAATTTATACAGTATATACAAATATTAACAAGTTATTCAAAGAACACATTTTACCACAAATAGAAAATATGAATTTAAAGGATGAAATAAAATTTTGCTATGAATGAATGTTTATTACTTTCCCTACATATCCATGATGAGACCACCTTTCCATAATATTTTGGAAATTTACTTGATTAACAAACCCATATATTATACTTGAGATCTGTCAAGCACTATTCTAAGTGTTGTTCAGACAGTAACTCACTTAATTCTCATAACTACTTTATGAGAAAGGTACTGTTATTATTTCTGCTTCATACATAAGGAAACTGATGCATCAAAGGTTAAATAGTGTGCCCAACATCACAAAACTAGTAAGTGAAACCACAAAAATTTTTACTCTGGTACTATCGTAACTGCTACCCTATACTTCCTCTTGGGAATTACCTACTTCAAGAGTCACAGTGACTCCTCTTGTCATAAAACCAATCCACAATTCCCAGGTGCCTCCATGGTCTTTCTCACACATCTCTCCATAATTTAAGTTTCCTTTCTTTATTTTACCTTGTTTCACACTCTGTTCCACTCTGTTGTCCCTTGTCTCATTAGAAGTAAACATCTCCCACATCATTGACAAAGAAACTGGTGAGATCTCCAATAGTCAGATTACTGCAGGGAAAAAGCAATTGTAGAAAGTCCTCGTGTATATCACCATAATGATAAACATGGAGACATTCCTTGGTGGATTGGTCTTGGCATGTGTATTAAGAAGAAACCCAGTGGGCAATATCTTGGGCGGCATCTATTCTGTCTTTCCTGACTACGCTGTCTCAAGGGCAACTTAGTGTGAGTTGCTCGAGATATTTTTCCTTTCTCTCAAGCAAAAATGAGCTTCATAATTCACGCATGATGAGATGTCAAACTAATTATAATTTTACTTTCTCTATTTTCAAAGTAGAAAATATGTCAGAGTAGCTTCAGAAATGGCTAGATGATGCAACAAAGGCCCCTTGTTAATCACCAGAAGAGTTCTGGGAGTACAGTTTCCATATCTACTCTTTTTTTGTCTTTATGCCATGCCTGTTGCTTTTTGTTCTTGACATTACTTCTCTCTCCTTGTGAGTTATAAGACTAAATTGCTTTAAGAAAATAACATTTGTTGTTGTAAGTGTTTCCATGGTCATCTTCAGAGATCCATGTTTTACTTTGAAAGGGAGTAGGCAATGATTTCAAACACTGAGTTATAAGTACCTAATCTGCCCCATTTGGCTTCCCTACTCTAGAGGACATTGAATATAATTATTTTACTGTCTAACAACCTTCACTTATCCTCATGTTGTCTAGAGCCTGCTTTTATTTTCTTTGCACATCTTTTCATCTTTTCTACCTAATCCTGAAAACACCTCTCTTAGTTTGTAATAGAACACAACCAAAGGTTGATTTAAGAGGATCTTGAGAAGGTAAGAGCCACTTTCTGGTAGTTTCTTAGGTAATTTTTACGGCTTTTTACTCAAATCTACGGTTCTGAATCTTTCCTTGAGTAACCTTTATGCTGCTCTTCTTGCTCTATGAAGGAAAGAAACACCTCAAAGTTGTGGAATTCATTGAAATATCAATTGAGGCAAGGAGTCATTATCAGAGTTCTCAAAGTTTAGATTTTCTGAGTTTTCAGTTAGCCCATATGATTGGAATTGAGCTTCTCAAGTTAACAGAGGACTTATACTAATCTAAGTAGAGAGAAAAGTCACAAAAGGTGCTGCTTCTGCCCAAGGGAGATCGAGCCTTCTGCTTGCATTTCAAAAAGACACAGCACATTTGGGGGAAATAAGAATAAGGCAGAAAGGTCAAGAAACTGATAGCTTTAAGAACTCGCCCATAGGTTTCAAGACTTCTCCACTGTTTTCCCTGTAGGAGTTCAGCAGCAATGGAAATAGTCTGTGAATAGGTATTGGTCTCAGATCTTTGACTCTGCAAAGAGAGAGTCCCAAGATGCCAAACACAGCTTCAGGGAAGGTTGTCTTTGATGTGTACATAACAGGGATGACAAGAGACATAATATGAAGTTCACAATCTGTTCCATACTAATATAGTCCTACAATAAACAGTAAACAGAAAATGAATTTTGGGAAGACCACAGGGAAGGAAGTAATGCTCTGGGGAAGTTGTAAAACTGGAAGAAAGAAAAAAAGGTGGCTGCAATGGAATAGAAAAAATGGAAATATGTTCTACTTCAAGGCAAAGTTGTTGAGTTTTAAGAGAAAAAGAGGCATGAATTTTAAAGCCTGCAAAACCAGTCCCCAGACATCTGAATTAGCCAAATTCTAGTGCTTCTGCCTAAGATGCCAAAAGCACAGTCCCGGGGGACTGAGAGGAGAGAAACTAGGAAGTATTTCTTTCAATAAGCCATCTCAGTGTTAAGACTTCCCACATGCAATTAGACTAACAGACTCCCCTTAACACACTCATTCAATAAATATCTACAGAGTTTCTAATATATTTGAGGCTCTGTGCTAAGTGAAGATACAAATATGAAGAGATGGCGCACCTGCCCTGTCCTCGGTCATCTCATCATTCAGCAGGGAGATGAACATACAGAAAAACAGAAAAGGCAACTGTTCTAAGGAGCACTGGAGACTGAGAAAATAGACTGAAGGAATCAAGTTGAGTTTCACAGATGATCGAGTATTTGCACTGAGGCTTTAAATATGATTACAAATGTCCTTCATTATTGAGAAATGAGATTGCATTTTTGTCAAAGGGACTAATATGTACCAAAGTACACAAGGATGAGAATGCCTGGCCTCTCCCAGAATAAACGATGAAGACTCAAAGCTATGAGAGAAGAGACAGAAGAACAAACCTGTGAGAGTGTGAAGAAAAGGAGTGTTTGTCAGTTTCTTATTTCGTCTACTAAGTGCATGCTGCTTTAAATTTATTAAAAGTGTTAATGTAACTGTTAAGATAGATAGATGATAGATAGACAGATAGATAAGATAGGTAAATAATAGATAGATAGATAGATAATTAGAGACCTATCATGCATATCAGATGTTCCCAAGTGAAAAAGAAGATAATCCAACTCATCAGTTTTTCATGAAAATAATTAGTAATGACAGTGGATAAGAATTCAACAGCACTGTTGTTATACAAATTAAAAAATCGGAAATCTGAAATGCCTTCTCAAGCACACGCTCTTTTCCTCACTTAAAAATTATTTTATCCTGAATATAGAAAAGAAGAAAGTGTAATGATTCTCCATACAACCATCAAGATTTTGTTCCATTTGATTTGGCTATTTTTTACTTTTGATGATCTATTTTAAATCTCAGACCTCCTTTCATTTCACTCTTACATATTTCAGTGTATACCTTTTTTAAGAATATGGCATTTTTCCTAGGCAATTAGGATGTCATTATTACACCTAAAACATTAATAATAACTCACTGTCATCTCCCAAGGTACACTCCATAATCAAATTTCCCTGGATGTATTGTGAAAATGTCCTTTTTACTGTTGGTTTACTTGAATCAGAATTCAAACAAGATCTACCTATTATATTTAGTTGTTTAAAATAAAGCAGGCCCTTGTTCCTGATACCTGTTTTCCCCACATCATTGCTTTACAGCAAAAATTGGTGTATTTATTGTGGAGAATGGCTCATTTTTGGATTTACCTATACTTTTTGTAATATTATTTAAGTTTATATTTTTATTTTCTATTTTTCCTGTAAATGGAAGTTAGCTCTGATGGCTTGATTAAATACAGAATCAACTTATTTTGTGGCAAGAACACTCCATTAGTGCTCATCAACTGGAGCTATTTGTCTACCTTAAAATATACTTAGTAAAATACAGAAGAGTAAATGTAGAATAATGTGTAATTATTTCCTTGCAATTGCTAATTATCAGAATAAAGACTTAGTACTTCTCGCTTTTTTAAAAACTAAAGCACTTAATATTGTCCAGTCAGATAAAAAAAAACTTTTTAGGGAAACTACCAAGATGAGAAAGCTTGAGCTTGAGTATATTCCCATTCTATATTCCTCACTTCTGAAGGTAAAATGTTAAACTGTCAGACTTACTTGGCACCATATTTAGTAGAGTTCCATATGAAAATAAATCCTAAATGAAACCCTAAATCATTGTACAGATAGAATTTTGCCACTAACTAGCAATATACTCCTAATGACTAGTTTTATCATTCTCTCCCACTCTAGAATTTTCATGATGATATAATATTATGGAAAAAAAAAACTAGCCTGTCGTCCCACCTCCTATTCACAGGAGCTTAGAAGAAATAAGCAGGAAGTAAGAAAATATGTTGTCACTTTCTATTCCGCAATTTTGGGGATTGTGAGAAATACAAATTTTGACAATAGATGTATGGGAATATAGCAAATGCTCTGTAATCAAAAAGTAGCATTGCTAACTTTTCACTCTAATCTGGAGAGCAAAAAGATAGCCTAACTACAGGTATAAAGAATTTGGATGCTTTCATAGGATGACTTAAGGACCATGCTCAATTACATTTTCTCCAAAGGGTATCATTCATAACTGGCATTCCTAGCTCCATTTTCACCACCCCACAAAGGAAGTCTACAAAAAATAAAAAATCCTATTTGAAAAGCAAGATCATAAATTTCTCCTCCAAAACATAAGCAATTTCATCTAGGTACAAGATAGCTACAACTATTTTTTCAAACCTGAATATTAATGTGTTGTGAAAAAAGCATGAACTCCATAAGCAGAAAGATCATCAACAGGGGGACTAAAAAGCCCTCAAAAGCCTCTCCAAAGAGCCATTAGAAATTGTCAAGGAATCAGAAAATTCCGTAGTAAATGACCCAAATGACTTTGAGAGATGAAAAATAAGGAAGCTGAAATAGCAAAATAATAACAGTACTTGCTACTTACATAATAGCTTTCTTGAGAGAATTCTGAAACACTTTCCAAACATTAATCCAATAATTTTTTGTCATTAGTCTACACAGCACAAGGGAGCCTTTTATATTATTTCTCACTGAGCACTTGGGGGAAACTAAGGCTTAGAAAGACAAAGATAGTGTGACTTTAATAGATTTGCTCCTGATGTTGGAAAGTCAGTTCTAGAAGAGAATTCTCAGAGAAAATACAATGCAACTTCATTTTACATTCTAGTATTACTAGACAGCATTGATTCAGAATTAACTTGATAAGTTAATAAAGAGAACTGATATAAAAGTTTTGTCAATAGTTATCTAAAACTCAAGGAATTCATTAACTTCAAAACAAGCATACCTAAAATGAAAAGCTGGAGAGAATGTATACTCCACATTTGAAAGATATTTTGGAAAAAAAAATTTAATGGAAAGATAATTACATGCATACATTTTTTGTTAAAGTATTATATTCCATTATGTTCTAAAGCAGCACTTAAGGCAGTAGCTTAAGAAAACAGTTAATATCATACAATTCTAAATGAAAAGTAACCAATAATGAAGAACAAGCCAGGTAACTAAGACCAAATTTCAGGAAAGAATCACAGCCTTCTCGTAATGAATTCACAGCTTCTTTGATATAAACTCACAGTTTAATACAAACAGCAAATCATCTGAGACTCACAAACTGCTGCTGATGGAAGTAAACCAGGTAAGGAATTCTGCAGGGGAGAACAATATAAACCAGCAGCAACAGGAGGAAAATTCAGTTTGCAGTAGAAATTGTAGCAATACCAAAAAGCATCATACAACAGACAGAACAATCGCACAGAAAGGGGAAAAAAAGCATGCCTCTTCCTATTTGTAAAGAAAGGCAACTGGGTGAAAGAAAACCCTATGTGCTTTTAAATCTCATTTCTAGAAAATAAATTCCCTTATTCCTAAGAGAAAACATTATTTTTATGTGTGATATGTGAGATTAATAAATGCTATGAACTACATGGTGAAAAAGGTGACTAACTTTTGAGGTGACATTGGGTGAGTGTGTGTGTGTGTGCACACACACACGCGAGACAGAGAGAGAGTGTGTTTATGGTAGTTCCCACTTAGCCATGGGGGATACTTTCCAAGTCCCTCAGTGGATGCTTGAAACCTCGAATGGTACCGAACTCTATACATACTATATATTTTCCTATATATACATACGATAAAGTTTAATTTATAAATTATGCACAGAAGAGATTAAAAACAAAAACATAATAAAATGGAATAATTATACCAATAACAATATACTGTAATGAAAGTTGTGTGCTTGTAGTCCCTCTCTCTCTCTCTCTCATAATATACTGCGCTCACCTATTTTCAGGATGCAGCTGACTGCAATCAACTGAGACTGTGGAATGGTGGATTAGGAAGGACTACAGTATACTGAAGGGTGAGGGTGAGGACAAGAGAAGGGAAGGTGGTGGAGATGATTATTCAACAGTCAAGACTCTGCTAGTACACAAGACACCAGAAATCCGGAAGACCTCTCCCTGCCCCGCCAAAACAGGAGAAAAAATAAATTTCTGAAAGATTTTGATATATTTTAAATGAGGAAAGAAGTAATCATTTTGAGTACATTCTAAGAATTGTTAGGCCTCATTATGTTGATTTGTAGTTTGGTATTGTTTTTATTTCAAATCTGACATTGAAGATGCACCATAACCTTTATAAGGCTTGGGACCTCTGAAGATCGCTATCTCAGTACTGAAGCCTAGTCAGAAAACAAGATCTTCCCTTAGGAGGGAAAAGCATCCCGGAGCACTGGAGATGACATTCTGATTATGATAGCTCCAATTCATAAACCCTGTGCATGTAGTCATGTCTGACACATCTTAGAATCCAGCTTAATGACAGGCTTAGGGTTCTTATTCCACTGAGTTCAGGATTTTTTAAATTATTTTTTTAGAATTGTTTGCAGAAATTGGGCCTGAAAGCCATGATTTTCTCCTTTCTAATTTTGCAGAATCCATGCTTTTTTTTTTTTTTTGTAGGGAAACACAGGCCCTGAAGTCAGACTTCCCAGCTCAACCACATACTAATGCGTATCATACTGGACTGATGAGTAAATTAAATGGGATTAAAAGAGATAATATATATTGTAGCCTTAAAATTGTACCTAAACCATAATAAGGATTCAGTAGTATTAAGTATGAATTGATCAGGGTCTAGGCAACAAACCTTTTGTCTAATCCTGACATCAGCGATTGGAAAACATGATTCTTTTGGATTGGAAACAGAGCCCTAGCAAAAATTATTCTTTCATGGTTTTAGAAAATGGCTTCCACTTTTCAGACTAGAGAAACAAGCACTGAACACTCATGGTGCCTTTCCAGATCTTTTAAGGTCCCTTTTACAAGTTCTGTGTGGCCCTCCCCCAACATCTGCCTGCTTTGCCTCTGAAGACTGGCCTTTGGTATGGAGGAAAATGGGAAGTGCCCAGAGGTTAACACTACTGCTTCTGGGCCCTTCTCTTCCCAAGGATCTCCTAAAGGAACAATTGGCGTAAGAGCACAAACAACCTGCCCCTTTGCTGAGTAGGGAACAAATTCTCAAATTCTGAGGTATGGCTTATACTCTAAGTTGGACTAAAAAAAACCACCAAAGCTGGGCTGGGTTTTTCCCCTTCTCTATTCTGCTGCCTATTCCCTTCATGGTGTCTCTGGAGAACACGTCCTCAATAAAATCATCTGCACCCCAATCCTTGGTTCAAGATCTGCTCCCAGAAAAGCCTGATCTAGGATGGCCTTAATTTGAATTTATTCTGAGAGAAAAAGTGAAAGGAGGTAATAGAACAGAGAAGAGAATATATATTGCAACTTAGCTAAGCAAAGATTGCACAGTCATAAGTTAATCTGATTCTTAACAGTCAGTTTCTCTTTCCTTCTAAAACTTCTTCCATCAGCAGACAGGTAGTGAGGGGCAGAGGCTAAGTGAGTTAGGATTCAATCTAATGGCAAGAAAGATATATCTTTCTAATCCCCTTTTCCCTTCCAGAATGCTGTATAGGGCTGATTCAACTCTCCCCTGGGGAATACAGTGTTAAGGTGAAAAGCACACAGAGGCTGAAATTAAATATAAAGTTCTGTCCTAAAGACAGGGCTGAGGGTCAGTTCAGATAAACATGACCAAATAAGGTGTTTAATGGCAGGACCTGAGATAAGAACTAGAAGTCAAAGATCAGAGCAAAGGTGAGTCACACAGCCAAGGATCATGAAAGGAAGTAATAATAATTAATTTGGTTGGTATGAGTACCTGAGGCCCTTCTCAGAGTGGCACAGAGCAAGGTTTCCACCATACTCACAAGCCAAACATTCTAGCAAACTCTGTTGTATTCATGAGGTAGAATGTAAGTGGTTGTACCTCAACTTTTATCCTTAACTGCCTATGAAAGGGGTAGAGGGTAGATTTAGGGGAAGATAGGGCTGATCATAGATTATCTTCAACAGGTGAACTATGCATGGCCTGAGAAAAGAGCATGCCATCAATATCTCTCTCTCCCTCAGATGTCCTGAAGCAGGAATATTCTTCTTACCAATTCCTAGTGTAGTGGAGGTGATCTCAAAAGACCCTACTTAACTAGTCATTTGTCTACAGTTGGTGAAGCTTAGGGTGTTTGGGGGACTGGGAGGTCAGAGAAGTAGCAAGGTTGTGGGTAGCAAGGTTCAAACTTTTTTGAAAGGAAAAATGGGTGAGCCACTGAATCATAATCCAGTCACACACTCACACACACACACACACACACACACACACACAAACTATAACCAAAACAAATGTTTCACAAAACTAATACTGTCCATTATTTTGTATATACATGCTGGTATTTTATATTTTATTCTATTTTGTATATATAATAAACAAATTTTACCCAGAGGATAAATTCCATCTGGGTGTCATTGGTCTTGGGATGGGATTGGTTGTTGACAGACACCCACAATAAAGTGTATGGGGCAGTATTTTCCAAAACTAAGTTATAAACTTAAATCAAAGTCCGAGACAAGATTGTGTCTGAGATTATACTTACAGCAGGTTTTGGGGACACTAAAATACACCTTTTTTTGATGTGGCATATCTATATGATAAAAAAAGCTTCTCTTTATTGTGTTAGCCACTCTCTAGCCTTTCTTGAGCCCCTTATCCCAAAATAATCATTCTATTTCATCATATCCCTCACTGGCCTGAATTACCTTAGGTCTTCCTTAATATATTCAGCTATTACAGGATAGTAGGAGGCGGACATACAAGGTATGTGTATATTGTAACAGATAAGAATGAGATAAAGATAAAAGAACAAAGTGTCAGCTCAGGTATGGGAAGAAAAACATTAAGCAAAAGAAACATTTTTTGAATAACAGTCTTTTCTCTACCAGAAATTCTCGTTAGAATTTTAGTGTACTTTGAAAGGTATCTCATGTGATAAAAAATAATTTATAGTAAGGAATTACTAGAACCCCTAACAAAAAATCAAGTAATCACTTGATTCTCACTGTCTAGGAACCAATTTGAAAATCTCATATCAAACTTCTCTCTTGATGACAGCCAAATCAATTAATGCACTTTTATCATTAATGACAGGACATAACATGTTTTTGAAATTATCTTTTGGGCCTTTATTCTCCATAAAATGACATACTACAGCAAGCCACCCTTATGGCCTTTTGCAACAATTATTTAAAATCAAAGAGCCATTAATTCATATATCTGTGCCTCTGTAATAGTACTGTTTAAAAAGGTGGGGAGTGAGAGAAAATCTGTCAGTAAAATCATTGGACCTTTCAAGACTGATACGATTTATATAGAATCATTGCAATTCTATTTAGAGTGCTGTGATCTTAGTGGCTAGGTATGAGGGGGCTGAATTATTCATGTTTTCCTGGTCAATATATATTCATACACACAGGCACACACACATACACACTAAGCAGTTCTTCATTTTTAGGCTGCTTGCATGGATTTCTGAATTTGGTTCCTTGTGGAGTGATTCAGAGTCCATCAGTAACAAGCCGTGTTCTCCGCACATGGATACCAACAGAGGCTTAAAAATAGGAGCCATGTGCAACAGAGCTTCTTGTGCCAACCAACAGATTCTATCTGCATCTGCTACATATGGATTGACAGGAGAGGGGCCAAGTATACGTTGGTGTGAAGCAGCTTGCTGCTTCTGTTTTGAGAAAAGCTCATCATTGTACAAGTCCTGAACAAATTAGCCTTCCAATCACAATGCAAGTATATTGAAATAGGGTGAAAAACCTAGATGGTACCAAGCCATTCTTGCCAAATTAGTAGAGGATTAAAGAAGGGGAAAATCATTTGAAGACTGATAATTAGTAAGATAGAAAAGACGTGAGGGTATGTTCAGCTATGTGACTGAAGCTTACATTAAAAAAAACAAAACAAACAAAACAACAACAACAACAAAAAACTTGTTGCCACCAAATGGAAAGTAGCTGGAGTCAAATGGGTACAACATAATACAGAGCTTTGAGCTGTTTTTTGGTTAGAAACAAAAGAATTAGAGTCAAGGTTGTAAGGGAAGGTTAGGTAAATTTCTGGATCTGGAAGTCATTTTCCAAATTCATTGGGCTAACAATAGGCAATCTAAGGGGAAAATGAGATTGAGTGCATATTAAGACTTATTATTATGAAACAATAGTATGAAAGTGCTCTGTAAAATATAAAACAGTGCACAGATTTACTTCTGGTTATTTTACTATGTGAACATTCTAATCCTTTTATAACTATATTACCTTATGTGAAATAGATAACTTAGTCATTTTCCAAGTGCACAACATAATTAAATAAATGAATAAGTCAAAGAGGGTGTGTGAACAAGGCCCACATTTTCATACATTTTTTTATCTCCTGAACAAATGGCAAAATTTAGTCTTTGTGAAAATTAAAAGGGGATAATAGTGGATAGGGTCCGTATCCCATCTAATTTATTTATTTTACTATTACTATTACATGTAAATTTTCACTTCATATCCCTTACACCTGTATTTCTATCAGAGGAGAATACATATCCTTAAGGACACAGGCATTGGAATATAACTACTTGCACAGCTAGCTCACTCTCTCAATCATGAACAACAACCACATAAAAATTATTAAGCACCTACAATATACCACACATTGTGGTGGGCAGCAGGCACACAATGCTGCCTGTCTTGTTAGAGCTTATAGGCTGGAAGGGAAAGCAAAACAAGAAAACAGAGTAATTGTCACAGGGCAGGGAGCTGAGACAGAAGAAACACAGGATGCTTTGGGAGTACATGGGAGGGACATCAGCTTAGACTGTGGTGGTCAGAAAAGGCTTCTTTGAGGAAGGTGACTGGATTTACAAGTCCACATTAACCTATCCTGGAAAGAACAAGGGAATAGGTGAAAATAAATCATCATCTGAAAGAAATAAGAAGGACAACCCCAGCGTGGAATTCGCAGGCATGTTTGTAGTATGAGCAGGACTTTAGAACATTTGGTTTTGTGGCTTGAGGTGGAATTCATAAGGCATCTCACATTTTTTTTTAAACAAGGTCAAAGGGATCCATGAGGAAACCATGAAAGAATATGGGGATCATGAGTCTTGTGTATGTCCTTCTATGGATACCAGATCCAAAGGGGCCTGTGGGTTTTCTGCACCAAAGACCATCTAATGGCTTATAGCCTGAAATAATACTTGCATTAATGCTCAACATACTCTGTCACTCTCTTCTTCAAGATGGAGCATTGTGTAAAATATCAGTACTCATAATGAATAGCTAAGACATACTGAGTGTTATGTGCCAAGCACTAAGTATTTTACATATATTATCTATGTTAGCCCTAAGAGCACTGTGCATAGGTCCTATTATATCCCTATTTTACATAGAAGATGCAGGGAGTTTACACTGGCAAAGTTAGGTTTCCGCTCCAAACCTGTATAACTCTAGAGCCTGCGCTTTTAACACTCTATAGTATTTCCATGCAATGGTATCATGTTGTTGCTGTTATTATTATTGAGTTGCCATTCTATCTCCCCATAATTCATTTTGGAATGCTTATAAAGTTTTTATAGTCAAAAACACTAATTAAAAAGACATTGGCATTTCCTCATATCTTTTGCATATTACCTCTTCGGAAAGTAGCTAATACTGCAGAGTAAAGAAGAAAAAAAAAAAAAAAAACCTCTCTTGTCTGAGTTACAAGGGATACATACTGTGGCCTTAGTTATTAATTAAATGTTTTAAAACATTATTTATCAGTGTGCTTTTTCACTGTCAGAATGCCTTAGGGCTCCGCACAGCAGGTCCTCCACAGCTTTCAGGGAAGAGCTGCCAAGAGTCCTTGCCCAGTGTTCACGGCTATATTTGTTCATTCTATTACAATATATACTTTGCTTCTCCTAGTGATTTTACTTTAATCTATGTAGCAAATCATGCAAAAACATAAAGATATTTCAGTGGAGTAGATAGCAAAGAAATTGAGATTATGTAAATTGGACATTTTCTCTTCTTCCTCAAGAAAACAAAATATTTATATGCCTGTTCATTAAAAATTGTCCAGAGGAAATTTGCAAGAATACCATTTCCTAACCTCTGCATTTTCTTGTGATTCAAGGTGACAATTACCACACATGCAGTAAAAAATGATGTGAACAAATATTAGCATAGGGGCATAATCTCTCAACTCTTCCACAGAGTCTGTATATATTCCAATGATTATTTTTGAAATAGTGGTTGCCTTTCAAAGTGTCATCACTTTTATTCAATGCATTCCTTTGTATAGTTAGTATAGTAGCAATGAAATAAAACACTGAGTTGGTCAGCTTGTAAAACTGTCAACTAATATATTATTAATGGAGTTTAACAGATGAGTGCAAAACTAGGCCCTATCATCTATGTGGCCATGTCAGCAAAGAGAAGAGAATCTGGCTTCTGCTCTTATGTCAATCCAACTAACAGGAATTGAAGCACCTGAATTAAACAATTTGCAACCTGTCAAAACTTAGCAAGATCAAGCATTTAAACCAAACTGAAAGTTTTGAGGGGAAATTTTTTATTATTATAGTATTTATAATAACTGAAAATTGAAAACAAAGTAAAACAAGCCTCTTTCTTAATAGGGGATTATGGATTAGGAGCATTTAACTAATGGAGACTTCCACTTAAGGTACACCACTGAAGAATAAGTTTCCTGTAGGCATATGACTTATGGATACAGTCTTATTCCCTCATATTTGCATTTTTTTAAATGAAAGTTCTGTATAAGCATTGCATACTGAAAGATCTAAGGAATAATCAACCAAACAAAAGCCCCACATGAATGATGCAAGTAATTAAATGAACTGAAGAATTTTACTGTAAATATGAGGATGCTCTATATTACTGTTGGGGAAAATCAAGGCTCTTAACCTTTCTATTTAGGGATGTTTCATAAGTAAATTTCCACCTAAGCTACCAAGAAAGCTGGGCATCAGAGAAGAGGCAGAAAAACTAAGGAGACTCAGAAGAGACAGGATTCACAGGAGTCTTTTCTCTTGAGTAGCGTGGCTGTGCCTACATTTGTTTCACATTCTATCTGCCTCCCTTCCGAAGCTCAAGTTCACAAAGTGGGCATGGGATTACCAGAATATTTGAGCTATTGAACATGAAAATGAGGTTCAGGAAACAGGTGATTCCAAGTGTCCCACCAGTGATAGGATGGAAACATTCCTCTCCATAGGTAATAATACCATCACTAATTAAATATTTTCCAGCTTGCTTTCACATATTTAACGCAACATTTCTATCTCCAACATAGCGAAAATGGATATCATTAAGTACTTACCATGTGACTAAGAAGACTAGCAACTATAACTTTATGAAAGGATTCTTCATGTACTTATATGAAAAGAATGCCTACTTTGTTTCCTCTGAGCCTAGCCAATCTAAATTTACCTTCTTTCTGCACTAACAATATTTTCTTATTAGAGGAAAATTCTATTTCCAGTAGACCTCTCTTTCACAATGTGGAAGTCCACAGTTAACATATATAGTAAGTGTACCTTTCTTAAAGGAAGTTTCCCACACAACTTGGTCTCTGTCAACAGGCCACAAAAAATAACATAGTGTTAATTAAGTTTAAAAATGTTCTTTCCATTTTAAGACTAATTAGCATATAGCACTTTCATCAGGTTTATTGAAAATTTATACCAGAGAATTAGCTTCACGGAACATTGCTTCATGGCATAGAAAACCCCTCCTCCCATAATTCTCCAAATGCAATGCATGGATTTAATTAGTTGTTATCAAATAGAATAAACTTAGAATGCTTTAATTCCTGCCACTTACTTCCATCTTCTATGTTAAAGATTTTAGTTCTATTTTGTTAAAAAGAATTCCCCTCAAATTAGTCTTCATGCCATAGGGGTTTATGAGGATGACTTCAACTGCTGTGTTCTGAATTGACAGCAATATTTCTGGGGAGAAGCAGTCAGGTTTGCAACAGGAAGCTATTGCAAAATTCCAGGTCAGAGATAATGGTGGCGTGGGCCAGGATGAAAACAACGGAGGTGGTTAAATGCATTTGGATTCAGGATATATTTACTAGGTAGGCCTAATAGGTTTCACTAATTGGATACACAGTGTGTGAGAAAGAAAGAAGTCAAGCATGAGCCTAAGGATTTTTGGCCTGAGTAATGGGAAGGATGGTATTAGTGAATTGGGAAAGATTGAAGAGAATAGTGGGAGTTGGGAAGGTGAAGTACAGCGACTGAGAATATGCTAAATACCTCTGTTCAATATCTAGTAGACATGTTAAAACTTTAATCTTGGGAGTTGCCAAAGGTAGGTGGAATTTTAAATCATGAGTCTAAGTGTCATTAAGGGTGAAGCAATAATCAGCTTCAGTGAATCAAGAGACTGACCAACAATAACTGGACTCAGCAGTTATAAAACTCTTCCGAGGAGTTCTGCTAAAAAGAGGGCATTATAAGGAGGAAATCTGAAGGTCAGGAGAAGTTAGGAGAATTCTTTTTTTTTTTTTTTTTGACAGAGTCTTGCTCTGTCACCCAGGCTGGAGTGCAGTGGCATGATCTCTGCTCACTGCAACCTCTGTCTCCCATGTTCAAGCAATTCTCCTGCCTCAGCCTCCTGAGGAGCTGGGACTACAGGCATGTGCCACCATGCTTGGCTAATTTTTGTATTTTTAGTAGAGATGGGGTTTCACCATGTTGGCCAGGCTGGTCACGAACTCCTGACCTCAAGTGATCCACCTGACTCGGCCTCCCACAGTGCTGAAATTACAGGCATGAGCCACTGCACCCAGCCAAGAATTTTTTTAATCGATTGAGATATATAAGTATATCTGATGCTAATGAGCATGATTCAGTAGATAGGAAAACCTGGTATTGCAGGAGTGAGAGAAGATAACTGAGTCAATGAAAGGAAATGGGACAGGTGCACATGGGCAGGAAGGAGTGGGGACGGTGGAGCTTTTTCCTGTGTAGCAGCATGTTTAGTACACCTTCAATAAGAGGAGAAAAGAAAGCATATGTATGTACACATGCTGCTAAGTGGGTAAACACAGTCAAGAGAGCTTGTGTCCAATCTCTTCTAATTACTTCCCTTTTCCTATTAAATCATCAGTTGAGACGTAGGCAGAGGAAGAAGTTTGAGGGTGGTTGAGAAGGTATGAAATTTTCTTCCAGTGGATAGAAAAGCAAATAATTGGGGGAAGGTTATAGAATTTGATGGAAACCAATTGGACCCCATTTGAAATTAGTTTTCATGGATTTGATATGAGACAACTTAGTATGGCAGGATGTCTTCGTCTATGTGCAACACACTCCACACCTGCAGGAGCTGACCAAGGAAGGAGTGGATTAGGCCATGACTGGGCTATTGCCAAGTATGTACAAATAAAGCAAGAAGATCATGAAAGTTAAGGATTATGGGTAAAGTATTGAGTCTACTGTTCCATTATGAAATTTAGAATATGTACAAGGTAACTTGAGAACATGACAGGGCTGAGAGATAGTGCAAATATGGTAAGATCAATGGATTATGGGTTCTGCCTGGGTTGAGGGATTATTGAAGTTGAGATACCAGAGGGAAAATAGAAGGTTGCAGACAGAGAATTAGATCATTTAAAAGTGAGATGATGGAAGGTTTACAACTGTTATAATGATGAAATGAGGGAATAAGTGAGAGAATTTCTGAGGTAAGGTGGTATACCACTCCCTTGAAGAAGAGGTTACTAAAGAAGAGAGATGCCAAGGTATTCAAATCATCAGGAACTAAGAGCACAGTAGTGTTGGACAGGCTGAAAGGGAGACAGTGTTCTAGGAATGAAAAGCTTCAGGGAGTAACAGGCAACAGCTATTGAGTGCTTACAATGACCCAGACACTAATCTATGCAAATAATGACTCTTTTAAACCTCTCACAACTCTGTAAGGTATTCTTATTATTATCATCATTTTTCAGTCTAAGAAATTGGGGTGCAAACGACTTCAATACTTTACTGAAAGTCACACAGCTAACAGGTTGAACTCATATTTGATCCCAAGCTGTCTGTATCCCTAATTATATTTTTAAACCACTATGCTATGTTTCACAGAACAAGTGAGGAATGACTCATGTGTTGTGTTAGACTGCAGAAGGGGTTATAGCAGGTGGGATATTTGATGGCATGAGACATATATCTGGGAAGACTGGTTTGTGTCAGTGAGGAGCAAAGAGCCCCTGCAGCGTGGGAAATATAATAAACTGGTATCTGACTCCTTCCTGGAAAATTCAAAAGTGAATATATGAGGAGCTATCTGCTCTGAAAGAAGCAGTAAAAAAAGACGTGACTAAATCCTTCTGAATGTTCTCCTAGAATTCTTCAGTGTAATGATGCCTAAATGTTCCTCATTTATCAGATTTTGTCCACATACTCCAAGAGTTGTGAGGTTCACATATATCATGCCCCATAGGACCATCCAAAAGGTGGTCCTTCATTAACTAGAAGTAGTTAATGAAGAGACAGAGAGAGCATCACTCATCAGTAAGATTTCAGGTGACTGGGGGTGTAGGTAGGGTTTCTGATTAATCATAAAAGTACTCCAGAAAGGAAAGCATGAGTTCTAAATATCAGCTAGGCATAGAGGGAATTGAGGTACCAGACAAGTCAGAGCCTTCCTGCCTCAGTTCCCCTTAGCTTTCATTTGTCCCTCTATCTCCCTTACCAGGAAACAGAAACCACAGAGTAGGAGGTGGAAAGAAGCCAACCACAATCCCTGCCCAGATGTAGGCTTTGCACCTGCAACAGGCTTGAGCTTTGAATGAAAACTAAGTGTCGATTATTCTACGTGAATGCACATTCTAACTTTGGAAATAATTTTAAGTGAATAAAATTTATCTAAAATTACTCAGAAAAGACATAGAATGGCTCACATTTTCAATGAACGTGAGGGAAGAACTTCCCTTCCTGAAATAAACAATGAAGGGACATGAGAGAAAAAAGGTGCTACATAATTCCAACTCTGAGTCTTGCCTCTTCTCCATGCTCCTTGTACTAGTCTCTGTTTCCAATCTTGTCTCCTTACCATCCATCCTCACCCAGTCATCAGAGGGAAGTTTAAAACAGAAAACATATAACAAAGCTAAATTCAGCACTGGTATTTCCTTGCACTTAGAAAAAAGTTCAGACTCTTTTCTGTAGCCTACAAGGCCATACATTATTTAACCCATACCTACCTCTCAGACCTCATCTTCTGCCACTCTTCTCCCTTCTTTAGAACTTGCTAAGTTCTTTCTCCTCTTAGGCCTTTGCACCTAACTGTTTCCATCTTCCTGGAATGTTTTCTCCCAAGATCTCTATGGAGGTGGTCCTCCATGTCATTTGTTTCTGTTCGAATGACAACTTCTAAGAGTGCTTCTTTGACTTCTTGGTCTAAAGAAGCTATCACTGCTAGTTATTCTCTCTCAGATCTCCCTGCCCATTTCCTTCATAATATAAGCACTATTTGAAATTATCTTATTTATTTGTTTCCTTTTTGCCTGTTTGTATTCCCTTCTCCAATTAGAATGCAAAAATCTATAAAATCAGAAGCATTTTAATCTTATTTACTATTACATCCCCAGTTTGAGAGCTTTGCTTAGCATGTAGTAGTTGCTCAATAAACAGTATGCAAAAAATCCATAGATTTTAATTTCAAAGGTTATGTTGTATATAATAATTTAACAATATTTGTGAAGAAAAAATCTTTATTGGCACAGAAAACTTTGCAGTGGAGCAATTTAGAAGACATGGGAGCTAGTCTTTCAGCAGAGAAGCGTATTGAGGAAATTGGCTGGAAATCATACTCCTAAGGAATGCTTTAACATGACAAGTTACATTAGTGTATCACTAATGTGGATTCAGTCAGGGAAGCAAAATGATTATGAACTATGGGATGAGAGATTTGCTGTAGGAATTAGATCTTCCTTAATGAATGTCTGAAAGGAAAAATTGGGAAGCTAGAGGAGTCAGAGATCAGTCAGTCTGAGAAACCACTGATTTCATGTTCAGACATGTACATGGATCTGAGTAATGGGAGGTGATGGAGAAGTCTCTGGAAGAAGTCTAGGGGTCTGCCTCCAAGTACCTGGTGATGGACAAGAGGCCTTTATTGGTCAGCAAGATCAGCAGCTGGCAAGATTGCTGGATGTGGAGCAGAGGAGATTTTAAAGAACAAGCTATAACCCATCAGTTTATCCTCACTCAGTCTGCCACCACAGCCTCAGATCTCATCACACGACTGTCATCACAACCTTTGGAGAGCAATGGATGCTGGTTTCCTTCTTCTAAACAAATGTCATGCAAGTACCACTTTTAGCCAACTCTAGCCTAGAGCATTAGGGAAGGGTATTCTGGAAAGCATAGGTCCAGCTTAGCCAAGTGAATGACAGGCAGACCCCTCACAGTTAGTTAGGACTCATTTTACTTGCAAGAAATAGAAACTCAATAAAGTAACACCAACTAGATAAATTTATTGTAAAGGATCTGTAGGTATCTCTTAAAACACACATATAGGAAAGATTATTATGGAATTATAAAGCCCTCTATCCATCTCTAACCTTTGTTTCTATTCAGGTTATCTCCTGTCTTTCTGAAAAAAAAAAACAACAACTACCTTCTACTTTTTCTTTCATTGAAGGTAAACTTGGCATGATTAGCTTAACATAGGTAAGCCACAGGAAAAGCAACTGAGTACTCTCTATTTTCTTCTTTTTCTCTCAATTTCAAATTCTCAGGAAAAACCTTTGTTTTACCCAGGTTAAACCATTAATCCAGCCAACTCTGGCCATTGAAAGGAATCAGTGTATAAAGTTGATGTCAGGGACCCATGACTAAGATATAATACTCAGAAAATAAGCAAAAATGTTATAAGTATCCAAAAAGATTAGATAAGTACATGTCAATACATGAATGTTGGTGTGAATATTGCATTCATTATTAAATATAGTTCATTATTAAATATATCTAATAAAATAATATGGTTATGAGCCTTTTTATAGTTTTCAGCAAAGTAAATAAGAATTATAAGTTTAAATTCTGTCCTTCCCTCCATAAATGGATGATAATAAATATTTTCAATTAAAAGAGAAAAAAACACAACTAGGCTTCAAATTAAGGTAAATACACCTGAGATCCCAAAATGGAATAGAGGAGTGAGCAGAGCTGAAGCTGCAAACCAGATGAGCTTCTGATTCAGAAATAGACTTGGGGCTGGAAGAGTCTGAGGAACAACAAATAGCAAAGTGTCTTATGTTACCAGGGAGACCAGGCTAACTGATTGAAACCAGTGGCTGGTATGATGAAGCTCCCTATTTTAAAAGAAATCTGAAAAAATGTCTGCTTCCTGGGTTAGATATTCTATGAATGTTACCTAAGGAGGTGGGAGGACAAGACAAAAATATCTCCATGACAGGACCTAAAGAAATATACCAGCTGGCTTCAGGACTAATCACCATGGTGCAGCTGATACAAAGTCTCTTTCTGAAACAGCAGGCCTCTGGGAGGCAGTTCAAAGCAACAGGTAATGTGGGAATAGAGATTTAGATGAAGAAGGTGGTGGGAAGGGGTAAAAGGGAGAGCGTTTCCTATTTAAATGAGCCTAAACCCGAAAATTACATGAACAAAAAATGTAGTTCTTAGACAGCTAACAAAATTAATTCAAAATCCAATGCAGATAAAATGAAATAAAAACAATAGAAAAGAGGTATAAAGTTTAATTAATAATAAAATAACTAAAGAAATAAAAATAATATTCAAGAAAAGAACAGGAAATACTGAAATTAAAACAGCAAACCATGAAACAAAAATTGATACAAATATGTATTAGTTTTCTGGATAACAGATTACCACAAACCTAGTGACTAAACACACCATACATTTATTATCTCAAAGTTGCTGTGGTCCAGGAGGCCAGTTGCAGTGTTATCTGTCTCCTCTACTAAGGGTCTCCCACATTGTAATCAAAGTGTTAGCCGGGGTGTGGTCTCACTGGAGGTTTGGGGGCCTCTCCACAGCACACATGGTTGTTGGCAAAATGTATTTCTTTGTAGCTGTGGAAATCATGGCAACTTGTTTCTTCAAGGCCCAGAAAAGAGCAACTCCACTGCCCCCATCTATGACCTCTGGACCCTCTTTAAAATGGTTTGATTGGTTAGGACAGGCCCATCCAGGATAATCTCCCTTTAGATTAAAGTCAATAGATTAAAAACTTTGACTACATCTGCAAATTCTCTTCAGTTTTGCTGTATAGCAAAACATAATCATGGGAATAATATTCCATCGCTTCTGTCAAACTGAATTGGTTAGAAGCAAGTTACAGGTCCCACCTACATTCAAAAGAAGAAGCATATCTACCAACATGGACATGGATCACAGAAACGACCTTAGGATTCTAACCATCACAATATAAAAATAAACAGGCAAATATAAATTTTGGCTATAAAAATGTAGCCATTGTGGGAGAAAAAAATCTTAAAAGATATAATAAAATCTAGCCTGGACACAGTAGCCGACAGATGAGAAGAGATTAAGTGAATAATAGTACTGAAGTCTTCACCCATAATGCAGCATAGAGTCATAAAGTGATTTAAACAGGAACCAAAACAGTTAAGAGACATAGAGAATAGAGGAGTTCTAGCATCAGAGTTCAGATTTTTTAAAAGTGATGGAGACACAAAATGTAAAGATGAAATGAGTGAGAATTTTACCAAGTAGAAAGGAGACACTACTTCTGAAATTCAAAGTGTTTTAGCAAGATAAATGAAAATAAACAGACACCTAATTGCATCATTGTGAAATGTAAAAGCATTAAGGATAAAGAGATAACCACAAAAGCTATCATAGGGAAAAAAGGATTATGAACAAAAGAATGAGGATTAATCTGACAAGATATGTCCCATTAGAAGCAATATATAGAATAAAGTAATACTAAAATGCTGAAGAAAAACTGTCAACCTCAAATTTTAAATCCAGGTAATAAAAAGCTGTTCAGATATTCAAAGATGAGAGTTTAAGCTCCAGACTCAGAGTGAAAGGCTGTTGGAGTGACATTTACCAAACATTTTAAAATCATGACATACTTAGAAAATCATAATGGGAGTGAACAAACAAGGCTATGCTCAGGTGGAAGCACTTGGTCACCTAAAAATCACTGGTTCACCTTTAGGCCTTAGGAGATCAATATTTAACCATCCAGTGTGCTGAGAAACACCAATTTGGAGCTATTAAAGGTTATATATAATAAAAGAAAATGGTGCCCTGAAGAAAAGACAAGTAAAAACAACAGTGAACAGATAAATTAATAAATGCATGCTTCAAACTATATTTAACTATTGATTTTTAAATGCAATAGTTTATTATTTTTAATAATAAAACTATTATTCTAAATAGCAATAACAATATGAATGTATGCATGTGTGCACATGGAATTGGGTGAGCTGTTCAAAGGAAAGTTAAACTTTACTAGGATCTTTGTGGTGTGTTTGTGATTAAGAGAGAAACACTAAATCAATGTAGGCCTTGTTAGAAAAATATTTAATTACTCATGTAAAAACAATTAAGGGAAACCTTGCCCCAAGTAGAAATTGAACAGAAATCCTGTAAACCTGCACAAGAAATAAAAAAGAATTTTTTTCTAAAGAAGAAAGAAAAGAAAAGAAAATGAATACTTAGAAAATATTACAAAATAAAGTGGTAGCAATGATTCTAAATGTGTTAATATTTACAATAAAATATAAGTGCATCTTTTAAAAATGAAAGTCTAAAATATTTGCAAGGCACCAAAATTGAGCTAAAAACCATTTAAAAGACTAAAAAGGAAGGGGTAAGTGGGGAAAATTACCAATATTACTATCAGACCAAATAGAATTTAAAGCCAAAAACCATCATAGCAACAAAGAAGGAAGTAACACACAAGACTAAGGAATAAACACAGAAGATGTTAATTACCATGTTATTTTTTTTTAATTATACTTTAAGTTTTAGGGTACATGTGCACAACGTGCAGGTTAGTTACATATGTATACATGTGCCATGTTGGTGTGCTACACCCATTAACTCATCATTTAACATTAGGTATATCTCCTAATGCTATCCCTCCCCCCTCCCCCCACCCCACAACAGTCCCTGGTGTGTGATGTTCCCTTTCCTGTGTCCGTGTGTTCTCATTGTTCAGTTCCCACCTATGAGTGAGAACATGCGGTGTTTGGTTTTTTGTCCTTGTGATAGTTTGCTGAGAATGATGGCTTCCAGCTTCATCCATGTCCCTACAAAGGACATGAACTCATCATTTTTTATGGCTACATAGTATTCCATGGTGTATATGTGCCACATTTTCTTAATCCAGTCTATCATTGTTGGTCATTTGGCTTGGTTCCAAGAAATACCATTTGACCCAGCAATCCCATTACTGAGTATATACCCAAAGGATTATAAATCATGCTGCTATAAAGACACATGCACACGTATGTTTATTGCGGCACTATTCACAATATCATGTTATTTTTTAAAGCCTAAAAATTCCTACCTCAATAACTGGTAGAATTCAAGAAGAAACTGACAAGACCACTGTTATAATAATAGACTTTAATGTACTAATATTATAATCTGATAACTCAAACCCCTATGTAAAAAATGAAAGCATCACAACAATAAGACATATCTACATCATGTATCACCTGACATGAAGCACAGAGACAACCAAAGATTAAGGTCATTTCTGTGGTATTCTGGCCCAAAATGCATAATCTGAACTTAATCATAGAAACATCAGACAACCTGAAATGAAGATCAGTCTACAAAATAACTGGCCAGGATTCTTTAAAAGTAAAGAACTGTACGTGCCACTGCACTCCAGCCTGGGCGACAGAGCAAGACTCTGTTTCAAAAAAAAAAAAAAAGTAACAAACTGTAGACTGGGAAAGAATATTTACAAACCATATATCCAATGAGCAGCTTATATATGGAATATATAAGGAACTTTTTTTATGCTTTGGTGACAATGGGGAGTGAAAAGATAATTTTATTACCGAGAGTAGAGAACTCCCCCCATTTAACCACAATTAACACTGACATAACAGTTAACACTATTAAGCATTTGTATGAATTGTTAGGATGTCTTGATGCTGCTATGTGCCCAAGACAGAATGTGATAGCTAATGACAACTATTCCTCTTCCAGTTCTTACAAGGAGAGCTAGACTAAATATCATAACCCTGTCCCTTGAAATTCAATAATAAGAAAAAAACCCCCTCTAGAATGAGCAAAAGATTTGAATACATAGTTCCCCAAAGAACATATGTGATGGCAAACAAGCACGTGAAAAGAAGTTTGAAATCATTTATCATGAGGAAAATGCAAATTAAGACCAGAATGAGGTACAGATGAGATAATAGTTAGAATGGCTAAAAAATAATAAATAAAAGATAATATTGACTGCTGACAAGGATGCAGAGTAACTGGAATCCTCATACATTGCAAAATGCTAACAGTCACTCTGGAAAACAGCTTGACAGATTCTTATAAGGTAAAATATGCACTTAATCTTTGGTATTTGCCTTGGAGAAATGAAAATGTATGCTCACACGAAAACCTGTTCAAGAATATCTATAGCAGCATATTCATAATCACCAGAACTGAAAACCTAAATATCTTACAGTAGCTTACTGGATAAACAAACTGTGCTACATCCATACAATGGAATAGTATTCAGCAAGAAAAAGAACAAATTATTGATACATGAACCAACATGATTAAATCTTAATCGTGAAAAAAACTGGACTCAAAGATTACATATTGTATATTCAATTTCTATGACTTTCTGAAAAAGACAAAACCTACAGGGGTAGAGAACAGAAAAAGACAAAACCTACGGGGGTAGAGAACAGAAAAAGACAAAACCTACAGGGGTAGAGAACAGATCAGTGGCTGCTAGTGTTTGGGAGTAGATGGAGAGTTTGTATAGGGACAACACAAAGGGGTTCTTGGAGTGATGGAACTGTTCTGCATCCTGATTGTGGCAATGGTTACACAAGTCCATTCATCTGTCAAAGCTCACACAAAAGTTTAGCCAAAAATAAAAACAAAAAAGAATTTTACTTCATGTAAATTAAAAAATACACTTTTCAAAAAATGCAGATGAACCAAAGAACTACATCTGAAAATCAAAGTTAAACTTAGAAAAAGGAAGTATAAGAGAAAACATGACGTTGCGGTTTTGATGACTCAACAAATCTAAAAGAAAATAATTATAAATTTAATTCGATTAAAATTTAAATTTTTTGTGCAAAAAAAAGCAAAAGTGAAAGGCAAGCTACACATTAGGAGAATGTATTTTCAATACCTATAAACAAGTAAAAGGTTCGTATCCAAAATATACAAAAACATCTGCAAATGAATAAGAAAATGTCAAAGAACCCAACAGAAAAAATAAATGAACAAAGAAAATGAGAGTTAATGGAAAATGTAAAAAAAAGGGTCACAAACATGAAAGTATGTGCTATCCTGCTGATCATGACCAATAAAATTTAAAGCAAGATATATTTTGTACACTTTTATATCTGACATAAGACATCCAAAAATAAAAATTGTAGATCTACTAAATGTGCAAGCTAAGAATTCCAGTTTTGCATATAACTCAAGAAAAGCTTTCTCACATGTGCACAAATACACGTTTTCATGCAATGAAATATTATAATAGCTAAAATAAACTAGCATTTATTTTATGTATATGTATCTGTATGTACCAATACAGATAAATTTAAAGACCATTATACTAAGCAAAATAAGCAAGCACTTACATAAAGATATTATCACATATAACAATTCTCTTGGAGAAAAAGGGAAGGAGAAAGAGAACTGTTTGTGGATAAATACCTATGTAGATATAGTATAAAGCCATGAATGACAGCCATAACACTGACATTTCAGAATAATTGTTACTCTGGAGTTAAAAGGATGGGACAAGGGACAGGAAGGAATACACAGAGGATTTTAAATGTTTCTATAGTTTTTTATTTTTTAAAAATTTTCAAGTAAACTTGGCAAAATGCTAAGACTTGTCACATTTGAATGGAAGCCAAGAGTTACATTATATTTTACAGTAGAAATTTTTTAAAAAATATATAATACACAGAGATAGATTTTTATGTCCCATCTCTAAAGCATGCTATTCTCCACATTTGAGGTAAAGGTAACATTTGGACCAGAGATACATCCCAGACTGTTTATAAGACCATTATAAAGGAAGAAATAAAATGTTTAATTTGTAATCATATTTATATTTCTAACCTTTACTAGATTTCTAAAATTTTATTCATGACAATGTTTACAATTGGTAATTGAATATACACCACATACGTGGAGGATATCAAAACCTTTACAAATTGGTGGCTGGTCAAATATTTGGAGATTGCTGCACTAGGTTGAGATTCTTCAGCTTCAGATTACATATGTATCATCTGGGGGTGTGTTTAAAATGCAGGTTCTGGGGCCCCGTATTGGATGTTTCAATTTAGTCCATTTGGGATTAGACCCTGAGTCTACATTTTTAACAAACACCTCAGATGATCCTGAGGCAGGTTTCAAGAGACCATATTTGGAAATCAAATGCTCTAGAACAACACTCTCATAAGCAAGTATCACAAGGAGGGAGGTGGCATCTTAATCTCTCTAAATTTCTTCAGTAGAGCAAGCTTTATGCTTTCTATATGATTTCAGTGACAGAATGTCACATTAGGCCACCTAGTTTCTATTTCCATTGACAGTGCAAAAAAAAAAAAAAGAAATATGGCTTTTAAGATAATTTCCAGACAAAGAGGTTTTTTTCTTCTTTTTTATCTACAGAGAAAAAAATTGAGTAAGAACTTCCTACTCTGTGTATATTCTTTTAAAATATGCCCCATGGTCAGAAGGCATAAATGACATTATCCTTACTCCCTCTGCACCTGGAGACCATTGTGAAATGTATTCCCTTATATCCTCACAACAGTTTCATGAGACACGCATTCTCACACCATTTTACAGGTGCAAAAACAGTAACAAGTAGCAAGAGACAGAGCAAGGACAGACCCTCAATTGACCCAACCTCTAAAACTTGACACTGCAACATGCCCCTCAAGCATTTTTCACAGCTATGCTTAAATATGAGCACTGCTGTTTCATTATCCCCAGTGAAGTCCATGTGGCTTGAAAATTCCACAGAAATCTAAAATTTTTGCAGAAAGGGATTGGATAGACAAGCTTTCATTTTGCCACTAGTTACTTCCAAAACTCTTGGGCATACCTTGGTACAGCACCTTCTGAATCCCAAATCAAAATTACATTTATTGGGAATTAAGAGTCACGATTTGGAGGACAAAATCTTTTTATGCATCGTCAAGTCAGCCTGTCTTGAGTCAACTGCTTTGCTGACCCTGATATTCTTAGGATTCAGCCTTCTCTGTGGGGTTATTCAGTCCTGAACTTTTGAGTTTTCACCACAGGGTCTCTAAAGAGAACTAGATCTACGCTTATGAGTCTCTAATATCACAACATGGGAATTATGGGAAAACGAGATTTGTTTATTACCAGGAAGTATGGAGTTCTTAATCAGCCAGGTTTTAAAGCATTTATAAATGTCTTTCTAGACAGAGTACTTTGCTCAATACTAAAGAGATCATGATAAACAATCCCTGATTTTAAAGAGCTTCTTCAGTCTGTGGATCACATTCAGCCAGAATCCAGAATCCCTAAATTCTTTTTTATTATTATAATACTTTAAGTTCTGGGGTACATGTGCCCAATCTGTAGGTTTGTTACATATGTATACATGTGTCATGTTGGTGTGCTGCACCCATAACTCGTCCTTTACATTAGTTATATCTCCTAATGCTATCCCCCCCTGCTCCCCCCACCCCACAACAGGCCCCGATGTGTGATGTTCTCCTTCCTGTGTTCAAGTGTTCTCATTGTTCAATTCCCACCTATGAGTGAGAACATGCAGTGTTTGGTTTTCTGTCCTTGTGATAGTTTGCTGAGAATGATGGTTTCCAGCTTCATCCATGTCCTTACAAAGGACATGAACCCATCCTTTTTTATGACTGCATAGTATTCCATGGTGTATATGTGCCACATTTTCTTAATCCAGTCTATCATTGATGGACATTTGGGTTGGTTCCAAGTCTTTGCTATTGTGAATAGTGCCTCTATAAACATACGTGTGCATGTGTCTTTATAGCAGCATGATTTATAATCCTTTGGGTATATACCCAGTAATGGGATGGCTGGGTCAAATGGTACTTCTAGTTCTAGATCCTTGAAGAATCATCACACTGACTTCCACAAAGGTTGAACTAGTTTACAGTCCCACCAACAGTGTACAAGTGTTCCTATTTCTCCACATCCTCTCCAGCACCTGTGGTTTCCTGACTTTTTAATGATCACCATTCTAACTGGTATGAGATGTGGTTTTGATATGCATTTCTCTGATGGCCAGTGATGATGAGCATTTTTTCATGTGTCTTTTGGCTGCATAAATGTCTTCTTTTGAGAAGTGTCTGTTCGTATCCTTTGCCCACTTTTTGATGGGGTTGTTTGTTTTTTTCTTGTAAATTTGTTGGAGTTCATTGTAGATTCTGGATATTAGCCCTTTGTCAGATGAGTAGATTGCAAAAATTTTCTCTCATTCTGTAGGTTGCCTGTTCACTCTGATGGTAGTTTCTTTTGCTGTGCAGAAGCTCTTTAGTTTAATTAGATCCCATTTGTCAATTTTGGCTTTTGTTGCCATTGCTTTTGATGTTTTAGACATGAAGTCCTTGCCCATGCCTATGTCATGAATGGTATTGCCTAAGTTTTCTTCTAGGATTTTTATGGTTTTAGGTCTAACATTTAAGTCTTTAATCCATCTTGAATTAATTTTTGTATAATGTGTAAGGAAGGGATCCAGTTTCAGCTTTCTCCATATGGCTAGCCAGTTTTCCCAGCACCATTCATTAAATAGGCAATCCTTTCCCCATTTCTTGTTTTTGTCAGGTTTGTCAAAGATCAGATAGTTGTAGATATGTGGCATTATTTCTGAGGGGTCTGTTCTGTTCCATTGGTGAATACCCTTTATTTCTTTCTCCTGCCTGATTGCCCTGGCCAGAACTTCCAACACTATGTTGAATAGGAGCAGTGAGAGAGGGCATCCCTGTCTTGTGCCAGGAATGCTTCCAGTTTTTGCCCATTCAGTATTATATTGGCTGTGGGTTTGTCATAAATAGCTCTTATTATTTTGAGATACGCCCCATCAGTACCCAATTTATTGAGAGTTTTTAGCATGAAGCGCTGTTGAATTTTGTTGAAGGCCTTTTCTGAATCTATTGAGAAAATAATGTGCTTTTTGTCTTTGGTTCTGTTATATGCTGGATTACGTTTATTGATTTGCATATGTTGAACCAGCCTTGCATCCCAGGGATGAAGCCCACTTGATCATGGTGGATAAGTTTTTTGATTTGCTTCTGGATTCGGTTTGCCAGTATTTTATTGAGGATTTTTGCATTGACGTTCATCAGGGATATTGGTCTAAAATTCTCTTTTTTGTTGTGTCTCTGCCAGGCTTTGGTATCAGGATGATGCTGGCCTCATAAAATGAGTTAGTGAGGATTCCCTCTTTTTCTATTGATTGGAATAGTTTCAGAAGGAATGGTACCAGCTCCTCCTTGTAGAGAATCCCTAAATTCTTGACTTACCACTAACTAACAGCTGCTCCTACCTGAGTGAGCAATTTGGAGAAGAAAGACCAAACAAATGCAACACAGATTATGATTGCTTTGTTACTTAAAAAAAATATAATATTAGCAAACTGCACTAACTTGGTATCTGATTATCTGATATCTGCTTCAAAGTGTGAGAAAAATTATGTTAAAATATTTGTATATATACACATAGAAAGTTCTCCCTTTCTTGGTACAAAAGAAGATGGAGAACCCCATCTAATAAAGCAAGTTCGAAGGAGTCACCCTAAATGCAAGAATTATTTCTGAGAAAAATGGAGTGCCCAACTTAAATTTATCAGCGTAGGCTCTTCAAGCTACGGAATAAAGCTGGAGAATTTATGGGTAACATTGTTCTTAAACAAACGGAAAGCTATCTGCACAGAGACAGAATATGACTGCATAATTTCTTGGTCTTTGAGAGGAGAGAATCTTATCTTCACCATTAAGCATATATGTGTTTTTTTCAAATGTAATGTGTATGATAAGACACACGGATATTCTTTTTTTAAAGCTTAAGTTCTTCTGGGTCCCTTTTACTGGATTTCATGGTATTATCACAGGCTGTTTTGGATTTTATCATTGAGAGAGAAGTTTCTACCGGCAAAGAAATATAGAATTTTAGAGTTAGGTCATTATGCTTTGTTTAAACTTAGTTTTAATTATGAGCTCTTTCTAGAGAAAAATGAATTTATTTGATCTAAAATATGCATCTTATGTGTCAGAAAAGAAAGCAAAGGCAGCAGAAAAAGTCAAAATGTGTTGTACCTGAGAGAAATCACATCCATCCACTTAGTTTGAGAAGTACATGGATTCTACTACTCACATTTTTTAACAGATTACTTATCTTGAAATAACATTGATTGCTCATTAAGAATGGGGCAAGGGATAAAATACAGACCAAAACAGAAAGATAGTATGTAGCATCTTTATGAAGATAACCTCAGTAATCGAGGGGGTTATTTATTGGGTATAGTGAAAAGTAGCCTATCTTGGAGATAGAAGTCAATTTGTTTCCCTGACCCATTCATTAATTTCTATGCATTATCAAGTGTGTCTATTTCCCCTATGGATTTGCATGCTTCTTTGCATGTAGAGACCACATCATACTCATTGTATACACACAATAACACATAGAAGAGCAGTTTATTCAAAACTTTATGACATATTGTTTGTTAAATAAAAATAAATACTTTATTGAATATGAAAGAAAATGAGACCCAATTTTATGATATAGTGAATCCAGTTGGTCAATTATTTTTGGTACTATCTAAATTTATTATATAAAGGAAGAAATTCAAGTATAATGTCCAATATAATTATTCCTGAAGATAACTGCAGTCATAATTTTGGTTTACCTTGGTAAGGCAAACATGATTTTTACCTGCTGGCTTTATAACAATGTAAATCAATAGCAGTGAAAAGAATTCCATTTGAAAATTATAGTTTATCTGGTTTGGACTAGTAAAGATCTGAATATCCTGGCTGTCTTATTCAAAATAGTGTTATGAAATGCTATACAGTGGATTACAATTTTATCTGTCAATGCATCTTTTAAAAATAAAACATTAAATTGTTGAATCACAAGTTGGAAATTTAAGTCTTGCTTCTGTTGATACCAAAAATTTGAAAGAATACCTTCTTATATATTGATGACCACATCAGATTACATTATGTGAAAAATGGATGATTAAGCCTATTAGAGGTGAAAACTACCTATTTCTCAATGTTATTACGGATGTAGACCATATGGTATGGTGAAGAGCTTCAACAATCTTTTAGATGTTTATGACAGAGAAAGTAGCTACTGTTACTTGTAATCTCATCATGTGCTATACCTCGTTTTGAATGTTTTATATAAGTATCCATTATCTATTGAATCCTTACATAATCCCCAGAGATGACAGTTATTATCCACCATTTTATAGACATGAAACTGAGATTCAATGATGTAACATGAATAGCCGAAGGCCAACTAGTAGATTAGGGATTTGATGATAAAGGTTGTGCTCTTAAGCTTCCCAGGCAAGGCATAGTTGATGGTAGATTTCTTCTGAAATAACTAAAAACAGCTGCAAAATATGAGTAATGGAAGAGGAAGAAGACTGAGCACATTAGATGATACAACGCATGGAAATACTAACAATGGTTTTGGTTATAAATGCAGAAACCATACCAAGTATAATAAAAGCACAATGTAACTCTGTATCCACTGAAAGTGCTTGCACAATTCCTGTTTTAACATGGAGTACTAAGTAAAGAAGGCATCAAGTAAAGGATATATTTTTTAACATGAAGTTAAAATCAAAGTAAATCTATTATTACTAATATCTGTCAGTCAGATTGGATTTTTTAAAATTTTTAGTTTGGGGCTGATACATGAAGATAAGTAGCATTTAAAATGTGTTCAGTGGTGTGGGTTCCTCACAGTGAAGCAAAGAAAACAAAAGTAACATTTCCTAATTTGTATTCATAGAAAACATTCCTTTGTATTTACTCCTCCAGATAGCTAATGAATACTTACATGTTCTTACTAGGTTTTTTTTTTTATTTGATGTACTTTGCAGAAACCAACAATTGAAAAGAAGATCCAAAAGGAAGAAGAAATAAAGGAGGCATTAGTGTCTACAATTTCCTGTGTTTTTAAACTTTAATGAATGTACACCCTGTTGTTGTAATGTTTTCTATCATTTAAAAGAAAAATAAAATAAAAAGCACTTTTTTGTGCTGTTAACCATTTGTGACAACGGTTACAAATGCAAACTGTAAAACTTGTAGAAGTTCTCATAGTATTTCTGATCACTCAAAGGTGATAAAAAAGATTTTTTAAAATTAAGTATTAGTATATTCTAGTTTTCAATTAACTTTTCACTGAAGTACTAGGGAAACAGCTAATCAGGAGCTGAGTTGGGTAATTTGATGGAAAACTACGCACAAAGATTATTCACCTTCGAATATCTCTAATATTTTTTCTTACATTTCCTTGTGTTTCTGTTTTCTGGTTCCAGCCTAACATTTTTTTACAAAAACATCTGTATTAAGTTATTTTATCATTGTCATAGTACCTGTATTACATTTCCTCTATCTGTGACTTATGATGCTATGACAACACCAAGAGAGTGAAAGCAGTTCATCAAACCTAAAACTTAGCCTGTTTTGCAATGGTGAGACCATTATATATTTTACTGGAGGTTTGCATTTTATTAGCCTTTAGCCATTAAAGTATACTCATTTAAAATGCACTTTTGATATTTTTCCACCCGTGTGAGTGATCAGGCTTTCCACCTGAGGTCACTTTTCAAACCACACAGGTGGAAGCCCTGTGCAGAAAATGGGCTTGCTGAGATGAACAGGCAGATTATACTACAGCACCACTGAAGTGATTGGAATTCTCAGGATGGGGTATTAGAGAGGCAGAAGCTGTGTAAAAGGAGAGGCTGACAAGTCTCACTGAAGCTTTCCCATGAGACACTAATTGAGGACTGAGTGGGTCCTTTAGCTGAGAACTAAGACAAGAAAACATAAGAACTTCCAGGGTTTCTATCACTTTGGGTTTTACATTTAAATCTTTAATCCATCCTGAATTAATTTTCGTATATGGTGTAAGGAAGAGGGTCTAGTTTCAATCATCTGTGTATGGCTAGCCAGTTATCCCAGCACCATTTATTGAATAGGGAGTCATTTCCTTATTGCCTGTTTTTGTCAGCTTTGTCGAAGTTCAGATAGTTGTAGGTTGCAGCCTTATTTCTAGATTCTCTATTCTGTTCCATTGGTCTACATGTCTGTTACTGTACCAGTGCCATGCTGTTTTGGTTACTGTAGCGCTGTAGTATAGTTTGAAGTTGGGTAATGCCTATAGCTTTGTTCTTTTTGCTTAGGATTGCTTTGCTATTCGGGCTCTTTCTTGCTTCCATATGAATTTTAAAATAGTTTTTTTTTCTAGTTTTATGAAAAATGTCATTGTCATTGGTAGTTTCATAGGAAAAGCACTGAATCTATAAATTGCTTTAGGCAGTATGGCCACATTAACTAATTCTTTCTATCCATGAAAATGGAATGTTTTTCCATTTGTTTGTGTCATCTCTGATTTCTTTGAGTAGTGTTTTGTAGTTTTCCTTGTAGAGACCTTTTACCTCCCTGGTTAGCAGTATTCCTATGTATTGTGTGTGTGTGTCTGTATGTGTGAATTGTGAATGGAACTGCATTCCTTATTTGGCTCTAGGCCTGACTGTTGGTGTATAGAAATGCTAGTGATTTTTGCAAATTGATTTTGTATCCTAAGACTTTGCTGAAGTTGTTTATCAGCTTAAGGAGCTTCTGGGCCGAAACTATGGGGTTTTCTAGATATAGGATCATGTCATCTGCAAACAGGGATAATTTGACTTCCTCACTTCCTATTTGGATGCCCTTTATTTCTTTCTCTTGACTGATTGCTCTGTCCAGGACTTCCAATGCTATGTTGAATGTGAGTGGTGAGAGAGGGTATCTTTGTCTTGTGCCGGTTTTCAAAGGGAATGCTTCCAGCTTTTGCCCATTCAGTATGATGTTGGCTGTGGGTTTGTTATAGATGACTCATTATTTTGAGGTATGTTCCTTCATTACCTAGTTTATTGACAGTTCTTAAAATGAAGGGATGTTGAATTTTATCAAAAGTCTTTTCTGCATCTATTGAGATAATCATGTGGTTTTTGTCTTTAGTTCTATTTATGTGATAAATCACATCTATCGATTTGTGTACATTGAAGCAACCTTGCATCCCAGGGATAAAGCCTACTTGATCATGATGGATAAGCTTTTTAATGTGCTTCTGGGTTTGGTTTGCTAGTATTTTGTTGAAGATTTCTGCATCGATGTTCATCAAAGATATTGACCTGAAGTTTTCTTTATTTGTTGTGTCTCTGTCAGGTTTTGGTATCAGGATGATGCTGGCCTCCTAGAATGAGTTAAAGAGGAGTCCCTCCTCCTCAATTTTTTGTAATAGTTTCAGCAGGAATGGTACCAGTTCTTCTTTGTACCTCTGGTGGAATTCAGCCATGAATCCATCTGGTCCTGGGATTTTTTTGGTTGGTAGGCTAGTTATTACTCATTCAATTTCAGAGCTCATTATTGGTCTGCTAAGGGATTTAATTTCTTCCTTCAGTCTTGGGAGGGTGTATGTGTGCAAGAGTTTATCCATTTCTTCTAAATTTTCTACTTTATGTGCATACAGGTGTTCATAATATTCTCTGATGGTTATTTGCATTTCTGTGGTGTCAGTGGTAATACCCCCCTTGTCATTTCCAATTGTGTTTATTTGGATTATCTCTCTTTTCTTTTTTATTTGTAAAACCCAAAACTGTAAAAACCCTGGAAGACAACATAGGCAATACCATTCTGAACATAGGAACAGGCAAATATTTTATGACGAAGATGCCAAAAGCAATTACAACAAAAGCAAAAATTGACAAACGGTATCTGATTAAACTAAAGAGCTTCTGCACAGCAAAAGAAACTATCAACAGAGTGAACAGACAACCTATAGAATGGGAGAAAATTTTTGCAAACTATGCATCTGACAAAGGTCTAATATCAAATATCTATAAAGAACTTATTTTTACAAGAAGAAAGCAAACAACACTATTAAAAGTGGGCATGTAAGTCTTTAATCCATCTTGAATTAATTTTTGTCTAAGGTGTAAGGAAGGGATCCAATTTCAGCTTTCTACATATAGCTAGCCAGTTTTCCCAGCACCATTTATTAAATAGGGAATCCTTTCCCCATTGCTTGTTTTTGTCAGGTTTGTCAAAGATCAGATAGTTGTAGATATGTGGCATTATTTCTGAGGGCTCTGTTCTGTTCCATTGGTCTGTATCTCTGTTTTGGTACCAGTACCATGCTGTTTTGGTTACTGTAGCCTTGTAGGATAGTTTGAAGTCAGGTAGCATGATGCCTCCAGCTTTGTTCTTTTGGCTTAGGATTGACTTGGCAATGCGGGCTCTTTTTTGGTTCCATATGAACTTTAAAGTAGTTTTTTCCAATTCTGTGAAGAAAGTCATTGGTAGCTTGATGGGGATGGCATTGAATCTATAAATTACCTTGCATGTTAGACCTAAAACCATAAGAATCCTAGAAGAAAACCTAAGCAATACCATTCAGGACATAGGCATGGGCAAGGACTTCATGTCTAAAACACCAAAAGCAATGGCAACAAAAGCCAAAATTGACAAATGGGATCTAATTAAACTAAAGAGCTTCTGCACAGCAAAAGTAACTACCATCAGAGTGAACAGGCAACCTACAGAATGGAAGAAAATTTTTGCAATCTACTCATCTGACAAAGGGCTAATATCCAGAATCTACAATGAACTCCAACAAATTTACAAGAAAAAAACAAACAACCCCATCAAAAAGTGGGCAAAGGATACGAACAGACACTTCTCAAAAGAAGACATTTATGCAGCCAAAAAACACATGAAAAAATGCTCATCATCACTGGCCATCAGAGAAATGCAAATCAAAACCACAATCAGATACAATCTCACACCAGTTAGAATGGCAATCATTAAAAAGTCAGGAAACAACGGGTGCTAGAGAGGATGTGGAGAAATAGGAACAATTTTACACTGTTGGTGGGACTGTAAACTAGTTCAACCATTGTGGAAGTGAGTGTGGTGATTCCTCAGGGATCTAGAACTAGGAATACCATTTGACCCAGCCATCCCATTACTGGGTATATACCCAAAGGATTATAAATCATGCTGCTATAAAGACACATGCACACGTATGTTTATTGCGGCACTATTCACAATAGCAAAGACTTGAACCCAACCCAAATGTCCAACAATGATAAACTGGATTAAGAAAATGTGGCATGTATACACCGTGGAATACTATGCAGTCATAAAAAGTGATGAGTTCATGTCCTTTGTAGGGACATGGATGAAGCTGGAAGCCATCATTCTCAGCAAACTATCGCAAGGACAAAAACCCAAACACCGCATGTTCTCACTCATAGGTGGGAACTGAACAATGAGAACACATGGACACAGGAAGGAGAACATCACACACCGGGGACTGTTGTGGGGTGGGGGGAGAGGCGAGGGATAGCATTAGGAGATATACCTAATGCTAAATGACGAGTTAATGGGTGCAGCACCCCAACATGGCACATGTATACATATGTAACAAACCTGCACCTTGTGCACATGTACCCTAAATCTTAAAGTATAATAATAATAAAATAAAATAAAAACTGTAAATATAAAAAAAGTGGGCAAAAGACATGAACAAACACTTTACAAAAAAGACATTCATGTGTCCAACAAGCATATGAATAAAAGCTGAACATCACTGATCATTCGAGAAATGCAAATCAAAACAATAGCATACTGTCTTACACCAGTCAGAAAGGCTATTGTTAAAACGTCAAAAAATAGCAGATGCTTGTGAGATTGCAAAGAAAAAGGAACACTTATACAATGTTGGTGGCAGTGTAAATTAGTTCAATCATTGTGGAAGACAGTGCAGTGATTCCTCAAAGACCTAAAAACAGAAATACCAATATACCCAAAGGAATATAAACTGTTCTATCATAAAGACACATGCACATGTGTGTTCACTGCAGCCCTATTCTTGAACACGCCATTCACAACAGCAAAGACATGGAATCAATCTAAATTTTCATCAGTGGTAGACTGGATAAAAACAAATTTGGTACATATACACCATGGAATATTATGCAGCCATAAAAAGAATGAGATCATGTCCTCTGCAGGAACATAGATAGATCTAGAGGCCATTATTCTTACTAAACTAACGCAGGAACAGAAACCAAATACCACATGTTCTCACTTATAAGTGGGAGCTAAATGATGAGAACACATGGATAAATAAAGAAGAACAACACACTAGGGCTTATTGGAAGGTGGAGGGTGTGAGGAGGGAGAGGATCAGGAAGAATAACTAATGGGTACTAGGTTTAATACCTGGCTGATGAAATAATCTGGACAAAAATCTCCCATGACACAAGTTTACCTATACAACAAACCTGCACATGTACCCCTGAACATAAAAGTTAAAAAAAAAATACAAGATATAACAGAGTGGCTACTACAAAACCAAGACTTAAATGAAGATGTGTAAATCATGCAGGGCTATGAAAAAATATAACTTAGGCCCAACCAGAGTGAAGAAGTCTCACTGTGCACCTGAGGCAATAAGTTGAGACATAATAAGAAGAGACTCTAGGATCAAAACTACAAACAGAGTGAGGCCTATGCCCAAAGACTAAGAAAAAAATAGACCCATCCTAACAAAGCATAAAACTAAGCCTGACAAGATTAGGATAACAAAGCATAAAACTAAGCCTGACAAGATTAGGAGTGCCCAACACGAATTTAACAGCATGCCAGGACAAAATAAAACAATTTAAAAAATAACATAATTCAGCCTTCCTCCATTGTATGTTCACAATGACCAGTATACATTTAAAACTTACTAGACATGTGAAAAAGCAAGAAAATATTCCCAATATCAAAGAGGAAAACAGAGTCAAAACAGACAAACACAAAAGATGACCCAGATGTTGAAGTTATTAAGCAAGGAACTTTAAACTGCTTTTACAAATAAGTCCACAGTCTGTAAACAACTCTGTAATATAAGCAGAGAAATAAAAGGAATCAATTATAAATGGCAAGTACAATACCTGAACTGAAAAAAGAAATCACTGGACAGCTGATTGCAACCCAACATACAGATTGCAACCCAATCTGAAAATCATGGTGGGGAAAGATGAAAAGCAAAATAAATAGAGCTTCAGTAACCTGTGAGAAAATACTAACAGTATAAATATGTATAATTAGAGCTCAAAAAGAAGAAAAAACAAAAGAGATAATGGGGCAGAAGAAAATTCTTGAAAAAACAATTGCCCCAAATTTCCCAAATATGATGAAAAATACCAATAAATCCTATATGATGAAAAATACCAATAAATCCAAATATGATGAAAAATACCAATAAATACCTATAAATCCAAGAAACTCAGTAAACCCAAAGATAAATAAATTCAAAATTCAAAGAAAACCACATCTCAATGCATTGTTGTCAACTGATGAAAACCAAAGATGAAGAGAAAATTATAAAAGCAGCCAGAGAAGACAGATATTACATACAAACGAATAATAAGTCTAACAGGTAACTTCTCATCTGAAATAATGAAGCCCAATAGATAATAAAGTGATAACTTTAAATTGGTGCAAGCAAACCAAATTTCTATATCCAGTGAAAATATTAATATTTTTCAAATATGCAGGCAGAATAAGGACATTTGCAGGTAAACAAAAGCTGAGATAATTTGTCTCATCTGTGCTACAAGTACTGCTAAAGAAAGTTCTTCAGCACTGGAGGGAAATGATACAATATGGAAATCTGTATCTATAACAAAAAATGAATAACAAATGATAAACATGCAGGTAAATATTAAAACCTTTTCTATTTCTTCTATTAATTTTTGAAAAAGACAAACTACTTCCCAAAGCAAAAAGCAATAAAATTTTATTGTGGAGTTTATAATGTGTATATATATATGTGAAATATACGACTCTAAGACATTTTCTTGCATTCAAGAAAAATCTGATTAGTTTAACTGCTTTATATGTTTCTATACAGTATTTTCCCCTCATCCAACTCCTAACTGGATTTAAACTTCTTCAAGTGATAAGATTATTACACCTTTTTTGAGATATAAATGCATTACAGAGTACTATAAGTGGAATATATTACTGTAAGGTGATACAGTTTGGATATTTGTCCCCACCCAAATCTCATGTTGAAATGTAATCTCTAATGTTGGAGGTGAGGTGTGGTGGGAGGTGTTTTGGTTATGGGGTGGATCCCTCATGACTTGGTGTTGTCCTAGCAATGTTGAATGAGTTCTCATGAGATCTGGTTGTTTAAAAGTATGTGGTACCTCCCACTCCCTCTCTCTCTTGCTCTTGCTCCTGCTCCTGCCATTTGACATGCCTACTCCTCCTTCACCTTCTGCTATGATTAGAAGCTTCCTGAGGCCCTCACAAGAAGCATATTCTAGCACTATGCTTCCTGTACAACATGCAGAACTGTGAGCCAATTAGACCTCTTCTATTATACATTTTCCTGCTTCAGATATTTATTTATAGCAACACGAGTGGCTTAATACATAACTAATTTATATTTTACAGTAACTCATATAATATTCATTCTAACCACGCTAGTCAGTTAGAGATGTGTATTGCAATTCTTAGATGAACCATTGGCTGAAAGGTCAAAAGGAAATAAAATGGAATGCAAAAAATTTGAATACAAAAGGAGAAAAATACAGAGGGCAAAGAGCAAATAAAGAAGACAGACTCAAACCCAATCATATCAATAATTACATTAAGTGTAAATGAACTAAACACTTCAACTAAAATCAGAGATCTTTTCAGACTGGATTTTAAAAAGCAAGTACCTGTTTGCTACAAGAGATATTCTCTAAATCGATATTTCTCACATACCTCTGTATGTATAGTACTCTGTAATGCATTTATATCTCAAAAAAGGTGTAATAATCTTATCACTTGAAGAAGTTTAAATCCAGTTAGGAGTTGGATAAGGGGAAAATATTGTATAGAAACACATAAAGCAGTTAAACTAACCAGATTTTTCTTGAATGCAAGACACTGAGCTGGTTTTGCTGTTTACACTAATTCTCTTCTTTCTCTGAGAGTGGAAATAGCATCCTATTTGTATTGATCCATCTGTAGTAAAATTTATTGATCTTCTTATATTTTTGCTTTGCCTTCTTAGATTATTTCCTTCTAGTTAAAATTACTTTCATTTAACTTTCTTATTAGCTTCCTATTTTAAACTTTCTATTATGTTTACAACGTGCCAGTTAGGTGTTTTTTAGGCATAATCTGCTATTCTGTCATTACAATCCTATAACAATATATAATTTAGAGGGTATGTTCCAGTGTCTTTCTTATTTGTACTTAAATTGCATTAACTCATAGTTGAACACTAACAATTTTTTAATGTACTTTGTTTTTTAGAAGTTTAACATATACCAAAAAGTTAATGAGATAGTGCACAGAATTCTCATACGCTCTCCACTCGCTTTTTAAAAATTTTAATAGCTCTGGGGGTACAAGTAATTTTTCGTTACATGGTTTAATTATATAGTGGTGAATTCTGAGATTTTAGTGCACTTGATACCCGAGTATTGTCCATTGTACCTCATGTGTAGTTTTTTTATCCCTGGACCCCTCCCACCTTTCCCCTTCTGAGTCTCTAAGGTCCATTATATAACTCCCCATGCCTCTGCATACTCATAGCTTAGCTCCCACTTATAAGTGAGAACATAAGGTTTTTGGTTTTCAATCCCTGTGTTACTTCGCTTAGACTAATGGCCATCCACTACATCCGAGTTGCTGCAAAATACATTATTTCGTTCCTTTTAATGGCTGAGTAGTATTCCACGTGTATGTATACCACATTTGCTTCATCCACTCATTAGCTGATGGACACTTAGGTTGGTTCCACATCTTTGCAATTGTGAATTGTGCTGCTATAAACATATGTGCCTGCACTAACTTTGCATATTATTAACTTCTTATAAGAGTTTTGTTCATTTGTTACAGTTAATGAACCAATATTGATATATTATTAAAGTCCATAATTTATTCATATTTCCCTAGTTTTCCCCTAATTGTCCTTTTTTCTGTTCTAAGATCTCATCCAGGATACCATTTTACATTTACTTGTCATATCTATAAGCTCCTCTTGGCTGTAACAGTTTCTCAAGTTTCTCTTGTTTTTAATGACCTTGAAAAGTTTTGAGGAATATTGGTCAGGTATTTCATAAAATGCCCCTCAATTGAAATTTGTCTGACATTTTTCTCAAAATCAGACATGGGTTATGAGTTTGAAGTAGGGAGATCACAGAAGTTACCACTTTCATCATCTTACATCAAGAATATATATTATCAATGTGCTTTATCAATGTTGATGTTAACCTTGATCACCTGGCTGAGGTAGGGTCTATCAGGTTTCTCCAAGGCTAAGTTACTCCCATACTGTACTCTTTGGGAGGCAGTCACAGTGCACAGCCCACACTTAGGAGTACAAAGCTTTGCTTCCCCTTTGTATCAGTTAGGATTCTCCAGAGAAACAGAACCAATATGTATGTGTATGTATTTATATTTATACATAAATATTTATAAGTTTTCATATATATATTTACTTTAAAGAATACATATATATACACATACATACGTATATAAACAACTCCTTAAAATAAATATACATGAAAACACAAATTATAATATACACAGTTGACTTTTGAACAATATGAGTTTGAACTGATCAAATCCACTTACACGCAGATTTTTTCAACAAAATGCAGATTGAAAATACGGTTTTCCAGAGATGTGAAACCCAAGGTGATGGAGAGCCGAGTTTTCATATATTTGTTTCTACAGGGCTGACTCCAGAACTTGAGTATGTGCAGATTTTGGCATATGTCAGGGGTCCTGGAACAAATACCCCATGTATTGGAACAAATACCCCAAGGGACAGCTGGAGGGGTAGTGAGAGAAAGAGGTCACAAGAAAAGGGGGAGGGTTGATTGATTCATTTTAAGGAATTGTCTCACAAAATTGTGGTGGCTCACAAGTCTAAAACCACAAAGCAGGCCAGCAGGCTGGGAACTCACAGAGGATTTCTATGTTACAGTCTTGAGGCAGAATTCTTTCATCTTTGGGAAACCTCAGTTTTTGCTCTTAAGGCCTCCAACTGACTGGAGGGAGCCCATCCACATTACTGAGGGTGATTATCATTTACATTAAGACAATTGTTAATCATACCTACAAAATACCTTCACAGTCACATGTAGACTGTCATTTGACCAAACTACTGGGCAACATAACCTAGTCAAGTTGACACATAAAATTTAACCATCACAACCTCCTTGAGTGTGTTGTATCTACATAAATTATTTGGAATTCTTCTTCATGAGTGCTTTGTCTCTTCTCCCCTTTTTATTTATTGACTTATTTATTTATATCAACATAGATGCAAGAATATCTATTTATACTTGGAGTTATAATACAACACTTATTAATATATTTTGTTGCTCAAATTGTTTTAGCTTTGGCCATGAAAAACTCTTGATTTGCTCCTGTGTCCCTTTGACATACTTCCACCATTTATTTTATTTTTTTTAGCACTTCCTGTTTAGCACAAGATGCTCCAGGCTCATCTTGTGTATATTCTTCCCAGACCTATAATCAGCCATTTCTCTAAAGAGCCCTGGTTTATATTATTGAAGAATGGTATTAGAAGCAAAGATCCCGGTGCTAGAAGTGTTCATTGCTACCGGTGTCTCACTACTTTTAGGCTTTCTCAGTGGAGGAAGCAAGGAAATATATGCCTGTATACTAAACCATGTATAAACTCATATCTATAATATTTCTACTCATAATCATCTGTCTATACTAAGCTAAACATAAGTTCATACTGATGTCACCAACTCTAATTTATTATCACACAAATCATTGTAGCTTCCTCCCCTTGCTTCCACTCCAACAGTGAGATACCTGGCTCTCACCATCCACCATTAACAAAATTGCTCCATTCATATATTTATATATATATACACACACACAACACAAACACTAACACACATATATATACCCATCTATATATATAATATATACATATATATATCAACCTTTTCCTCATAAGAATTGTCAACCCTTTCCTCATGAGAAACAATTTTATCAACTAGAATATAGTGATTACATACAAGTACCTTTTATTTTAGTCTTACAGACTCTACATATTTCCAAAGTTACTTAGTCAGCGCCTTTTCTTCCTATCTTATTCACTGAGATTGTTACATTCATTAGTAACACAGTTAGAAGCTTTCTTCTTTTACCATCACATTCATCCTGGAGTACACTACATCCTAGATGATTTTTTTTTTTAAATTTGCACCCTCTAAGATTAACTTCTTGTGGTATAAAATTTAATGGGTTTTGAAAAATACATAATGCCATGTATGCACCATTACAATATCAAACTGCATGGTTTCATCGCCCTAAAAATGTCTGTATTCTTTATTTAATCTTCTCTTCTTTCTCCCAAATCTACAGGAACCACTGAGCTTTTACAGTTACTTAGTTTTGCCTTTTGCAGAATGTTATGTGATTGAAATCATACAGTATGTATTCTAAAAGAAGACTGGCTTCTTTTATTTAGCAATGTGGATTTAAGCTTCATCTACACTTAACAGCTTATTTCCTTTTATGGCTGATCAATGTTCTATTGTATGGACATACCATCGTTTATCCATTCACCTACTGAAGGATATCTTTGTTGCTTCCAGTTTTTAGCAATTACGAGAAAACTTCTATAAACATTTGCATACAGGTTTTATGTGGACAAAAATTTTCAGATCAGTTAAGTAAATACCTATGAGTACCATTGCTGGAGAATATGTTAAAATTATGTGTAGCTTTGTAAGAAATCACCAAGCTGTATTCCAAAGTGGATGCACTATTTTGCATTCCAATTAGCAATGTATGATAGTTTCCTTTTCCCTACATACTCACCAGCACTTAGTATTTTCAGGTTTTTGTTCTCTGTGTTTAATGTTATCCATTTAATAGGTGAATTCTGGTTTTAATTTGCAATCCCCTAATGACGGGATGTTCAGCATCTTTTCATATGATTTTTTTGCAATATGTGCAACTTCTATGATAATGTGTCTATTTAGATCTTTGCCGACTTTGTAATTGGGTTATTAGTTTTCTTAGCATTGAGTTTTAAAAGTTCTTTGTGGTAATCAGTTTTAATTTTAATGATATTTTGGTGCCTACTGGAGAAACTCACAGCAATCATGATTGTCTATTCTCTAATTCTACATTTGAGGTTTTTTAAATTTAATAACTGTTTAATATGATGCACCTACCACCAAGAAATTTTCAGTAATATTTTTGAACATATGCATAATTATTTCATTCCTAATCACCCAGTCATGAAACACCAAACTCCCTGACCTCTTAATAGTTTATCTTTTCTTCACTAAGGAAATACTGTTCAGCCTATAAAATTTTGGCTGTCCCCATGCTTGGGTATTGCATACTTCCAGCCAAACAGCCTTGAAAGAAAAGCAGAGTAGAATTACAGTTTGTGTCTGGCAGTTACAATCACAGGAGACTTTTTTCTTATAAAAAAAAGAAAATCAAGAAAGACAGAGGTTCACAAATGGAAAAGGTTATTCACCAAGTAGCTCTTCAGCCACAAATAATCCATATTTTGATGATTTCATATTTTACAGTCCCCCAAATAATACCTTAAAGTGCTTCACTTTTTATCCACATCCTCATAAATCACTCTTGCCTCAAACTGCAAAAAGGGAAAGGGGAAAACACATCAGTTGTTTTTCTAAATCTTTGCTTATTTTTCTGGCCTGTGAGAGACTGGAGGAACTTTTCTGGACATCTTTTACAAGGCATAAGAGACAGTGTAGCAAAGTGGTTAGAAGTCCAGACTTTGAGCCAGACTGCTTGGGCTCTCACCAGCTATGGCACTGTAGTCGTAGCAGGCTGGAGAAAATTCCTTAACTTCCTTGTATCCCAGTTCCTTCATCTCTAAAATAAAGAGAATAACGGTATCTACTTCACAGAGCTGACAGGAGAATTAAATTAGTTAATACTTTGTTGTAGAAAGACAATAGTACTCAAAATCTGAAGTGGAAAAGTTGAATGTATTCTATCCTGAAGTAAGATCTATGCTGGTCAGGCATAGGCTCGTTGAGCAAAGCAAACGGTTGAACATTTATTAGGGTACTTAAGAAATGCATAATTTGCAGATGTCTTAGTTACTAAGGCAGGAGTTCTCTAAATCTCTCTTAGAAGTGTGGTTTATGTTGTAGGAGCGGGCTAATATCAGTGTCAGCTTTAAAAGTATATTCACTGGAGTAAGTCCACTACTGATTGGCCAGCTTTGAAGGCTGTCATTGGTTGGCTGGCTTTCAGAGACATGTTAAATGAAACAAATTGTCATTTATTCATTAAATAAGTTTAGAAACAGTTCTGATATATACTTGTTACCATGGTAAAACTGTCTGTTTCTTTCCTACATGCTTGAGGAATTACTTGTTTTTTAACTTAGATGCCATACAAGTAATAAGTACTCAGTTAATGTTAGCTACTGTAGGAATTTTAACTTGATTTGGTTAATAATGAATGGTAGGGGATAATACATCTTTAACATATTTTTATTTCCAGGTCACAAATTTCTAATTGCAAAAGGTAGAGCGTGAAGAATTTAAGAATCTGACTTACAGCCTCCTCCAACATTCTAATAAGTGCAGTAGCTCTGTACATTGATACAGCAACTATTTTCATGCAGAAATGCAGGGCTGTACAAATGAATGGGCAGGAAGAAAGGTGGAAAATTGTCATAAGTAAGTAGTATCATGAATTAGAACATGTGATATGCTACATTTATGAGATATCCTCTACCTACACTTTGTGTGGAGAGCAGAGATGTCATTTCCTTTGGGGAATCCCCGTGTACACTGAGGCGATTCTAAACATGCCTGAAGGAAAGGACTCTGCAAAGCCAGAACCTATACTAAAGCTGCAGAGCAGATAGCAGGGCCAAAAGTATTATCTTTCTTTGTATATTGTCTTATTTCTGTATGTAAACTTCATTCCATGAATAAGGTACAAATTGAATCTTTTACTTCTTTGTTTACATTTTTTCAAAAAGAGCTAATAAAACCTTGTGGGATACAAAGGGGTGAACAGGTATAGGAGAGCTTACTACATCTGCATTATATCCCGAAGTCCTTATGACTCCTGTGTAAGTTGAGCATTATTTTTTCTTCTTGTTCTTCTTTTGTACTCAAATACTGAAATGTATTCATGTATTGAAATGTACTCTATAAATCTTTTTCAATAGTTTCTCACTAATCATCCTCTAACCACTGAAATGTGCATTCATATTCCCACTTTTCAGAGAGTAAGAAGAGTTAGAGCCATATGTCTAGTGTTAATCTTCTAATAAATTATATAAATCTGGAAAGAGTCGACTTTTTTTTTCTCTTACTGTTGTGAGGAAATCAATACATTTCATCTTTTTCTTTGGAAAAACATTCCCTGAAGAATTCCCTCCAAAAAAAAATTAGGGCTTCCTTATCATTTTGCACAATAATCTATGTATAAAATTACAACTTGATACCACAAGTTGTTAGCCATCCAAAAACAATTAAATATGACTTTAAAAAGAGAGAGAAATGGCTTGACTCTGCAATATAAGACAATTCGAAATAATTTTCCCATTAACATATGTGTATGTGGTGAGTGATAATGAATGTCTAAGGTGATGAAACATAACTATGATGCAGTGAGGTGTTGTCAAGATTTTTTTTTAAATTTCCAATTAGTGTTTGGAGAGCTTTCACTACAATGTCATCAGCTACAGGCCTGTGTGAAGGCATTTTCACTGCTGACGAAACCAGAAAAATATCATGTCTTTCCAAGACTTACAAAAAGTGAGAAATGTACTGTTGCACACAGACTTTTTCAGGATGGAAAATGACATTTTAAAAAAACTTAACTCTTGTTCCACTGACTTTGCATTAACTCTTCTAGGCCATCACTGCTACTCATTAGGACGGTGGGACTTAATGAGATAAAATATATTTTTCCATCTTAAATTAAAACTGTTTGCCTTATTATTAATTTAGATTTTGCTGACTTTATAGATAAATTTCAGCTTATCCCTAATGGGGCAACAATATAAGGAGTTGGTGTCTAATAGGTCAAGAAGAATTTCTTTGATTTTAGAAGAAGCTAGCTCTCAAGTATCCTTCTATGTTTCAAAAGCTTGCCTAGATAGTTAGCTGTTGGCTATTCCCCAGGTGTTGTAGACCACAGACTAGACTCCTAGTAAGAAAGAAAAACAAAACAAAATATCTCCTATTTGCCAAGGGAATAATTACACAGATATGCCTATGTCAATATTTCTCCTTAATCCAACAATATATGATCAAATATAACAAAAATGATTTTAGAGAAAATCCAATGATTTGGCAAAACATTTCATTTTCATATTATTTCAAAGATTATCTTCTAATTTGCAAATTGAAGTAAGGTATTAGGGATTTATTTCTTAATCTAAATGTCTGAATTCTACCTTCTAATCCTATTCCAATCTCTATTCCCTTTGCTACATTATTAGTTAAATGCTGAATAGGTTGCCATTCTTCAAGAATAAGATACGATTTTATATTCAACTTGAACAAGATAGCGAAAAAATAGAGACCTTATTAGAATATTACATAATTTAAAGGACACATTCAAACCTTTCAACCAACAAATGTATACTAATGCTTAAATGTGTTTAGCACTGAGATCCATGTGATGCCTGATCTCTTATTTCTCAGAGCATATAAAATAGAGAGAAACAAACACATATGGATGAAATAGTTCAGCGATAATACAGGGCAGTATGTCCATCACCACCAAAAAGAAAGATAAGTAACTCAAATACTGTCATTTCTTTAAGCAGCCTAGAAAGGTACCAAGGTATAACAGGAAGGAAAGTGAAGGGGCTCAAATCATGGTTGCTTCTAATTAGTTAACCTTTCCGAAACTCAATTTCTTCTTCTTGTACCACGCAGAGGTGTATGTTCCTAGTTTCTGAGATCCCTTACAAAAGGCAGATCCATTGGAACTGGAAGACTCAGAGAAGCTGGAAAGGAGTTAGAATTTCAACTGCATCAAGAAAGTTGAGAAAAATTCGATTAGTGAGAAGCAATAACAGGAAATGGGATTACTATGAAGAAAATCTGGAAATAAAAGCAGAAAATGCCATGGTCAGAATATAGTGACAAACTTAGAATGAAAATGAAGGTGGATTGATAGAGAAAGGCTAAAATATAGAAGTTAAAGGCCACGCTGAGGATTTGAACTTTTTCTGTAAGATGTACAGAAACACTGGAGATTTTTTAGCAGGGCAGTGATAAAATAGTCTCATTTAAGACTATTAATCATATGTAATGGGTTGATTGGTGGGGACAGACCGGGAGGTAAATGAAAGAATAATTGTCTTTGTGTGAACATAAAGAACCAGAGTAAGGTGATAGAAATGAGAATGCACATGAAGCATTGACATCGGAAAATATTTAAGAAAGAAGACAGAGTGTCTGGTGACTGATGGGAAGGTGCTAAAAGAGAAGGGAGAGTCAGGAATACATCCAAGTTTTTTATTGTGGGTATATGAAAGAAGGGTGATTGCACAGAGGAAATGGGAAAGGAGTATGGGGAGGCAGGGAATGGTCATCAAAAGATCATGAATCTTCATTTAGCTAACAATCTCTGTCTCTAAGCAATTTTAAGAAGTGGCTTGGAAAAAGTCGAGCTATATTAATTACGAAGTAATTATGGAAATTCTGAGGAGTTTTGGCAGAGGTGCAAGGCCAAGGAAAAATTTGTAATATCTTTAGCAAATTTCTGCTTACAGGTTTGAAAGAGGTGCATATATTTTTTTCCTTGAACCATGGGTAAAGGTATTTTTCCAGTTAAAATTGCTTTTGGCAACAATTACACTGATAAATTTCATTAATTTAAATCATTCTTTCATAAGCATTTTGACTGCAAAAAAAAAGTTAAAACTTGGCTCATAGCTAGCTACTTACTACATATAGCATATATTTTGTTAAGCTAAAATAAATCTACATAATTAAGTTTACTAGCAACTTGTGCCATTATATTTTGTCAAAACCAAGAGGTGACATGCAATTAAACTTACTTGGCTTTGTAACTTTTCCTGTTAAGATAGGTCTTTTAAACATGTCACTGGCAACTTTTCTCAGAAGCAGGATTTTGATCTTGTAGAAGCAAATACATACTTGAGAAGACGATATTTGTTGGCACAGAATGTTATTACTTTGTCTTAATGAGACCCAGTCAGTGTCAGTGTTTACTGAGTAGAATTTATTCAATAGACGAACATGAATGCAAGCATGCTCTCTACTTGACAGTTAAATGATCCCCTTACCTAAGAAGACCTCTTATCTAGAGATTTTATCAGCATAAATAAACTAAATCTTCACACCTGTAATGCAGCTATTATTCAAATTCTCATATGGATGTCCCAAAGAGTAAAAAAGATAGCAATATTTTCATGGGAAAGTGACTATTCTGTCAGGACCCACTCAACCAAATAGAATAGGTCTTATAACCTCCTTCTACTTCTTTTGGTTTTGCACAATAATAAATAAATGCCCAGTGTGTGCTCAATATTTAACTTATGAATTAAAAAGTACTGAGATTTACTTCTTTGGCATTTAAGTTATTTTTATATCCAGGGCCAAGTAGTGAATACACAATAGATAAGTAGGTACCAAATAGATAATTTTTTAGACTACCACAGCTAAGGCCAAAGAAATATTTTTGAATAAATGAACATGCTTCTAAAGTTAATCTTCCTATCCTAACTCCTGTGTAACGAGTATCTTAGCTCCAGAGAATGATTCTGATAGTGGCAGTGTAAGCATTTGGGGCAGGTTAGTAAGACTCTTGGTGGTTGCTATTTCCACTTTAATAAAGGATGATGTTTGAATGTAAAACTTAGTATCAATTTTGGCACCAAAGTACCACTAAAAAAGTTGCACCCACCATTTTCCAACCCTTTCAGTATTGCCCATCTATGACTAAACATTGACAAAAGAGTTGAAACTAGCATATAGGACAAATCTTACCCAGTTTTGCCCCCATCTCCTACCTGCTAACTGCTCTCAACCTACCAAGAATGAGACTTCTTTATCCTAAATGAATCAACACAAGAACAGAAAACCAAATACCACATGTTCTCACTTATTGGTGGGAGCCAAACACTGAATTCCCATAGACAATAGATACTGGAGAGGTACTAAAGACAGGGGAGAGATGAAGGGGAGCACGGGCTGAAAAAACTCTTATTGGTAACATGGTCACTAACTGGGTGATGGGATCATTTGTAGCCCAAACCTCAGTGTCATGCAATATACCCATCTAATAAACCTGCAAATGTACTATTTAATCTATAATAAGTGTTGAAATGATAAAAAAAGAATGAGACTCCAGCAATATTACTAGTGTATTTGGGGTCCCAGAACAACCTCCAACTCTCAAAACCAAGGAAAACACAGGCAATGCTTGAGTGGGTAGAGTGAATATAATTAAAGTGTGTTTTATTTGCAGGACGGCCTGATACCTTCTAGGAGAAATAGATAATATATCCATTTAAACTTACACGTAGGCTTCTGGGTTGCTAAGGAATGACTGCCACTCATTAGCCTTCCAGGCCATGTTCTAAACAAAAAAGGAAGTTGTTCTGATGGGATAGTCAAAGTATCCAGGATTGGTGCTAGGTGACAAAGCAAATAGATAACTTTTAAGGTAGCATACTAGAGTTCATTCCCATCTGTCCTCTGGCATAAATCATCACACACTTTTACCAAATTCCCAACTCAAGGGAAGGAAGAAATATAATGAGCTGAAAAAGCCATATTTCCAGATGTACTACAAAATAAGAATTTCCAGAAATGAGCTGCTTCTACCCAGGAGATGTACAGGACAATCTACTGGAATAAGAAATTATAAAATAATATACCACATGTTCTCACTTATAAGCAGGAGCTAAACGGTGGCTACACATGGACATATAAAAGGAAATAATAGACACTGAGGACTCCAAAAAGGTGGGAGGGGAGTGAGGATTGAAAATTTATCTGTTGAGTACCATGTTCACTATTCAGGTGATGGGTACACTAGGAGCCCAATCCTCACCACTACACAATATATCCATGTAACAAACCTGCCTGTGTACCCGCTGAATCCATAAACATTAAAAAACTAAGAAAGAAATTATATTTATACTTTTTTACAAAATGTAAGAAAGATTATTTTAATAGTATTTATTATACATCTGGACACCAACATCCATACTAGGACACATGTCACCCAGCTTCCTATCATATGCAATAGCCCAACATTTGTTAACTCTCAGAATACTGTGATTTACTATATTTTAAAGTGATTTATGGGTTATATTGTCTTCTATAATGAATGTTCATAATTACTTGAAATAAGATAGGGAGTATATGTGAAAATCTTTTGTACTCTATCTATGAATACTAGTTATCTCCAGACAATATATTTAAGAATTTTCTGAAATATGTTATTTATTTATATACTTATTTAAATGTATTTGTCCATATCCATATGTACTCATCAATCTATATCTATTTATGCATTCATCCATTCATCTATCTATAAAGGTATATTCTAAAAAACTGTGTGAATTAGGTGTACATTCAAAATGTTTGAACACCACCAATATGGAAAACAAACAGCACAAGCTCATTGCATCTTGTAACCTCATGTTGTCTTTTCAAACAAATTGATAGAGCACATTTTCTCTACCTCAGGATGGTGGCAGAATCCCCTGTCAAAAGATAAGATTTTCATACTGAGGAAGCAATAACTTCCTCCAGGAAAATTAAGAGCAATCAAAGGGCCTGGAAACTGTTCTGAGAGGGGGTTGAGAAAAGTTAAGACATTTCATGGATAAGAGGGTGAGGATGTTTGTGATAGAAGATTATCCTAGTGTCATCTAAACTTAGAGATAATTATTTCATCCATCCATTCCTTAATCACTCCAAAACTATGCATTTTGCTAGGCCCTGGAATGTGAAAATGAAAATGATACATCCCTATCTTCAAGATATTTATGGTCAATTAAGTTAATTCATCTAAACCAATTTATTTTATAATATCAAGATATGACTATTACTTTAAAAATCAAAATTAAAAGGTGAATATATCCTGATGAATGTTGTTTGCCTTTTCCTTTATAAAGAAAGAAAAAAACACAAAGTACAAAAACACCAAACATCAGTTCATAAAAGCAATTGTTGTCTATGTTTAATATTATAAAAACACTTAAATTTCAATGTACATTTTAATAACTCTTGGTCTTCAAACCAATATTTTAAAATGTACTTGTCGATAAGTCATGCTTTTTCTAGCACAATTTACCTAAAGTAAATGAAACAACCATGCTTCACGTTTAATTGAAAGAAAAATCAAAGTGACTTTATATGTTTTGACTGTTATTAGAGTGTATTAAAATGCATTTAATAGAATATTTAAAAGATACTAATCTGGCTTAAATATTTTAAAATCACTTCTTTGTTATTAAAAAAATTAAAGGATGACTTAAATATTCATAAGGGATGGTTAAAGCTATTTCAGGTAAAAGAAAGGAGTAACGAAAGAGAAAGGGAGAAAGGGAGGAAAGAAGAAAGGAAAGAAAAAGAAAATAATGAGCTAAAGGCTAAACTGCAATTAATATATTAAGAAGGAACACCTAAATCTAATGTTTATTGAGCACTTTCTAAAAGCCAAACTCTGCACTATAGACCTTCACCTAAACCAGTGAAGTCTTTATGTCTTGGTGATGACATAAAGTGGTTCCATCTTGATGTCAGAGGCAGATAACTTTTCCCGTAAAAGGCCAGATGATAAATATTTTATATAGATATGGGCCACACGGTAGTCCAACCACTAACTTTGCCACTAGAGTGCAAAAAGAGCCATAAACAACCATGAAACATCTGTAAACACTGTTTTTTGCATTAATGACATACTTAACTTTCTCTTAAGCATAAAAAGACAGGCACAACTGTATCACAACAAAACTTTTTAAGTGGATACTGAAATTTGAATTTCTCACACCACAAAATATTCCTTAAATTTGTTTTCAGCCCTTTAATAATGTAAAAACCAATCTTAGCTGGCTGGTCATACAAATCAAGCATTGGGCCAGATTTGGTCTCCAGACCACAATTGCCACATCTTTATGATGTTGTATTTAACATTGAGATTAATATATTTCTACACTGTCCTGTGAGATGCATTGGAGCTAGCCTTCCGGAAGTTTATTTGTATGAGGTATTCAGAAATCTTATCAGAGAGGACTTTCATCCAAGGGAAAATTAAATTGGAGAGAAAAGATTGGTCTAAAGGTAGAGGGAGGATTTTTATTTCAATATAATATTTTTTCACATGGTTTTGCCTCATAGGGTAACCTCTACGAACATGTGTCTAAATTTTCATGAAGAGCCTAGGTTGAAATGTTTTAAGAGCTTTTTGTTCCTCTAAGAATTTTATAACACATCAGAATAGAAACAGCACTGTTCCGTTATCTAAGGGTATTACACAAAAAGGTGAAATCAGCATTTCTCTCCACTTGCCACCAAACAATCTGTAAACTTTGGCAATTTGGGGACTCTAGAATAGCTTTGGCACAGATATGACCCAGTAAAGATGGCAGGGCACAGTGGGTAGGGTGCAGAACAAGAAACGGTAATCCCATTTTTAACCCAAGCTTACCTTAGGAAACTTGGGGTTCCACACTTAATTTAATCTTTACAATAATTATGTGAGAACACCATTTTATTCCTTTTCTTATCCCTAAGCTAATTCTGAGAGAAAGTAGGCCTAATGGGGATGACAGCAGATCTGAAAGGAATGCATCCTGCTGCTGTCTTTTTTGTCCACACCTCGCCTTGGTATTATTTTTGCAGAAATGTTCATGTGTGGAACTGAGTATATCTCATCCAAGAATATGTTTTTGATTTGGGGGTCTAGTTTTAGTTTTCTAGTTTTGGTTTTGTTTTCACCTAGTGTTGTTGAGAAAATGACAATCTAAAAGTCTAAATAAATGTTTGAAATCTTGTTGTAGAAAAATATTTTTCAACATTGATCTTAATATACTTTTAAATATTGATTGATAACTGAGCATTTACAGCTCTAAAAAGCTGCTCTCATCCATTAAAAATGTATCTCTGAACACATTAATAATTGTATTTTACAATTTATTTTTGGAATTAATTTCCATTGGATCATTGTCTCACATCACCCACCAGCCCAGAATGCAAAACTACCATCTTTGAAATTGTCACTCAGGGGTGGCTTCAATGAACACAGCAAGAAGAAAACTATCAGAGAATCACTTTTTTTAAAAAAAAATGAAATTTTGGAAATAATTCAGAAATGTACCTTTGTTTTCCAATGCTGTGAGTGAATAAATTTGACTTTCGATCAACACAGGTTTTAACTGCACAGGTTATACATGGATTTTTTTTAATATAATGAAAAATCTTTTGGAGATCTGTGACAACTTGAAAAAACTCAAAGGCAAAGAACTTGCCCTAAAACTATGGGGAAAAAATTAAGAAAAAGTTAAGTATGTCATGAATGCAAAAAATATATTTAGATACTAGTCTATTTTATCATTAACTGCCATAAAATATACACAAATCTATTTTAAACAGTTAAAATTTGTCAAAACTCAAACACTTACAGACCATATATGGCACTATTGGCAGTAGAGAGATGTATAAACAAACTTAAAGATCCAGAATTAAGTCATAACTGCATAAAATTAACTGCAGTATATAGTGTATTGCTGTAATAATTTTGTAGCCACCTCCTGTTGCTATTGCAGTGAGCTCAAGTGTTGTGAGTATCCCCTTAAATCACCTGTGTGATGCTAATCATCTCCAGGTGAGCAGTTCTTCTCACCAGTAAGTTGCATTACACAGTTAAAAGTGTTCTTTTATGGTTCTCATGTAGTTTTCATCTTTTTTTTTTTTTTTTTTTTTTTGCAGTACTGCTTTATTTATACCGTCGACTGAGGTCTGCAGCTATGGTTGCCCACCACTTTAGATAGACAACGCATCTTGTAAACAGAAGACATACACTTACAGTATGAATAAATACAGTAGAGTACTTTAAATGTATTTTCTCTTATGATTTTCTTAATAACATTTTCTTTTCTCTAGCTTGCTTTACTGTAAGAATATAGTATATAATAGATGTAATATACAAAAAAGTGTTAATCAACTATTTGTATTTATCAATAAGGCTTCCCCTCAACAGTAGGCAATTAGTAGATAAAGTTTTGGGCGCGTTAAAAGTTATACATGGATTTTCAACTTCACAGGGGGTCAGTGCCCCAACCCCTGCATTGTTCAAGGGTCAACTGTATATTGTTTTCAGTTCTAGATAGCAGTTTTTAACTGAGCCACATCAACAGGCAGAACTTTCTAATAATGGTGTGGTGAGAAGCTCCTACTAGGCCTTAGTCACTGATCAAAACCCTCATTGCTCTCCAGTTTACAGCAATCTTTACTATTGTTGCTATTGTTACAATGATGACACTTTTCCCATCATACTTGATCTTAGGTTTTTATGCTTGAACTCAATTCTAGAGTCCAATCACATCAAAAAATAAGGAAGGAAAGAAACGAAGGAAGGAAAGAAGGAAGGAAGGAAGGAAAGAAGGAGAGAAGGAAGGAGACTCTTCAAGGATGAAACAACGTCTGCTTACAACAAATCTGTTTTGCCTGTGGAGGAGACAATTCATGTTCATAGATTCTAGTCTGGTGCCCATTAAGATCCATCAGTATTTCATTTCCACCAAGACACATTGTGATACTCTCAAACTCTCTGAAATTGTGGTGAACATGCACAATCATGGGATTATGAACTTCTTCATCCATCACAAATTTTCAATCAAAAAACACACCTAACTTATTAAGTTGCATCTCCGGCTGACTTTGTATTCCATTTTCTTCCTGCATTCAGCTGGAAGCATTCACAAATAACAAAATATAATACTTCCCATGTTATGTGTTGCCAGGCAATCAGGGCAGAAATAATTAACACGAGAAAGTGGACTGCCAGTATCCTGCTGAATGGCTCTGGAAAGAGTTCAAATATGACAAACATTCTTAGCTGTCCCTTCTGGGACACGTGCTCTGAAATAACAGTTTGAAAGGACAACTGCCAACTCCAGTTTCAAACAGTTTGACAGCACTACAGAATTTCATTCTAAAATCTGACTCAGTTTTTATTTAAAGGAGAATTCATCTATGCACACTACGTCTTTTTGTGCCCATTTCTAAAAGGGTCCTTCCTGATCTCCTGCCACCTCTGTTCAAGTCCAACTGCCTAATGAAGCTAATCCTGAGCACTAGATCTTTCTATAAATGCAGAATTAACACTGAATTCAAAAGGAGACCTGGGTCTGTGAAGAGCCTTGTGTCAGGCAAGCCAAGAGTATCACAGATTTCTTTTTAATGCCCTATCTCACTTTCTCTCTAATTCTGTTTAAATAAAAAACAAGTTGGGAAACCAATCAATTCAGTAAACACATTCTCACAAAGAAATCTTCAACCAGGAGTACCTAACATGAGAAACAATGTGATAGATATCTAAATACTTTCAAAGAATCTTAGTTGAATTTGTTGCACGTTAGGTCAATGAACATTTGTTGAGTACTTGTAAGGTATAAGGCCCCGTGGTAAGTGCTGGAAACCACTATAAAAACACAGTCTCAACTCGCATATACTTTTACTCTGGTAAGAAAAATACGAATGTAAACAGTTATTTCAGTGCAATTCAATAAATGCTAAAATAGAAGTATAGATAGGGTGCAGTAGGCATAAAGATCAGAGACTCCCAGGCTGATTTAATTTTATAGATGTTACTTCTGGAAGGGACCATGGTGACTATCTAGTACAAGTCACACCTAACACAGAACACCACTGATAAAGGATCACAAACCTTCTGTTCAAACATTTCAGGTTTGGAAACCTGGGTTCAAGTACTGTTTCCAGTCATTCATCTATGCAGTTATTAAATACTTATTGATATATTATTATGTAGGTTTGTCCTGAGATATTAAATAAATAAGATAATTAATGCACCTGACTTCATAGATCGAACTTATTATTTGGTGTGAAAGACAGATATTCGGTAAATAATTGAAAGTGTGCTGGCAGTACGCAAGAAGGCATACAACTTTATGCTGCCCCATTCTTGCCATGCATGTGAGCATGCCTCTACTTCTCTTGACTTCAATCCCTCATCCATTGCAAGAGGCAGTTGAAGCGTATCACTAATCTCCCTTCCAACTCTAAAGCTACTATAATTTCTAGAGATAGAGAACTACTGCTTTGTGAGAGTAAATCTGCTCCTTTTTGAAATCACTGAGCTCTTCTAAAACTTGGTGTAGTGTAAAGTCTCTATCTTTGGAGCCCAACACAACTGGTTTAAAACCATCACACTGATACTTACTAACAGTGTGATCCTGGGGTGATCTGTAATTTCTTTGAGCTTTATCTTCCAGTGTAAAGTAGGAATAAAAAAATGAGGTTTATCAAGACTATTTTTTAAAAAGATAATATATGTAAAATAATATATGTAAAACAAGTAGCATAGTGTTGGTACATAGATACAAAGTATTGCTGGCTATCTTCCCCTGCATTTTTTTCCACTAGCTCAAAATCAATCACTCAATCTCACTAATCTCTCTCTCTTAATGAGATTTGACATTCATTGAATTTATTGAACAATTAGATTTATTGAGTGCCTCCTTATTTGCCAGGCATTGTGTTAGGTGATGTGGATACCTGAAAAGCAAGACAGTCACTCAGTTCCTGCCCTCATAAAAGAAGTAGATAGGTCCAATTTTTCTCCAGATGTCAATCTACTTTCTAAGGTAAAGCTTTTGTGGTCCCAACCTGCTTCTCTGGGGTGCTTCCAGAACAAGACTCTGAGTAATGTCCTCAGTGATCTGCAGCCATTTTCACAAGGTACTCTCCAATGATTTGTCTGTGCTTCTGCAGCAGCTCTTCCCTAAAAGCATCAGCCTACCTGGAAAAATACCAAATAAACTCCTGCTTTATGCGATCACAAGGAAACCTCAGCTAGTTTTTTTCAACCTGATTAACTTAAAATGGACCCTAATTGGAAAAAGTTCTCACCTTTGAAAACTTCCATCACTGGAGTATATCTGTTTTTAATTATTGGTAACTAAAATAATCTTGCCTGCCTGAGAAATTGGGGAGGTGGGGGATCTGTGTCTATGCACTTCTAATTTTGAAGTCCTTACAGAGGCTCACATCTTCCCTTTAGTGTCCACCTTTGAAGTTCTTTTTTCCAAAGTTGCATTCCCTTAATTAGTTCCCAAATAGACAAAATTATTGGAGTTACCTTTATCTTCCCCAGATCAGCTGTTTTCAGTTATGGCATTTCTAATTTCCAGAAAGATTCAGAGTGAAAAAATTTGTCCTGATGGACTCACTCAACTTAATTCCAATTACAGAATGGATTTTTTGACCTTAGTTTTAACAATTAGGTGTCTCTCTTTCTGAAATAACTAAGGTTATGAGTGTATTTCCCTGTTTTAGCATCTCGATATTTTCCTGGCTATCTGAAATAGATTAATAACATCCTTCTAATGACTTGCCATTTTTTTTCTTTTTAAGAATACTTATATTGGTATTCATTGGCTATCATTTTAGTCATTTTCTTCAGGCAATACTGTTTCCATTGCTTGTGGATTAACAGACAGTTGCTTCCCCATGCCCCTGTGGAACAGACAATCAGAGAGAGTTGCACTGGTCAATGAGCCCTGATGAAGTGTGATCAGTAAATTCTCTTATCACCATGGTAACTGGTATGCTCCTTAGACGCTGCACTATCTTGGTATCATGGGGAGAAAGCTTGATGACACATCACTGTGCTCTCCTTCTACATTAAACTTGTTGTTTGACTCAGTCTTTGGGGATATTATTGTTGAAATAATTATAAATCCATAAAATGTCCACATCTATAATTCTGCATATTATCTACAATATCATAAGAAAAAGTGCCAGATGTTTGGATAAGTCAATGTAGGTGATGTCCAAATTTATTATTTGAATGATCTTCTACAAAAACAAAGGAAATGATTTAGCTGAATTGTTCTTTAGAATGCCAAACTGAGTCGTAGTGTTCTTGTTTTTCATGAGGGCTCACAAAACATTGCTCTAATTTATATCAGAGTTTTCAGTTTCTGGTTTAATCTTGACATACTACAGGCTTTCCTTGATTTGATTTAAAGCTTTTCTTTCTCTATTTTCCTTGAACTAATCAATACCTTTAGCCCATTTTCCAATTTTGTATAGAAGCTGCTTTTCCATGTCAGTTTCCATGTCAGTGGATATCTTTGTGTGATATGACCCAATTAAATTCCTACTGAAACAATCTTAGCTATTAGAATTCTCCATTCCAAGTTTTTAGAATTGTAGTCATTTGCAAAAGGATGTAGCAGGTTAGTTGTAGGTTATTTGCTGGTCTATATGGGGGAGGGCACTAATTGGCTTTTAATTAACTAGGCCAATATGTTCTATGCCTCCAAACCATTGTTTTTCAATTATTAGCAACTTCCAAAAACCATATCTGTTTCTGAGACAGTGACCTTACCCAGGCTCTTTCTTAAGGGCTTATCTCTCCTGGATGATAAACACCCCACAGGTCTTGGGAGTTCACATTTTGCATGCACGATAATGTAGGAAGTGATATACCTAGCCAAGACTAATGGCTTATCTACTATAAACCATAGATGGGCATTGGCAGGTTTTCAGCTTTCTACTCAACATTTTTGCAATTTAAGGCAGACTCTCAGCATCTCTTGGATGTACTTTTTGCAGTTTACTTTATCATTATTCAGTGCCATGTGATTTCATGTCACAGTCAAAGTGAATAATGGAAGTTTTGCATTATTATTAGCCACAAGCATAACTCAAATGTCCTGGGACTTCACCGGTCTATGGGTGGATCCACAGGAGATGACATTAACAATGCCAAATGGGTTGGTTAATAATCCCAAATTTAGCCACCATCACAGTCATTTCTGTGAATCTAGTGAAAGCTCATGAATGCTGATGACATCAATCCTCTCGATGTCTCTTCACTATGGCCAATCTTGCCCCAAGGAGTCACTTTGCCAATGACAGAGTCTCTAGCATCCTCTGTGCAAAACTGCCCCTCTGCAATGTCTGTGTGTGTGTGTGTGTGTGTGTGTGTATTACCAAAAGATTCCCAATGTTTCAAAAACAACCCTGCAAAAAGTCTAGTGGTGCTAAATAATACTGAGTTACTTTAATCCCTCATTCTTATAGTACCAACAGATGCCTCATATTTTACTGACAGCTAAGGGGTCAGCTCCAGACCCTGGGTCCAGAGGGGCAGAAAATCACCCTGACGTGTGCATCTCTCTAGTCTCTGACTTCCCAAAAACTTCTGTGCAAAACAACTATTTAAACATTTTTATTGCTCTTATGGATATCAGTGTACCTGAGGGGGTTGTAGCAGCCCAAAGCATCATTAGACACTTTCTCATTTTATCTTCTGTCAGAACATCCTACTTAAGTAAATGGAGAATATTTTTTAGCAAAATGAAACAGTGGAGAAGATGACAAAAGGGAAATCAGTCTACCTATTCTTTCTTTTTTAAATTCCCAGCCAGGAGGGAAGCAGCTTCCTTCCAAAAACAGTTAAGGAATAGTGATGCTTATGTCTGCTCCAAAGATAAGGGTCACAGCTGGAACTGTTACACGGACATCTCTTATGACCAAATCACTGTTTAGTGCAGGTCTGTTTCTTTACTCCTAATGAATCCTGGCTTTAGAATTGCAGGAATTCATCCAGCAGAAGAGAGGACTGCACTCATGTGTTATTTGCCCATGAGTGAATAACCTTCGATAGAGTCTAAATTCCATAATTTTGTATGATGTATGCTTGAGTGTTTTGTGAGTGGGCCCTGAAAATCAGGATCCAATTTGGAAACATTGGTAAGTACCCCGCAAATGATTGTTGTTACTAAGCACACATTTGTATACTTTAAACCAATTTCAATTACAAAGAATAACATATGTAGAATAAAGTGATAACCGGCAAAATGACAAACACCAAGGCTTAAATCATTCAGGATTACATTAGGTATCTGAAATAGCAAATTTTCTAGAATAATGTCGTAGTGATTTCCATGAAATATACCTTAGTGAAGCAAGGTAATTTTCTCACCATCAAACCATCTGCTGCCATTAATGCCCTTGTTTTCAGAACAGAGGATCAACAATCATATATCCTAGAATGCTTTAAGACTTCTCTCTTCAAGGCAGATTTCTTTGTTCTCTGATCACTATTTAAATCAAGTATAGCTAAGGCAAATGTCAACTAAACAGGTGTCATAAATGAGTGAACACAATAAGGAGAGGAAGGCACAACAGTGAACCTCAGACACAGTTCCATCCACACCTACCCTTTCAGGGTACATTAAAAAATGACTGTAAAAAGCCAAATAAATACATCCACAGACCACACCTTACATCTGCTACGAGCCTATTGGGTGCCTTCTGCAATCTGAGGCCCCTGTGCCAACCCGTACCACATCTGTTTGCACCTTCTAACTTAAATTTACTCATATCCATATTTCCTTCTTTCAAACCACAGACACTTTATAAGTAACAGGTTACACATACTCACATCAATGAGGCAGAATTCACATTGTATTCCTATTTTTGTAAGACTATTTTTGGAAAATGATACAAATAGTAATTAAATAGAACTGTATGTAACTAATCCTTAACTCAAGGTCATTAGTTATTTTTAATCTCAAATATGGACTTTTTCATTTTCTGTATGTGCAAAAATTCCAGTCATTGATAAATTCAGATGCCTATATTTACATTATACAAAGTGCAAATAAAACTAAAGATAAAGCAATTTGCTAATGTTGGTTTCAGCTACTAAATAGAAACTTCAGCAGTCCTTTAAGATAATAATAGCAAGTCAATGGTTGCCTTCCAAATATTTTTTAAAAGCTGAAAAAGTTAATACTGTATTAATGTACTTCTTAATTTGCACATTTCACAGATTTTAACTAGTTATTGTAGCTATTGCATGTTTAAATAAGTACAGAGAAGGGGTGTACTCCAGGAATACAGTTATTTGGTTTTACAAATAATGTAAGATTCAGATAGTTTTTCTATCTCAAAGTTAAGCCTCTTAGAAAATAGTTAAGAATAATGAAATGGTTCAGATGGCAGGATGAATTTTCAAGAAATAAGTGAATGTACCATAAATATTCATAATCGTGTTAGCTTCACTTTTTAAACAATTTCCAAGATGTTAGCTTGCTTCAGTGTAACTACTGGTCAAATCAGAGACACAAAGGTTAGGGTATGCTTCCTTCATTAATGATTTGGCTCAATGCACACAGCAGTATAATGTATTTTATGAGTGAGGGAAATGATATTGGTTTGAGAGGTCTCATGTAGCAGTCATATCCTGTCCAAATATAATTTTGAAAACAATCAGAGCCATTATGGCTCATACAGAAAGAAAGATAAAGACAGATAGCTGTATATGGGTTTTTAATAAGTAATTCACCCTGGGTCTTGAAACATCAGATTGCCAAGTAATGTTATTAATGTATAAGCATGTTAGTAAAATCATGTATTCTTTCCATTGGCTGGCTTTAGATATGTTTCCAATGCAAATATTGTGTAAATGTATTGAATCCAAGTTATGCAAATCAAGAATGTAATTCATCTTTCAAGAATTTTACTTGATTATTTCACATGCCAATAAGCATTTTTCTGGCAACAGTATACTGACTATTTATATCTAACATATTCCACTGGTGAAATCATGCATCATTTGCTGAATATTGGATATTTATTGTTTAATATATTGATCACCTCTCAATCTTTAAGGTTAGCATCTTGTGAAACTTCTTATTTGAGTCTTCCATAATGAAAGAAAACTATTGGCACTATCAAATTGTTTTTTTTTTTTTTTTGCAAGGAGCAATATGTGTGCTCATAAATGAGAACCTCAAGCAAAGACTTGAAAATAAAACATCTTATATCCAGAATGCTTGACCATCAATCACATTGTTGGGGCAGATTTCAAAGACACTCCTTCTTCCAACTGGCCATTCTCCTTTCCTCATGCTCATAAAACACAGTGGGCCTCTGTGATACAGTGTGCCCTCATTTTAACACCAAAGTTCCCCTTGGGAACCTTAATGGCTACTCTCATATTTAGCACTACTCAACATCTACTCTGAGCATCACCTTCCAACACAGACCTACAGAGATTTATTTCCTACAGTATTTGTGTGCATACTTATCTTCCTCATTAAACTGAAAGCACCTTTGAGGGCCTTCTTGTATCATATTCGTCTTTGACACTTTTCCTCTACTCTGCCTTTATTTAACATGGACATTTGTATGTAGTTAGTACTCATAATAAAGTGACATTTATTGAGCACTTATTATGTGCTAGGTACAGGTCTAAGGACTTTATATTATTATCACACTGAAAACTTACAGCCAACTTTTGAGGTGGGTACTATGATTATCCCCAACTAGCAGATGAAGATAGTTAGACACTGAAGTTATAGTCCTACAGTTAGTAAATGATAGAGTCAAGATTGGAAAGTTTTACTCCAGGATCTTCACTCTTAGCCAGTAAAACCGCCTGTACTCACTATACTATATTCTAAATATTTTAAATATACAATAGTAGTAACAATAGCTAAAACTAAACACTTTCTATGTGCCTTTCCCTGTTCTAAGACATGTTTCTAATAGTTGATAGAAGACGTAGTATTACATAGTAGTTAAGAACTCTGCTCAAGTGTGGGATGATCCTGATTCCAAATATCAGCTCTACCTCCCACTAAAACTGTGACTTTGGCACTATCCCATTTTGCAGATGAGGAAATAAGAAATCAAAGAGTTGGCTGGGCACAGTGGCTGAGTCCTGTAATCCCAGCACTTTGGGAGGCCAAGGCAGGTGGATCACTTGAGGTCAGGAGTTCAAGACCAACCTGGCCAACATGGTGAAACCCTGTCTCTACTAAAAATATGGAAATTAGTCAGGCATAGTTGTGGGCAGCTGTAATCCCAGCTACTTGGGAGGTTGAGGAAGGAAAATCACTTGAACCCAGGAGGTGAAGGTTGCAGTGAGCTGAGATTGTGCCACTGCACTCCATCCTGGGTGATAAAGTAATACTCTCTCTCAAAAAAAAAAAGAAAGAAAACAAACAAAAAGAAAAAAAGGAATGAAAGGAAGGGAGGGAGGGAGGAAGGAAAGAAAGAAGGAAGGAAGGAGGGAAGGAAGGAATCAAAGAGTTAAGTAAACATGGTCTAATCAAAATTGATGGCTTGCATCACTTTACAATACCTTCCAACTATGATTATTCAATTAAGAGCTAAACCTCTGCAGATGAAGAATCTCAACTTTTACAGGTGGCACATGCCATCCTTGAGCAGCACAAAGTTTTGGAAGGTTCCTGCTTTATTTAACAGAAATATCTAACATGTTATTTCTATCCATTAATTCTAATTCTACTCTATTAGGTAATGACCATGTTTATGTGTGGGAAATGAAAATTCTAGAACCCACAGTACAGCCTCTTCTCCAGTCCCCACACTTTTTTCAAAAACACAGAAAAAGATAATGTAATTCATTTTCTACTTCATGGTCCTTTAAGTATTTGATGCCTGCCCTCTTGGGTGTTTACCATTTTCAGGACAGACATCCTTCTTTCTTCAACCACATTTATTTAGGAGTCTGTGTGATCAGATGCATTCTATAATTATTTTCTACTCACTAACCCTGAATGACTTCAAACTGTATTTTTCTGACCTGCTAGCTCTCCCACCCTGAGTAGGCCTTGTGCCTGGCTACTGGCCACTATATTTAGCCAGATACATTCTGATTTTCTCATTTTATCTCTTCCTGATGGGGTCTAAATTTTAAAAATAATTTTTACATAAATAAAAAAATTAGAGACTCTCTAATGTTACTTGTGGAGCATCATGGAACATTAACCCTGTGGCACATACATAAATATTTTACAGTTTAACCATTTAGTTTAGTCATTGAGTTAGAGAGAGAAAGAAAGAAAGAGCAACAGAGATGCATATGAGATGCATGTAAAGGTAGGCATATGCACGTATAGTTTAAAGATATGACTGCAGAATGCAAAACTGACCTTCTATCCAATATTTTTTTATATATAGCTGTCAACTTCAGGAGTCTTTGGGTAGTTGTATTTATTAGTCCATTTTTATGCTGCTGATAAAGACATACCCAAAACTAGGAAATTTACAAAAGAAAGAGGTTTATTGGACTTACAGTTCCATGTGGCTGGGGAGGCCTCACAATCATGGTGGAAGGTGAAAGGCATATCTCACATGGTGGCAGACAAGAGAAAAGAGCTTGTATGGGGAAACTCCCCTTTTTAAAACCATCAGATGTCATGAGATATATTCACTATCATGAGAATAATATGGGAAAGACCTGCCCCCATGATTCAATTACCTCCCACCTGGTCCCTCCCACAACACATAGAAATTCAAGATGAGATTTGGGTGGGGACACAGCGAAACCGTATCATTGTATTAATCCCTGGTGACCTCAGTTGACTGAAATTGTTTTCTAGTCACTGAAACCACCATATTCTCCTCTCTTTTTTCCTGGTATCATCCACTTGGTCTGTTTATCAACAATCACTTCCAACCTCTTCTTCAGCTGGCTTCTCTAATCTGTGGATTCCATTCCCTATAGTTTTCTCTACAATTAATTTTCAACTTACTCTACATATTGGCCATCAATTGCTCATACTAGCTAAAATCTATCATTATAAATTAATCCTTTTGGATTTTGAAAGCTACTTATTTTCAAGAGTACTTTACTAAAATGAAAGTTTTTCAGGTAGAGGAAACTCTTTAAAAAATTATGCCATCTGTGAATGAGGCCATAAGGTATGATAATGGCTTACAAGAAGGGAAAGCCAAATATGGCTTGATTCACACCTCTGCGTATGGTTCTCTTATTATCACAAAACAAACAAACAAAATCTAAATGATAATATACTTCCACCTGTGTATGCATTGAATCCTGCTAAAGTTACGTAAAAATCGATTAAACAAAAGTTCTGTATCTCGACTCCTTACAAAGGAACACAGTTAAGAAAGTTATAGGAGGAGTTAATGGATCCCAAGAACAGGACTAGAATTAGGCTGTAATGTGCTGGAAAAACTTAGTGATTTATTTGGGGCTGGGAGGCATAAGCAGGCAGGAACAACATTAAAAAAAATCGGTGAAATTTAGTTTTCCTTTTAGGAAAGGAATGAGAATATAATGTATATATTTTAAATATGCATATTAAAGACTAAATTTTAAATTTCCAACCATTCATTGTGAAACAGCAACATAGAGATACCATGGACATCCCAAAATCTAAACAAATCCCCAAACTAAGACTGCAAATGAAACAGAGCTCTACCTACTTTAAAGAGCACTTTAACAGTGCTCTTCACAGTACATTATATAGTCCAAGAGAAGAGAAAGTATATTCTTCCCCACACAACATGTTATTGGTTCTTATAAAATGCTCCCTTGCAAATAAAATTTCAAATTTGATCATGGCCTACATATAATTTCCAGCTTTGAAATCTTGGTAGGGAGAGACAGACAGGGAAATGGAAGATAAGAAAAGTTATTAATTTTTTTCTATTTTAGTTCAGTAATTATTGAATATAATTGATACAGAAAATTAGCATGCTACATCCTCACCCATGTTTGTTTATCTATTCATTCAGTCAACAATGATTTATTTATTGCCTACTTTGTGCCAAGCACTATGTATACATATTTATATTACAACACACAAACACTATGAAAATGGTGCAATCTTTTCCCTTCTTTACAGTGCAGTTCAAACGCCACTTCCTCTGGAAAGCCTCACTAACTAACCTAAGCAGAGATAATTCAGATTTCTTCTACGGCCCATGGGTCTTTGTCTATATCCTTACTAAAGTGCTTTCCACCATGTGCTGTGATTTACCATGTTTTTATGCACTTAGTAGAGCTTTAATAAATGGATACTCACTTTTCAGCTGTTAGGCCTTCCATCATATTATACATTAGAGCAACAACAAAAGAAACCCTACTTATTTTGCCAAATAATTGGAAGTCTATGGAGAAATTTCTAAGGAAATATTGACATAAAATATCAAAGCAACAATTTGTGCTGATTTTTTAAACATAATTAACCTCTTAAGGAAAACTCAATCATTTTTGACTTACTAATGCCCGAAATCATGGTCCAAATTGTTATGCCTCTTCTGCCAGAGACATGGACTCCAAAGGAGATGAGTTCTCACAGGAATGGAGAATGAAAAGACACATAAAGTGTAAGTGGTACAAAGACTGGAAAAGACAATGGATAGTGTTGGAAAGAAGAGAAACACAAACACCTAATTTGCTTCTCTCCTAGAGGTATTTCATTCATTATGCATATGTGAATCATAGACATATATGACCTTGAAAGAATTGGCAAAACTGCAAGAATGCTCACAGTAATCTCATGCTACTTCCATGTATTCAGTGTCCATAAAATGCAAGATCAACTGTCTGCAAATGCCCAGTGTGAAACTGATCCTGTAGACCCTGGCCAACAGTGGCTGACTCTGCAGCCAAAAATTTACAGTGTTCTTTGGATTTTACTGGCTTTTTCACGAAATCTAACCTCTCATTACCAAATGTAACTTTTTTTCCTATTCTTTAATTTTCTGGGTCTGTCCTTATGTTGCAAGTACATTTATATTACTATGACAACAGATTTACAAAGCAAAAAATTGACTTGGTTTCTTATCTAAGATTATATTTTCTAACAAAAATATAGATAGTTTCTTTCAAGTTCCATAAAGAATTCTGTAACTTTTAAAAGGATTGTAAATGCCTGCAATTCTTGATATTAATATAACCATAAAGCTATAAGTACAAGCATAAAGATAAAAAGTATGCCTTAAATATATAAAATATCTAAATATCTCAAAACTACAGCTCTAAAATATCATTGGGACTTTATTCATTCTACAGGCAAAGTGAAATGTCTCTTACTCTTATAATGCTTAGGGAGAAGGTTTAGTGTGGAATCTTCAGACTTGGGAAAGAATAGGCCTGAATCTGGCACATTATGAAACCCCATAGAAATAGTTCTTTATATTCAGCAAATGCTTCCTTCTGTGTCATTTTTTGCTTATTTTCCCCTAAACCAATTGATTCCTCTCCAGTGTCACTGAACAGTCTCTGTCAGGGTCTCTATCTTTGTCTCTATGTTACACACACACATGCAAACACACATTCACACACATGGACAGGTTTATTGAGACTTTGACATCTTGTCTTATGAACAAATGAAGTGCTGCTTTACTGTATGGCTCACCAAACAGAAAAGCAAAATGCAGTTATTACTTATACGTTTATATACATAATACTCACTGGAACTCCAGTGTAGTACAAAGAATGGTATCTTTCTTAGAACATTGAATGGTTTATGAGGTAACACACCTGCCAAGATTACTGAGTATGGAAGCTTAGAATCTGAAGTTATCATTAACATCACCAAATCCAAACTTCACACTTAAAGATGGAAAAGCTGAGGCCCCTAAAGGTCATACAACATTACTAGGGTGATAATACTTCATTATAGATTATAAAGGCATTCGAATTCTGCCAGATTCCTTTAACACAGGATTAATAGCATGCTCTTTAGTCTCCCTTGTAGATGGGTAAGCCAAGAGGGATCATATTTTGGGACTCTCAGCATTATTAGAGTTATTCTTTTGGCTGGATTAATATATCTTTCAAATTGTGATATTTGGAGCAAGAAACACCAAAAAATCATTAATGACATCACCACCCATGTATACTAAGTGCTGCTCAGCTAAAATTAGGTTTGTATTTGTAGAAAACGGCAGGAAAAAATATCCTTTTGGCTATTTGCATAAGCACATCTCAAAGACATTGTGTAGGAAGCAGATCATTAGGAGTCTATAGCTGTAAACACTGCATGGCCGTTAAAGTTGTCAGAATTGGCACTGGATTTTTCTTTATATTTCAAAGACTTTATTGTCAGAAGTATAGTACTAGAGGAGTATGTAACTTTTTCTACCTTCCCACTTCCAGTAATGGAAAATATATGCAAATACGCCAAGCATAGTTAATTTTTTAAAGAAAATAAAATTAACACTTCAATTGGGTAACATAAATTCCAGCTCTGTTTATTCTGGATAAATAAAAAAATTAAATTATATATTACTGATAAATATAATAAAAATAAGATACAATCTGGGAGTAGCTAGACGGGTGTCACCAGGTTCTCAGGTTCAGGAGAGAGAAAAACATGTCAAAGCTGGCAGATGGTTCAGAACCTTGGACAGTTGCCCAGTAGCTGTTGCCACTGCTGAACTTCCCAGCCCCACCAAAATATGGTTCTCCTGACTTAACAAATATTTAGCAGTTTGTAGTCTATTAGGATTGCTGTAGATGGTGTGTTAGTGGCCCCAGAAGAGACAAGACCAACTGTCAAATGTATGTTAACTTTAAAGACACTCTGAATGCAAGATTTTTAATCATCTGAACATTTATATCTTATTTCCATTTTCATAATATTTTTTATGATAGCCTAAAGGAAAAAACCTGAGATCAGCTGCATTTCTGGAAAAGTGTACCAGCAGCACCAAAAAATAATATTTTTATTTGAGACATTTTGCTCTTCACAGATAAAGGGAACTCTTAATTGAAATGATTAAATAGTTTCTTATGTTTAAATTCACTCTGCAATGTCTTTGCAAAGAAGCATTTCAGAACACACAGTATAGAACACTTAATTTAATTACAAGGTTAAAAATATTCAAATTCATTTATTTAAACTGCCTAATACAGATCATATTTAGAAAAACCTACACCATGGATTCAGGAGCGCATGAGAAACCACTTCACTTGCCAGCTGGTTTTGGTGGCAGTGCAGATTACATTCATGACAGAACTTGAACCTTGTCAGAAATAAGAGATTTCAACATTCTCAGGCAACATCCATAAATCTTTTGCAAAATCCAGCAACTAAAGATAGGCCAGCAGCTATTCTTTTTTTCTATTTTAAAAAGAATGCCTACATATTTAATTAACAAATATAGGATATGAATGGCCTTCGAAACATACAACTTCAATCACAATAGGATTGTTGTTTCATTCAATATGTCCCTTATCTCTGCAGGTCTGGCTGTGCCTGGAAAATATAAAATCACTGCATATAAGCTTTGTAAACAAAAAAATTACTGTCTGAAAACTCTATACTGTATGAATATTGTTACAACAAAGGCTTCCTTTGGTTGACTTAATATACTATTTTAGCCTAATAACATTGGGTGTGCATTTCTTCCAACTAATAAAATTTATTTAACCAAGTGATTCTCTTCATTTATAATTTATTTGCATTTTATTAATTAACTTTTTGAAGAGTTGGCAGCCAATCTACCACAATATTTTTTAAAAGGCTGAGGGCTCTCTGCAGGCTTTGGTGTTAACATTAAATGAGGGAGCCTATCCTCATCCTTTGTCCCAGTCTAGTTCTAGTATCTTCAGATTTACACAGTCTATCCTACACTGGAAGAAGCTGGGCCCAGGATAAATCTGGAGAGTTCATTACAGACTGGCAATGTCTCCAAGAGCACTCTCCATTTCCACATCAGTCTGAGAATTCCTGAAGCCCTCTGAGAGGATAAACCAATTTTGAGGACCAGCTTTGATTATAGCTCACTTTGTAGCTTACCTCTTCCTGTACAAGAAAGGCTTGAACTGATTATTGTTCTTCATCCAAAAGGAACCTTCTTTTTTGTAAACATAGAGAGATTTTCTAATGTATCTGGAACTTTTGGCTCAACCTGAATTCCCTGACAGTTGTCAGGAATAGCTCGATTTGAGTGAATGTAAGCCTTTTCATTCAGTTTTGCCAAATGACACAGAAATAAACTGTGGCAACTTAGTGTCACCTTTGCACTTTCATATTTCACACATGGCAATTGATTAATTTTTGTATAAACTATAAATTTTTTTGAGATGCAGTCTCCCTTCATCACCCAGGCTGGAGTGCAGTGGCACAATCTCAGCTCACTGCAACCTCCGCCTCCCAGCTTCAAACAATTCTCCTGCCTCAGCCTCCCGAGTAGCTGGGACTACAGGTGCGTGCCACCATCCTCAGCTAAATTTTGTATTTTTAGTAGAGACAGGGTTTCACCATGTTGGTCAGGCTGGTCTCGAACTCCTGACATCGTGATCAGCCCACCTCAGCCTCCCAAAGTGCTGGGATTACAGGCATGAGCCACCGTATAACCTATAATATTTTTAAAACCAGAGATGAGTGGTAGGTTAGAGATGAAGAAAAAAAATCATGTTTTCTAAAAGGAATACATAATCTTCTTCCTTCTACGTTTTATTGGGATAATTATAGTGATTGATATAGCTTATGTCGAACTCTGTGCCTTGTATCAACATTGTTAATTTTTCTACTCGATGATGATATCCAACCAGTATACTACTGGGAGAGCTTTGATACCATTTTGCAGATGAGAAAACTGAGCACAAATGAAGCTCAGTGTACTGGCCATCAATTTGGTAAAGTATCAGGCTTGAAACTTGAACTCAATGTAAGAGAGATTTGTATTGTGTGCATTCACTCACACATGATTTGTTATGTATTATGAAATTAATGGGATTGTGGTCAACTGTAGGATCTACAATTGATTATATGCACATTTTTAAAAAACTGAAATACTGAGTAAATATTCAGTGTACACTAGTGTAACAATTTTTAAAAATAATTTACTGCTGGGACCTCCCAGACCTGCTAGCATGTGAATTACATAGCAGTAAACACAAGATTTATTTTCAGATAGTTGGCATATGGTGCTAGTGAGAACAAATATGTAGGTTTGATTTCTCATTTGGGCCAGTTGATGTAATTCAGGGAAAAGACATATTCCAGAGCTGCATGACAATCGCAGTTACACAATTTAAAGATATGTAATCACAAAGAAATGTAGGTGAGAGAATACTGTTGACTAAGTGAAGTGGGCAAAACTCAGCCATTCTACAGATCAACTTCTAGTTATCAATTTCATAGTAACAGTTCTTTTCAAAATCCTCTTTTGTTTTATCTAGAAGTTTGCTCATTACTTTGGCCTGCAGGTGTTGAAATAATATCACTGTGTGGATTTAAACACTTGTAGATTTATATTTCAGGAATCCAAGTTCTATGATTGATATTGACGCCACCAAATTTACACTAGATCTTTTTCTCAATGAACATCAGAATTCCAAAGATGAATAGTGATTTATAAATTGTTTCCAATATCATATTGCATGTTTCTCGAAAATCCATGCTTAAGTCTAACAACATCATGGATAAAAATCTAATTATTCAAAATTAATGCCAGAAAATCTGGGAAGAAGAAGCTATCACTAATTATTGACCTACTGTTAGTCCTGGTTTCTTGACTGAATTGTGATAACTCATTTAATTCTTCACATCTTTCAATTATGTTATTTATATTTTTGCACTGAACCATGCTTAATTATATAGCTCTTGCAAACTGTCCTGCACTGGTCCTGAAAGGATGCCAAAGGTAGTAAGGAAGACTGAGGCCACATAGTTGCATTCAATGTATCAACCAGAAAGTTCAGGGAAATACGATTCTGGACTAGGGATGACATGTTTTCTCCTGTAACTTTGCATATTTATGACCTATTTCTGATCCTTCTGTAGGGAAACCTCTTCTTAATTTTATAATTATTATACTCCTACTTGTGTAATTCTTCCTGCTGCTGAATATCAAGAAACCTCAAATCTTCTCATTGCCTATCTCACGTGAACATACAGGCTTCCCGCCACCTAGAATTAGAAACCAATTTCTAAAATTTTGAGCATCATCTGAATATGTCACTATATTTTGTGGAAATCTGTGCTGAGCTTACTCTATCTGAAGTAAAACCACCCTTTCTAACTGATATCCTTGACACCACCATCAAATGTCTAAATCCTCTATGCTTTGAGGATGAATGAGCTATCCAGAGAAAACCTCAGATACTGTCTTTACAAGAATTACTCTGAACTAATCAACTAGTAGTATCAAGTGGAATCAAAAAAAAAAAAAAGAGAATCAAAGGTTTTTTTTTTCTGCCTACCATACTGTTCAGTATTCTCACCGCATTCTGTGCCACCCCTTGATGTCTAAACTTGGCAAAAACTAATTTATGACTTTATCTTTTAGTTCCATTTTCAAAATACAGAATTCATATAACATTTCTTTCTGAGTAAAGAACACTTACCTTTCCAAAAATAAAAATAGAAATGTTGCTTTTGGGTAGTAAATAAATTTGCTTATTCATGAGAGCCATATCTTCTTTTAAAGCATCACAGTAACATTCCCCAGTTTCTGTTTTAGAATAATGGTTGTTTTTTTCTCCTTTGACACCTCAGTACCATGGCTTTATGACACAACAGGGTACGCTTGGTTGGTGTGTTAATATCACAGTTTGAATGCAGTAAGCCATGAATTCAAAAGAGAGAAACTACAAAGGACCAAAAAGTGTATTACTGGTTGAATAAAGCACATCCTGAAGTGGTAGTTCAAGTTTTATTTTGTCACTTTATTAATGATACTCATTATGTTATAGGGTATTACATTACATAAAAGGAATCATATGCTCCCAACTGTATATGGATAAGGTGGTAATTCCATCAAGGCATTCTAGTAATGCTGCAAACTACCTAAGCAAAGCTTGAATAGCTTGTTTATTAGCACCAGAACACAGAAAGGAATAATAGCTCTTATTTTATATACATTGGGGATATATTATATACCACAATATGCATTTATGTTAGTCAGGTGTAGTAAATGAACACAATTAAAGTGAAATTGTGCAAAGAAATAATCAATCATTGCCTTATAAAGAGAACTACCACACAATCCCTTTGGAGCCTCAAATCTCTTTCCATTTCTGTCCATCAAAGAATCAGGAATGGCAGAAAGAGAAGGAAACAAATGTATCCTGCCCACATGCAAGAAGAGGAATTCTTTCCCCAAGTTAGCAATCTAAATAGCTACTGGAGCTTACAATTTTCTGTGATGCACAGAGAGCACACCCAGGAGTGTGCTATGTCTCTGTCTGCTCGCTGTAATGCTGATGCAGACGGGCATTGCACAGGGCGTCTTCACTCTCTTCTGGGGACCATGCACACTTTAACACTTTTCCCATCAAAATCCGAGACAACCTTACTGGGTTGAAATATAAACCATAGGACACATTAGCAAGGATTGAGAACAGCAATTGTTCTTCTAGAGTGCTCAGAGCCCGTAAGTTAATGCCTGGGAAATCATGGAAAGAAAAGCTAACATTTATTGAATATATACTATGTTCCCACACTAGTTAAGTGCTTTATATACATCATCTGATTTACTCCTACAACCTTATAAGTAGGCACTATTATTAATGTCATCTGCCAGAGAGGAATCTACAGCTTGCAGTGGTCGGAGACCTAGACTAGGATCTGAATGCCTGTAAACATGTGAGTCTAAGTAAGCATAAGAGTTCTAAGTTGAGCTGGCTTTGAAATCACTGCACACAACCACATAAACGGTACAGGGAATGGTGTTTCCTCCACTTTTCCAGAGTGAGGAGTTATACTAGGAGAAGGCTGCTGAACAATTTCACATCCCTATTTGGTAAGCTTCACCTTCATACCTAAATAGAACAAAAAATCACATCACTACATTATGTTTTACCATGTTCCAAGTTCCCCCAATTCTTGGTTCTTTGAAGAAGCCATCCCTTTCCCTTACAAAACTGGAAACAAACAGTCTCTCATAACATCTTTCTACAGGGTTCTGAAGGGAAAGGATGGGCACTCTGACATGGAAAATTCAGAAGACTTGGGGTAGAGCAGCAAAATCCTGGTGGTTGGGCCCAAGAACTGTGCTGAGAGTTCTGGTTGAGGGAGATTAAGTGGAGAAACACGATACTTCACCTAGACATATAATGGGTTCAAAGATGGACTTTCAGACAGATAAACCTCAATTTAAACCAACTTTAACAAACACACTAGTTATATGGCCTTCAGAATATTATTTAATATTTCCAAATCTCAGTTTCTTCATATGTAAATATTATCTACTTCAGAATATTTTCATTAATATCACATAGTATAAGCTAAATAAAGTAAACTGTATATGCCTGGCGTGCTTAAAGCAGGAAATACATTTATAATTATATAAATGGAAAGATGACTAACACAGGAGTAACTTTTATGATCATTTTTTATTCTACAAATATCAGAGTTACTTTTGTTATATTGAAATGTGGTGGTTCCAGTGAGGATGGCATGAGTAAGAATACAATTCTGTGCACAATGAACAGATCTTAATCTAAGTGCTAAGTTTGGTTTTGGTGCACATTTCCTGCAGGATAAAGAGTTAACTCTGACACTCTCCTAGTCTTGACCTCAAGGCAGTCAAGAAATAGAAATGTGGGTAATGGGTTTTCTGTTGGCCATCACATGGTGGGAGACAACAAGCTTGGAAGAAAAGAAACAAAGAAATCACAGAAAAACAAAGAGGCCAGCAAACAAGAAGAGCAAGCTATATATCTGTATCAGTGCTGTCCAACAGAAATGTAATGTGAGTCATAAATGTGAGCCACAAGTGTAATTTTAAATTTGCTAGCATCCGCATTAAAAAAGATAAAAATTAATTTCAATAATATATTTTATTTAACCAAATAAATAAAAAATACTGTCCTTTCTAAATGTAATCATTATAACAATTAATAGGATTTGTTACATTTCTGTCTTTGAAATTCAACCAAACAGTGAATGGGATATGTTACAATTTTATGTCTTTGATAGCACGTCTTTATTCAGACTAGCCATATTTCAAGTGTTCAGTAGTAGCCACAGGTGTCTAGTAGAAATTGGTAGCATACTACCTATGTATCTCTTCTGGCCAGGAGCTACTGGTAAAATCTAATTGTAGTTGTAGTAGCACCCCCATTTCAGCTTGAGTTAATAGCACCCTCACTCGTCCCCATGCCTGGGTTTTAGAATATTATCAAAAAAGCAGTGTCTCCTGATGCCAGTGAGATGCAGCTGACAGTCAATCAGGGGGAACTCCAAAAGGAAGGTAAATGTCACAGTGAAGAGTTAGATCCATGGACCACAGAACTCCTCCTCATCAGGAAATTCTCCTTCTAGAACTCTCCTGTGAGGGACAGGAGAAAGTCTGAGCTTTCATTTGGTTAACTAAGTTACATTTCTAGAGAGTGTCATCCCATTTTGTGTAATAAAAAATAATAAGCTTTATATAGGGATACTTTATACGTGCAATGTATATATTAGCCTATTTAAAATAGTATCTTTGCAGATGAAGAAACCAAGATACAGTGAATTCCAGTAACTTGCCCAAGGCCCCATAACTAGTGTGAGGAACATGTGAAAATTGTTCCCAGGCAGTCCAGCTCCTAACCATGGTTCTATTGCCCCAGTGCCTTAGTCATATGTCTACCCTTTTAACTAACGGCAGTGACAGGAATGACAGCAACAGTGTGTGTGATTCTGGAATGAAAACCAGATGTCCTAATCCTCATCAACCTGGGGCTGTAACTCCTAGTACATGTATTAATATTAAGTAAAATAAAACCTCAGACCCTTCACTATATCAGCACTTTTTAATTTTTTTAATTTTTTAAATTTTTTAATTTATTTATTTATTTTTTTTTTTTGGAGACAGAGTTTTACTCTTGTCACCCAGGCTGGACTGCAATGGTGCGATCTCGGCTCACTGCAACTTCTGCCTCCTGGGTTCAAGTGATTTTCCAGACTCAGCCTCCCGAGTAGCTGGGACTATAGGCACCCGCCACCATGCCCTGCTAATTTTTTTTTTTTTTTTTTTTTTTTTTTTTTAGTGGAGACGGGGTTTCACCATGTTGGACAGGCTGGTCACGAACTCCTGACCTCAGATGATCCACCCGCCTTGGTCTCCCAAAGAGCTGGGATTACAGGCACGAGCCACTGCACCCTGCCTGTATCAGCACTTTTATAAGCAACTCTCAGCTTAAAAAAATTAAGCTTCCCAATCATCTCTGCATATATTCAAGAAGAACATAGCTGTTACATTCAGGAGATACTTGGCAGCTAATGGACAATTCCATAAGAAAAAAAAATTGCCTGAGGTGAAAAGCCTTTTGTTTTGTTTCCCCCTTCAGTCTTTTTCATTGCCTCTCATATCTACACTAGTGCTGCATGACTTTAAACTTTTTGTAGGACAGTTCCAAAGACACAGAGATTTGAGAATATTCTTGGTCAAAATGTTAAAGTTCCAGCAAGTTAAACAGGAGAATAAGTGGGGAGAAAATGAGACAGAGCACCCTTTCCAGTTTGATCAATGAGGCCCTGAGAAATTCAAATGGATATCAGCCTATGATCCCCTTTTTTTCTCTGCCCTGCCCCAATATTCCTTAATGCAAAGGTTGAGAAGAAGAGGGAGGAGAGTTTTGCAAAGAAAATGACCCATTTTCATCCACCCACCCAACCTTCAGGATTTCTATTGCCTATTCAATGCTACTTTTCCTCTCCGAGGCTGTTTGCAGGGCTCAGTAAGTGGAAAAGGAGTGGACTTTAGAATTAAACAAACCTGATTTGAATTGCTTCTCTATTTATTTACGAATATTGTGACTTTAATCACATCACTGAATCATTCTGAGGCTCAGTATGTATCTGCTAAATATGGATAATAACACCTATCTCTCAAAGATATTGCCAAAATCAAGTGTGTATAAAATGTGTCGAACAGTGCCTGGCACATAATAGATTACCCTTTAAATGATAACCATTAGATATTTTTACGAGTGTAAACTGAAGCATCCCTCTGCCTAGAGATTCTTTTTATCCAAGTCTGGTAGTTTTAATACGGAACATCCAGGGACTGTACAGGCACCTATAAATTAGAACAGGTGCCGGCCTTCACGTCGCTCTTTTCAAGCATAACTGCTGAATAGTAACACTGCCTTTATAGATGTGGTCCTACGGTCTTCCAAATTAAGGTGGAAGACAAACCATGTAAGGAAATATAAAATCCATGCACCAGAGTCAATGAAGAGAGTCAGCTGCTACTCCCAGTATTCTTCCACTCCTTTCCAAGTAGATGTAAAGTTCCTTTTGGTGAGGACCTAAAATAAGTATTCTGAAGATACAGAAAACATCCTGTCCTACAGCCCCTTTCCAGCCCCACAAGGTGTGCTAATTGCTTGACACAGCCTCAGAGCCAAGCAAACATCTTTCCTCTCCAGGCCTCTGTACCCAAGAATTATGTCCTCTTCTAACCCAGAACTGCTTAATCACACTGGGCAGCCCACAAAGGCCTGCCAACCACAACATTTCTCTCATAAATAAAAGTAGAAATGGTAAAGCAGGGAGGGTGTGGTCATCACCCATGGCTAAGCAAATGTCAGAGCAGCATCCTGCCCTCTGCTGCTTTGGTGAGTCACAAGAATAGACTGGCCATTTACAGAAGTGTGTCTGCCCCTGCCAGTCTAGGAGGGGTTGGGGTGTTGTGTCTCTTGCCTCCCTCTCCAAGCAGCTTCACATAGGCCCAGTTATGGATTCAGGGGAAGAAGAATTAAGCCCTTAGTCTTCTTCATAGTAGATTTGTTCAACTTTCAAGTGTGCATGATATTGCATGAACACATCAGCATATGCAATATAAGATGTCCACACCAGAGCATAGAGGCCTACTGATGAAATACTGAGAAATGAAGGGACATACATTAAATTCATGTAAAAATTCAAGAGTGAGGTATTACAAAAGTGCACTCCATTTTTCCACCTCTACTTTGCCTTGCACTCTAAATATGTCAATTATATAACCCTTCAAGGTAAACCAGAGTAAAGAGATTAAATTAAAAAAAAATCCTTTCTTCATTCAGCAAACACTGATCAAAGATCATTTATAGACAAAGGATGGAAGTAAGACATAAGTATTTTCTCTAAATTTGCTGTCAATTGAAAGAGGTGAAGCCTATATAGTCACAACAGGATACATTACACACTGGGATGAAGGCAACTCCACATACCCCTAGGTTAATCTGTATAGGGTGAGTGTAAACTTTGGCAAATATCACAATTTAAGGGGTGGATAATGGAAGAAAATTCAACACCACCACATATAAAAATTATGAAAAAAGGAACTCCTCAAGAGTCCTACTCCAGTCTCAGTAGATTACCTTTATTTCTACATCATTGAGAAAATCCCAACAATCAAAGGCCATTTCCATCAACTTTTCATCCCCACACAATCAAACTCATTGTTTTCTTTTTCTTTTTTTTATTTATTTTTTTTTATTATTATACTTTAAGTTTTAGGGTACATGTGCACATTGTTCAGGTTAGTTACATATGTATACATGTGCCATGCTGGTGCGCTGCACCCACTATCTCATCATCTAGCATTAGGTATATCTCCCAATGCTATCCCTCTCCCCTCCCCCCACCCCACAACAGTCCCCAGAGTGTGATATTCCCCTTCCTGTGTCCATGTGATCTCATTGTTCAATTCCCACCTATGAGTGAGAATATGTGGTGTTTGGTTTTTTGTTCTTGCAATAGTTTACTGAGAATGATGGTTTCCAGTTTCATCCATGTCCCTACAAAGGACATGAACTCATCATTTTTTATGGCTGCATAGTATTCCATGGTGTATATGTGCCACATTTTCTTAATCCAGTCTATCATTGTTGGACATTTGGGTTGGTTCCAAGTCTTTGCTATTGTGAATAATGCCGCAATAAACATACATACGTGTGCATGTGTCTTTATAGCAGCATGATTTATGGTCCTTTGGGTATATACCCAGTAATGGGATGGCTGGATCAAATGGTATTTCCAGTTCTAGATCACTGAGGAATTGCCACACTGACTTCCACAATGGTTGAACTAGTTTACAGTCCCACCAACAGTGTAAAAGTGTTCCTATTTCTCCTCATCCTCTCCAGCACCTGTTGTTTCCTGACTTTTTAATGATTGCCATTCTAATTGGTGTGAGATGGTATCTCATGAAATAACGCCGCATATCTACAGCTATCTGATCTTTGACAAACCTGAGAAAAACAAGCAATAGGGAAAGGATTCCCTATTTAATAAATGGTGCTGGGAAAACTGGCTAGCCATATGTAGAAAGCTGAAACTGGATCCCTTCCTTACACCTTATACAAAAATCAATTCAAGATGGATTAAAGACTTAAACTTAGACCGAAAACCATAAAAACCATAGAAGAAAACCTAGGCATTACCATTCAGGACATAGGCATGGGCAAGGACTTCATGTCTAAAACACCAAAAGCAATGGCAACAAAAGACAAAATTGAAAGTGGGATCTAATTAAACTAAAGAACTTCTGCACAGCAAAAGAAACTACCATCAGAGTGAACAGGCAACCTACAAAATGGGAGAAAATTTTCACAACCTACTCATCTGACAAAGGGCTAATATCCAGAATCTACAATGAACTCCAACAAATTTACAAGAAAAAAACAAACAACCACATCAAAAAGTGGGCAAAGGACATGAACAGACACTTCTCAAAAGAAGACATTTATGCAGCCAAAAAACACATGAAAAAATGCTCATCATCACTGGCCATCAGAGAAATGCAAATCAAAACCACAATGAGATACCATCTCACACCAGTTAGAATGGCAAACTCATTGTTAAGTTCACACAGACTTCTCCCCTTTCCTCCCACCGCAGAGAATGAGGTGTCCCCTCCACTGTCATGACTACATTTCTGACTTCTACCCCCATCCCTCCTGTCTTCTCAGAAACACATTTAAACCAACCATCTATTCCCTCTTCCTTACTCCAGTCTCTTTCCCAGCAGTTTCCTACAGCTGATAGAAATGCACAAGACTCAACTAATAAAAGCTCTCCCTTAGTGTCATATACTCCTTTCCTCACCAACTCTCACTGGGAATACTCAAATATTTAGTCTACCCTGCCTATTCTCTTAACTCCTCACTGGAAGCCACCTTCCATCCTCCCACTTTACTGAAAGTGCTCTTGCCAAGCTCACCAATGACTAATTGCCAAATGGAATGGACATTTTACAACCACTATCTTATTAAATCTCTGCTGCATTTGCCACTGTTCCACATCCACTTGGAAATCTCTTCTCTAGTCTCTTCATGTCTGTGGTTCTCCTTAATGCCTCTCTGATGGCTCCTTCTCAGTTTTCCTTCCTGTGCTCTTTTCTTCCATCTGCCACTTAGATGTCCACGTTCCCCAGAGTTTTGTTGGTGCTTCTAGCTGCTTAGCCTCCACCTTCTCCTGCCTGTTTTCTAAATTCCAGAGTTCCAGTTGCATTTGTGACCTATACAACACATTTCAACAACCACTTTTATTTTGGGACGAAATTTATCCAGAGTCAGTTTCTATTGTTAGGAACTTAGAATGGAGATTTGGCTGAGCTGCAATTCTGGTGAAAAACAACAGGAAATGCAGTTGTATATAAGGACAACATGAGTAAACTGGAGCCACCTCGGAAACAAAGAAGCAAACAACAAAGTAACAAAACAAGCACCTTTGTAGACATACAGAATTCAGATCTAATAATGTGATGCTCCTACTTTACTCTGCAGTAAAGTATTTTGTCCAGTTTGGGGTATCACATTTAGACAAGCAAACATGTATTTAAACAATGTTTATTGGATTCTACATGACAAATCATACTAAGCAGTGAAAATTAAAAGATTAGTAAGATTCCTGTCCTTTTGAAGTTTATTCTACTGGGAAAGATAAAGTGAAGTGCCGTATTAATATAAAAGAAGTACTGGTAGTGCAGAGGAGGTGTAGCCAAAGCTGCTTTGAGGCACAGGAATAGTAATATTTGACATGAATATTGAGTGATAAATAAGAGTTCACCAAGAAAATAATGAAAAGGTGGACATTCTAGGCAAAATCAATGGCATTCAGAGGAGACTGAAATGACAGATGGACTAGAATGTAGGGTAGAAGAGACAAGGACACCCCAAGATAAGAATGGAAAAGAAAAGTGGTGTCTAATCCAGAAGGGCCAGTTTGTAAGTCAAGCACTGGCCTTCACAATCTAAATTTTAAAACACCTAAAAACCATACCTTTTTGGGTCAAATAAAGAAAATGGGTTTGTTTTATTGTAAAATGAAGTGTAGAGAACACAAAGGTTGCCAGGCAATTGAAGATATGTCTTTCAAAAGTTAAGTTATACGAACTTTTTGCCTATGTGTTTACACAATTCAAAAAGAAATTACTAATAATTGGAACAGCTCTATAATGGAATGGAATGTCTTGTAAAGGAGGTAAGTTGTTACTTGCAGTATTATTCAAGCTGGTCTAGAAACTTACAAATTGAATTAACTGGGTAGGAATTTAGGTAATATGAACTTTAAGATATATATTATTTATTTAGGCTTCTACTATTCTTTCTATTAGTTTTGTTGCTGACATATTTGTGTCTTAGGTAGGAAGCTCCATTGTTCGTATAACACTGTCTCTTAAGATGCTGGGTCAATAGCAGCAGCAGCCAGTGAAACTACCACTCCTCTCTCTTTTAAGGAAAATATGTTTAGGTCTCAGAAAAGAATACAGATTTGCAATCAGGATTTTAGATCAAATATTACTCCAGTGATTTTTACCTTCATTGTATTTTAATAATCAACTCCTTTCTATCTTGCCATTTTCCATAATTATTCTAACTTTGAGGGAATAAAAATCCATATGTTGGTGCCTGTCCATAGTTACTTTTTCCACCACAAAGTAAGTTCCTTTATCCCCCTTCAATTTTTGTCCAGAGTTTCTTTTCACAAGCATATCAGCTAATGCTGCAACACTTTCTGTAGTTGTCAATCTTGGCTGAGTCCTCATCATGGTAATTACTTCATTTTCCTTAGCCAGCTCATAGTTCCCTCAGTGGATATTCCAAAACTTCTATCTCCCCAAGATGATTTCAAATCTTACCAGATTATCTTGCCTTCTACCTCACAGACAAGTGTGAAAGCATCTAGTACCCCTCATTTTCTTACCCCAACTTTTAAAATTATTTGTATTCATCTTCATTCTTCCTCTTTGCATTTTTGACTAGGCTATTCCCTTTAAATATGCTCTTAATTCCCTCCCATGTCCCATGTCATTATGAATCTTGAATCATTAACTAACATCTCCCTACTATATCTTCTCTTTCCTCTGGGTTGAGAAATACTCTAGCATTTTTTTTTCATTTTTATATAGATATCTTAATATGTTACCCATTATGAAGAGAATAGACTTGGAGATATAACAATACAGGTAAGGGACATTTATATTGCTTTGGGAAGAAATCATAAAGATATGAACAAGAAAACAGTAGTAGTGATAGGGAGGTTAGAAAAGTTCAATAAATAATTAGGAGATAAAGTCAGTATAGTGATTAATATTATTACACATTATAAGAAGTACATGCTGTCACTGCCACCGAAAGTGAATGGCTCCTACTAAAACCACTGATGCTAATTGTTTGAGATACCACCATACCCCCTGCAAGATTAATACTTCATTCTCTTTCATTCCTGAGTCACTAACTTCAGATTTAAAGTCTTATACTAGCACATCTGATTGGCCAAGGCAAGGTCATATATCTATTTTCGAGCTGCTTAGGAACATTGCCCCAGGAAAGCAAGTTATTTGGTATTATGAGCTTCTGTTTGGAAGAAAACGAGCTCACCATTTTGGGAGAGGGATTAGATCTCAGGGAGAAAATACAAATGTGAATTATACCCATGCCAGGGCTTTTTGAACATAAAGGTAATTTTTTCAATCAATTCCTATTCAGCAGATTTTCCAGTATTTTACCCTGTTTTAACCTCTTTATCTTTCTTCACCTTAAATATCTCCCAACATTTTAGTTATCCCCCAAGATTTAAACCAGTTACAGATTCAATAAAAATGCCTATCCTAACACAAGCCTCTGGTGAAATTGTGTAGGGCAGGGACCAGAGCAAAGGTCTGTGAAACACCAAGATAAAGACCTTCAAATTTGAAGCTAATCAGCTCCCACTGAGAGACCTGTTCAATGGGCTATAAAGATGCTTAACTGTGCTTTCCATTTTTTATGTTGTTCCTAATCACATAACCAGAATTCTTCTGACATGGTAGCCAACTATAATCTAAATGCACTATGTCCACAGTATTCTCTTGAATTACCAGGGTGGTAAAACTATCAAAAACGGGGAGGGGGTCATTTTATCTTGGTATTTTTTTTAATTGGTAAACCAAAGATGGAAAATAAGAATGAAAAGATGGAGAAATGTCTCCTGGGTGAAGTGGGAAATAAGAACAGTCCCAGAGGAGCTATTAAAGAACATTAGACTCTGAAAGAAATTGGGTAATCCACCAAAAGATAAGCAAGATGAGACTGTATGATTGATGATCTTTCAGTTTACCTATTGGTGAAAAGTGCTATGAAAGAGAATGTGTCAAATATAAAATGTGACTAGAAGCCATGCAACAAAATGTTCACCATAAATAATTGGCCCCAAACTTATTGCTTTGAAAACCAACAGGTGTCAATTAATTCATAACTTCAGAGAGGAACCCAGAACTGCTGGCAAAAGGCCCTATACCTTTAGAGTCACAATTTTTCCCAACCGGGGTCCCCTGCAGCTTCAGAACTGGCACACCAGGCAACAGCTCTGTAGCAAAAGGCTTTTTCAAACTGCATTTTTTTCAGCAGTTAAATCTGAGCTGTAACATTTGGCAGGTTTCCTTGCTAACATTTGGCAATAATTGTTTATCAAATGCTAACAAGGAATGCTGCCAAATGTAACAGCTCCGACTAAACCATCTAAAATATAATACTGAGGCAAAAGTCTACAGACATGTGCTCAATTCTTTCTGACTAATCCTAGAAATAGGATCCTGTGCCCTTGGTCATCAGACCATGCTGCACCACAGCAGGGAGGCACAAGGGACCAGATTCTCTTTCCTCTGCACGGTGTATTATTTCCCTTGATTTCCAAGTGAGCTTCTGAGAGAAAGTTGCCTGATAAACAGAGACAGAAATTTACAACAGGACATACAGTGTAACTTCATCAATTTGGATACAAATCTGTGAAATATCAGGCAGCAAAACAAAGGCAGAATTACCTTTGATGGACAAACCATGTTTCATTCGTATTAGTCCCCCGACTGTGCCTTGCTATCCACATTGATGGCGTCATTCCCGTGCCCATTCGTCTCTTCCTTCCAGCTCTTTGGCAGTCTAGGTCTAACCTCCCCTGCCTTTGCTGATGCAAATCTTTATAACTCTAGCTCAAATTCCACTTTCTGTAGGAAGACTTCCCTCTTCCACCTTCCCATTATTCTTGTCCTGCCTTCTTAAGTTACTTTTGTTTTAAACCTGTATTGCCTAAAGCCTTATTTGGCCCTTGATACTATTCCTTATTACTAGCATTGTTCCCCAGGCAGTTCAACTACCTTAAGTCCTTCCTTCCCCAATAAGCCTACTAACCCCTTGGGGGCAGGATCTGACTGCATAACTCACAGAATTTCTAACAAGAAACTGCATACAATACTGTACTTATGACTCTTTAGGGCACAAATTATAGATTTTCAAATGGTTTGTAAGTACTCATTTACATACTGATATCTGATATGCTAACTGGAAGGTATACTCAGTTATTCACCAAAATAGGTCATTTCAGATACTTTCCCAGGTAATTTTAGCTTATGTTAGCTAAATTTGAGTAGGTACATATGTTTGAAAGGAATCAAACTGCTTTTCTGCAGAATTCTAATTGAAAATTTTAAACATTCAGTAATCCTTTATTGAGTCTGAACTACGTGCTACTTTGCTAGGCTCTTGGAATACAAAAATGGGAAAGACACTGCCTTATTCTTCACTGCCCTACTCCCCTCCCCTCAAAAAAACATGCTGGAAAATGTCAAAATATTATTTAAATAACCAAAAATAACCCAATGTTATTTGAGGAATAAAAATAAATAACTCACCATTTTTAAATGTTGATTGAAGAAAATTTTCTTTAAAGATATCTCCTCTAGGCTTTTGAGAATATTTCTCATTTTATATAAATACATACTCACATCAGACATACATACAAGTCACACATAGTACTACAAGCCAAAGGATTTAAAAACTAATTCATGGGAGTAGAACAGTTAGAAAAAGCAAAATCAAGGTTCTCATCTCTACTATAAATACATGGCAAAAGTATTTCCAAATGCAAGATTTTGGTATCACAGGAAAAGTATCTAGATTCTAAGCACCCTCTGCTTTGCCATTTAACAGCCAAGAGTCATTAGATAATTTTATTAGGTTCTCAGATATTCAAATCCCTTATATAGAAAATGAGGATAACAATGCCTTCCTTGATTTATGTCAAAGGCCTCTGCCAAATACTCTCTCAGAGTCTACATATAAAATCAATGAATCACTTGTTTAGGAAACTTAGATAACAACAGTTACAAAGCAGTTAAGAGTAAACTAGAACACATGGTAATAATTTTAAGCTTTTAGATTTTTTACTTAAAATGCATAGTTCTACTCCAGTCTTAAATTGTGCCCAGGAATGCAATCAGATTCCCCTTAACTACGTAAACGGAGACACAGGTAGACTTTTCCTCATAATATTCCAAAAGATTGTTGGACATGAGTCATATAGAGTTACCAACAACAGGGATGTCTGCCCTGTGCCTTCCTCAACCTTAAGTCCCAGTGAGAAGGACCCAATATTTAAATGGTAACCAGGCAAAAGAGTGAAGCTTGCACAAAGATTTTCAGCCAATAAAGCACCAGATTTGGGCAAGTCTTCTTGGATAGGTGCCAACATAGACTAATTCATAAATTCGTCAGGGCTTGGGACTTCTCCCAGCTGTGCAAGTTAAACCTTTTTAGCGCCTCTCTATGCTATTCCTTCCTGCTGAACCTCACAACATCCAGCTGACATTCAGGCTGTGGAAAACTGTACTGCCTTTCCTGATGGAGGAGAATGGAGTTTGCGCTATCCCAAGGACACTGAGGATATGCCTTTTTGCTATAAAAAGAGGCCATCACAGCTTACACAGTGCCTCTGCTCAGAAGAACACCTCCTCATTATTTTTTCAACAGATGTCTTGGTGAAGCATATTTTACTATTTATGTTAGCCTCCTGTAAAACATCTGAGAAAATTCAGAATAACAATAAAAAAGATTGTGTTCACAAAATCAAGTAAATCCAATAATATTTCTGACAGAATTGATTACAATAATGTCAAACGCCCCTCTCCACTCTCTTTGAAAGTTATTTCAAACATAAAGATAATGAAATATGCTGCCTGTCACTTGTAAATTGTATGCTGAAAGCCTAAAGAGATAATTTAAAGATTTCCAGGTAGAACAACACACTTGCTTTATTTTATTTGTCAAGGAAATATATTAGTGGGAACTTTCTACTGTGGAAGTTGGAAACCCCACAAGAGAAGCAGACATTTAAATTACAATATGAAATGTTTTCATGGGTCACACTCCTGAATTGTAGAGGCTTCTTTATAATTGGTGGTTGTGGTAGGTAGACAGAGAAGCAGATACTTAGTTAATATTTCCATAAAATTTAGATATAGGTTTTGTTATGGTGGTATAGCATAGTGGCTAAGTGCATGAATGTTTAGTATTAAAACACCTGGGATCAGGTTCCAACTCCATCACTCACAATCTGTGTGACCTAAGAAAATAACTTCACCTCACTGTGCTTAAATTTCCTGCTCTGTGAAAGGAGACAATACTAATGACCTCATTGGTATATAAAGTGAACAATATGAGATGTATAAATAACTTTATGGCATGAAACACATAATAATTGCTCAACAATGATAGCTATTTTATTACTGAATGCACTGATAGCTATAGTTGTTATCAGATATAGTCCTCTACGTATATTCCTTCAGCTCGATTTCTTGCTTGTCCCCATTTTTATTATTTTCATCCCATAATTACATCACACTTCTCATAGTCTATACCCCTTCCTCATTGATTGCTCACTAAACTTTGTAATGAGGGGCTTATGATCTTATTTTTGAACTGGTTGATCTGTTTATTCTCTGGTTTCCCCACTATATGTAAACCCTTCATGGGTATGTCTTGATCTTCACTGGCTCCTCCAAATCTAGCACTTATCTGTCACGTGGCAAGTGTTCAACACACGCAGTTAAATAAATGAGTGCATCATTGTGCTTTATTTACAGATAAGGAAAGTGAGGCCCTGAATAATTCAGTAAATTACTTAAAATCAAATCAGTTCAACTAGCAAATGGAGGAGCTAAGATGTGGAGACTGGTTTTCACTATCGGAGCTCACGCTCATTTCCCTGCACTCGCTGCCTTGTTGAACCTAGAGCTGCATGTGGCAGAACTCTAGAAACCTGACTCACACGTTTTCCTAACAATTTCTCAGAGCACACTTTGCCTCTACAATATTTTTAATGGAATATCAAAGGGGGCTACTTGTAAATCTCAGTTAGTGGAGTCCTTTTGAACACCAACCACTGACATTCAAGCAGTTAGGCAATTATTGCTGCTGGAAATCCAAAGGCCCAACCTGCATGCTACCAGTACTTCCATCTCCAGTGAATTTACCACCAGGGACAGTAAAAAAGAAAGTAGTGAAATGGTAAAGTAAGTGTCTGATGGTTAAATGTCACAATAACAGATTTCTACAGCTTAATTGTTGTTTGGGGGGTGAAAGGGAATGTTCCTTGGGAAACAGTAGGGAACAGTTGGTAGTAAAGCCAATTTATGCTCATATATTTTCCTGTCATCAACAAAAGACATCGCCTAGATCTGGCTGAGACAGTATTTTATTGCTTAACTCTTTTAGATACATCAAATTTGATCTTCATTTTAACACCTTTATCTCTGGATAGTAATAATAATAATACACATTTTGTAGCATTTCAAAATTCTTCTCACTACTAGTATACATCAATTATCTTTGATATTTACAATATCTTCAGGTTGGCCAAGGAAAGACTTATTTTCCCCATTTTCCACATGAGGTCATTGAAACAGACAAAAAGCTAAGAGACTTCTGTGCCATCACACAGACTATGACTGACTCAGGACTAGAACTCATCTCCTGACTCGAAGTCCAATGCTCCTTCTTTAGCGAATATACAAATATGTTTGGGAACTCCATTGACATTTTGACTTAATTCCAAGCCATTTCAGATATGTCAAAGTCTGGTATTCATCAAAGAGCAAGGAAACTGGACACAATGCGGATTTTGCATAGCTCTTTTTTTTTTCTGCAGTACATTTCAGTTTCTATCAGTACACAGGCCACTTAATATCCTTCCCATGTTTATTTGGGAGATTTCATTTTTCTCACTTTCAATAAAATCCCATAGATTTTTTTTAAAAACTAAAACCAAAACACAATCATGAGAATACTTAAGGGCCGGTATCCAAATCTGATTAGCATCCCCAAATAGATACTTCCACTTATTTCATAGCCCAGCCTGAACTGTATTTACCTTGTTCAGAGCTAGAATGTCAACATCATTCAAGTTGCTGGTGTGTGGAGTCTGCTGTGAAATCACAGTGAACCCATAAGGGACCGATTAGCATGACCTGCTATTTATTAGGCAACCATGTCATTTTGACCACATCATAAAAAATCCTTCTGAAGAAAACAGTTTTCTGGCCCTTTGCTACTTAAATCAGGAGAGGGCTTCTTAGACAAATGTGTACTTTGCCTAAATATCTACAATTCGTAGTCAGAAAGACATGATAGGCTTCTGAATTTTGAACATCAAAATGCATGGCTGTGAAATATGCAAGTAGTTCACCTTTATGACAAAGTGGGGGTTCTATTTGGACCCCTTTGTTCCTTTCAAAGTGAGACAGCACTTGTTAACAGAACTCTTCCCTTTGTTACCAATACTTTGCTAGGCACGATAGGGGGAAATAAGATTAAGGTCAAAAATCTTGACCTGAAAGAAACTGCAGTGTCACTGGGAAGAAAACATTGAAACACTAAGTGTACTCAGAAGATGCTGTCAAGTTAGTAGCCATTTGATGAAATGTCTAGAAATGTCCCACCCCTACTCCCCAGCATAGGTGCTTCCTATTTCAAGGTATATTTTGTTAATAATTCTTGCTTTTCCTGCAGCCAGGAAATTCCTTAAGGGAACCAGTATAACCCAGGGGGGAAGATCCTATGTTATAGGGTTGGACAGCTCTAGATTTGAAACCTGGTTTCCACTTTATATGCTGAGGAATCTTAAGCAATTTATTTAACCTCTCTGTGCTCAGGTACTTCATCTTCAAAGGTGTAGACAGGAGAGTGTCATGCTGGATATACACAAACCAGAAGTGCCACAGAATGTTAATCTTCCTACTTTCTTACATCATGTATTTTTGTATCCCAAGATACCTTGCACTCTGCATTTGTAATTGCTGACCTTGATGTAAAGCAAAGGAACAAGAATGCTATTAGGCATCCACAAGAGTTAAATAGCAATTTTAACCCAAGGAGGAGGCCCTAATTAGATTAATTTGTAGATATGAATGTAGGCCATTCTGTTGAGATGGTCAATTAATTCAAAAGAAGATCTTCTTTTGCAGAAAGACAGAACCCTACCAGAAAACAAATCCCCTTTCATGTTGTTCTTAGCCAAGAGCAGATGTCTGGCAATATGAAAACATAGTGGTTATTTTCACAAATGAGATCTTTCTTTCTGCAGGCAGCATTGCAAAGCTAACTCTGGCTCCTATCTGAGGCTCAAAGATTACTATCTGTGCAGTGTTTATAGCAGTATTCCTGCAGCTGCATTAAAAGGTACCATGACCTCTTTAAGTACATGAATAATCTTCTTCAATGTGCAGTTGTACAGGTTCAGAATTCATTGCTCTTAAACAACCAGCAGGTTCCCAAACTCGACTCCCTTAGGAAGTTCAATTAGCCTCAGATTATTTGCATATCGATCATTTCTTCCCCCACCCGTCTTTTATTTTTAACCCTACAGCCTTACTCTATGTGAAACATACATTGAGTTTGTCAAACCATTTTTCCTCCTGGTGCTTTATATCAGTATTTATTTGGAAAATGCCCCAGTTTACCTGTGCCCACTTGCTCCTTATGGTAGTAAAGGGTAGTTTTATCTAGCATTAATTATATGGTAATTTCAGGAACTTTATGAGCATGCATAATTCAATATTGCCTTTCTCATTGTTTTGCAGACCAAATTACCCATTGCCTAGGCTGGAGAAAACAGTTCAAGAGCACCAGCCCTGACTCAATTTAGGATGTAGCTCAAACAAGTTCATCAGCCTCCTCTTTAGATATTGATCATCACTGCTGGTAGACACAATGCAGTTTTCTTTTCTTTTTTTTTTTTTCTTTCCCTATTGGGCCCAGCCTTTGGCACAGTTTTTTTAGAGAAGCAAAATAATTGTGGAAGAAATCAGGGAGCACATTTTATATGGACTTCATAGAAGGATCCAGATAAATTGGACCAAAAAGCTAAGGAAACCTGAGGCAAAACCCAGTTTTTATACTCTATCCATATTGTATTTCAGTTCAGATCACCTCAATTTACAAACTTGACTTTTGTCATCATAGTCCCTATCCTAATCCCCAAACTTCCCAATCTTCCACTGCCTATCTTTTCTACTTCTAGGTATAGAGCTGTGAAAATTTAAAAATTTGTAAATACTCTATGGGTTTCATCTTTACAACTTTGAAGTTAAAATAGTCTAAGGAGCTAACTCTAAAGCTAAAGCTATCTACCTCAGGAAGTGCCACCTCTATTTAAAAATATCTTCTCTAAATCACAAAAAAAGTTTACTTCATTCTTCATACTGCCTGAAAGCCCAACATTCATTCATTCATTCATTCAACAAATAATACTGAAAGCTTAACATATGCCAAGCCCTATGTGAGGTGCTCTTATACCTTTACACATGAAATTAATTTGAAATAATAAACCTTCTTTTTAAGGATGAAAATATTGGATCCCTGGCCGGGATGAACTATTTTCCAGCCATTTAAACACTGGTGTGAATTAATTCAATCAGAACACTTTCTACTATCAACAGCTTAGATCCGTGGTATTGATGTGAATTGCGGTTATGAAAAGGGAAGGTGAATTAGGAATGTAGGAAACTCAGAACAGAAAGCTTGGCTTTGGACAGAGAGAAATATTAGAACACAGGGTCAACAAATGTCTGCTCTACAGTAAAAATAGTAAAAAGGTTACTATATGAAGCAAATATATCCATCATCTCATATAGCTATACATTTTTTTAATTTTCGTTGCAAGAATGGCTAAAATCTAATCTACTCATTTAGCATGAATCCCAAATATAATACAATTGTATTACCCTCTAGTCCTCATGTTCATCATTAGATCTCTAGACTCGTTCAGCCCACGTCTCCTACTTTGTATCCTCTAGCCTATAATAGCTATTTAAACATTTTATCCAATTCAGTATAAGATAGAGATTTTAAAATCCCTCACTTCTGCCAGGATCACAGCTGTAATTTCAGCACTTTAGGAAGTGGAGGCTGGCAGACCACTTGAGGCCAAGCGTTCAAGACCAGCCTGGCCAACATGGTGAAATCCCATTTTTACTAAGAATACAAAAATTAGCCGGGCATGGTGGCATACCCTGTAATCTCAACTACTAGGGGAGATGAGGCACAAGGATCACTTGAACCCCAGAGGCAGAGGCTGCAGTGAGCTGAGATTGCCCCACTGCACTCCAGTCTGGGCAGCAGAGGGAGACTCTGTCTCATTAAAAAAACAAAGCCGGGCATGGTGGCTCATGCTTGTAATTCCAGCACTTTGGGAGGCCGAGGTGGGTGGACCAACTAAGGCCAGGAGTTTGAGGCCAGCCTGGCCAGTATGATAAAACCCTGTCTCTACTAAAAATACAAAAAATTAGCCAGGCATGGTGGTGGGTGCCTGTAATCCCAGCTACTCGGGAGGCTGAGGCAGAAGGATCACTTGAACCCGGGAGGCAGAGGTTGCAGTGAGCCAAGATTGTGCCACTGCATTCCAGCCTGGGAAACAAGAGTGAAACCATCTCACAGAAAAGAAAAAAAAATAACAAAAACAAACCCTCACTTTTCCCACCAAGGCCATATGTCCCCTTTGTGCTCTTGGGATTCAGATCATAGGCTAGTGCTTTGAGGGACATTATGGAGTTCCTCTAGAGCTAACCTAGATATCTGATTGTGGTTTAATTCAACTATAAATCTATTGTGAACTACTGCTATGGTTTGACTGTGTCTGCCAATAAAACCTGATTCCCAATACAATAGTGCCAGAAAGTGGAGCCTAATAAGAGGTGATTAGCTGATGAGGGCTCTCCTCTCATAAATAGATTAATACAGGAGTGGGTTAGTTATTGCAAGAGGGAACTTGTTATAAAAGCTAGTTTGCACCTCTCTTGCTCTCACCCTATCTCTTGCCTTTCTGCCTTCCACCACGTGATGATGCTTTATGAAAGCCCTCACCAGATGCAAGTCCATCAAACTTGGACTTCCCAGACTCCAGAACAATAAGAAATAAATCTCTGTTCTTTGTAAGTTACCCAGTCTCATTTATTCTGTTATTGCAGCACAATACGGACAAAGCAACTATTTATAGCACTCTATAAGTAAATGCCTTCCTGGTTCCAAATAAACACATACATGTATATGTTAGAATCCAATCCACTTACTATCTGGAGGATTTTTGAAGAATAATTAAAATTCACACGTTCACTTCTTCACTCACTAGGCCTGTGAGTGGTTCAAGATAAGATCTATATTATAAGCATAAAAAACAATTAATTTATTTGTTACTTAGGGGGCTCTACACAGATCATTAATGCTAAATTCATATGTAAAAGTCAATAATGTCTATCAGTGAAAGATAACACATTCAAGTCTCTTAATATAACCATTTTGTAAATATTTACTTTGGTAGCAGGAATTTAAAGTGGAAGTTTCACCAAGTCAGATACTAAGATACCATAAAGGGTGAATTTCACGCCCAGAATTTAAAAATGAATGGGTGAAAAGTGGTTATTGGACTCTTGAAAACCCTCACCCCCACCAAAGATATAAAATGGCCAAGATTTTGAAAACTAAAAGAGGATTTGTAAGGAAAGCCATTCTTTAGAGACAGCCTTCAGTGTGCTGTGAGTAGACAGGGAAGGAGATATCTTCCTCTCAGCTCAAGCTTAGACAATAGGGCCAAATGTATGCCCCGATATGTGCTACCTGGATTTCGGGGGGCACAGTGGACTGGTGTCTGGCATACACCTGAGAAATCTAAAGGAAAAATGCTCTGCTGTCAATCTGAGGTAGCAGGCAGTGAAATAGATTGACATGGGCTACACCAGTGTGGCTATCGGGATTCAAAAGTGTGGCCCAGGGAAGCAAGGGCCAGCCTGGAGTCTATGGAAAAACTGGATAAAGAGGACGATCTGGTGGGCAAGGTAAGCCCAACGGGGTAGATCCATGTGGGGCTGATAAGGGAACAGCCAGGCAGAGGAAAATGCCCCATATGAGTTCCAAATTACCCTCCTCTAGGGAAGTGGGGTCAGAGAGGCTTCCAGTGAGGGTCTCTGAAGAAACGGCAAAAAGCTCATGAGGGAAAGAACAGATTTAAACCTCCAATGCCACTGCACAGCAGTGTCAGCCAAGTAAAACCTGGGCCTCTTCGCCACCGTCCCTTCTGGAATTTCAACACTGGCAGTATCAAATAGAACAACTTGCCAGAGAGAAGGAAGGAAGAAAGACAAGAGAAAGTACTGCTGTGCATCCAGCCCTCTGTAAGGACAAAGAATTCCTCCAACTGCGAATGAAATTACAAGTTTTGGTTATTACATAGGACCCTACACATTTCTAATTATTCAGTGAAGACTACGTTTGCGACTTAAAATGGCTGTAGGGCTTTTTATTACTCAAGAATAAACAAAATTTTAGCCTGTGTGAGTTTTTACCCAGGGTCAGAGGAGGAACTTCTCCCCACTGAATAAATTTCATTAGAATATGGGAGAAAAAATAAAGTTGCTTTTGATTACATCCCATGAGTCTTGCTCATTGAGCATATCAGTTAAACTTCTTAAGATAGAGGGAATTGCTTAAGGGAATACACGATGATTCTTCTCAGCAACTTATAAACAGACTCTAATTCATAAATTTGCTAACGGCTCTTTCCTGCTAGACATTAAAAGAGAAAAAAATATCTCTGTTTGGTCATTAGCTTTAATTTAGATATAGCCTTAGAGTTACAAGGAACATCTTGAGGACAAGCAAATGGCTCTAGACTTTATTAAAACCACACTCCAATGAAACACTCTTGAAGCAGTGCCCTTTAGAAACGATCGCTTGAAATAGATGAAATGCAGTTCTTTGAAAATTTGTCCAACTCTTGTTGCCCTTTGTTTTTTCAGTGCGTGTGCATGATCTGTCTCTTTCCCCCTCACCAGTAGCAAGAAGTCTTCATGCTCAAATTTAGGGCCACTAAGCATTCTCTGATGTTCATCTCCACCATTCTTTCCCCAAAATGACTTATTAAGCACATTTTTTTTATATATAGGGTCTCACTCTTTTGGCCCAGGCTAGACTCAAACTCCTGGGCTATAAGGATCCTCCACCTCTGCCTCCTGAGTACCTGGGACTACAGGCATGAGCCACCACACCCAGCTTTTATTTCTTTTCTTATCTTTCTTTTTTTTTTTTGAGACGGAGTCTCACTATGTCACCCAGACTGGAGTGCAGTGGTGTGGTCTTGGCTAACTGCAGCCTCCACCTCCTAGGTTCAAGTGATTCTCATGCCTCAGCCTCCCAGGTAGCTGGGATTGCAAGTGTGCGCCAACACACCTGGCTAATTTTTTTTTGTATTTTTAGTAGAGATAGGGTTTCGCCATGTTCGCCAGGCTGCTCTTGAACTCCTGACCTCAGATGGTCCACCTGCCTCTACCTCCCAAAGTTCTGGGATTACAGGAATGAGTCACTGCACCCGCACCCAGACTTATATTTCTTAAACATCAAGTATAGACCAGGCTCCAGGTAGTGATACTAAGATGACTAAAATCTGCCATCCCAGGACTACCAATGTAGAAATGGAGCTAGACAGTTAAATAAGAAAATCACTAACAGAGAACAAAAAAATACACTGTGGGAGCAGAGATGATTAACTCCACTTAGAGAGGTTGAGGAAGCCCTCCCAGAAGAGGTGACAATTTGATCTGAGTCTTGACAATTTGATCTGAGTCTTGACAAGTGAGTAAGGGCTCATCAGGCAAAGAGCAGGAATAGTGTTTTAGGCATTATGTGAATGAGGGACAGTGAGAAGGAGCATGGATATTCTGGGAATTGGATAGAATTTAGAAAGTGATGAGGGCAGGAAATGACTCTTGGCGATGGCAGGGATCAGAAGAGATTACCTGTGTGGTTTGTCTTGTTGGGTGACCTGTAAATGAAAGGGAACCAATGAAGAATAGTCAAGCTACTAGATCCCTGACTGGAAGAAGACAGAAACTGAGTGAAGGAAGTTATGATGACTTTCCATACATACACAAGAACCACATCTTTCTCTTGTTCTTCCTGAGCTAACAGATTGTGCACATCATATCAAACTGTCTGGGTATTTTAGTGAAACTGCACAGTGGCATCCACCTCAAATTTAACTCAGAGAAAATTCTTCCGGTTTCTGAATTAAATGCAAAAGAAGATAGATGCATCATACCGCTAAAAGAATAAAGTCTTTTAAAAAGGTAACCCTGTGTTACTCCTTAGCGTTCTCATGACACTGAGACAAGGTATTGAATCAGATATATAAAATTGTTGACAACTTTTTGTATGTGATAATAATCTGTTCAAAAATTTAACTGACTTATGACATGTGCTTTTCTTTTTTTATTGTGTTTCCTTCAGTTTGTGTCTCTCCCCACACCTCTTGCATTTTGGTACTATGAGATGTACTTTGCTGTTTTTAATGTCAATTATTGTGAATGAAGTCAAGATTATATGCTACTCTGGGTTTACAAATTTATTATTTATTCCAACACTGTTTCCTCCAGAGAATCAAAGAACATGGTTTTAAAAATTAAAGATAAGGCCAAACACAGTGGCTCATGACTGTAATCCCAGAAGTTTGGGAGGCGGAGGTGGGTGGATCACTTGAGGCCAGGAGTTCAAGACCAGCCTAGCCAACATGGCAAAACCTCGTCTCTATTACAAAAAACAAAAATTAGCCAGGTGCAGTGGCAAGTGCCTGTAGTCCCAGCTATTTGGGAGGCTGAGACTGGAGAATCACCTTAACCCGGGCGGTAGAGGTTGCAGTGAGCCAAGATTGCGCCACTGCACTCTAGCATGGGGCAATAGAACAAGACCCTGTCTCAAAATAAAATAAAATAAAGATTATATTTATTATTTCTTCATGAAACTCTTGAGAGGTGAGCATCAAAAAAGCAACAAAAAACTTAGATGTTTGAGTTTTATTTTCAAGTTTTCTAAAACTATGATTGAGTTTAAGAATGTTAAGATTTAAATGAAGAATAAGGTAAACTGTTTTATTACATAACTAGTATCACAAAATATTGTGGGATTTTTAGTCCTATTATATATTTAAAAGATATTTTATTCTGTGATCCTTGACAGATTATATAATTATAAATATTATTGTTATAAATATTATTTATAATCATTTTAACTGATTAATTTATGTGAATCACAAGTAAATACTTTATTCTATTCTACTTATAGCCTTTCATAGTCCCAATTTTTGTCCCTATACATGAGATTGAGTAATTTATAAAGAATAGAAATTTATTTCTTATAGTTCTGTAAGCTGGAAAGTCAAAGAGCATGGCGCCACATCTGGTGAGGATCTTCATGCTGCATAATTCCATGGTGGAAGGAGGAAGTGCAAGAGAGGTCACAAGGGCAAGAGAGCAAGAGGGAGGTGACCTCATATTTAAAACAAGCTCATGCTCATGATAACAAACCCACTCCCTAGTTAATGACATTAATCCATTGATGAGGGCAGAAACCTCATGACCTAATGTCCTTTTATTAAGTCCCACCTCCCAACACTGTGGGATTGTAGATTAAGTTTCCAATATATGAACTTTGAGTGACACATTCAAACCACAGGATGGCCCATAGCACATTTGATTATAGCTTATTTTCTCAGTATAGAATTTTGTTTCTACTTGTACATAGCATTTGCCTGTTGTAACATCTCTTGTAATCATAATGATTTACTGAATCTCTTTCCCTCAAAAGACTACAGCCATTATGAGGCCAGAGGTCATATCAATCTAATTCATCCTTTTATTTCCATACCTAGATAAATGCCTAATGCAAGATAGGTGCTCAATAAATATCTGGTGAATGACATTTGAATTTGAAATGTGCCATTAGCCATTTTTAAAGCATGGACAAGATAACCTGAAGACCTGTTTCCTTATCTGTAAAGTGGAAATCATAACATAAAGTTCACAGGATGGTTTTAATATTAAATTAGATAGCTACATATACGGTCTTATTTAGAACTCTAAGAATTCTGATCTGGTCTATCTGTTCTAATCTATCAGTACTTCCACACAGTAGAGAAATAGTTTAAAAGGGAACACATGTAAGGGAATGAAGAAGGTGGTTAAATATTTCTGTTGAGTGTAGCTTGACATTACTCTGAAGTATGAAAATGGGAATCCAAAAGGAATTGAGGACCAGATGCATCATCATTGTTAGGTTTTTTACCCACACAAGTAATTCTCTCACTGTCTTTGCATCATCAATATTCCCCTCTATAATCTGTGAGTGAATTATTAACATCAGTGTGTGGTGAATTAGTCACCTCACTATATACCCTAACAATATTTTTTCCATTGGCCTCACATCATCTTCTAGCTACCATTCCATGTATCTCCTCCCCTTTCAACACAGCTTCTAGAAGATGTTGTATTTTTTAAAATATCTCCTTTGCCAAACCTAATGGGCAATTTTAGAGCTCATCTTAGTAACCTATTAGCAGCATTTGAAAGAGTTGATCTTACTCTCCTTCTTGCACCCTTTATCAAAAAAAAAGTTACCCAAATATCAAAATAATTGTTACTATTTTTTTTTTTTAGACAGAGTTTCACTCTGTCACCCAGGCTGGAGTGCAGTGTTGCGATCTCAGCCTCCCGGGGTCAAGCAGTTCTCTGCCTCAGCCTCCCAAGTAGCTGGGATTACAGGCGCCTACCACCACACCTGGCTAATTTTTTTTTTTTTTTTTTTTGTATTTTTAGTAGAGACGGGGTTTCACTATCTTGGCAAGGCTGATCTTGAACGCCTGACCTTGTGATCCACCCACCTCAGACTCCCAAAGTGCTGGGATTACAGGTGTGAGCCATCATGCCTGGCCTCAAAATGATTTTTAAAGTGTACATACACAAACACACACACACAACTATGGATATGTATCATTAGCCCCTCCCTTTATTATAGATAAGGTATAGATAAGTATTTTTTACTTAATAATACAACATGGAGATTTTTCATATTAGCTCTGTAAAGAGATTCCTTATCCTTTTCTAAAACTGCATAATATTCCATCATGTGGATGCACTTGAGTTTGAATAATCAGCTTCCTATAGATGAACATCAGGTTATATCCAATTTTTTGCTGCTATATAAAATGTTTCAATGAATAGTGATATTCAGTCATAACTTCATATTAGTGCCTTTTATATGCATTATGTATATAGTAGAAGTTCCTGGAAGTGGGATTACTGAATTATAAGGTAAATTCACTTACAATTTTTATAGGTATTATCAAGTTGCTGTCCAGTGTAATACATGAGAGACAGTAGTTTTATTTTGCATTGCTCTTATTCTAAATCACTCCATGCTTGTCAAATATACTGTTTTCACTAGGCTTCCAGAAGACAATTTCTCTCTTGATTCTCTCCTTAGGCTAATGATTCTCTCTTTTTCTGACTTCTTTCTATGACCCAACCTCTAAATGTGGCATGCCCTCACAGCTCAGCTTTTGTTTTCTCCAGTAGAATATCCCTAGAATCCAGAATAGCACCTGTCACAGAATATATGTTCAATAAATATGCATGAAAAGAATGTAATATTTGCAGAATTTAACTTCCACAAAACCTTGCAAAGTAATAAATAGTAATCACATTTTATAGTTGAGGGCACTAAAATTTAGTAGTTACATAATTTTCCAAAATCACTGCTAGTAAGTGGTAGAGGCTAAGATTAAACCTAGGTCTGGTGAATCCAAAGCTAGGAGAAAGAAAAAATGACAGTTGCAAAGAAGTGTAGTTCAATATTATCTACATTTGGAAAACTGTAAACAACGTAATTGTCCTACAGTAAGGAGTGTTTAAATAAATAAATATTAACTTTATTATTATGAGTCCATTAAAATGAACATTATAGAGACTATGTGGTTACATGGGAAATTCTTCTGATATTAAAATGTACATCTAGATTATGATTACAAATGATTAATAAACTAAAAGATTTACATTTTTTGTCTAGAGGACTATGAATTTCTTTTTATCTGACTTCTGTGATTATAATGTTTATTTAACTTCTAGACACATATTAAGAAAATAGAAAAATCTTTATTTTAAATCTTGTATAAATATACCTATATTAGGATAACATGTTCCGCTGACTAGCAGTCTCTATGATATCCTGTAATTTTTGAAGAAAAGAACAAACGTTGAAATCATAATGTAAACATAACACACAATTTCATTGCATATATTGTTACAGAAAATATGCAGTAGATATTGGCTTGGGATACCTGACAATTAGCAACTTTAAAAAAAGTAGGTCATGTACTATATAAACACTATATAAATCTTCAGTAAATAACCACGATACCATGTAATAACTTCCTTTCATATCAAAACAGTTTTTTTATCACTTATATTATCATTTAAACTATCTTTAATTTGGCATGGTTTTCTTCTTCCCTTAATAGACTCCTCTATAAAGTGTAATATTTCCAAGAACACAAAATAGAACTGCAGTTGCTATTTAACTTAATACTCTAAAGTTTTTAAACTAACAAAATAACGTTTAGTTATTTGAAAATTAATGATGATATCTCATGTAAATCCACAATTTTATATGTATACTGTTCACATTGTTGTTAAAATATAGCAGAATGCAGATGGTGATAACAAAACTGATATTATCTGACATAAATATAAATTTGTCAGACAAATGTGCTATCTCGCTCTGTACTCTATGAAATATAGGGATAAACTACAGGCACTTTTAATCCAACCAGTAAATTTTTTTAGAGTTATTAATCTCTGGTAGAGAATCAAATAATTCAAATATTTAAACAAGTTAGAAATCAGTATGCTTACATGATCCAAAAGTAATCCAACGGAATTAAGTGTAATGCTATCTTCCCAGAACTTAGTTTTTAAACACATATACACATGCAACAAACATAAAGACTCCAGATAAAAATTGATTTTGATTATGGTCAAATACTGACAAATAGGTTTATCTTCCTTATTCTGCATCTCAAACCATAGTAGAAAAGAATATTAATGATGAAATGTATAAAGGGTTTATGTAATAACTATGGTAAAGATTGATTGAGCACCATTGCTCCGCGAACCGTCTAAAATAAATGGGGTCTTGAGAAAGAGATATTTTTCTGCATCTCAAAGCCATCTCCTCTACTTGGGCTCACAATACTCTCTCCTCACCTGTCGAGGCATCTTCTCACCTGTCGAGAGCACATTCATAGCATCTTTCTTTTACAGCTTCATCTCTCCTTCTCCATGGGCTTCTTCCCTTGTGTCTCCAAATATGCATGATTCTCCATTTAAAAAGCAAAAATTATTTCTTTTCATTCTTCTAATTCTTCTAACCTATTAATATATTCCTTTCCACAAATTTTCATAGGAATCATATGCATTTTACTCTGGATGATGAAGGCTAGTAAGACTGAGCAGCATGACATGAATTCATTAACATATTTAACACTAGGCAAGGGTCGTATGAGATTCACTGAATGAGATTAGTAGCCCACAAATCCTCTTCTTTACTTGCTTCTTTTAAGAACTCAACCATTCTCATTTCTCATTACTGAGCTTCCATTCAAACTAAATATCCTTTGTTCATTCTTCAACTCTTCAACAGAGCACATTTCACTCTTTTTTCATAACAATGAAGCTCTGGCTGCTTTCCCGCCTTTCCACACTCTCATTTGAGGTTACTTGCATTGTCCCTCTCTATAGCTTCGTCTGTCTGCAAATGCCTCCTACAAGACACTCTTTTCTCCTTAGCATTTACTCTTCAGGAGAATTCATCCAGTCTCATATCTAATCACTGACTCATTCTGCAAACATTCAGAGGGTGTTTATTCTATGCATGCCAGTGTCCTGAGCACTGAGTTCACAAGTATGAGTAAGGCAACATACTTGTCCTTAGAGAGCTTAGAATTGAGTTGAGGAAAAGACAAAAAAAAAAAAGAAAAGAAAGCAGTTATTGAGGTGTAGCTAGGACAATGGGCCCTGCAGAGGAGAGGAAGCCTCCTAGATAACGGAACATTTGAATCATAACTTAGTAGAAGATGGTCAGGTATTTAAACATATATATACATATATACCTATATACATATTTAATATGTGATATATGTTTACATAATATTATATATACACATAATATTATATATTATATATGTATATATGTGTATATATTGTATGTGTAAATGTGTGTATATATACACACATATATGTGTATATATTGTATGTGTATATATACACACATATATGTGTATATATTGTATGTGTATATATGTGTATATATACACATATGTGTCCCACATGCCTAAAACTTACTCCTCCTTTTTTTTTTTTTTTTTTTTTTTGGAGATAGTGAGATGGGGTTTCCCTCTGTCACCCAGTCTGGAGTGCATGATCCTGACTCACTGCAACCTCCACCTCCTGGGCTCAAGAGATTCTCACGCCTCAAACTCCTGAGTAGCTGTGACCACAGATGCATGCCACCATGCCTGGCTAATTTTTTGAATTTTTGGTAGAGACAGGGTTTTGCCATGTTGCCCAGGCTGGTCTCAAACTCCTGGGCTCAGGTGATCTGTCCCCCCAGCCTCCCAAAGTACTGAGCCACTTTTGGCCTGGTCACTCTCTCTTTCTTTAAAACAACTCCCCTCTTCTACTTCGCCATTTCTTTAACACTGCAATGGGGCTCTCTGGTCCACTAGACTTGAAAAGCCCACATTCACATTCTATCATTCTTAGGAAAAATATATTTTGCCCATACCAATTATACTGTTACCATTTTAACTTCAGAAAATCCTGGATGGGTGTGAGCGTTTGACTTAAAAAAGTACAAATCCTAGGTTTTCTTGCAATCAGTGAATTTAATCAGTCTGGGGCAGCTTGGGAAACAGGTATTTTTTTTAATATCACCAGGTGACTCTAATATGAAGCCACTTGTCTATGTTCTCATCACTACAAACCTCCATCTAATCTGTCCCTAATCTGTTTCAACAGAAAAATGTCAAATTAATCTTGCAAAAACACTGCTTTAATCACATTTCTCAGATCTAATACAACTGGAACCTTCTCACTTGATCTCTGCAATTTAAAATTCTAAAAAAATTCTGTCTTCTAACAAATATTCTTCATTCATTCATGTAATCAGCTGTTATTCAGTATCTAAATGTTAGGCTCAGGGAACTGATAGTTCTCAACTCCTCACAGTCTTCATTCCAACAAAAAAGACAGACACTATATAACCACAATTAAGTGTGATCAGTCTTAAGACAAGGAAATACTAGACTCTAAAGAAACCCATAACAAGAGAAGTTAGCTTAGTTGTCAAAGATGATCCGCTACGCTTTAAATTGAAACATCATCAAAAATTTATCAGGTAAAATGGAGAGGGAAAGGGACGATTTCCAAAAGGTAGGCCAGCATAAGCAGCATATGGTGGTTAAGTGAGAGAGATACCTCACCACTTTTGAAATGTGGAAATAGTTTCATTTCTAAGGGGGGTAATTTGTAAGGAGAACTGTTAGATATGAGTGAGGCCAGACCACACAGGCCCTTATAATGCAGCTAAGGAGTCTGGACTTTATTCTGAAGGAAATGGAAAATCACTGAGTACTTTTATGCAGGGAGTCATTTGCAAGTTTGTGTTTTTGAAAGATCACTCCAGCAGCAATGCAAGGAACAGATGAAGGGGAAGCAAAATTAGAGTTGGAGAGGACATGTGAGAGACTTGCAGTAATAATGAAAGAGATAGGGAATGGATGGTTTGGATTAAAGAAAATTAGATGGATTGGGAAGGAGTTCAGATTTAGAGTCAACAGTCCTTGGTGACAGCGAATATAAGGAACAGAGTGATACTAGGGATGACTCCCATATTACTGGTTTGGAAAAGTTGGTGAATGGAAGCATGATTTACTGAAGCAAAGAATATTGCCAGCAAAACAGTATTTTCTGTGTTGTCGGGTGGAGAAACGTAATTAACTCACTTTCAGATATTTTAAGTTTGAAGTTTCTTAAAAACAAGTTGGCTCTGAGTGAATGGATATCAGAGTGGTGGGACAACAATCAGGAGTGGCCACAGATGCCAAAGGAAAGGAGGAAAGGTAGTGAATGTTGCAGGAAGGGGCTTATTAGATTCGCAGACCCATCAGTTATTAGTAACCTAAGGGGGAAGGCAGAGTAGAGTGTGCTGAAGAGTGATAATGAAGGGAGAAAATGGACAGTCAGTGTTGAAAACTCTCCCAAAAGTCTGATCAGGGAAGAAAAGAAAGATTTTGAAATAATCAGAGGAAGTGCTGCACTTTACGATGGTTTGTTTTCCTTGGGTCAATGAGTTTGGTAGGAGTTTTGTTTAGTTTTAAATTTGATAAGTAGGCATATGTTTACATTCTGAAGGAAAGGGCCAGCATAAAGAGAAACACTGAAAATCATGAGGAGACAGTATGTATAACCATGGCTCAAAGTCTATGAGACATTAAGAGAGGGTGAGATCCAGAAAAGAATTGGAGCCTTTAAAAACCTTTATGTAAGGGAAGTTCCTTCTCAATCTTAGTAGGATGGAAACGACTGTCAAATAATAGCTTATTCCAATGCAATTTTAACTATTCCAGAAAACAGTAAGGACAATAAATTTTTTAAAAAAATTAAAAAGCAATGAAAGCATTCATACTAAAACATGAAAAAAATTCAAAAGCATCTACAGAAAAATCTCACTTGTGAATATCAGTGCAAATATCCTAAGTGAGATGTTAAAAAGCAAAATCAAGAAATGGTTTAACATAACAAGAAGAAAAGAGGTGTAGTAGCTGAACATCTTCAGGAATGCCAAGATGGGAGTTGAATGCCAGTCACTGTTGGCATTTAATAGGAAGAAGGGGGAAGACGGAAGAGGAAGGAAATCTATGCCAGGTATTCCTCTTCTTGTTAGGAAAGCAAATATTCTTCTAAGTTTCCCTGGAAGTCTGCTGTTTGTCATATGGGCCATAATTGAGTCACTTGGCCTCTCGTAACTAAAAATGAGGGTGTGTGGTGAGCAATTACCTCCAAACTCAGTGTAGAAGCAGCAAGGGAGCTTGGGATTGAGAATGGCTTGCGAATACTCATCAATAATCTATGCACAGCATGCATTCATTTCTTTGTATTTTACTCTTTACTGTATCTTAATTTACATTTGCAAATCAAAGTATAAATTGATGCTGCTGTAAAAAAATTAAAACTAAAAAAAGAACTACTTTAAAATTATAGTACATCACAAGTAAAACCATCAAATCTATTAATCTAATTCACCTAATTGACAGAAAAAAATTATATAGTCATTCCTTGGATCAGAAAAGACATGACAACATTAAACATCCATTCTAGATTTTTTTAAACATTCATCAAAATAAGTATATATGAATACTTTCTTAACAGTGCATGTGTGTATGTGTGTGTGTGCACGCGCGCGCGTGTGTGCGTTGTGTGTATGTGTCAGAGAGACGAGAGAAATATCAGCCCACAAACTGGCATTCAACCTAATGGAGACATTCTTGCTGAAGTTTAAACAAGAAAAGGATAGTCACACTCACCACTGCTATTTCATTTTGTACTGACAAGAGAAAATAATTAGAGATATAACACTTAAAGGGGGTGGGAAAACTCTTCCTATTTGCAGAAAATTTTGTTATTGGAAAACACAAAAGAATAAAATGGAGAAAAACACTACAAAAGCAAGATAATTGAGAATGAATTAAGATAGCAAGGAAAATAATTAATTCATAAAAATTAGTATCAATCATACGTAGATACAGCAAGTGAGAAGATAAATGGAAAATAATATACATTTACAATAGCCACAGAAAGATAAAATATTATGAAATAAACTTTGAAAAATGTGCCAAACCTATATAAGCAAAACCTGAAAATACTCCTAAAATACACCTAAGCGTGACTGAAGAAATAGAAAGACATATCATGTTGTTGGATAGGAAGGTGCAACATAATGAAAATATAAACTATAAGTTAATTTACACATTATACACAATTCCAATAAAAATATCAATAGATTTGTTGTAGAAATATACAAGCTAATTCTAAGTGTATACGGAAAAAATAAAAAAGAGTAAATTACCAGGAAAACTTTTTTTTTTTTAAAGAACACTGATGTAGGAATAATTCTACTAGGTATTAATCATACTCAAAAGCAGTGCTATCTAATAAAAATATTAACGAAAGCCACCTATATAATTTTAAAACATTTAGTAGCTACAATATAAAAATTTTTTAAAAGGTAGAATTAATTTAAAATATATTTTATTTAAGCCAATATATCAAAACGTTATTTCAACATGTAATCAAAATAAGTTATTATTAATATATTTAAAATTCTTTATTTAAACTACATCTTTAAAATCCAGTGTATAGTTTACAATTACAGCACATCTCATCTCATACCAGTCACATTTCAAGTGCTCAATAACCTATGTATTAGACAGCCTAGCTCTAACAACTAAAACAGTAAATTATTGGCACTGGAATAAGCAGACATGTGAATGAAACCAAATAAAAAATAGATTCAAGTAGAAACGTCAATTTATTATATGATAAGGTAGTATCTCAAATCAGTGAGTCAAGGACAAAGTTTTTAGTAATGGTGCTATAACAAATGGATAAGCATCAAAAGACAAATTCTGATCCTTATCAGTAAACACTAAGTGGACCAAAGACATAAATGTAAAAGGGAAACCATAAAAGTACTAGAAAAAAAATAGACACATTTCTTCATAGCCTTGGAAGAGCAGATTCTATTTGTAACTCAAAAATCCAGAAACTATGAGGGAAAAAGACTAAGAAGTTGCATTACATTTTTTAAAGAAGTCCACAAGGCAAAACACATCAAAATAAAATGTACACACATAAAAAGGGCAAAGCGGAAAAAATTGTTAATTGATGTCAGAAACTTAAAACTAAACCCCTACATAAATAACAAGCTTTAAGATATGGAGAAGAAAAAGACCACCAATACAATAAGCAATTAGAAAAGGATGTGAGTAATTCTCAGTAATAAAAATACAAGCAGTTTTTAAACATGAAAATTTCTCAGCTATCATTTCTCACCTATCATATTGACAAAAAAAGCAAAATGTGATAAATATACTCTGTTGTCAAACCTATGGGAAAATAGGCATCAAAATTATTAATTTTCTTTCTTCTTTAACCCACTTTTAGGAACTGACTTAGATATACTTTCACATGAACAAAATGACAAGTATACCAGCGTTTCATTGTGGCACTCCTCATAAAAGCAAAAAGTTGGACACAGACAAGAGGCCTACAATAGAGAACAGTTGAACATAAACTATAGTGCATACATATATTAGCATGCTATGCAACTGTGGTTGATCCTTGAACAATATAGGTTTTAACTGTGAAGACTTTATACACAGATTTTTTTTTCAATAAAAGTTACAGCATGTGCACCTGCCTCTTCTGCTTCCCCTTCCACCTTCTCCACCTTTTCCACCAGTGCCCTCTCCAAGACAATCAAGACCAACCCTTTCTCTTCTTCCTTCTCCTCAGCCTACTCAACATGAAGATGATGGCTTTTATGAGGATCCACTTCTACTTAATGAATAGTAAATATATCTTATCTTCCTTATGATTTCTAATTACATTTTCTTTTCTCTAGCATATTTTATTGTAAGAATACAGTGTATAATAAATATAACATATAAAATACATGTTAATCAACTTTATGTTATCAGTAAGGCTTTCAGTCAGTAGTGGGCTATTAGTAGTTAAGTTTTGGGGAGTCAAAAGTTATACATGGATTTTTGACTGTGCAGAAGTCAGCACCCTTAACTCCCACGTTGTTCAAGGGTCAACTGTACTAAAATAGCAAATAAACAGAAAATGATAAAAATATTTTAGTGAAAAATAAATACATATATACAAATAATGCTGATTTTAATATGAAAAGTAGAAATATAAAATACTTGTTTTTTATTCATATATATTTGCACAAAGAAACACTGGAATGCTGTCCACCTACAGTGGGTAGGAGGAAATGGGGTGGATAAGAGGGAAAGTGTTGTGATTTTGATTTCAAACCACATGAATGAATTACCAATTCACAGGAAGAGAACATAAGGTCAAATATATATGTGCTTGTGTGTATTTTTGCATGTGTGTGTGTATGTGCATGAACCACTTTTTGAGACAACGGGAAATGGAGATCATTATTGGTAATCAAGAGACTAGTTCTAAGTCTGGCTCTTCTAAAATTAGGCTATTACATTGCCTTTAATTTTTACTTTTGTTCCATAAAAATGAATGAACATCTTTCAGCATGGTTATTATAATGACATTTTAACATTTTAGTTAGATTATAATTCAAGATAAAGTTAGATATTTTAGAGTAAATTGGAATTGGAGAAAAAATGAGAAGGAAGACTTGAAGCAGGTGAAGGATACTTGAAAGAGTCGGTGTGAAAAAAGTGGGAGACAGTTAAAGGGAAAAAGAGCAGATTTTGCTAAAGTTTTGAGGGTCCAGCTGAGGGAAGTGATCAAGAATCTACCCAGTTGTATGATTTCTCTCTGTGTTTGTTTCATCTATGTTTGAACCCACAGATGGGTTCATTCATTGTTGAGCTTCCTATTGAAAGAAACAGGAACTATCACAGGAAAAGGGAGTATAGGATTTGATTAGAGACAGGCTGAGGCTTTGGACCAGAGAATATCAGCTTAATGATGAGGAGTGGAGAGTGAAGATGAGCAGAAGGAGTATCAGAGAGGAGAAAGCAATGGGCCAATGACATCACTGAATGAATTAGCCGCAAGATAAAGATTAGGATAAAGACTAGGGTACAGAAATTTTCCCAATGACATGCCATTCGTTGTGAGTTTTCCATTCTCCAAATTTCTCCAGATTTTGCATTTTGTACCCCAAAGTCAGATTATTTTTGTTATCTCAGACTTTCTTGCTACTCAGACTTCCTTGCTTCAAATCTTGGTTCTACCGCTTACTACCTGTGTGGCATTGGACAAGCTACTTAAATTTACGTGCTTCAGTTACCACATCTATAAAAGAGAGAAAAGAGTGGTGCCGCCTGCCTTAGCTTGTCATTTTGAGTTGAGGACACTCTCAAACAATTAAAATATGACAAATGCTTTCTTATTACTGGCTGTAAGAGAAATTCTGATTTCAGAGATGTTATAATGTAAAAACAAATACACACATTGGATTTGATTCTTATTGAATTAGTTTGCTCCTTCACCATAGAACCTAGGACTTCTAAATTAATATTTTAAAGGCCAGATTAAAGATTTAATATAACAAAGTTACAGCCCATTAATGTTCATTACCAACCCACATTTCTCCCAGTGGTTCCTCTAAAACAGTGAAATAAACCAGCCCAAATTGTAATCATCCTGAAAAGGGGGGTAAGATATTTTTGTGGCTTCTTTAAGCAATGCTTATTGATAAATGTTTCTAGTAGAACAGTTATCAGATACAATGTGCCCTATATTCTTTGTGTTTATTTAATAACTGCAGGTTATTGTACCTGTTTACTTATGACCCTTTAGAAATGCAGAAAAATTAGGGATAATGATGTTAACATCCCTAAATCAAAAGACTATGTATAATAGGAGAAAGAATATTGATTTGGATTTAAGCTCATGTGTTGCCTTCTCCCACCTCTGTTACTTTCTCTCTGTATGAATTTGGATAAATTACTAACCTTCTCAAACCTGTTTTCTAATTTGAAAAATAGGTACAATCTAATAGGTAAAAATACATACCATTTAATAGAATTGTTCGGAAGTTTAAATAACATACTGTCTATAAAGTGCCTAGATACATGAGGCTTGAATGCTTGTCCCTAACCCCCTACATTGATTTCTGCCCTGACATCTCTAACAGTATAAGGTTAAATAAAAAGGGAATGCTAAGAAAGCTGGACCTATTACAAAACAGTTCATACTTACTAAGATCACTCCCCCTCACCCAAGTCATTTAGTCACTTCCTCTTTTTCTCAATATCCCATTAAAAACAGTCTTTTTCTCTTTAGTTTATGATTGATTATCTGGGAAAGGGCGGTAATGCTCTTTGTGAATAATGCTACATATTGAATTGAGAACAAAATAGCTGAAAACAGTCTGAGGCAGTTCTAGTTGGCACACAAATCAATTATAGATCATCATTTAACAGAAACCAAAACACACGCACACTACAGGACTAATTTTGCCCTCAACCTCTTTCTGAGAGAATATATACACACACACACACACACACACACACATACACACGCATATATGATATATGTATATACATATATGTATACATGTATATATACACATATAATTGTCAGCCTTCTCCATTGACTTGTAATAAAAGAAAAAAATCTTAAAAATATCAATATTGCCATTCATTTGAATCAGAAAAGCATTGTCTCTATAGTATGTAACCGTAGGAGTGAGTTACCTGCAGTAAAATAGAAATTAGATTCTCTGCATCTTAACAAAGTATTATATTGTGTAAACACCGATGCAAAAGAATGGCAAGAACTTTTAGCATAACCACTAATACTGATTCCAAAAACAGGGGGAAGAGGCATAAATGCTCTCATGTCTGTGTGCACACTTCTTTGCAGTGTGACATTAATGTTCCTTTCATCAAGAGGCAGAGGCAGTTTCTTTACCTACTTATGTTTGGGTCTGCCTTGTAACTCCCTGTGATCAATGGGATGTGATGGGTGTTATGTTATCAGAGTTCCAGGTCTATGCCTTAGAGGCCTTGTAGCTTCTATTGTCAACCCCTTGGAAACCAAGTAACACTTTCTAAAGAAGCATGAGCTAGCCTTCTTGACAATTGGTGAGGGGTGTGGGTTTTGCCAACAGCCAGACATGTGAGCGAGGTCATCTTAGATTATTTCATCCATTAAGCCTCCAAGTTGCTGCAGTCACATAAGTGACCTCATGTGAGACTCGCAGAAAAAATATCCACTGATCCCAGCTGAAGCAGAATTAGGAGAAATTCTACTATTCAAGAGAATTCAACAGAATTAGGAGAAAATAAAATTATTTATTTTAAGCCACTGAAATATTTTTTTCTGAAAAAAGTGGCATATTTTATTGGTGCTCAACAAAGTTTTTCAGAAGATTAGAAGATTAATAATAACAGTTTAAAATACATTCTCAGAAATTGCAACTGCTGGGCCCAAAGAAAGCACAGGTTAAACCAAGATGAGTTCACTTCGTTTCATCTGATTCATTCATTCTCTACATCTCCTGCCTCTGCTGGAGCATGTTTTGAATTTCATATTTCAAAGCAATGATTGGACCAGGACAGCTAGTAAAGAACCTTGGCATTTCAGCTGTACAACACCATTCTCAAATCCTCTACAGGCCATTTCTCCTTTATCTTCTCCAGAGTTGGCCATATTCTAGTTTCTAACAATTTCTTATTTTTACCATAAGTTTTTTTCCAGATCCTTCTTCTCCTGAAGATGCTTCCTCAGAAACTAAGGATAAACCAGGTGCAAAGAAGTCCAAAATTGTTGCATAAATATCTGGCTTCATTAAATGTCAGTCTACATCTTCACTTTCACTTGTGAAAGCAATGAAATCTGGGCTAAAGAAGACATTTTTGACTCCTTCCATCCTAAATAACTGCTTTGCCAGAAGGGAGTAAAATGCTGCAGCTGGTGTGGGAAAATCTATGGTCCTTGTCTCTAAAATTGGTTTTCCTCTAATAAACTTCAAACTGTTGGGATTTGGGGTATGTTATGTTTAACTAAACTTATTTTATATGCAGTTACAACTAAGTGATAATTTCTGGTGAAACAGAAATTGAAACTAAATAACTATACATTTTACTACATCATTGTCCTATACATGTATCAGTTTGTGACATAGTGACCAGGCAGGCAGTTGGAAAAGTGGTCTTAATACATGTTGATAAAGAGGCTGTTTCTTAGAGATATGCAGATTTATCATATTTAACAGAATCACTAGCAAGGCTCTACAGCAATGGCTACAGTTTTCTCCAGCCACTATCATATGAGGTGATTTGTTACCCAGCAGTAGATAACTAATACATCCACCAAAAAAGACAGTATGTTTTGGTAAAAAGAATACTGAAAAGGCAGATGGTAATCTGGGTTCAAGTCCTAATTACACCAACAGATTAACCATGTGAAATTGGATGAACCTCTTAAGCTGTCTAGTCCACAATTTCTTCTTGTGCAAACAGAGAAAGTTTCATTGGACAATCTTTTTATTATTATTATTATACTTTAAGTTTTAGGGTACAATCTTTTAAGTCACCTCAGCTATAAAGTTTATGCTTCTAACTTACTATAGCTGACAGCAATTGTAGATCCAAATTAATTGAGCTTTAGTTTTAGAATATGGGTCATAACTGTCTAGAAAGCCTGGATTCTCACCTGCTAAAAACAATGATACCTCTTATCTTTCTCAGAACAATGATTCTGGAAAACATATAAGGGAAACTGCTAGTTTGAAAGATACTTTTCTTTTACAAGCTGAATTAATACAATATGATCAGGTGAATAGTACTGGCTTGTATGTACAAACCTAACACAAAAGATGAACTTAGAGAATTTTTAAACTTTCCCCTATTTGAGAGAATATTATTTGTAAAAATCCCTAGCCATGACAATAAATCCAAATAAAGGAATCTGCAGAAATACAGACGGAAAGTGTTGCACCAAGTTTTCAGAATTTCCATTTCCTAATGTCTTCATATCATTTTAAGTAGCAAGAACTAAAAATGAAACGTGTTGTCTAATATTCCATTCTACCATAGACATCATTGAATCTACTTATTTTGTAGCTACCCAAATGTTAACCAAGGATTTTGAATATAAACATTTCCTGAACAATCAAAATATTTGTAATTAGCCTCAGGAAATGTTTGTGGGCTCTGAGAAAGTGCCCTCTATCTGGAGTCTGATATCCAGAGCATTTGCAGTTGGCTTCCTAGCCATGTGACCCTGGGCAAACCACTAACCTCTCTGAGCTGCAGTTTCCTACTCTAAAAAAAAGGGATGAGGATATCTGTCCTAATTATTTCACAATGATATTGTGAGGATCAAGTTGGAGGAATCAATGGAAAGGTTTTTACAAATGCTCAACTGGTAATATCCAGAGGAAAGGAAAAGTGAGGGGCCTGGATAATTCTCAAACCAATGCAATGCCTGAAAGTTGGCTGTATGTCCATAAAGCTGTAATGTTTGAGACAGAAATGATTAACACCAGAAATAGACTTTGTGTTTTCTTTTTAGGATCATTTACTTTTGTCAGTTGAAAACTTTTCCATTTTTTTCTTTTTTCAGGCCTTTTACTTTTTGTACCCCATGCTATTCTCATTCATATGTTCAGTAACTCAACTAACAAACACTCATTGAGTTCCTAGAGAATGTGGAAGACACAGATGATCTAGACCTGCTCCCTGGCCTGAGGGGCCCAAAGTCATAAAGCAACAAGTCATTCCAAGGCAAGGAGAAACAGTAGTAATGAAATCACAGCCAAGGTGCCAAGGAAGCAGAAAGGAGGAACGACTCTCTTTTCTGAAGGAGAGAGAAAGATACACTGAGTGGCCTCTCCAAAGGAAGTGATTGGCATTTGAGCAGTATCTTGAAACATGAGAATTTTTCTAGGTAAACAAGGGGCATCTGAAGTAAATCATAAGATCACAGCATATGTAAAGCCCTTCAATAAATAATGATAAAAATAATATTAAGAGTTAACATCTAGCATGCATTTGCTATGTGGTAAGAAATGAGTTTAGACTATATTTTTAAAGTAGAAGGAAGATAGGAAGATATTTTTCACACTTAGAGTATTTCACATAGCAAATGTTCAATTCCTGATTTTTTTAATTTACATAATCTTTTGGTGAATTAATGTCTCTAATTGGCGCCTCGGTGACATGATGCCCTCCAATGAAAATTTACCTCAAGGCTATGCATTTAGCAGTTTTTAAAATATACCCTTTGGTTCAGTTTTGAAGAGAAAATAATTAATGATTAAGAAGTAGAAGTTGTAATAGCTTAACAATAATACATTCAGGACTCTAGTCTTTCTGTTTACAAGGTGTTCAATCTTTTAAAAAATTGCAACTAAAATGCTAGCTATTGGAATCATTAACAATTTAACTTGCACTTTCTTTGACATCAGTGAAAGGGTATTATTTATCACACTAAGTATATATTATAATCTTCTGTTGATAGTAAAAGATCAAAGATTACCTTGCATCAAACAGAATTATGATGCCATAACATTTTATCTTGTTACAGCTGATATCAATCACTAGGCAACAGTGAGCTGCAGAGGAGATTTTTCAGTCAGTATCCCTGACATGCTCAAACCTCTGAAATATAGCAACCAAATCCTATGTGCATTGGTTGTGAAAGTGAAAAATGTAGTGTAAACAAATAAGTGGCTGATTGCTAATATCATACATGTTGCTAAATATCACTTGGCTTCTGAGTGAAACCAATTGATAGTATTCTTACTAAGAGCCTCATTAAAAGAGAGAAAAGACAGCGTCAATAAAAGGAAAAGTGGAACATTGTTTTAAATGGATGGTGGAAACATCCTCAATCACAAGATTAGGGCAAAGCCCCCTTCTACTGTAACTCTCTAGAGAAATATATATTCCCTCTCTTTCATCAGAGAGCTATATAAGGCCCTGACTGAAGTCACAAATCTCCCAAGCAAATCTTTCTCAGGAAAGGTCACACCCTCTTTCTTGCGTCGATTTTGAATAATATCCTAGGCTCACTCAATGGGTAATCTAGGCCAAGTTTTCCCCCGTCATGGTCATGTAACTGCATAGGACTTTTCCTTCCTTCTCATTATGGTGGTGGCTTTGCTTTTTAGATAAAGAGAGCAGAGTCCTTGAGTTTTTGCAATGTTCAATGTGCATCCAGCTCTCTCAAATACTGAAGCTATAGAGAGGAAAACATTTTAGTTGGAAAATCATTTGTTCATCTTCATATGCAAATTTTACAGCATGCTGATTCATGTCAAAAACTCAGCACTATATTCATCCCTTTGTCATACCTGCCTCTTTTTTGATATTTTTAAAAAGGAATTACAGATTAAAAAGAGCTTTATTATAAATCCCAAACTTTAACCCTTCCAAGGACTAAGTGAATATTAAAGTATTTAGCATTTATAAATTGTTACATTATTTATATTAACAATAACAGTCACTCACCCTGTGAATCATAAAATCATTTGCCTGAAAATTGTATTTTCTTTTTTTCCTGTATCGAGATGGTCATATATCATATTATCGAGAACACAGCAAAACGTTCCCAAACATGCAAAATTATTGGATGGGGACATTCATTTTTATGCAAACTATATGCATATTCATATAAAACAGTTTGAAAAATGTATCAGATATAATTAGCATGTTTATGAATCTATTTGCTCTGCTATTAAGTAACAAATTTGTAGTAACCATGGCAACTGCAACATCACAGGCACAAGTTCTATTTTTGTAATAACATGAGTACTTTTCTTAAAGCAACATTCATGCTCAAACCTCACATTTTTAAAGTATTAAAAGAAGAGTTTTTAAAATATGTCATTTCATTTTTCATTAGACAAGGGCATATTTTATATTTGAGTTTAATTTATATTAAAAGCTGTTTCTTTTTTGATGTGTGTTGTATCCGTGTCTGTGTGCTTGTGTTTGCCAAAAATAATATTTAAGTGTAAAGAGGAAAAGAACCATGGAATAGCAGGGGTATGTTAGTTGACACCTGTGGTTATGAGATTGTTAATTTTTTAAGATTCCATTTCACTTGAAACAATACAAATATATTAATTTTCCAAAGTTTTATAATAAAAATGAAAGCCAAATGTGGTTTCTCATTAGGTTTTCATTTAAAATTCTTCTTTAGTTGTAGCCATTATGTTTTATCAAAATCTAAACAATAACATTTCTCTGCGTGGTCAATTTGGGGAGGCTATGTTTTGGTTAACACTTTGTTAAAATAAAGTTTTACTTATTCATCATCTTAGCAGAACCACTTTCAGACATGTCACCTGGGCATTATCTGTAACCTTGAAAACCTGACTTTCCTTCACTGTAAACTGGAGATTATAATAATACCATTATTAAAATATTTTGGGGAATATAAAATCAGAAAATGCCAGCTTGATAAAAACCTTCATAATCTTTAAAAATTACAATTCTACATTCAGATGCATTTTGTTAAAAATATCAAATCTAACCCTGAAATGAAAAGTTACAAACAATACAGGTCCTACAAATATCTGATTTCTGTATTTTCTCAAGAAGCTGCAGAGGTAAAATGGGTGTCTAGGAATTGGGATGATGAGCTTGGAAAAAAGGATTTTGTAAAAGCAACTTTTTTCATTTAAAAAAAAAATGTCTGGCCTGGGTTTAAGTCCTTGAATCAATATCTTACTGAGCCTCATTTTGCTCAGCTACATATGGAAATAATACTACCTACTTCTTTGTATTTTTCCACGGAGTAAATATAAAGTAGTCATCATATCCTGTGACACAGAAGAGTTGCCAATAAAAGTAGTTTACTTAATTCCCGTCCTTCATTTTAAAACTTTATTGACTTGAGAAAGTAAAGAGAGGGCTAAAGAGAAAGTAAGATGTTCAGATGAATTTGGTCTTTTAGCTGTATGCTCTGAACCAAGGATAGGCTGGAAGGAAATTTCTCTGGACAGACCATAGGAGATGGTGTTTGAGCCAAGACTCAGTTGGCTTTGAGAAGAATGGCTTCAATCTGAGCTTCAAGGGTAAAGCTGTATGCCAGATGGAAAGGACATGCTTATCCTGAGACAGAGGAAGGCACTCTAATCAAACTAGATGGTAAACAGTAAAAGCAAACCCAGTGATACCAAACTTTGGAGCTGGCAAGGTAAACGAGAACCCAAGAAAGATGGAGAGAGTCTGTGGATCTTTAATTGTCATCCTCTACCAATAGATTTAATATTATCTTGACCATTCAATGATAAAATTTCAGCCCCATTCAAGACACATCTATTCCCCCTTACTTTGCTCTATTTTATTCATAGCACTTATTACATTGAAATTTGATACATAATTCACTTATTATTGTTATTTTGTGTCTGCTTCTACCTGCTAAGATGTATACTCCAAAGACTTGCATTTTTGTCTTCACTGTTTTTTCCTCAGCAACTACTTTTTATATTGAAACAATAAAGATTCTGCATGGTGTTTGGCTTCTAGTAAATACACAGTGAAGAATATTTGTTATTAATTTTTTTTAATTTTTTCTCAGAGAATTTAAAATTAAGGTCTTCCTGAAGCTGCTGATAATGGAAATAATGATCTGCCTTATTGTCTTTGGGGAAAAGAACCTAATTTTGCCTAGATCGATCACTAGAAAGAGATCTAAACATCTAATCTTCCAAGTAACTATAATCTGTGGCCAATTGAATACAAATTAATCCAATAGATTATTTGGTCAACCAGTTTAGTTGCTAAATCAAACAAATAATTATCAATCAAGTGATCATTTGCTAAGATGAATCTAATTTTGCCATGGATTCCATATACATCTTTATTTCTGTAAGATCTATTCTTAGTTCATAAAAATAAATAATTTGAAAAGTCTATCCCTTTGACAGTGTAAATAGCCCCAAGACTGAGTTGCTTACTTTAGAGTAGGTACACATTTTAACTGATTTGTTATCATTTAAAACTTTAGGAAGAAAATTAACGATGATGGTGTGATTAGGTCTAATTTATCTCAACCAATGCAGTAGACATAAATTCTCTCTAGTCAAAGTCAACATTTGTCAAGCTTACGTACCTTGTCTTATTTTGTGTGTGTATTTCAGAGGCATAGAAATAGGAGTCATTTTCTGAGCAATAATATAGTTAGTGATATATTAAACAGGACTTACAAGTTTTCTAATGATAAGAGATATAAACAGTAAAAACAACAGGGAAGGAGTGTTGCCTATGTCTTAGGAAGAACTGGAAAGGCAATGGGTTGGTCAGGTGTGCTACTAGCAGTTGGTGAGGCAATCTGGATCAGATTGCAAGGTAAGTGAAATGAGAGGACCATAAACCAGTCAGCTGCATTTTAGGGGACTCCTTATAGGAAATTTAGAAAGAATATTTTTACTCCAGTTCTATATATCAAACAGAACAGGGACTATCTGGATGCTCACAGACCTAGTCTTATTTCAGCTGTCTCAACAGAATTGTGCGTCTGTTGAAAAGCACATATCATGATGGCTGAAAGGGATCTCATTTAGTTAAACTGTATGACCAATTGCTGTAATGAAAATATTTCAAATACATCATGTCCCCACTTGATGTTTGTTCATTCATTCTGGAAAAAAAATGTTGTTAAATTTAAAAATAATAGTATACATTGTGAACAATTAGAAGGTTCAAAAATAATATTAACCAATGAAAATCCAATTGCAAAGGGCCCTAAAGACAAGGAGAAAAATTGATTTTTATTCCTTCTCATGCTGTGGTGAAGACTGTCCTATAAAATTTGTATCCCAGAAACAGAATTGTAACAAGGCCCAGCAACACTATTTTGTAGCCTCCCTTTCCTTGCCTTTCAATGTGGCTTCATGATTTTTCTCTCCAACAATAGCTTCTCTTCCAGCCGAAGCTATTGTTATGCATAAGTTCTGTTACTTACAAGGTTGGCCCATGAAGCTCCCTAAACATCCCTTCAGGTTCTTCTCTCCTTAATATGAGTAAGAATGATGTGTTTAAGATGGTATAGTTCTTGTCAACCCAGGTCCTCAAATGATATTCATTCATTCAACAAATATATATTGAGTGCATCATACGTTGCTAGGCACTAGGTACTATATGGTTCTAATAATTTACAAAACTGGACCTATTTTATCAAAATGATTTAAATGTTATTTCAATAAATTCAATCATGCCATTCAAATATGTGATTTCATAACTTATTTAACGATGTGAGAAATGAGTGTGATATTTAAACTGAAAAATGCCAGACGTAACACTATCTATATAGCATAATCCTAATTTTGTTTGACGTTATAAGAGTTGCATAGGCTTTTTCACACCCCATTCCACTCCCCTGCAGCATCAGAGGCTCAGAAACTAAAAATGGCTTATTGTATATCCCCTTGTAGCTAGTGCTCCAGATGTGATTTGGATTCCCCTTTGATTTGGGTGGGAGTTATGCAGGGAAACAAGGAGAGAAGCAGGATGCAAGGCACCTATCCAGGTTGTTTGTGTGGATCAAGGCAGTAACAGTGAGGTGCTGGACCCAGCAGTCATGAGGGGAGGCTTCTTAATTTTGCTAATTCCTGTGAGTGGCAGACACAGTAGTCCTCTGGCTTCTGCTGTGCTTTGTAGTCATTTCTGAAAGCTGGGAATAGACACTGATTTTTCAGCCCTGCAAACACTTCTGTGATCTATCCATATTCTCTAGTAAAGTATTCTGTGCTTAAACTAGCTGAAACGGTGTGTGTGTGTGTGTGTGTGTGTGTGTGTGTGTGTGTGTGCACATTGTTATATCTGAATTATTGGATTAAAGATTTCTTAACTGAATCTAACCCATAAGTCACTGGCAATTATTATTATTTTAATTGCATATAAAAGGCTTATTCTCCGTAAGTACTTTAACTCCAAATTCAATGTTCTAGTTGCTTCTGAAATTACTCTTTAACCACATTCTTTTCTTATGTCTCTATTGTGATAGTATGGAATCATAGAAACAGCAACTTCTCTAAAAGTGCTGTTACATAAGGCATTTATAGTCATAGCATTAACTATATTCCAAAACCATGTGACTAAAAGCATTTATGGTCCTTAACAAAAAACAACAGTACAAATTATAAGCGCTGAAGATTGGGACTGGCATTAGCCCCAGTGGAGCCAAATCAGTTGAATACTCTAAACAATTTTATAGACACTTTTTTAAAAACAAAATAATCCAGAAACTTTTCAAACCATATATTTAGATATTATAAGTGCATAGAGCTTTTGTAATAATATTTATTATTATTAAACTGACATTTGTTTTGCCCAGATGTATGGTGTCACTCAGAATTGAAAATGTACTGGCATTTCTAGCATAATCATATGGAGACCTCTTAATGAATATTTGCATAATTGTAATAGTATACTCCATTGGCATTATGAAATGGAAAATACATGACCACATCTTCTTGTTGGAAATTGATAAGCCCTCAATAAAGTAAAATAATGATAATAATTGGTATCAGTGCCTTTTGGATTAACAAACAAAAAACTTCTGCACTACCCCTGTTTCCATACTTTCAACCACAACTTTCAAGACTAGCAAATAAAGGTTGATATCACTTGGATTATGTTGCCTTTTTCATTTGCTTTCAATGCACTTCCATTGTGCTCTTGCCAGAGAACAATGTTATAATGCCTGTGACATAATTGCAGTGATTATCCAAATATTTTAAACATCATGTTGCACAAGTATTTCACAATATATCACTATCTACCTTCAGCCCAGTTTTTATTCTCTTCCTTCCAAATTCCATGTCTTTACCTTGATCAGAACTACTTAAGAAAAGGAAAAGGTCACAGATTACTTGGGAATGTTTGAGTACACCCATTACTGCTGAATCAGGACCTGGTCATACCCAGACCTGGTGACCATATTCTGCCAGGGAGTGCAGTCTCACAGGCTGTTCCCAGGCCAGCTACTCCTAGCTGGGGACTCACTCTCTGTGCCTCCTACCATTGCTTTTTGTCTCCCTCCTCAAGTGTGATGTGCCTAACTTTTTACACAAATATTCCTGAATGTGTATACAAATGTATATGTATGCATGAAGAGTTCACTTAATTATAATTATAATTCACTTAATTAACATATTCTAAATTCATTTAGAACATAATGCAGTATCTAGTGTGATTTCTGTTATGGTAGAAATGCAAAACCTCTGTTGAATTTCATTGAATTATGACAAATTTTTTTTAATATTCTAAAGTAGAAATGTTTTTCTCTATTTTTTGTGATTAAGTAATCTAATGTTTATTATACAAAAGGTTAAAAAGTCACATATAATCCCCCATCCAGTTATAACTAGAGTGAATAAATTAATGTACTCTGGTTTCTTGACAATTTTTGATGCAAATATACACATTTTTAATAAAAAAGAGTGTTCTATTTATACCATTCTGTTGCTTTCTTTTACAATTAAAAAATATTGGCCGGGCACCGTGGCTCACGCCTGTAATCCCAGCACTTTGGGAGGCAGAGGTGGTGGATCACGAGGTCAGGAGTTCGAGACCAGCCTGGCCAAGATGGTGAAACCCCGTCTCTCCTAAAAAAAATACAAAAATTAGCCAGGCGCGGTGGCAGCACCTGTTATCCCAGCTACTTAGGAGGCTGAGGCAGGAGAATCGCTTGAACCTGGGAGGTGGAGGTTGCAGTGAGTCGAGATCACACCACTGCACTCCAGCCTGGGCGACAGAGTAAGACTCCGTCTTAAAAAAAAAAATTCACATGTTCAGGTGAGACAGATGAGTCATGAGGATCTGTATCAAGTTTTGCTCTATGTATCCAATATTATCTCTTCATTTCCTTTTCAAGAAAATTTCCAATAACAACCACTGATAGATTCCAAAACAAACAAAAAAGAACAAATGTGTCACAAGAGGCATTCTCAGTTCCTGTAGTATAATGTAGTAAAGTAAATCTTCATTTCTCCACACTATGTCCAAAGGGTCATATAGAACAACAAAGAAAGTAAGTAAAACCACTTATCCCCCAGCCTGCAGAATAACTAGGATAGAAGGACCACTACAAGTTTCCAATTCTGTGTAAATATGAAAATAAATGCCCAAATCTAGCAGAGGAAGCTCCTGAGCCCACATCAAGCACAGATTCTACACATGAATACCCAGAGGGAGCATTAGCTAACCAGTGTGGTACACAGTTAAAATGCTCTTACCCCCCATCCCCTGGCCCAGAAAAAGAAAGTCCAACCTTGAGATGAGGAAATATAAGAACAAGTCTGAGATCTGATAGATCAGAGCACCATAGACTGGGAAATCAACAGGAAAGGGATAAAGTGCATGAAACAAGAAGTAGGTCCCTAGGAAAGCACCACTTCTGCAAGGAAAATACCAACTTGCAGAGGATGCTCTTGGAAGCTTGAGAGTGCAGGAAAATATGGAAAAAAGAGATGAAACTTAAGGAGTCTGCACAAACAAAAAAAGAGTCACAAAATCAAAACACACAGCCCTCCACTATCCCCCTACCCAAGAGAAAAATAAATGCAATCAAAGAAAATCAATTTCACCATATTACAAGAAAGACTCTTGGCCTAAGAAACCTAATGAGCCATGCAAGCACATCTCCTTTGTCTACATAAAACTTATTTCTAGTCTAAGAAAATTAACATGTTTAAAATTTTTTAGAAAGATAATGTCAAACAACATTCATACAAAACTATTTTACAAGAAAAATGGAAAATTCAAATCAAAATAGTTCAGCATATATTCTCCTTAATAAAATGACAATAAAGCATAAGGAAACTGAATTAAATATCCTTAAAAAATAATTTACAGAATTTTTTTTAGAAAAACTTAAATCATAAGTTTATAAACTTCAAAACAGAAACAGGCAAAAAAGCATGAAGATATGAAATAAGAATTGACATTCAGAACAAAAGCCATTCTTAAAAAGACAAAAATCATCTTGGAAATAAAAACTAACAAAATGCTCAAGCGAGAATTAATTCAACAACAACAAAAATAGATTATAAGAAATGCTGAAAAAAATGCAAGTATAGCATTATGCCAATGAAAACAAAGAGAAAAATCAGAGAAATGTAGTTGACATAGAAAGTAAATATAGAACATCTACTATAGAAATAATATAATCCCCTGAAAAATAAAAAAGCAAAACAATGAAATAGAATTAATATATAAAATTAAAATCAGAGAAAAACATCCTGAAAATAGATAAAGACATGACTCCCATATTTTAAAAGGCCCATATGTACCTGAAGAAATCACCTAGACAAACTCTAATAAAACTAGTATTTTTTTTTTAGCCATTAGACTGTAAAGGTGAAGAAAAATCTTGTTGGTTTACTCAACACACACACACACACACACACACACACACACACACACATCAGCTCTATCAATCTAAACAGAAAGAGAAACAGACAAGCAGATAAAATGTCTATAAAATGTAACATTGATAAATCAAGGTGAATGGTATCTGAGTGTCCATTGAATTATTCTTTCAACTTCTTTGTAGGCTTAATTTTTAAAATAAAAGCAGAAAAATTATCACAAGCAACACATACAAAAAAGATAATGAGCAATGTTTATGTAAATTATTTCCTAATTTCCTATCATAATGTCATAATATTTTTGGCTGCATAATGTTCTCTGTAAGAATTTTATGCCATTTTTTAAACCAATAAACCCTTCTTTGGCATTTAGGATTTGCTTCAATTATTAGAAATCTTCAAATTTTGAACATGGGTTAAATTTTTTTTAATGAACCAAAATGAGAACAAAAAGTAACCTGGCAACAAAATAATGAGACTGACTTTCGAAATGATTCCAGAAGACAATCTTAAAAAAAGTCTTAGCAATGTCAACATGAACAGAATAAATATAATCATTTTGAAAGGTGAAATGACATTTGCTGTGTAAATTTCATAGTTTGTTTCAAAAAAGAACCTTGAAAATAAGTAAAATTAAAAAGTAGAAGAAAAAAGAGAAAATGTATTACTTTATAGTCACACTGAAAAAAAATTGTAGGGCTATGGATATATCTCAAAAGATAGTACCACTTTCCCTTGATCAATCGATCTTTCTTTCTTTCTTCTCTTCTTTTTTTTTCTTTTGTTTTCTTATACAAGCAGTCTAGTGTGATTAGTTGGCGGACTGCTCGAACATTCATTGAAAATGTACCATGGAAAGCATAAATATATGATCCCTTTTCTCGTACCACTCACATGTTTTTAGGGTACAGGTATGTACCTAAGAGCTATAATATGGTAACACAAGCATGCACCTAGCATATATAATGTAGGTAATACAGGCATACAAATAACAGTTATAAAACAGGTAAAGAGCAATCTGATATGTGCCATAGCAGAGGCAGAGAAAGTGCAGTGCAGCATAATAGAGACGAGATGGTGCTTGGTTCAAATTTTTCAGAGGATGCCCAAGAACAGTAACAGAAAGTTACACAGATGCATAGGCCATGACTCAAGTGAGAAAAGGCTTCCCCAGAGAATTATGGGAAAAGTCTTGTAGTCAGAAAAAAAAAACAAAAACAAGATTTAGAGATCTTTGAGAATTACTGGATAAATGCAGGATACAATGTATGACAGCAAATATCCATGAGCTCATTCAAAAGATACTTATTGAGGCTGGGCACAGTGGCTCACGCCTGTAATCCCAGCACTTTGGGAGGCCGAGTCGGGTGGATCACCTGAGGTTAGGAATTCAAGACCAGCCTGGCCAACATAGAGAAACCCTATCTCTACTAAAAAAAAAAAAAAAGAAAATTAGCTGGGCGTGGTGGCGCATGCGTGTAATCCCAGCTACTCGGGAGGCTGAGGCAGGTGAATTGCTTGAACCCAGAGGACGGAGGTTGCAGTGAGCCGAGATCATGCCACTGCACTCCAGCCTGGGCGACAGAGCAAGACTCTGTCTCAAAAATAATAATAATAATAATAATAATAATAATAATAATACTTATTGAGCACTACCATGGGGAGACTTGGCTGATATGCTCAGGATTTTGAAATTGGTCCTCAGAAAATACAGAGTCTTGAAGGCTTTGAAGAAGTATGGAATGTGGTGATCATGCAAATGGTTAGTGGCATATGAGGGTCTGTCTTGGTCCAACACTAGACATAATAGTCTGCCTTGACTTTGTACAACTGACATGCCCAACAAGTTTATCTATCATTCCTGTGGCAACATGGTTTCTGCCTTAAAAACACTTGATTTCCTGATCAAAATTACCAACTTTCTATTACTCTACACAATTATCCTAATGAGCAACCCAAGGTTCTCTAGAGTAGTCATATGGCTGACACACAATAACAATAACAGAAGAATCAGCCCTAAGCTATATCACAGTATATATACACATGAATGCTGAATAAAGAAATAGTTTTTCTTCTAAATGGCCAGATATGGGTATAGCATGATTAATCATAGAGAAAGATAAATGGCCCAGTTATTCACTTTTTTCTTCTGAATGTTTGGACATAAAATTGGTTCAATCTAAAGGTTTCTACAAACTCCAGAAACATTCTCCATATGTCTGGCAGAGATATCTACTTTGTCTGACGCGTCTCTGTCCCTTTCAATCACAGGGATGAAGATAATGTACTACATCAAGAATTATGACTTGATTGGAAGTAAGTGTGATTTTCTAGGTCTTCTGGAAAGTACTGTACATTTGGTTGTTATGTTTTTACATGATTTCAATTTGAAGCCAACCTTTGAATGAATCTCCTTTGGCTGAACTGCTGTTAGTTTCGGCCTCATTTGATTTAGGCAAAAAGAGTACAATCATGTGCTGAAAGATAGAGCTAAATTTCCTGCACAAAAAAGTAGAGACGTTGCCCCACTCCTCCTGAGGATTAAGTGACAAAATGAAACAAACACTGGATTGGGATAGAGGACACTTGGATGCTAGGAGTCAATCTGTCTCATTCATTCATTCATTCATTCAATAACTAGTTATTGAGCTTCCTATCCACCAAGCACTGAACTAGGCATTGAAAAGAAAAAGACAGCATTGACTTGGAGAAATAATCTTATTCTGAGTTAACCTTCTCAAAAACTTTCAGTATTGGGATATCTCCAACATAGTCATGAACTCCGGATGATTTTAAGAACCAAGTGGAGAATATGTGAAACGAGGATGAGAATTGCTAAGAGTGGTGAGGGATCATGCTGTACTGGATACTCTATGCCCCAGCTAAAGGCATTCAAATTCAATTTTTTGAAATATAATATATTGGTGGGGGGGAACCACATATGTGAGCCCAATTTGGAGGGCTTCCAATTTCCCATCCTTGAACTATGTAATTTATAGGATTTTCTCTGTTCCTCACATCACTTTCATACTTTAAAATGAAGGAATGAGGCCAGGCCCAGTGGCTCACATGTGTAACCCCAGCACTTTGGGAGGCTGAGGTGGGAAGATCATGAGGTCAAGAGATTGAGACCATCCTGGCCAACATGGTGAAACCCCGTCTCTACTAAAAATACAAAAATTAGCTGGGCATGGTGGTGCGCACCTGTAGTCCCAGCTACTTGGGAGGCTGAGGCAGGAGAATTGCTTGAACCCGGGAAGCGAAGATTGCAGTGAGCCAATATCACGCCACTGCACTCCAGCCTGGTGACAAAGCAAGACTCCATCTCAAAAATAAAATAAAATAAAGGAATGAATGAATGCACAAATGAATCTTGTTCTTTAAAGCTTGACTTCTGTTTAGTTTTTCAGACATGCCTAGTCAGACACAAATTTTGCCAGGAGTCCCTTCTTCCATGAGTTGGTTCTATAGAAATGAGAAGCAAACTTGAGGAAAAGAATGGAAGTAGATAGGAAAAGGAGTTGATGACACATTGGCCCACTTTGCTGTTTCATTTTAGGTTGAACCTACCTGTACACCCTTCCACTTCTACACTTAGCCTAAGCTCAGAAGTGCCTTTTAGTCAAAATCTTTGTCTTAGATCTATGATTTAGATTTGGTGCTAAACAAGATACATTTTCAACCTGTAAAGTATTAAGTACAGCATCTGACACATGGTAAGTGTTCCATAAATGAGAATTGTGAAAAAGCCACACTGCGTTGTATATAAGAGCCTTCCCTCATAAATCAGAACTTGATTTGAAACCAGTCTCTACTTTTTTTTACTAGATGGGAGACTTTGAACAAGGCATTTCAGTCTCTGTAGTCTTAGTTCTCTCAGAGTAATTTCATGTGGGGTTGCTGTAAGATGCAACGGGATAAGATGTGTCCTATATTCAGCACAGTGACTGGCATTTAGCAAGAACTAAAGAGGCACCGGCCATTTTGTCAGCAATGATGAAAGTTCTGCTTATTTTTAAAAAACATTCTCATTTATCTTTCTGGAAATTGATATACAAAATATCTTGGGATCACATTATTAAATATATCATAAAAATTACTCTAAAAGAAGTCTTACATATCAACTGTAAAAATTATACACATTGGATGGTTCTACAAAGAGTTTAATCATTGCTTTATCTTGTATAAGCCTAGAGAAAACCAAGTGGCACAAGGATCAATATCAAACTTCAAATTTTTTTTTCAAAAGGAAAATCTTACATCTAGAGTTCAGGCACATTTTACACATCAGTGAAAATTCCAATCGATATTTCTGAAACTTGTTGGCTGGCATAGATTTTCTATATAGTTGGAAAATTGTATCCAGTTAAATTGTGAAATGTTTAAACAAGGCAACAGAAGTTATGCTGGTATAAATGCAAATAATATTTTAAAATTTAGTGACTAACCAAAGTCTCTAATCTTTGGTCTTATCTAAATCTAGGGAAATTAGTTTGATGATTCTAAGTCCTATTTGTGTGTTCATCATCCACATTCTGTTCATTTTTTGAAATCAAAAAGGGACATCCTATTTTTTTGCATAAAAGCTTATTTTAATCAACAAACAACAATCATCCCACTGAAAATAATTAAATACCTATTTAAAACATAAAAGTCAGTATTTTCAAAAAGTGTACTTTTATCATTTACTTCTGTTTTTTAAAGTTTGGTTAGGATGAGGTATTTTATTTTTTTGAACGAAAGCTTTTTTCAGATGACACTAAAGGGCTGCCCTCCCTCTCTTCCACCCATATCCATACCAATCATTTCTGTGCCTCAAAGCAATTTCTGACATGAGTAGCATCTCTTCAACATGCTAGCTGCCTGAACCTTAAAAGTAAACACTAACAGTGAAAATAATCCCTCAACTTTTAAAAGGAAAATCTCAGAGGTACCATAATGCTAAGGAAGACTTCATTTCACCCTGGATTTTATTTAACTATTATTCTGAGTTGTCTCTTTTCAAAGCAGGAAACATTTCTCCTTTGGCAATGTTCTAAGCAAATGACTTTATTTCAATTATATAAACCATAAATAAACAGAAATAAAAGAGATTAATGAGCACCGGTGCAACTGAATGACAGTCGTTAACGACAATTTTGCTTTATTGAAAAACCTCTCTCTGACTTTTGTTCCATTAAGACCATATCCCAATTATCTCAGTTTCATTCTGCCATTAGCAACCTTATTTTCTTAGAAATAGTACTGATAGATGGGTTTTAAACTGTACTTTTATAAGTAAGACAGACTACAATCAAGAAAGGGGTTCCCATGTATAGTTTGTGGGAATACGTTTGAAATGATCACACTTCCTAACTGGTCTTGCAAATCAGACTTCAGCTAAATGTAGTACTCCATTATAAGGGACAGGGGAAAAAATTGAATGTTGGAGTTCAAATTCGTATAATAATTAGAAGGGACATTTATTTCAAAATGTGGAGGACTTGACAGTAAGAAAATGACAGAAATTCAGCTCCACCGTGAATTATAAATGTCAAATTACTGGTATGCATGTAAAAAAGTATGTAGCTATTAGAAACCATACTCTGCATTCACGTGCAGTGCTTCTGCCTTTATCAGTTTCTTATATTCCTCTAAGGTGTTCTGTCATTCACTGTCAAATTTTCAGTGTAAGATTATAAGACATATGTCAGATCAGTGTCCAAAGCTTTCCAGGTTCTGGACACACCAATGCAGTCCCATATTTTACACAATATTAAGTATATTAAATGGGAAAAGCTGCTCAGTTATTAGAAGTCAGTTACAGAGGGTACTCTAGCATGTGATATCATCTACTCTGAGGAATGCAAAGTGCAGGGAAGGGGGGAGCAGCATGACTCTATATTGTGTGTGGACTCACGATGCTGTCAGAGTGTCAGCAGGATGAACAATGAAAAGGATGTTAACTAAATTTTGATGTGCAAGAACATGTGTTTAATTTGCAAGATGCTTTGTTTAATTAAAAGGTAAATACCATTTACAATTCCTCTTGCAGACAAATTTAGAGCTGCAACAACACCTACAGTGTTCAAATTGCCAGCAGAATTTCCTGGATGCATTTGATCAATTAAAAGGGTACACATTTGGGGAAAAATAATTATTTTGTTCCATTTGTTTTCAAATAGAAATGGCTTTATTTTCCATAAACAGATTATTCCTAGAATTTAATGCCTAGCTAAGTATGGATTCAAAGATCCAAAAACCATATTATTATGTACCTGGTGCAGAGCAAACATATCTGAAGGCTAAAAGTTTCTCTTGTCACTCAACCTCCATCTCAAATAGGATTTGTTTTCCTCTTTCTGTCTGTCTGCTTTTCTTTTTTTAGCAGGTTAGCTCCAAAAGGAATGTGGGTCACAAAGACCCTTTCACCCCTTCAGAAAGATAACCTCATTCACATTATTTGGGAGCTTCAACATAATTATTCCGTAAACTCTGTCCAATCTTAAGGCAGATCGAAAAGATCTCAGATCTCATGTTTTCCTTTATTTAAGATTTGCTACTTTTTTCAGTGACCATGGTGGGAGAGGATGCTATTAGTTCTTCAGCCGGCCTCAGGGCAAAAAAAAGTTGAAAAAGACCCAGACTTCTTTACTTACAACTTCTAATCTCCATAATACAGGTAGTAGAGATAACAATTCGACCACATTTCTGCAATTCAACACTTCCTATAGTTGTAGCTTGGTTTCAGATATGCTTGGAGGCAGGAAATATACCAGTGACTCTCCAGAGAATCCAACTTAATCATTTACCTGGTTGATACCACCACATGACATCTGACAACATGAAAGAGAAATTCTGCAAAACTTCTTCAACAGTTCACATGCAGTGAATTGGACTTGGGTGGCCCTCGCTATGTAGTAATCATCTAATAGTTTCTTTCAACCAGTCCTGCCTACATGTTTTGTGTTACATGACTAACATGTAAAATACTAAAATATGAAATAGCCAAACTATTATACTATTAACACATTATATTATAAACTATATCTGTTACATTAATATATCATCAGAACTCCAAAGAAAATAAAAATTAAACTGGCAGAAAACAGTACAAAAGAAACTTCAGTGGAGTAAATGCACTTTTCCCCCTTGTAATATCAGACAAAACCCTCCTCTCCCCTGTCCCAAATTAACAAAAGTTTCATTCTGTATATTTGCCGAGAGGGAGCTTCATTTCATTGCCAAGTCAAATACAGTAAAACACTAGGAAAAAAAAGTGCTCCTCTCAAGTGGCAAATATGGATATAAGACAATTGGCAATTGGTCCAAACCTTGATAGGCAAAAATTCTTGTGAGGAAAGTGGCAGTTTTAAGGAAGTTACTACATCCTATTCATTTGATAATTTTTCATTTCAATGCCCAGTGTATGTTCTCTTTGTAATAACCAGTTCTATTTTCTTAAAAAACACCGTTTTTAATGCATCTCACAATCACAAAACCCAAGATTTTACAGAATTGAATTATTTATACCTTTCCCTCACCAATTATTCCATTGATGAGGGAAGACTACCGTATATCATATTCTAAAAGGGAAAAGTTGAGTTAATCACAAAAACCAATTATAGTAAGCCTTGAAGCTTCTGCCTTAAACTCAAGATAGTGCTCTCTTGCTCTTTGGTTCATCTGCTAGGACAGTCTAATATACATTTGAAAATATGTCAAACATCTTGTTAAATAATTTCCTCTTCGATCTCTTTTTTATATCTTTATCCCAGCTCCTGTACAAGTCTATGTTTTCTCAAAGGCATTTAATCCCCAATTCACAGAAAGACCCTGTGAAGACTCTGGGAAACAGTCTTCCTTGGTCCATGGATGGATCATCTGAGAGGGCTCTACTTACCTGGTTAGGGTTTGCTATGACCATTTACTTCTAATTTCCAGTTGGTGATTTCATTATTTGGCGATTTCATTATTTAGTGATTCATTACTTGGTTTCATTATAAGTTCCTCAAATTTCTTTAACAGAAAAAGCAGAAGAATATCAGCATATTTTTGTCTGCTTTGAATTTTATAACCTATTAAAGGTAATTTTTAAGAAAAATGTCTTTATAAAATGTCTTTATAGCCACTGTTAAGACTGCCATTTGATTCTGTCCCACTCCACCACCAGAATATGTTTCAACAAATGAAGGCCTTTTTTCAGGATTGTTTTATTTTTCCCTCTGTTGAATTCCTAATGCCTAGAACAGTTGCCAAGTTCATGACAATAACTAGTTGTTGAATGAGTGACTGAATCTCTCACAATGAAAGAAGTAGGGACGTGATGCTGTGAGAATGCATGGGTCTTAGAGCTTGAATACAGAAAATCTGGGTTCCAGTTCCCATTCTTCCTCTTACTAGATGGGTGACCTTGAGAATTCTGTATTACCTCTCAGGACATCAACTTATTCATCAGTAAAATAACAGGGTTAGACTAGATCATTTCAAAAAGCCCTTCTTCGGGTCTAAAAATCTGTGAACGCATTTATGGTATAAATTCACACAGACAAGCAAGCTTCATTATATAACATAATAGTTCAAAACTGATATTGATACTAAGGGTTTTAATGAGAGGTGAGAAGAAAAAAAAATCCCAACTTGACAATAACAATCATATTTAAGTAAATTAAACCTTTGGAAAAATCGCAGATCCCCAGCATGACAGGAGGCCATGTGGCCAAATAATTTGCACACAAATGACCCAGAAAGCTAAGACATGGGCTGCAGCCCAATCAGTGACTTAAGGCAGTTCATCTGGTTTTCTCTGATACTTTGAGCCTTACTGAAAATGGAGGAACCCTAAAATCGTTTTTTGAAACATATTCTGGACCTGAACTACCTTTAACATAAAGGGTAAATCAATTTCCACAATTTACTTCAGTACATCATAAGTGTGTCTTAAAATGTGAATGCCAGTCAAAAATCTTTGGTCAATTAATATTGTATATATTTTTTTCTGTTAAAGTGTTCATTCCAGAGGTTTGTTTTGACATTTTTACTGTAACCATTCACCGTTGCAAAGAAGAAATATATGAATGGAGATGAAAAGCACCAAAATCTTGTTAGTGTTAAACTCCTTTGTGAACAAAAGCTAGCAGAAATAAATGTAATGTGGAATGGCTTTCCTGGAGTAGGGTAGGATGGGTCTTGGGGGGTGGAGAAGACTAAATTGGTACTGAGACGAGCCTTTCAGATATCTTTTTAACTGCTTTAACTGCTTTTCAAGCAAAGCTGATGTAGTTATTTTAGTCTTTTGCCATTTTTGTCATTTAATTCACCACTGAGAATAGCCCTATTTCCACATTTGCATCCTTTCAGTATAAAAAGGTATTCACAATTAAGGTGAAAGAAAGCTTCCTCACTGAGAAATATGGGATTCGGGCTGTTAATGATCTACTGCTTAGCATTTTCAGAAAAACCAAGGATCTTTTTGTGTTTCAGCAGTATGGTTAACTGGAATGGATATAGAACCTGGATCTGCAACTCTGGTTTTAAGGCCTGGCTATGCACTTTGCTATGGTAGCTAAATGGATTCATTCTCTCAGTTTTCTCATCTGCGAAATGGGGGTAGGGAGTTCATAACAAACATTTTAAAAAGCAAATATCTCCCTTTGATCAAATGCTTTCATTTCAGGAAAAGAAAATATTTTCTTCTTTTCTTTATGAAAAACAAGACTGAGACCTGAAATATTAGCTTAGTTACTACCAGTCTGAATCCAATACAATAAACCTGAGTTCTCAAGATATCTCTTTTACTGCCTGCTTTCAGATCCTTGCTCTTCTGCTTACCAACTGTTATAACCTTGGTCAAGTAAATAAATCTTCCCAATCCTTACTTTCCTTCTCTGTAAAATGAGAAACTATCGTAGTACCTAATCCACAGGATTGCAGTGGAAATTAAATGAGAAAATGACGATAAAGGTTGCAACACAGCACCTGGCAACGAATAAGCACTCAACACATGTTAGTTTTTATTGTTATAATTGCGATTTTATCCTCAGGAGGAGCTGCAACTCTTTACGACCTGTTCAGATCTCCTGGATTGATGAACACAGAGGAAAGATACCAGATCCCTCTTCATTTCAGCCCCATCCCCTTACTTATTAGCAGTTCAAAGATTCTGCCATCCACCTGAAAATACCAAATAAGAAAACAGACGCCATTTTAAAAGATTGTCTCGTGGATCCTGCCTAGATAGAACAAACTAATTCCGGGGACAGTAAAAAAAAAGTCCTTTGGCTTCTTTCCCCAGAAGAGTGTGTGAAGAAAGTAGAAGCAAATATTAATAGTACTGATCACTTACTAGACCTATCTATACTTATTTTTTGCCTAAGCTTTTGAATTTTTTTCTTAAAAAACTATCATTCTCCAAAGACAGTAAACATCCAGAGGCAACAGACTTTACTAAAAGTCACAATAATCATAGCATACTATGCCCATCTCTAACTCAAGGCTGCCTGAATAGAAAGAAACATTGTGATTTCTAACAACCTTTTCCTGAGAACAGAGAAGCACACAGCCTATTTCACTGTACCACTCAAAGCATATAGCCTATTTCAAGGTTAAACTAGTTTCAAAACGCCATACAAAACTAAGTCATGAATTGTCTAGATAAACAAAACAATCACTTCCCCAGTTCCATAGTGAGGGGTGGGAACACAGGAAACCTCGCAGAAATGGATAACTCTCTCTCTCTCCTCCTCAGTATAAGAATGAAAACTTTTCGGCCCATGCTAGGACTTGGGACTGAAAGTAGGATTCACACTCAGATACGGGAGGAAGGGTTAAATTAAGAGGAATCTGTCTTCCTTTACCCTCCCTCTCCCCAATTCACAGAATAATTATTGGTGTCTACAACCTGAAATATTAGTAAACATTTCCTCCAATAGCTAAGGAAATGCTTCCAGAAACATGCACATCGGTAGTGCTCTTCCAGACTGGCAAGTGTGGGTTTGAAGTGTGTGCGTGTGTGTGTGTATATATATGTGTGTGTGTGAGAGAGAGAGAGAGAGAGATTTTGATGCTTGGAAAACATATTCTAAAAAGCGGCCATAATTTCTTTTTCAGGGGGGCCCCTTTTGGCTCCTTCAGACCTCAGCCCAGAGAACCAGAGAAGGGTCAGAGACGCACGAGGGAGAGGCTGAACTCACACTTACCTTTGACCAGTAGAAGAGGTGAGAGTGGGGTTTGGCGCTTTGTTTGTTTTTGTTTTGTTTTCTGTTGCTTTTAGCACGCCCCCAGCGCCAGGGCACTGGAGGGTGGAGGCGGGTCCGGGCTGGGCAGAGCCCGCGGGGCGGAGGGGACCGAGCGGGCCGCCGCGCCTGCCGCGTCCGGCCAGCAGGGGGCTCCGGCGCTCTTCTCCGGGCGTATTGGGCTCAGCCCGCGCGGCCCGGACCTCGGGCAGGGCAGGGGATCTGGAGAAGGGAGGACCAGGGGAGGAGGGCGAGAGCTTGAGAGAGACAAACGGGGGTGAGCCGCACAGCGGGGTTCCCCAAGAGCCAGCGGAGCCTTCTCGGAGCTGCTTAAGACCTGACAAATCCTGGAGGAGCCAGGCGTTTTCGTGAACGGGGTCTGAGCCTCCGCCTTACCAAGGCTCCCGAGTCCCGCGGGGCCGTCTTGCTCCGGCCTCCAGCCCGGGGCGCCCTTGGCCCGACGGGCAGCCGTCCTTGCGAGGGCGTTAGGGAGTGAGCCGTGGTCTCTGGCCCAAACTCGGGAGGACAGCAGAGAGCTCGGCCAGGGCTGCGGGGAGAGCGATGACTCCCACGCCCCCGCGTCCGCACCAACCGCGCCTCGCGCTTCTGGAGCCGCAAAGCTCAGGCCCACTTAGAGAGGCAACGATTTGTCTATGGATGTCCTGTGTAACCACACCTTTGCTTTGGCTTCCTTTCCTCGATCTGAAATCCAAGGTGGTGGTTGATTTTTTCGCTCTCCTACTCTCCCAGAGGAGGCCCCGGTCCGAGCCAGCGCTGGCGGGCTGCGGCTGCTGAAACTAGAGTTCCTGTGGCCAGAATGGTGCCCCTTGCCCGCTCCAGGGCTTCAGAGAAGAGCGAGCCCGGCCCGGGGCTAGGGTGTCCGGCCTGCCCCGCGAAGGCGCGCTGGGCCTGGAGACTTTGCGCTCTTCACTTCGCCAGACGAGAGTTTAGCCCGGGGCCCGTCCGCGACACCTGGCCTCCGGCGGTTTTCGGGACCCTCTCTCAAAACTGCGCGAGCGCCGAGATCACTCTGGTATTAGCTCCCTTTAGATGAGGAAGGCATTGTATCTTTCTAAGGGGGTCTCTCAGACCTAAGTTATTTTGGTCTGCAGTGGTAGTAATGGCCTTGAATTTGTTTAAACTTACTGCCCACGACACCCTCTCCCCAAATCCCCCTACACCCACACAGTACGCTCCATCACGGCCACCACCACTCCCACTCCATTTGCATTTGAAAACCTCTGGAAACATAAGCGCTTTCAGGATGAACTCTCTCTCTCTCTCTCACTCTCTCTCTCTCTCACTGTCTCTCTCTCTCTCTCTCTCTCTCACACACACACACACACACACACACACACACACACAGCCCGCCAAGTGGAAACTGAGTTGAGTCATAGGATGCATATGAATAGGATTGGATGGTCCTTTGCTTCTGCGGATAAGAATGTTTAATAACCCAGGATTCCGGGCAATAACAGCATTACAGGGTTTCTAGAACTCTGTTCTGATCCTTTAGAAATTGTTAGAACAATAGTAATGATAGTAGGAGGAGAAGTAGGACTATGTTTTTCAAGGCACTTGCAAGCAATCTGCTACATCGTTTATGGGAGAACTTAAAAATATTCCCCTTGATTAAGACTCACAGGTCAAATATCATCTCTCTTTTCTGCATGCTAATTAAAAGCAACTCTGTTCTTAGGTATTTGACAGTCATTTGAATCAAGATACTTGAAAATTTCTGACTCAATAGCAATGTGCTTCAGTACACACAATCAAGTATAATCATATATATGTGAGATATGACTTTGAAGAGGAGATGACTTTTTTAAAAAAAAGACGCATACTCAAAGACAACTAGAAATGGCTGCTGCAGGCAACCAGTCACTGCTCTGACTACAACATATTTGTGCAATTAATAGTCTCACAACCTAGTCCAAATCCCCTCTTTACTTGGAGCAGGAGTGTTAATGAACTGTAGATGCAAAGCTCTTAATGTATAGATGTAGTGTCCTCTTGAAATTTAACAAGCTTTGAAAATGTAATAAAACAGAGATAAGTATTCAGGTTATTTTTAGTTTGTGTTGGCTTGTTGTGTTTTTAATATTGTTTAAAATATGACACAGTTATCCTCAGTTCCTATCCCATATGTCCATTCTGGAGGATCCAGAAAACATATCAGTAGTTAGGGTAACAAAAAATCCTCCAAAAAAGACCCAAGTTTTGCCAGTAAACTTTAAGTCTTTATTGAGCATTTCATAATAGCTTTAAAAAAACAAAGTGCGGTTCATGTTTCTAGCTACTTTCATACAATGTTGAAATAATACTATAATTTGACTAGGTAAGATTCTTATTGATTGCTAATTTGGTGTTAGAATTGATTATATTTCACATAATGATATCCCACTGCTCAATGAGATGAATATTTATGTAATAGGGAAATACCATTGCTGGTTTCTTTACAACTCAGTGTGAATAGCCACATCGTTGACTTCCAAAGAATAAAAGAATCTTTCCATAAACCTTCTGAAGTCGTTTCTATAAACTTGCTCCACTTTCTAATATTGTGAAAGAGTTGATGTAATTTAATTTCTATTCTGTCAATTATAAATTTATTTCATCTTGGCAAGGTGCCCTATTTGGAAAAGTTGATTGTGGGAAAGGATGATAGTATAGCAGGAATATGGAGGTTGAAATAATGTTTAATTTTATAATCAAGATAAATGGTGTAATTGACCTCATCATATCAGGAGCAGGGAGAATCTGAAATGGTTTGATTTGCACACACTTCATTGAGTCTACCAAAAGCATACTGATATCAAATTGCCCAGGGCTATATATTTATTATGAGAATTCATAATTCCAATCCTGTTACATATGTTTTTTTTTTAATTTTGCTGGATCTTATGGAATAAGGATAAGGGAAGATGAAGAAAACTATACTAAATGTGTCAAAATGCTCCTTGTATCACAACAAAGTGGATGGTTTACTCAATGCAGCTAAATTCTCAGAAGAAAAACTGAAGTCACATCTTTAAAGAGCATTTTTCTTAATGTACTACCTATCTGTAAATAAATAGTTTAAACCATAATGAAAGCAAACTTAAAAAGTTGACTCTAGTTAAATATTGGGAGAGACTGAGTAACTTGTGTACCATCAATTTCCTGAGGACTTGGCCAAATTCTGCCTGCACTTTCAGCCTAACCTGCAGGGGGCAATAGCTTGACACGAATGACAACAAAGGCTGCTGAACTATTAGACTTGAATATCTGACTATGACCCTGGAATGTTGTGTAGGTTGGAAAGAGTGCTTAATTAATGTATATTGAAACAAAAGATCAGGTAAATTGTTTGATTTGTCTTCAAGCTATATTTTTAGACTAATTTAATTCATAACTGTTAGGTTTTTTTTTCCTTAAAGAGATTATCAAAGTTTTAGGAGACACATTCATCTTTAGAATTTTCCTGAACACTAATTGTTTACTACAGAATTTATGTAATGTATGTTACCAAAGAAAAGACAGCAGAATCAAAGTGACCATAGTTTTCAGTGTTCAAATGGATGACAAAAATCAGAGGAAATATGGAATTTTGAGATATATTTAATAAAAGATAGTCACATATCTAGATAATAAACCCTATTTCAATATTTTTTAAACCTATAACTATAAATGGGTGGGGGGCAGTCATCCCATTGTTTGCAATATGTCTTCTTTCCATGTATCAAACATTATTTTTTAAAACTGGTTTAAACTTAAAATCACGATCAACAATTAGTGAGTTATCTCTTTTATTGCTATATATTTTTCTATTACAAGTGGAATAGAATTTATTGGCTATCGATAATCCACACTCTCTTTCCCTCCTTCTCGGTATTTCCACTCCCTCCCCCATCCCTATATTTCCCCATCAACTGATCTGGGAAGACTGGAAACAGACCAAAAGGGGTTTTGGCTAGAGAGAGTAATTACAGAATTAGAAAGGAAAACTCTTCTCATCTCCTCACTGCAATCATACTTAATGTTCATTATGTCAATTTTAAATGATACAAAATGCCTTCCCCAAAAGGCATCCTGGTTTTAAGAAGTCAAAAGGGTACCTGGCATTAAACAACCTTGAATCAATCCTGGTGGGATTAACTGGACTGAGTTTCTGTATACTGCACATGCTATGGATCTACTTTGATCACAGTAAGGAAAAAAATGAGAATAGATTTTTTTTTTAAAGAATTGCTGCACAGGAGTGTTCCGTTTCTTTTATATGGCAGAGTTTGATCTTGATAAAAACCTTTTAAAACATCCTTTTCCCCCCACTATGGTAAAGAGATCATATCTGTTTTTGCTTTTCTTTAAGAAAAGAAAATGGGGATTGCTTACACGGGGAAAGAAAATTTTATTCTCCAACACCCCCTCCCATTCTACTAAACCATTTTAGTCGACATATGTTTGTTATCAGAGAGAGGTGCTGTGAACACACAGCCATTTTCTTAGCAGCTTTTTGACTGTATGTTACCATAGTCCCACAAGGCATTGGTCCTTTCCCATTGGGAAGTCATGAATAAGAGACTATGAAGCTTGCACGTCAGATCTTCCTCAATTAATCCACCATTAGCATGTTTGGGATCCACTACTGGATGGTTAACAGCAGCTTTTGTAACTGTACGCCGACCATATCGAATTATGCTCTGCTAAAAATGAACTCTTTGCAGACCAACCCTCTCGGCTGTCAGTGTTTTCCGTTTTCCTATTTTAACGTTTGTGTATAGTGGCAGGCGACAGATGGTGTAGATCAGATCGATTTGATTGCATTAGATGATTTTTTCCCTTCCCCACTCCTTTCTGGAAGCTCGCATCAGCTGAAGGCTATCGCCTGGGACTCCTCGGAAGCATGAGCAAGCCGCCACCACGCGAAGGCACTGGGGCACAGCCAGCGCGAGGCGCCGAGGTCCCTTCCCAAGGCTTGTTAACACTGTAACCCGGCACTCGGAGAGAAGAAGCAGCTCACACTGCCCAGAGCCTACCTCACTGCACATCAGATGACTCCCTGGCTTCTACACACAGTTGGAGTTCCGCTTGAAACCTGGATTTAGAGGGTAAGCACTTCAATCGAGATGGATTTGTGACAGTTACTTTGCCATACAGCAAGACAAATCTCAGCAAACGTAAAGGATGTAGGATGTATGGCAGAGGCAGACTATGTTTACATCGAAAAATGTGTTTCTTTTTGTCTGAGAACGAGAGTATTATTCAGTAAAGATGTGTATACTCTTTTTCCATTGACTGTAAGAGTCGACTACCACCCTCCTCCCGATTTTTTCTCTCTCCTTGGTGTTTCCCCCTTTCTACTTGAGAGGGAAGGAGAGAGGGAGAGGGAGGGAGTCAAGGGGGAAGAGAAAGAGGGAGAAGGGGGGGAGAGAGAGAGAGAGAGAGAGAGAGGCATTTCAGCTTTAGCTTAATTGGCTTATTTCCTCAAACCCATTGCTTTGTCGCGTTTCTTTATGTATTTTTGGTTGCAAATTGCGAAGCGATTAACTGGGATGGGTGTTGGAGTATGGGGGATAGCATAGGAAAGTACTGGGAACCGTCAATCAGTCGCGGTGGCCTTGAGAGATCAAAAGGTGCTGAAAGCCCCCTGCCCGCAAAACACACCTCTAGTTATTGGGGCGCGAGAGAAATGTAGATTCTAATAAACATGGCTTGCAGGAGTCGATGAACAAAGGTACTTAATGCGGACCTAAGCCTCCGCTGATATTGTTCCGCTAGCAGTATCTAAATATTCAAAAGCGAAGTGTAAGTTGATCAACAAACGCCCTGATGGTATTGGGCTTTTTCCCTTTTTTGTTTTTGTGTGGAGGGTGGAGAAGGGGGGGAGGGTGGATGGGTGGGGGAAATCCGACAGCTTAAGGAGGCTTGAATTGAATATGCACCCAGCGGCAGTGGTCTCGTAGGAAATGGTGTTCTCGTAAGTCAGGCTGCCCCGCTCAAGCACGAGAGAGCTTTGGTTAGAGCTCAGAGCGTCAGTTCTGCTGCGAGTGCTGCCGGCAGTCGGCCCGGGTTGAGCTGTCCATTCGTCCAGGTGCTGAAGCTGGTGGAACATTGGGTAGGTAGGGAAAAGGCTGGCACTGCTACTTGGGTAGAAAGAAAGCATATCAACTGCGTTGTTCTAGTTTCTTAAAGCGTGCGAGTCTGTGGGTCAGTGTGTGTATATATTTTATTTTAATTGTGAGGAAGCAAAACTGAAGGAGACTACTTGGAAAGCATTGAAAAGCTGTGTGGGTATTTATGCTGTGATTCTGATGCCCTGTGTATTGGGGTGTGTGTGTGTGTGTGTGTGTGTGTGTGTGTGTGTGCCTCCCTTGACCATCCTTTTGAGTTTATAACGTTCCATTTACTAAATCCAAGCCTATCTGTATAGTGTGTTTCTTGTTTTCCTTTTAATATTAGTTGAGATTTAAATAGAAGAGTGCAGAAGCAAATGTACACTTTGCTCATAGACTATTGCATTACTTTCCCTAAGGGCTTTTGTTTCTAGGAGTTCAAGCTGAAGAGAACCTGTCAGCTTTCTGAATTTTTTTTTTGTCTAGCACCAGAGAAAAGCTCCACTTTATACCTATGTTAGGTAACAACAGAAAATAGTGCTTATTTATTTGTTTTATTGGTATCTGTCCTTTTGTAAGTGGTGTACTTAAGAGTTATCTGAAAATAATGTAAAACAGTCTGGTAGTTGGGCTATATTGGTTTTCTTTCTAGTTATTTTAGGTTCAGACATTATATATTAAACATCTATTCATAAAACCTAGAATTCATGTTGATTTTTCCATCTGTAAGTAACATGTCAAGAAAATGATGAGTTGGTGTGCCCGGAGAAGTATTATAATTTTTAAAAAAATAAGAGCAAACACAACCTAAGCACCTTAAATTGCAACCAGGTCAGTTAGAGATGAGTTGTGGTAGTGGGAGAGATTCTGTTATATAATTACTCCTTGATGAAGAGCTATTTGCACTTACATAATTTGGGAAATCATAATGTCTATTGCCATGTTTCCATATTCCCCCCCATTCCCCTTACATGGATGTACTTTCATGTATTTGAGAGTAAAGGGGAAAGCAAATTGAGAACTTTCTAAGGAAGCTACACCATGTCTTGGGTAGTGACGTTGCACTTGTCCATTTTATTTAGTGAACAATAAACCCCCATTATCAGAATATCCACTGCAGGATCTTAAGACAAAGCTTTTCCAGTAAGAGCCATATTGATCATCAAAGAATCACAGAGATTCTCTCTCTGAATGCCAAAATTACAGTCACTTTGCAAATGAGTTTTTATTGGCTTTTTCTTCTTAAAATAATATTTATGAACACAGAGCTTCAAAGGTTTTTCTGTAGAGGTGTCCACAACAGCTGTACAGCAATGCATTTATAGTATATATTTTAAAAGTGTGCTATGAAATTAAACATTGTAGTGATATAAAATGATGCTTAAATCATAGAAAGTCTACCAGCTTGTCAACTCAGTGAGTTTTGACACTATGGAAAATGGGTTTAATTACTGTGTGCCTTCAAGCTTTTTTTTTTCTTTAAAAATCATTATGTTGTATAGCTATAAGGCCTTCAAAGGAAAGACGCCTATTTTTGTACATCTATAAGTATTTGATTTCAAGTAGTAAATTGAATGAGTGTTTATTTTCCATGATCTTGGGCTTGAGAAAAGTGCATTTCCAAAACACACTACTGAAAATTTCACCCATGCATGACCTATCTTTATTTAAGCCTCACTTCTTCCCAAAGCCGTCTAGGCAAATATATTTGTATTTGTGTGGGTAACTATTCACGTCTCTTACAGGGTTCTCTGGCCGCCATGGCACTCAATCATACCACCTAGAGTGGACTGGCCGAGACCAGACTGGGTACCAAGCAGAGAAGTGCAGAGGAAAGCACTGGGAGAGCACCAGGTAAACTGAAGGTTACTTGTCACTCCCACTTGTGCCCAAAAAGCCTTGCCACATCTTCCCTCCTCACTGGAAAGACAGCACTCTTCTGTGTTAAGTATTTGATTTTGTGATTTGTCTTTCAGAATTGGAAATAGAGCGGCCATTTGGATTTGGGCAGGAAGCAGCCGAGCACAGCTTTGGATCCTTCTTTAGGGAAATCGAGTTATGGATTTATGGTCCCGGTCAAGCTCAGCCCATCCCCAGGCAGGGGCGGGCTCAGCGAGCAGCAAGAGTTCTGGTGGCGGCGGCGGCGGCAGTAGCAGCGGCAGCGGTAGCAGCGGCAGCGGTAGCAGCGGCAGCGGCAGCTTGGTCCTCTGACTCTCTTCGGTGACGGGTATTCTTGGGTGGATAATACGGATTACGTTGTTATTGCTTAAGAATACGCGTAGTCGAGGAGAGTACCAGCGGCAGGGGGGCAGCGGCCGCCCTCCCCAGCCCACCAGCTGGCCACTAAACGCCCGTGGTTGCCAAGGTAGCACTTTCTTGTTCTTTTCATTTCCTCGGGTGTTTTCGCACTGGTTCCACCGGAAAGGCTGTGCGCTGCGCCTCTGGTGACCAGGACTGGAAAATGGGTTCGCGCAGGGGGCGGGGGGCGAGGTGAAGGGGATGGGCGGGGAGCGGAAGGGGGTCCGTTTCCCCGAGCCTGCGGGGCGGTTCGGCGTTCCCAGTCCGCTCCTCTCCTCTCCACGGTGGGGTGCGGCTGGAGGGAGAGACGCGGACGGGGCGATTTTCTAAAGTTGGGAACGACTGAAAGGCCTTGAGCAGTTTGGGAGCGTCGCGAGTGAGGCGCCGAAGCTGGGCAGAGGGTCGCTGGGGGCTGCCTCCGCAGAAAGGGCGTGTCCGTGGGCGAAGGTGCCCCCGCAAGCCTGCGGAAGCGCGTGACTTCGCGAATCCCGAGCCCGGGGCGGTGCCGGAGCCCCACCCCCGGCCGGCCGCGCTGCTCCGCAACCAGACTTGGCGGCCGAGATGGGGAGGGGGCGGGGGCCCGGGGGCTGGGTCCCCGCGGAACTTCCAGATCGGAAGTGTGGCGGGTCTCTCAGGAACGCATATTTTCTTTTCGGATTCTCCGAGAAGGGGTGGAGAAACAGGATGGGAACCGGATTGGTTGCAGTGTGGCACAGACCTGGAACCTTCCTGAAAGAGGTTGGGGCAGGCAGTGACTGTTCAGACGTCCAATCTCTTTGGGACGCCTCTTCAGCGCTGTCTTCCCTGCCTCTGCCTTTAGGACGAGTCTCAAACACCAACAAACGCAAGGCACGTCCCCCCTCTCAGGTCAGCTGCGAAGGCGTGGGAGCAAGAGAGAGCCTCTCCCTCCTTCTACTTAGAGTTTTTGTTTGTTTGTTTGTTTGTTTGTTTCAAATATTAATGGACGATAAAACAACACGGATTTGTCACCTCCTAGCGAAGAGGAAGCCACCGCCACCACACCCCTCAAGCATGCCTGGGCACTCCTGGGGACAATCGGACGTGGCAGGAGTTGGCATGCCCAAGATGAAGCTGGGAAGGATGACCCAGAGTGGAAGGCGTGGGCTGGGGCTCCAGGTCTCAGCTCTCGCCAGCGTCGGACCACACAGCTTTGCCAGCTTTGCACCTTGCCTTTCCTTCTTGTGAGGCATCTGGGACCGTCCTATCAAGGCGCTTCAAAGGTGGAAGGACAGAGTGCTGGGGACAAGAACGTACCAGGCGCCCAGAAGATTCCACTAGCGCGGCCAAACACTAAGACCAGGTTTCCTCCCTGCGTGGTGGTCGTTGGTTGTGCACGGGCTACGCACGAAGACTGAATTCCTGAGAAATGGAAACTGCAGGAGAAAAATCAAATAAACTTAGAGGCCTGTGAAGCTCTCCCTCTTGTCGCTCTGGGACCGCTCTAAGCTGAGCTACATCTCAGATACCTTCTCCCCCTGGAGGATGGGCCTTTCTCAGGCACGAAGTGCGTGTGCCCCACTGGGCTCTTGCCCACAAGAGCAGTCTGAACCCTGGAGAGGCTGACACCGAGGTGTCTTGAAGGAAGCAGGCACACTCTCATGCTTCCCCACCTAGGGTTTCGCCTTTCTTCTAATATTTAGGATTCCCAGTGAAGGGTACTCCACACACACCCTCTGCCTACCCCTAATCCCACCCCATTGTGTCTGATCCCACAATTACTCCCAGGGTATCTATACTCACAGCTTTTGCGCTCAAAGAACATTGTCGTCTGCAGGGAACGGGTGGAGCCCTTCTCAGAAGCTCCCGGGGGCGAGTCCATTTTAAGAATGAGTTGAAGTAGGAAAGAAAACACAGATGCTGTCTTTGCATTCGACATTCTATCACCAGCAAGAGAATATGTAACTCCTGTTCTTTCCTTCATTATTCCATGAATTACCTTTTTTCTCTAGGGATCTACCAGTTGGTGATTTAGGGCTTTTAAATATTATGCTTGTTATGTATTTAACAAAATGCAATATGTCTACTGGTGGCATTGTTTCCTTGGGAAATTAGAAAAGTAGAAGCTACATACTCTAGTTCCTAGGTGGTCTCTGGAAAGTTGGCCTCATGCTGGTTGGCTAAATAATAAGTGTTTAGGATTTGAAAGGAAGAAAGAGAGCTGAAGTCCTGGTGACAGAGTTTGTGAGAAACAGAAGATGTAACACTCTGGCATTTGTTGAGGAGATGAGGAAGAACTTTTGAAAAATAAGCTATTCTATTCAGTTTTGTGCAAATTTATTGCAGTTGCTTCATAGAGGAAGAATAATGTTGAGAATGGAATAATTGCAAATGCTAGTGATGAAATCTAAAGGAAACCTCTACTCATAGTTAACTGAAAGTATTTTTGTTGTTGTTGTTTAAATACTTATCTCATTGCTTTCTTTCCTTTGCAGAATTATTTTCCTATAATAGTTTCCATTAGGTGTCAGTCTGAACTGGTTCTTACTTAAGTTAGGGGTGAAAATGTTCCATCATCACACCTTTTAAGATAAGAAAGTGGGAAAAATTAAAACTTTATTAAGTTGAAATTACTGGAGTTAATTTTTATTGTTAAAGACAGCTTTTTTATTCCCAGAAAAAGTAATTTTAAATTATGTCACCACTAGTCAATGACTGCTTTTGCCCTGTCACTGTCCATAGCCATGATTAAAGAAGTACAAAATGCTTGTTTGTGCATTTCATGCTAGATCCAAGTAGTGTTAAGTAGTCATAATTTTTGGATGGCTTTTCAATTGATGTCCTAAGACTAGAAGGGTAAGCAGCCTTTTCTAATATTTCTTTTGCTTTACAAAGGTGATAGAAATTTTTCCTGAAAAAAGGAACATGGATTCAGCTTAAGCTGTTCATTTGACAATACTGAGGGCACAGTAAAGGAGGAGGGAGACAAATTGTGAAAATTACTTATGTCCACTAGTTTTACTTTAATAAATCCTGCTTAAATACTCAGAATTTATGAATACAATTTATGATATATAAGTGGGATATTTTAGGTCGCCCATTTAAATTTATATAATGTCTATAAATGGTCAATTTTATACTATAATATTCATTAATAAGCATAAGAAACATCATCTTGATTGGTCATTTGCTACTGAGTCCCAAGTAAGTAGCTTGATAGAAACTGCATTTTTCAGAAAATTTGCTTATTTTATTCTTTGTATTTGTGAATTCTGTTCTGATGTTGTTGCTTGAATAAAATTGTGGGGAGTGGTGATGGTATTCGTGGTTAAAGATCCATAGAGCATTATGACAACCCCATGAACTTTCCCTGAGGCCATTGTGAGCCCTAGAATGATGTGGTTCTTGGTGTCAGAGCAATGCCAATCTAGAACCAGAACAGAGGTCCCAGTGAAAGTCCAAGCAAAGGCAAGCAACGATGAAGTAGCATTTTGATGGAAGGAATATTCCAAAAACCCTATTATCAATTTTTGTCTTATTATATTCCACATTAGTCATGAGAAATTTTCAAATTTAAAAATAGACAACAAAATTAGAGATGATGGGTATATTGGGAAACATTTTTGTGTTTTATGTAAGACAGAGGAGAAGTGCTAAGGACATAGAAGGAAAGACAGCATAAGGCCATCACAGTTGTTCACCATCTTGTCAATATGTACAGGTGCAGCTACCATTGTATCACGGAAATGACAGAATGATGTTCTTACTGTGTTGGAAAGTAGTGTATTCTGCATGGGAGACTTACTGTTTAAAAGTAAATTTCTTTTGGATATATTTTCCGTAAGAAGAAAAAATATAATAATGACATCAGAATATTTAAAGACTTTTAAATCATTTAGCTATTGAATTTAGTTATTGATAGCTGTACAGCTATATACACAAATGGTAAGTAGAGTTTAAGCAAATAGCTTTGTAGTACAATTTGTTTTTTAAATGTTTTCAGATTTTTATCTTAGTGCTTATACTTTAAATCTTGACTTACAAGTCTTGCATTTAAGTCTAGAAAACATTTTGCATGATTGTATAAAATAAACATTTTAGTTGAGGAAACACTGCAGTTCATCCAAAAAACATAAGCTAAAAAGATATAATATTTTAAATTTCTTGAAATGTGTTTGTTACCCAGTAATTAGTTGAGTTTGTTGAGTGCAGCCTAACAATAAAATCAGTGTATCTGTATGTTTGTATTGTTGACCAGCTTAAAAATTTATTACCAACTGTATCTTGTGAGTTCTGGGTTCTGTTACATCCTGGCTAATAATAATGTGAGCTAAGCAAGGCAGTCTGATCTCCAACACAATTAAAATATTATAATACATATGCAAGGGTAAAGACAACACTTCATTTGCTTTATTTGTGGAAAAGCCCTTTGAGACTCATAGTATTTGAAAATATATATATATATAGTAGATCAAACTAGAACCAAATGTTAAAAACCTACGAGTTCTAAAACATGCAGTTCAAAGATTTTAAATAAGGGTTATTGCCTTTATTAATTTAAAACCAATACTGAATCTCATTCAGTTAAATTACAAACTAAAAAAGACATATTGCTGGAATCTATTAATACTATGTTTCCAGTTCAAATGAAATTTGTACTATAATATGCTTTTTAAAAAGTTGACAAATTATATTACAATAGTGACATAATTGCATAATTTGAAAGTAGGGTCTATTTGTAAACTTGAATGAAATATGTGCTTTTTGGAAACACTTTTTCTGAAAAGATTATTTTTATAAAAATGATACATTTTAATTGGAAAGTTGATATTTCTTGCAATTTTGTTTTTAAAATTTGTATTCAATACATGAGTGAGTATTAATTGAAGCCTATTTTTGTCTCTCTAAGCTAGTGTAGTCAATTTCAATAACTGTTTCAAAGAAGTCTCAAGATAAACTAAAAATTACTCATTTAAAATAGTTTTTTATATATCTGCCAAATAGTCCATTAGTTTTTGGATTCCAAGAAGAATGAATGAATGAATGAATGAATGAAGGTCATGCCTACTATTCTGTCAGAAGCAGATATAAGAAAAAGACCTTTTCCTTTGTAATAGAAATATATCATGATAAGACTTCCAAATATCCTGGATTGTTTTACAGATAACTACACAGGAATTAAAGTTATAGAATGATTACTTTATGGATCCAGTTTCATGTTTTTTTTTCCATAACTGTTATTTATATAGGCTTTGGTGTTTACTGAGACAAAGCAAATTTGAGAATTGAGGCTCTTACACGGAGAAATCTCAAATTTCATTTTGTCCCTCAATTACATGATACTTAAGGAGTGAGGTATATCCTGTGGTAGAAAGAACTTTGGAATAAGACTAGAAAATCTGTTTTCGAGTACAGATTCTGTTGTGAACTATGACAATGGACCTATCACACAGCTTGCCTGGTCTTCACTTGTCTCATCCATGAGAAGGGCTAGATTTAGATTCGCTTAAGGCCTTTTTACCTCTTTAGGATTCCATTTCAAAGAAAGCCTTTTTTTTTTTTTGTATGAATTCTACACTTCATTTCATGTAAAGATGGTGGGCCAACTGATATCACAACTAAGACAGAAGCTTTTAAAAAGTATTCACCAACATTTTGTCTTAGTATTAAATAATAAAATGGTCCTTAAGATTTTTACTTAAATTCTTAAAGCATGAAACACATGGAAATATTTGTTGCTTTTTCATGCTTCATTTTTTATTTGAAGTTTTAGTAGGGAAAAAAGCCCCAAAAGAATGCTTTACAGATTCATTCTAATGTGTTAGCATGGGAGTACACGTATATGTACATCTGTATAATAAATTTGAAGCTACTCAAACCGCAGATCTATCTTCATAAGCATTTTAGCCTAATGAGGCCAAATCACAAACAACTCCATTCAAAGTTGATGTATATGATTGTAGTGGATAAAGAATGAACATGAACACTTGGCCTCTAAAAATGTTTACTCCTTGTGTAAATGTTTATGCTATTAAATTCAATTACAATATTTGGAACGGCATGAAAATTACTGGTTTTTTTTTCCATTCTGTTAAAAGGACCAATAATTGTCGAGGATATTTAATTCTTCTAAAATGGTTAATCTTTTAAAATACCTAGTCCAGTGTTTGGCACATAGTAGGTGCTCAAAATATTTATGAATTTTGTGAAAGCAGTGATATCCTTTTGGGGCATACGTGAATATAAATTTTACATTTTTTCATAATTATTTAAAGTCACTATTATATAAAATGATTGTTATACAGCATATATTTGTTTAATTTAATGTTAACATAAAATTTAATTCTTTAATTGTTTACTAATAGTGCAGTTATTCTTTGCCAAGAAGGAAAATACATTCTCTCTGATTATTTGATATAACTTTTAAATAACGGAAAAATCCATGGGAACATTGCTTTCAAGCTGATATTCTTTTTGAAACTCCAAGAATCTGTTCAATCTACTATTGAAATAGAAAATTTTAGTCCATGTGAATGTTACCTAATGTATTTATTTAATATTAAATGTATAAATATTTGTAAGAATTTATAAAGTTTTAAGAAGTAATCAATAGAAATGCACATTGTGCAATATAATAATTACTATGATAGGCATACTTTCAAAGCTAAAGATCTGTGTAAGTTTTTTAGTTTTAAAAAATTATTTACTAGGAAAACAGACTAAGTTACAATTTTATTTGAAAGGTGTGACTCTCTGGGAGGTTCAATTTATAGTAAATATAAATTGACTTTTTGATCACAAAATAATACACCCATCCTCTAAAAATTAAAATAATATGGTTTATCAGCTATTGCTTTATTCAGATAGTTTACATACTATCCATTCTCAGTTTAATTATGGGTATAAAACATTATGTCCATTGAAAACTTTGACTCTGATTTGTGTGCTAAATGGAAGCAAGCATAAAAAGAATAGAGATTTAAGGAGGAAAAATTAATTAAAAAATAAAAACTTTGAGAATAAGTTCAATAAAAATTCTACAAATCTTTCAAAAGTAATTGCCTTCAAATATATATCTGGGGGTAGGAGTGTGAGGTTTGGAAGCCATTTATTCACACTTTTATTAAAATATCTCATGTTCCTTTTTGTTGTTGGATGTAGTTGTCCATAAAACAGCTTTGAAATTGTTTTAATATTATATATTAGAACAGAGTCAAAATAAGGAGATTCTTTATCACAAACAAGCAGGTTTTTGTTAGTTGTGAATGCTATGTTTATTAAAAATAGTGAGTGACATTAAACTTTTGAGGCGGTTTCACATTTACATTTGGTGATTTGTGTAGATAACAATTGAATTTGACAAGAGAAAAGGGACAATGATAGCAAGTAACAATGTTAATGATGTGGACTGGAGTGAAGAATGTGCAGATTTTGGTGATGTATTAAAGTAACAATAATGAAATTCCTGGTGGCTGGGACCAGTACACCTTGAAAAAATATAAATCTTAGGAAACATTAGAAGAGGTCTTGTTCTTTATATGGTACCGTTTACCCTGTTGTGATGGGTAGTGTTCAATATTGATTGTATATAGTTTATCTGTGTAGAAGGATTCTTTCACAGTATGAGTGACAAGTGTATCCCAGAGTTCTTGCTTTCAAAGTCATGCTCTGATACAGAAATTTGAATCAATTAAAATAGCAATAAACTCTGAATAAAGTAAGCCTAGCTTATCTGTAGAAAATTGAGAAAGGCAAGAAATCTGGATGTTTCTCAAATAAAAGAAAGAACATCAGTCTGAAAAGACAGACTTCTGAAAATTGAGCCTAGGGGGATATGGCTTAAAAGAGACAGCCTTTTTAACAGTTTTTCTATTAGAAAACATATGTGTGATACTTGAATTTATGCTCTAGAAGTAAAGTAACCTAGGAGGATTTGTTAAGACAGTATTTCCTGATATAAAATACTGATACCAAGAGTTTAGTTTTTCCTATTCACTTAATTGATTTAGATTTTAGAGAGGAAATCTATTTGTTAGTTAACCATGATAAAGATAGAGAAGATTGACACATTTGTCCTTGTCTAACTTGGCCTTTATTTCCAAATACGTAACATTTCCACCTGATCATTGGTTTGCCTTTAATATGACTATTTTCCATTCCTATAACCACATGGAATACAAAATTTCAAAAGTCTTTGATAAGCTCATAGTAAACTCATATGATAGTTAGTTGTCATTATAAATTTCTATCTCAGATCTAGTTCTTTGGTATGTAATACAATTCCCATGTTTCCCATATGAAGTCCTCACAACACAGAGAATCCAAATAACTTCTCCATGGACACCCAGATAATATTTGGAACCCATTTTCTAAGTCCTTGTTGGGTGTTTTCTTTCTAATACATCACACTAAAACTTCACTAAATGTTGAAGTTTTTCTCACATTACTCTTCCTATTATCTGAGAATAATTCTTATATTTTTCATACTATTCAGTGATATTTTACCCAAGTAATCTAAACTTTTCAAAAATTCTTATATTGTATATATAGATGTGAATGTATCAACAGATTCCAAAGGTCTCTAGTGTGCTTGTACTAATGATTTTTTAAATCTTGGAAAATGGTATAGGCTATCTTAATGTAGAAACAGAAGATGAATCATAATTAAAGGAATAATTTGACCTTTTACCCTAGTTGAAAATATTTCAGTAAAACAAGGGAAATGTTAATCACAATTACATCAACTCAGTTTAATAAGCTTCCAAATGCAAATGTTGACTAAAAGATTGGATTCAAAAACATTTGTAATGCAGTGTATTCAATGAAAAATTTAAAGTGACATTGTTAAATAATAGTGACCCCATGATGTTCTCATACCAAATAACAGAAATAAAATCACATTTTAATATACAATTTAAAATTATATTTACTTTTACTTCACTTTTTAAATGTTCAAAGATATCTTGTTAAATAAACAGGGACAGATCAGCTCTTGGATTAGGGCAGAATCAAAGTAAAATTCTCAATTTTGCAATTGAACCCTGTTCACTTCTGTTGTGCTATTTATGAAAATTGCATTGTGGTCTGCCACTGCCACATCTGGGTTACTTGCAATGCTAACAATTTAGGGGTTTGAGAAGGTGATTTTGCACTGTGGGTTCAACCAACTTATCAATCGTGAAGCATGCTCCTCGTACATATGTTGCTTAACAACAAGGATACATTCTGAGAAACACATCCTTAGGCAATTTTGGCATTGTAGTAACAACCTAGAATGTACTTACAGAAACCTATATGGTATAGCCTACTATACACCTAGACTGTATGGCAGCCTACTGCTCTTAGGCTGGAAACCTGTACAGCCACATGTTACTATACTGAATAATGTAGCCCATTGTAACACAATGGTAAGTATTTGTGAATCTAAACACTCTAAATATAGAAAAGGTATAGTAGGAATACAGTATTACAAGTTTATGGGATCACCATTGTATATCTAGCCTGTCATTGATACATACACCATTATGTGCCATATGACTACCAAATCATTCCTCTATCATAGCATTGAGGGTTCACTAGAAAAATGGTGTAACTATCTTTGTTTTAAATTCATCAAGATAGAAAGTTGATATCCTTTTGACCATTTAATCCCATTTAATAGGTTTTCCTATTTTATTAATTATAAACAATAACTGTAAATAACTATGTTCATTCTCTTTCTAAAGTTTTTTAAAAAGGTTGTAGATATAATCCCAAGATAGGTAGGTAGATAGACAGACAGACTAACTTTTTAAAATCTATTGTCTTGCTCAACTGAAAATAATCCAGTGGAAAAATTGGCACTGAGAAGCCACACCTAAAATAATCAATATTTTGTCCAAAGAAAAATATTTTATGGATTCACATAATTTGGCCAAGAACAAAATGTTTTAAATTGTGTAAAGGATAGATATTAATCCTCATACCAGCTAATTAAGCTTCTTCTGTACAACATACAGTTTTAAGTTAACAGTAATTAATATAGCCAGCTTGGAACCTCAGGAAGCTAAAGCCAGCAAGTGCTTTTTGGTTCACTCGAGAGGATGCGGTTTGATTGCTGGCGCCAGTAAACAGGTTGGGAATTGTCAACATTGTAATTAGCAGCAAGTTTCTGGATTCTCTGCCTGCCAGACTAGTGGGCTGATGCTTGGAACAGTTGCCCCAGTGGGGAGAGTGAAAAACAAAGGAAGGGAATTTGAGCAACCTTGGTAGGCTCTGCCAGCATATGCCACTGGACCAATGTTTTTCTTGACAAAGTTCTATTTTAAGACATCTAGCAGTGGTTTCCACAAAATATGAAACTCACCATAGCAACCAAAATGGCAAGCGTCTCTAGGAACCTTTCCTTGATTGGGTATCAGGTCAAACTGTGTTCAGAGTGATATTGCCTTATGTGCAGTATGCTCTGTACCGTGCACAATGTGGTTATTAACAGTATGATTAAAAGGGTTAAAATCTGTTTTGGCAGCAATCCTTAAATAGTCTGCCTCTGCCAAAAAGCCTTCAAAGAATAAGGTTATGCAAACCTTATTAACCCTTCGTGTAGTACAAATGGAAAGGAAATGTGAACCTGAATACCACCGAGCATCCAATCTTCACTACTTACTTACATGATCATTTCAATCTAGTTTTCTTAATTCCAAACCATGTGATTGTTATGATCAAAGGTTGTCATAGATTTTAAACCCAAACCGTATTTGCAGTGGCTGTAAGATGAGGACTACATTAGTAAAGTTTATAAGTAATTTATAACCCAACTGAACAAAAATTAGACTATCTTTTGAAACCTGCTTAATAAAAGTTCATGTTATATATGTATAGACACACATATATGTAAAATTTCTCTATCTTAGAATATTTTATCTTATCTAAAATAAACAACATGCATACTCTGAGTAGTCACAGGATAAATACTAACCCACCTACCTTGTGGCAAAAGCACGATAACAAATCCTTTGGCCTTTTCTTTCTTTTTTCTTTTTTTAAAAAAAAAAAGCAGCTCTGTAGTAAATTTATTTTTCTTTCCAGTGAAAAAAAGGTCAAGGTTGCTGAGCATTGCTAAAATACACATACTAATTTCTCCCAAATAAGTGATTGGAGGCATATCACAGATATTCTTACTGTCACTATCTTTGCCAAAATGTGAGGAGGAGTTTCAAAAAGATAAACAGCATACAGAGAGACAAACAAAATAGCTTTCTTTACTGTTTAAAAAAAGTCCTCAAATGGATCAACGTGCTATATTAAGCAATTGCCAAGTGGCAATTTCTGCAGGTGGATTATCAGAAGTGCACAAAAATGGCTGTGTAGATCTGGCACCCAGGTGTCTGGTGTAGCATTTAGCGGACTCTTTTGTGGGGAGAAGGATTACTCATTTGTTGGAGAGAGTTCAGTTCTCTAATCCTCCTCCACAACAGAATCCATGTTGGAGTGAACAAGCAACACGATTCTTATCCACTCTCTCTAGACTCTGAGGAATGCTCCACAATTATTTATTATTTTCACTGGAATTAGATGCCTACAGGTGGCCCCATAATGTGCCTCCAGGCATACAACCTGCTGTAAATTTTTAAGTTACATTAACTCAGCAGTATGTTGTCTTATAATGACAGTTCATTCAGTCTATGGGGAAAGGAAAGGAAGCAGAAAGGCAGTATTTCGTGTTAAGCATTATTACAGCTCTTTCCCCGTTCTTTCTTTGAAGTTAGTAAAGGATATTTGGCAGAAGCAACACTCCTGGTGTTTTGGTGTGGGCTGTGTCTCCTGATAGATTCAGAAAGGAGGTCACAGACTCCAGGCCTCTGTATCATATCCCAGGGACAGATTTGTTTATGGGGTGTCAGTATTAAAAACAGGCAGAGCAGTAGGACTTTTTCTTTTTTTGTTCTTTTTTTTCTCTTATTATTTCCCCTTTTTTGCCTCCCTTTCTCCCTTCCTTTCTTCTCTTCTCTTTTCTTTCTTTCTTTCTTTTTTTCTTTCTTTCTTTCTTTCTTTCTTTCTTTCTTTCTTTCTTTCTTTCTTTCTTTCTTTCTTTCTTTCTTTCTGAGTCTCTGAATGACTTCTATTACTCAAGTGTTTTGTCATTAGTGGTCTTTCATATTATATTAGGAAAAAATTAGTTTAGTTTTATCGAGACATTTGGGCTTATGATGCTGTTGCAATTTCACCCCTGTCACATATCCTATATTCTGCAATTGTTTTTTCCTGGGTGTTTGGGTTACCGGTCAGTGAGAGAAGGAGGGAACTGCTTCATAGCTTTTTGGTCATTGAGTTTTATGCCTATCCTTTCTTTGTAATGGTGCAGTTGTCACTGAATGGATGCAGTTAATTCCCTCGTATGTTTTTGGATACAATTCTCAGAGCTGATGAAAAAACAAAGATAATATCTAAATTAATATACTTTAGGAGTAGAAATTAGTAGAAACATTTTTAGGGGCAATATACAAGTCGATTTAAGCCTCAGAAGTCCTAGTACTGGGTTATAAAGCTCCTTCTTACAGCCATAACAGAGTAAAATTTGTCTCCCACCATTCTATTCTCATTAAACCTATAGCTTATATTACAAGTAACAATGATGATGTGCATATTTTAAAAATATATTTTATGTGTACAAAGTCATATCTAAATTATTAAAAAGTACACAATAAAACTTGTTTTAGTGTTAAAACATTTTTATTAAAATTCCTGTATCATAGACGTGGGCAAACTTAGTAGCATAAGGCCAGTTGGACACTTGTGAAGTTATCTGCCTTAATATACAAACACCTACACTAGCCCATCTTTTATTTTATAGCAAGGGATGAACTTGCTGAGAAAAAGCAACTTGTATATTCAAAAGAACTAGGATGTCTTTCAGAGTAAATCATTAAATATCCATTATGCATGTACTATTCATGAGGTTTGTGTCCAGGTCTGTCAACATTTCTTAAGTACCTACTATGCAACTGGTATTCTTCTAACTGCTGGGGCTACTGAGGAATAATTAACAGACCTTGCCCTTGAAGCATCCATGATGTACGGGACCTCTTACAATTCAGGCTGTTGGAGACTTGGTGGGGAAGTCAAAGGAATGTAAAGCAGCATCCTCCTTTCAAGGAGCAGACTAGGATGTTGTTAATATTAAATATTAAACTGTATGAAAGTGGTTGTTTCTACAAGCCCTTACTGTTGTCTCTTCACCAGAACATACTTACATGTCACAGATGTAGTAATAAGTTCTTTCTAGAAGTAGATTTGCCTTCTCTTTTTTCCTTTAAAGTATGGAAAGTCTTTCAGAACTGAGTAGACTAAGGAAGCACCAGTTAGGAAAAGGAAAACATACTCACTTTTTCACATCAAAGCAATAGTTACTGTATAACCAATTATAAGTTATATAATACCATTTATAATGAAACATGATTATATTATCCCAGGACAAATTATTCGTGTATCCATAGTTATCAGAAAATATGTTTTAGTGATTATAAAATGATAGTGCTTGCATGTAATTCCCAAATTCATTAATATTTGATTCCAGAGTCAATAAGTGTCTTTTGAGAATGTGATGATAGGCTTTATAAAAGAAAGTGCTGAACGCATTATGCTGTACTTCAGAAAGTGGTTCTCAAAATGGGGCCTTCTTAGCAGTAGCCTGAGTGTCACCTGGGAACTTGTTAAAAATGCCTGTTCTCAGACCACATAACAGGCCCACTGAATAAAAACTGTGAACCCTAATCTGAGTCTCAACAAGCCCAATTCTGATGCCTGCTAGAATTTGAGAACCACTGCTTTCTATTGATTTTTTTAAAATGACAATTAAAGTCAGGTTCTATGCAACACTGATCCAGTGCTGACCCATTTTAGGCTCTCTTGTAGATTTAAAGTTACAAGTTATTATTATTAATTAAACCAGATATCTTAAATTAAAAATTATCACTTTACTTACCTGGTAAATTCTACATTTGGGAAATATTTTAAGCCCCTATTTTGAGTTCTATTTATGTAAAACTTACATAGTATTCTTATTAGTGTTATATAATGCTCACATTGCTATCTTTATAATTATAACATTAGATTGAATTTTTCCAGGACTTAAACCATTCTTTTATTTAATTTATTATTATTTTTGTAATTCCAGTAGCTGTCCCAATTTTTTACTCTGGTATTTAATTATATCCCAGTTTACAATCTAGGAGAATCAGCTTAATTTTATAAAAGGCATACAATATTGAATAAGACCTTTAGATCATTTGTGTGTGTGTGTGTGTGTGTGTGTGTGTGTGTGTGTGTGTATGTGTTATTGTCTCATGGATTATTATTAAAGTTTTCTCATTCATCTATGACACAAATAATTTTTAAATTCCCGTGGAAGGGAATTGCCCTGACAAAACTATTTGAGCACTTATACAATGTTCTAGTATTACAGTAGCATAAAATAAGTTTCCTAATATCTGTATTGGAACTGTATTTAATAAAAATTTACTTAGAACATAGGTGATTATATAATAGTAAAAATGAATGTTACTGGTTAAGCAATTAGATTATATGGGTTCTCATTATACCAACTGGAAATTGTCTTACAAAACTATAATATGTTCTTACTTCAAACCACAGCTTTTTATTGAAGCTTTCATAAAAACATTAGAAATTCAAAGGCTGGCCTGTTTAAAATGCAGCTCTAAAACTTAGTGAATAGTTTCTTGTTTAGTGCTTTAAATTAAAATAGAAAAGAACAACTGTTGAGACCATGTAACTCTGGATTGTAAGACCTAAAGTAGTCCTGTGACTTTTACATTTTGGCTTTTGTGTTTAACACACAAAAAATAATATCAAACCACCTCGAATATAACACTGAAGTAACTGGCTGACAATGTCAGTGGGCTTTTTCTCAGTCCAAAGTCTTCTTTTCATTAATGAAACACTGTGTTTGCTTATGTCAATGCATGAACTTAGTCATACACATTATAGGATGCCAGGATATATAACAAAGAATTAATGATAATATTTTTTAGTAAAAGTGCATCTTTGGGGGGTTTTCTCTTTGTTCAAATCCACCCCCCCGTCTCTGTACGAGGGAGCTGCTTTCTTCTTCCTTTCTTTTTTCTTGCCTATTAAAGTTTTTGCTCCAAAAAAGAAAAAAAAAAGTAAAAGTGCAGCTTTTACTAATATGTGAACACAAAAGGTAATGGCCTGAGTAGCAAAAAATTCACCTAAGGAAGAAGTATGTGTAACATTGATTAATAAATTCTGTGGTATTTTACTTCCTATCCCTAACACATTGATGTATTCCATAATACTCTGTTTTCTCAAACAGTTATTTGACTGTGTAACAGATCTTCCCCTCACTAAAAATACATTCTGACTATAAGCATAGAAATGTAAATCCATTTCAGAATATGATCTTATTTCCTTTTTGTGGTAGGGGTGAGTAACACTGTCCAAACTTACAAACTTAAGAGAGAGTCACAGTGGTGGAACAATTTATGCACACCCAGTTTAGATGGAATGATTGACAGGAAATATGTAAGAAATTCAAGTTATTCTTATGGAGGGAAAAAAGGTCTATTATTTTGACAGTTAACATTTTAAGATTAAGCACTTTAGATTAACCAGCAAGGAAAATGAAATCGTTTTAATAGGCCTATAGTTTGATGGATTTAGTTATTAAATTAAATAGACACTAATTTAAATGTTACTACTTCAACCCTTAAACAAAGAGAGTTTTAACTGTATAAAAAGATGCAAATAAAATACCAAGTAGCTTATATTTAGGCAGAGAAGATACTTAAAATTCAGAAATGTCAAAACCAGCTTATTCGTCTCTTGCAATGTAATTAAATGTTTCAGTTTATTTATCTTTAGTTTATCTTAAGTTGTATGATGGATTAATTGTACTCAGTAATTGTTTTGCTGTTAATGGTTTACATATTCTTTTTTATATTAACAAGTGTTATTTTAAACATTTTATAAAGGAAAGTTTGAAAAGAGTTGTTTAATATCACAAAACCCATTGTGATCTTTCTCAAGTGAATTTATAGATTTGTTTTTTTGGCTACATCTTTTGTCTAGTTGTGGGCCTATATCACTGATAATCCCATAACACAAGTTATTATATTAAGAGCTGGAAAACTTATCAGATGTGAGCTTATTAGTTATTCACAATAAAACATTAACAGTTTAACATTTCTCTTCTGGAAAGCTCAACATGTTTTACGCAGTTGATTTATTCATATCTCTTAACCATTTTATTTGCAGAGTGTTACCTTTGCTATTTAGATTTTTAATATGCCTATAAAAGTAGATTTATGATAGAAAAGATTCTAAATTACTCAGTTAAAAATGTATTCTTTTATACTTATTGAACTCTAATTTTTACGTAAAGTTTTGCAGTTTGTAGTATGTGAAATCTTACACTTAAAAAAGACAATATTTAGTATATTTTTAATAAATCACCATTCAAAAATGCATGATGGATTGCATTAGGTTAAGAAGTATTACCAGAATATCTATTTATAATAGAAAACTGTTGCAATTATAATTATATGCTAAATCTATATATTCATAAAATAATTAAGTTAAAATTATTTTAATTTTTAGATACTTGACATAGGAGTTCATAGTTCTCCTGAATTCTGAATTATATTTCATCTTCTAAAACTTTCAAATAAGATTTATATGATATAAATTTTCATTAAAAAAACTTGGAATGTTTGACCATACAGGAAAAGATAATTGAAGAAAGACTTACTAAGGAAATAAAAGTGAAAGTACACTTTGGTCAGGTATTAAGTCCAGGTATTAAAATTAGCATACCAAAATACAAAATTTTATGTATAACCTGTTTATTAAATCAAAGTATTTCTAATGCCTTTCTTTTCTGTTCTTTCATTTTGATCCATATCGACTTTAATGCCACGACTGGCTCACTAGTAAGTATCAGTCAAGATCATAATTTAGCACTTACCTCAAATTACATGAAAATCGAATCCAAAAATGGCATACTGCAACCAGGTCTACTTTCATGTATCAAAATGGATTGCTGTACATTATAAATGATACTCCCTGATGTTTTTGCAATGATTCATGAAACTATGGGGCTGACATTTTAGTGCAAAGAATTCCATAAATGTTAATAAAGCAGGAAAACGAATCGCAAAGCACTTCTAGATCATGATAAAGCCAGGTATTCAAATAACTTTAATCTCTTTCTATTACTAATGCTGTTTGTAATGCTTAAAAGATATCAAAATACAATATAAAATATTTTATAGCTAAATGAATCGAAATTAAATGTTACAAATCAAAACTGAGCTATGATAAAAGATCATCACATGATAATTAAGCTTTTGCTTTTACATCTCTTAGTATAACATAACCACTTACAAAATATCCAATCTTTAGGATGATTTAGCATCTTAGCCTGATGTAGAAACAATTACAAAATATAAAGAATTATCATTTATATCATTTCGACATTATGTGATACATTTCTTAAAAGAAACTTTGAATCAAGTTTTAAATTCTGTACTGATTCATTAGCTTTTACCCTAGTTGATGTGGGTTTCTTGATCTTTAAAATGGAATCCCTCATCTCTCACACAGATGCCATTTCTTTAGTTATATGTGTTTAGATACATTTTAAAATGTAACGTTTTTAAAATCTTTCACTTGTTAATTATATTTAATAATTTATTTGAAAAACTAGGCCACTTATGTCAAAGATGCCACTATTTATTTTTAATCAAGAGTTAAAAATGTAGTTTGCCTTAAACAATTCTAATATGATTTCCCAAAATGATATTTGGTACATGATGATTACTGTTTTCATTTTTGTCTGTTTAACTTTACATGTTTATCAGTAGAAAGTACACTTATGGTAAAAAAAAATCTATTATATTGTTTATATAATTTTTTTCTAAAAGAATTAGCTTCATTTTGATTTCTTTCCATTTTTTAATAAGAGGGACATTTATATGAAATTTTTATTTTACCTTTATTATAATATAAAATTACACTAATTTAAGGATTAAAGTTCATATTCAGAAAGGGCATTTATTTTATTTTATTTTTATTTTGCTATATACATAATAATTTGCTTTCTGTGTCCAGACCCAAATGGATATAGAAATTATTTTGAAATAAAAACATTAATTTTTAATATTTAAGTTCCTTTAGTTATATATTTTACAGAACTATTTATGTATTATTAAATGTTTACATACATACATGTATTTGATTTACATTGATTTGTGATGATTATTATATTTCCAATCTGTCTTTACTATGAATATTGGTTTTTTCCCAGAGTATCTAGTTTTAAACAAAAAGTAATCTGTCAATGCAAATCTCTTGGTGTAGCATATTTGAAATTTTATCTACAAGTAGATGTAGATGGAAGTGTACTTACTTAGTATTTATTATGGTCTCAATTTCTGTGAATTTCATGCTCACTTTTCCCCTTCATTTCTTTTTCAAATGGCCACTTTGTCATATGTTTTAACTGTAGGAAGATGAAAAACTCTAAAAGTGCTCACCATCAGCATAAAGTGAGGCATTTTGAGCTCTACTGTGCAAAATGAAAGCATAATAGTCACTGCAAGGAAGACTTAAAGTTCTATTATCCTGTCATTTATACTTAGAGGCACTTCAGTTTCTGGAATAGTTTAAACAAAGGAAATTTGGAATGGATTTCTCTTTAAAATTTTGAAAACCTGGAATCCTGAGGCTGAAAGACTACGGAATACCTTCGACCACCTTCCAGATAATATCTGGATGGAGGATAATATGTGATGTAATAAGCTATAAGTGTCAAGATATGTGAGCATTAAAAAAGGAAGCTGATTTTGTGATGCCACTTATATCACCTCCACTAAGGGAATAGGTCAGCACACTGCAACTGATTTCCCATTTCTGCAAAACAGTGCAGTTCTGCTTCAGGCTCTGAATTTGGGATTTCCTGTTGAAGTCAAAACTAGGTCTATGCTGTCCTGGGGGGTCAGGAACAAAATAGGTTGTGATTATGGAAACAGTATCTCTGGGCTCACTGCCAAATCCTCCAATACTCCTGGGTGTCAATTTGACCTATTATAATAGAACCTCACAGGGTGGAACATCTCCCCTCAATCCTCAGTCCTGATAGATTCTGGGTCCATATGTATGAAGGCTCTATCTTTAAACGGGTATCTTTGAATCAGCAATATAATTGTTTTGAGAGTTTAGTGGTGGAAGAGACTTAAGTGGTCATTTGGTAAAATCCAACTTATTTTAAAGATGACAAACTGAGCTTAGAGATATTACAGTTTTCTTTTTCCAGTAAAAGTCCTGCTGATAGTAGTAACTCTGAAGTCATGGATCAGTTGAGTACACATGTGGTTTGACCTATCAAGCATTTGTCACTACCATCATGATTGTTACTACAAAAGTGATTATTATCATGAAAATATTTCTTCCTCACCTATAGTTTATCACTAACTTTCCCATTATTTACTTGACCACTGGATATCTTATGGAACTCACTTAATTTACAAGGTATTTTAATGTCTTTATTTGAAGTAAATATATTGTTCAAATGTAACATGACAAACATTGAATTCTTTTTCCCTTTATGAAACACAGAGGCTGGAAGGACAACTCTATGTCCAGTTATTAATGCTAATATGTACACTAACATTAAAAATAACTGATTTTCACATTCAGTGCATCTACTTGTTGGCATTCACATGATGTCACAATCCCCTCCTTTTCTGTGTAAATCTGATTAAGGGGCTTCTCCTGCCATTATTTTGCACGCAAAACTTCGTTCCATTTTGACAACAATCCTCTTTACACAAGGACCTAAGGGTTGAACACTGAAAGTACCTAACCATTACTGTATATTGAATCATGTCTTTTCACATAAAATTGCAAATATGGTTTGAGAGCCAATTTCCAGATTACTCTGGTTGAGTAGGACTAATTACTTTTAAACTGGGTGCAGCCAGGGTCTGCCAAAACAGTGCTGAATTCTTCCAATCATAGGCGAGCTCTACCCATCCTGAGATTGTCTCATACTGAAGTGCTGTAAGATTATTCATGCTTGTAGTAGTAATGATTAACTATAAAAATAATGCCAATTGCAGATGATCGTAATAACAGCAGCTATAGTTTATTGAATGCCTACCATGGGGCAGGCATGGTATATAGTATCTATTATCTCGTTTCATTTCCTCCTGAAAACAATCTTATGTGAGGTATTATTATTATTATTTTCTAAATTTTGTTTAAAAACTGAGTTCCCAGAGATGAGTCTGAGAAAAACATCAGTTTGCGAAGTAGTAGACTTGAGTTCTATTCCTGCTTTTACCACTAGCTGAAATGTGACTATAGGTTCAACACTTAGTACCTCATTTCCCTCCTCTACAGAATTAGTTCATAGAACTAGCTTTAACTTTCTGTGACTTTTAAAAAGCTCAAAGCAGTTTATTATTTTTTTGAGAAAGAAAATCTTTTTTAAAGCATTCATAGTAACAGTATCACTGAACAGTATTTTTCTGGTATTTCCCACATTCTCATCCGATTTCATGGCTTCAAACACAGAACAAAATCCTCATTAATATAAAAGGAAGTCCATATTCTGACCAGATCAGTGAAGCACAGAGAAAGATATGAAATTCACTTACAATGGGTCAGACTCTTACAAAGTTTGAATTTAGCAACATGAATTTATTATGCTGCATATATAAAAAATTAAATGGATGATGTGAAGCAAGGTGGGAATCTACAAGCATAAAGGATATTTACTGTATGTGTGATGAAGCATAAAAATACATTTTTCTCCTTCAAAAAGCAAAATGTTGGATATATTCACATAAAACACCTTAGGCTATATCAAGAACACTATACTTAAGTACATTTACATACTATTTATGTAAATGTATTGACTTAATCATAGCAGCTCTAGGGATTCATGATAAGCTGTGAAAATTGTCTATAAAAGATAAATGAATGACCCTTTAAAATAGAATAAAAATTAAGTATAGCACACCAGCAATTTTAAGCACATATACGTACCATTCTGAAAATCTGTGCTTTTGCAATGTTAGCAGTTCCTTATATAGTTCTCATAGTGATGCATCCACATCACATATACAGTCTCCTAAACATATTGTATTTTTCTTAGAACATCAAACACCATTATGTCCCATGTCAATTTTGTAATATTTTGAAAGAACAAAATATGGTATAGTAAGCTGACATATTTTCCTTCATTGAAATATTCTTTTGTGTGTAAACTTTTTACAGATTTTTCTCACCATTTTCTCCTTTTCTAAAGTTGACAAAAATGTAAATGATGGCAAAGTGGAAAGAATTATCACTTCTTTCCAAAGTTACTACTCTGTGCTCTCATACTGCTATTGTGTAAATATTGACTAAATTTCACAATTGTTGTATCTGAAATAATAATAAATAATTGCTCCCACTTGGAAAATAGGATTTTTTCCACACATATACGAATATGTCACTTGCCCATTGTGAGCAAGTAAGCAATAAAAAGTATGGTTAAGTTTTATTTCACTCATTTATTTATTGAACATTTATTTATTGAGCTCTACTATTTGCCGGGCACTATGCAAGGCACTGAATGGCGTTGCTAAAAAAAAAAAAAGACAAAGTTGATACCTAAATGAAGCTTACAGTATGATGAGAGAGATGCAAAAACAAATCAATAAAGAGAATCAGTGATTACAAATAGAGAAAACTTTCATAGAGGAAGTTAACACCCAAGGAGATAGAGATAAATTAGGGAGGCCAATTTAGATAAGGTAGAATGAGGATCTTTCTGAGATACTAAAAGATAAAAATAAAACTAATGCGTGATGAAGAGTGTTCTAAGCCATGGTAATTTCAAGTACAGAGACATTGAAACATATCAAAATATTTTATGAATACATTCTCTGCTTTGTCCTTCAGTTTCATTAATGAGCATGATTCTCAGGAAAATTCAAACTCTTTGTGCAAAGATTTGCCAAAGAGATATCAGGCATTTTTGAAAAGCTGTAGTAATTTGGAAAAATAAAGAAATTACTCTTTAAAAATAGCTTTCAGAGGGGAAAATACTTAATACTTAAAATATTATTCTTCACTGGATATAATGTTTTTAAGAAACTTCAATCTCTTATAGCAATGATCTCTGAACTTTCTGTGTTTGTAATAGCATGTGGGAAAGATCAAGGTGTTTTTATACAGTGTGAATCTTATTCTGATGATTTTTTGTCCTTAGCATAGTAACTGTTTCTTATTTATTTCTTCTTATTCTCAATAAATGCGTTGGATTTCCAAAATATATGCTATATTTGAGGAAGTCAGAAAAAATAGAAGTTATTTGTCAAAAATACCTTATTTTTATGTGAACTCATCATTTTAGAAAAAAAAGTACATGGATCAGCTCAAAGACTGATTTAATGAAGTATCCTATCATTGGGTTATACATAGGTGCTAGTTAGAGAGTGCATTATTTTGTCTTGAAATATTTACATTGCAAAAATAAATTAAAGAATGTTTTCTAAAGCCATTTTAGATTTTTTTATGAAAGTATACTTTGATCAATTGACACAAAAATTCATGATAATGGCATCATATACTTACATAACTCCATAACAAATAAAAAATAAAAGAAATTTTGTGTGATTTTATGTACATAATGTAAGGATGTGTCTTTTTTTGGCCATTCTGAAATTTTATTTGATTCAAATATTCTTAATTGACTGGTACTGAGTGACAAGAATTAAATAAAAATTGAATTAGTTTAATAACTTTGCATTTCCTGATTAAATGATAATGCTACCAGATGTAAACTAAAACTGGTATATTCTATTAATCTTTAGCTTAGTACTTGGAGGGGGTACCACTCAATCTTCAGAATGATTCCTACAGGTATAATTCTCATTTATTTATTGAGACAAGGTCTCACTCTGTCCTCCAGGCTGGAGTGCAGTGGTGTGATCATAGTTCACTGCAGCCTCCAACTCTTGAGAATAAGTAATCCTCCTGACTTGGCCTCCAACAGCGCTGGGATTCCAGGCATGAGGTATCATGCCTGGCCTCTAATTCTCACTCAAATACTACTCTACAGCACAAGTATCAGTTAAATATCATTTTCAATCAGTTCTGAAATAAATTTAAAGCTTAACAGGAAGCCAAACCATCTCTTCTGAGATAGATGTAACACAATCCAAATCCACTTTGAAGAAGATAAATTCTAGAGCAAGGATTTTGTAAAAGTTGGAGATAAAAAGAATTTCTCAGTAAGCTTCTAAAATAAGACATGCAATAATAGTTTAACTTAAAGGCTAAAGCTTGAAAGACAAAGCTAAATTCTGGTCACATGCTAGAGGTCGTAAAATAAAGCTTTGCCCAAAGAATGAATAGACACCAGATTACAGTCATGAATGTCTCTTCCATTTTTACATAGTATTTAGAAGAAGGGAACAATTCATTCAGATACACTTTATACAGGTATTACACAAATGAACTAAGTTGAAAATTATGTTTCAGTTTCAGTTAAGGTTTACTGTTAAGGTTTTGAGCCAGCTAGACGTATTTCTACTTACACAACAAATGATGTCATTGAATATACCTTAGTAATTCTTGTGTGAAAGATCAAATGAAGCAAATTTTTATATGCAGATAGTACCTGAGGAAAATATGAAGGTGTCATCGACATGGAACCCACCTGGAAGACTAGGGGTCTTTCCATAGTTTCATATTTCCTTATGAAGACCTTATGGTACCTATGACATCAAATGTAATTATTGATTCCCAGACCTATGTCTTCTTCATGCAGAATTCCGTGCATACACAATTTTGGATAACTAACACTGTAAAGGGTCTCTTCTAAATCTCTGGTAGAGACTCGGTAACTGTGAAATGAAAGGATAAATGAATCAATGAGAAGAGAAAATGAGGAAATGTAACCAAGATAAAATTAAAATCAGCTACACATAAAACAGGAGCTGAGTAGAGGGGAAAAACGATTTTCTTTCATCCTATTTACCAAAACATGGAGAAATGGAGGCTGTTAAATGATACATTAAGAAACTATAAATTTTTGGTGCTCCAAAATTCATTAAAGTTTGGCATGCTTTGGTAGGGAGGCAAAAAAAAGAGGGTGATAAACCATGATTTCCTTTAAGCATGCTTTATATATTCACATAAGGATATACATCACCATTGTCTTACATCTATACACTGTTGCCTCAGATCACATCTATCTTGTGGTGTCATTATGATCTTATTCAATTTACACTAATTGATCCTTATAGCCATGTTGGTCTGCCTCATTTTTCTGCAGAAATTTAATCTCATATGCTTTTTAATTTCAACAGTTGTCCTTCAAGGAACAAAGATGGTCTGTATGCAAGGATGCTGTTTCCGCTAAAATGTCATCTTAGCCAATATAGAAGGGTAAAAATAGAAACAATTTTGGATAACTAACACTGTAAGAGTAGCCATCTGCTTCTTAGAAAGATATAAATGTGTTTTCTTATTTCTTTCCTCAAACTAATCCAAAAGATTTCATTCCTGAAATCTGAGATTATGTTATTTCCCCAATTGAAATTTCTGATATTTTATGACCGAATAATGAACTTGCAAATACCTTGGATGAACTTTAAATAACCCATCAAATGTTGTTGATGGATACTACATAGAATGATCCAGCAGCCATCTGGAGACCCGTTGGACGATCAAGCTACCATTTTCCAGATTGAGAAAGCAATCAAAATGAGGAAAATGGGAAGAGTACCACACCAGATGGTATTCCAGCTGAACTATACAAGTGTGGGTACACAGCAAATAGTGAATACTTTCACCACTTGTTCAAAACCATATGGACAGAGATAAATGCAGATATTTGAGGGACACCTATTTCTTAAGAGAACAAAAGAGGGGATATCTTAGGGTACTAAGAGCTACTGTGTTAACTGACAGGAGGTAGCTGACTTAAATTTTGTTAAGTTCTCTGTTTTCTAAAATAATTTACTTTAGAATATTATAATCACAACAATGTCCTAAAACTTAAAAAAGTATAATTCATGAAATAGTAAAATAAAAGTAATTTAGAAAATATTTGAAACATATTGAGTTAATTTCAACTGAATTTATTTTTCTTAAGTCAAAGTTAATAAAAATGCAAACACTCTAAATTGTAATGTAAATCTCACAACATTAGAATATTTGAGATCATGGTTACTTTTAAATTTTTCAATGGAATAAAGCAACCTAAAACACAAAATTTGTTGAAAAGTCCACTATTTAGAATTATTTGGATTATAGTATTATGTAACACTCACTTATTTCTATCACTAAGAAACATCCTAATCTCATAGATGCTATAGGCAAGATTTTGTTTTGTTTTGTTTTTCATGGGTTTTTTTGCAGAATGGGGTCTCTGTAAAATATAGCAAATTATTTATTTGCTACTTATTACAAAAAGTCTTGGGCAGGCTCCAGCAAAACAGGGGACTCTATAAAGATATATTCTTGCATGATTTTAACCTCTGAAACATATATCAGTACCAACTTTACTAATTGTGCACCCCATGCAAATATTAGAAACCTCAGCTAAGACAGCAGACCTCTGAAGTAGATATGAAATAAATGTATGCGTAAAGACAAGATACAGGCCGGGTGCAATGGCTCAAGCCTGTAATCCCAGCACTTTGGGAGGCCAAGGCAGACGGATCACCTGAAGTCATGAGTTTGAGACCAGCCTGGCCAACATGCTGAAACTCCCGTCTCTACTAAAAATACAAAAAAATTAGCCAGGTGTGGTGACGGACACCTGTGGTCCCAGCTACTTGGGAGGCTGAGGCAGGAGAATCGCTTGAACTCGGGAGGTGGAGGTTGCAGTGACCTGAGATCATGCCACTATGCTCCAGCCTGGGTGACAGAGCAAGACTCTGTCTAAAAAAAAAAAAAGATATAGGAGCATTTGATTTTTCCTTATCTATGTTAGTTACTTCTTCCTACTAAGAATTTTATGACGAAGCTGCTTGGAATGCTTACTATAAATGATATGTAGAGATAACTCCAATAATAATTGAGTCAATGAAACTTTGTAAACCCATGCTGTCTTTTGCAGAATATGTTAGCATGCAATACTACACTTATCTCATCTACATTGGTGTAGACTACAAGCTACAGGAAACAGATAGGAAGCTTCTAGAGGTAATTTTCAGAGATAGTATCTTAGAAACATGTATAAATGATTGTTCGAATGCTATGCAAACAACTGAAATCCCACATTTAACTTTACAGGAAAGAAAGAAGTCAGAAATATGCTCTCCCACACACATACTGTCAACATTTCTTAAAGCAAACACCCCAAACCAATTGTAAGTAAAAATTTGAAACCCCAAAGTGATAAAGTCTAATTTATTTTTATACTACGACTACCTCGATTTTAATGGTGTTATTATTCTAATGTCAAAAATGTATGGAGCATTTTCCATGTGCCAGGCACAATGCTCAGCTTAAATGGAGTGTTTAATTCTCAATCCACTCTGTGAGATTGGCATTATTATTTTTTTCCATTTGATATATAGAAAACAGTCCCAAGAGAAAACATTAGAATTGTCAGAGCATGGCTTTGCAAAAAGCAATCTGACTGAAGAGCACTTTTTGAACTTCATCACCATGCTATACTGCTTCCTTTGGAATAATCCACCTAAAACATTCTAGTGCTAATTATTTTTCAAAATGAAGAAAGCACATTTAAAAGGAGTCATGTCTGCTTTTTGGTAACTAACATTAAGATTTAGTTACTTCTGTATGAAATTTTATACAACTGATTTCTCCTAAGAGTTTGGTAAAAAAATTAATGTGTCTAGAGTTCCTGGCATATGTAAATCATATTGTTCTTTCAAGAAAGTTAACTTTAGTGTTATTTTAACTCATAAACTGATCAATAAATTCCTATGGTGTTTTATTTTTGTTTATTTTTTGTTTTGTTTTGTTTGTTTTTTGTTTGCTTTTTTATTTTTTTATTTTTTATTTTTTTGAGACAGAGTCTCACTCTGTCGCCCAGGTTGGAGAGCAGTGGTGTGATCTTGGCTCACTGCAACCTCCCTCTCCTGGGTTCAAGCAATTCTCCTGCCTCAGCCTCCCGAGTAGCTGGGACCACAGGTGCCCACTACCACGCCCAGCCAATTTTTTGTATTTTTAGGAAAGATGGGGTTTCACCATGTTGGCCAGGATGGTCTCAAACTCCTGACCTCAGGTGATCTGCCTGTCTTGGCCTCCCAAAGTGCTTGGATTACAGGCATGAGCCACCACGACCAGCCACATTCCTAAGGTATTTTAACATTCACATGAAGTATTTCTTCACAGGAGATATACTGATAATTTCTAGGTCTATATGAATAACTTATATTACAGATCTGGAGAACCTATTCAAGCATCAGAGTCAATAGAAGTCATGGAAATTAATCAAAATATTGGCAACCATGAAAATGTAGAGATTAAGACAACTTCTTCATGTTTAAATGGGTGGAATCACTTATTCAAATATTAACTCTTTCCACCTGGAGAGCTGAATTCCAGCTATGAATGAGAAAAGCACATATGAATTGGATTGAATAAAATTAATATTTTATGATAGGGAGATATTATTACACTGATGAACTAAAAAAAGTCTACTACAACCATGAAGGGATGTGCTTTTTAATTTATAAAATCTACCTTTACCAGCTGAAAAACCAAGAAAGAAACCACTTTTGTGTCATATCTAGCTACTTTGCATGCAGATGCTAAGGTCTGTGGTACTCCACTTCTCGACTTGTGACTATGTGTATGTTGACAATTGACATCCTGAGTACAGTTGGGGCAGAGGTCTTAGATCTGACTCTTGCCTCATAAACCGACAGTCAAATTTGTTCTTAGCATGTAAAGTCAGATAATGGGTGTGTTTAGGGACTTTTCTCTTTCTTTTTCTAAGCTTCTATTATTCATGGAAACAATATTCTCCAAGATCACATAGGGGAGAAAATTCTTATATGTTCTATGTTAACTGTAAGTAACAGTCACACTTCCCTAACTTATGAAAACCTAAAGACTGCTTCTCTGAGCAGCCTTTTCCCTCCCACTTCTCTATTGCAAGCTTTTATAGAATTAGACTTTTGATGACATAAAAAATATACTCTAAGTTATTCTTGACATCTATTTCCTTTAATGATAAAATGAATGACTTTATGATGCTTGACTGCTCTGTAAGGTGCTATATAAATGCTAAGTATTTATTTGTAAAGTATATAAACACAAACACACACAGCCAACATCTGCTGGTTTTATGTAGATATAGTGTGAAAAACTGTAAAATTTATATTCAAATTTTGAAACATTTCCCAAATTGTTACAATTACATACTTGGTCAGAGTAATTCAAGTTCAATAAATCTTTCAGATTTCTAGTATTAAAAAAACTTTTCCCCCTTTTGCTATAGTGTTAATTTAAAATAAATGACCAATTATTTCTAATAATGAAACTTTTTTTCAAAAGCAGAAGAAAATAGCTTTTGGGTATTTTTAAAAAATAATCCACATTGTATACATACATAAATACACACATATACATCTATTATCTTTCATTTTGTTATGGTACAAACACAATGTAAGATATAACTCTTACAAATTTTTCAGTGTATAATACAGTATTGTTAGCTATAGGCACAATGTTGTGCAATAGGTCTCCAGAATGGATTCATCTTGCATAACTGAAACTTTAGCCCATTGATTAGCAACTTTATTCACTTGATATTGTTATTCACTTTATATCCTTGAAGTTCATCCATGTTGTCACATATTTCATGATTTCCTTCTTTTTTAAGGCTAATATTCCCCTTGAACATATATATACCCCATATTCTCTATCCATTCATCTATTGATGGACACTTGAGTTGTTTCCATATCTTGGGTTTTTGAATAAATCTGCAATGAACATGGAAGTGCTCATACCTCTTCAAGAACCTGATTTCAACTGTTTTTGATAAATTTCCAGAAGTGGAATTGCTGGATCATATATTAGTTCTATTTTTAATTTCTTTGAGGAACACCTTCATACTGTTTTCCATGGCAGCTGCACCATTTTGCATTCCTACCAACAGTATACAAGAGTTCTAGTTTCTCCACACTTTTGCAAACACTTGTTGTTGTTGTTGTTGTTGTTTTGCTTGTTTGATTTTATTTTTGAGACAGGGTCTCCCTTTGTCACCCAGGCTGGAGTGCAGTGGTGTGGTCATGGCTCACTGCAGCCTCAACCTCCCTGGCCCAAGCTATCCTTCCGTCTCTTCCCCCCAAGTAGTTGGAACTACAGGCATGCACCACCATGCCCAGCTAATTTTTGTATTTTTTGTAGAGACAAAGTTTCACCATGTTGCCTAGGCTGGTCTCAAACTCCTAAGCTCAAGTGATCCTCCTGCCTTGGCCTCCCCAAAGTACTGGGATTAGAGGGATGCTCCACTGGGGCCAGCCTTGTTTTTTTAAAAAAATAATAGTCACCATAAAAAGCGTGGGGTGAAAAGAATCTAGTCAGACAATCACATATATGATCAGATACAGAGATCTTTAAATCAAGAGGGAGCGGAGTATCTCTGGAAGGAAACTTATTTGTAATAATGCTTTGTTTTAATCTCTGTAATCCCATGACATGCATAAATAAGCACTCAATGAATATTTTTTGTTTGACTAAGTGAAGATTAAATTTGCCTTTTAGCAAGCTCAACGATTTCCATTGTTGAAATATAAGAGAACAAGTATTAAAGGGTACCTATAAAGGATAGTAGACTCCTAAAATTTTCAGTTTTTGAGATTTTCAATTTCCAAGTTTACAAACATAGAAATGCTAGCGCAGCATTGGCTTGTTTGAGTTGAGAAATCCTTTCACTGAAATTTAATCGCTTTTGCCTCTCTCTTTTGAGGATATTTTCTTTCCACAAAGGAACTGAGTTTTGTTGTTTCCTTTAAACAGTTCTAAGAGAAATGTTTTGTATGGGCAGAGATGGTTGGAGAAGGACAAGCAGCATTGAGCATGATGCTCAGTGACTCACAATACTTACTAGCTAAGTGACTTCTTCACATTACCAGAGTTAAAAGAAAATAATTCAAATTTGGAGTTTTGAAAAAATGACCATAGCTTTAAAATATCATAAACTTTTCGGAAAGCTCGTGACTAGTCAGATTTCAAATGGTAAATCCATAAACGGCAAAGATCTAATATAAATGACAACTCTCATATTTCTGGAGTCTTCCTAGATAGTATTTCTCCTGTCACTACTTACCAGAGTTATTAAATCTCTCAGCAGTCCTTAAGTACTGCTGAACCAGAAAGAAAAGTCCTGAATCAGTCGCCCTTCTATTTGAGCTACCCTTGTTCATACTTCCATTAGGCTAAATATCCTAAAATTGACTTAATTGAAATACCTGAAGGCAACTTTCCAGTATGTGAAAGTGCTTTGGAAAAAAATGAAGTGCTCTAATATTAGCAGGGCTACTGAAAGATGAGTGACACATCAAAGAAATGTGAGCTGGTTTTTCCATAATAATTTAAGGACTCAGATTCCTCCTAAATCAAATCAGTTCTCCAATACATAGTCTAGTCTAAGATTCAAGAAAGCACCATGAATAGAAATTTAGTGTTATGTTGATTAGTCACTATAAACAATTAAACTGTGATATAGTTATTTTTTTCTCAAGAGAATTCCTTCAAAGCCTTGTAGAATTATAAGGATTAGAATAACTGGAAATACTATAGCTACTAGACCATTTTAATGATACCATGTTCATCATCACCAGATAGAAACCAGAAAACATGGAATTATAAAATCTTTTCCCATTTGCTTTGCTTGCTTATATTATATTTTCTTATTCAACAGTGATAACACAAATGAAAGAATACCAATATGAAGAGAATAGGAAGAAGTTTGAACCCCACCTCAACCTCATCCTCTTTCTTATAGTGTAATACTAAAAGTTACATCTAATTGTAACTTAATTCACCAAAAGTATACTGTGCTTCTGGATTTGATTTCACACACATCATAGAGTACCTGACTTCCATGCTGTTTCACTACTACCTGCAGAACTGATTTGCCTTTGACTGATAGGCTAAAATGCAAGCCTTTTGTTTCTCCGTAGTAAAACGGGTATGAATCCAAATAAATAGAGGTGAAAATTTTCTGTTTTCACATTTCTTGGGGGTCATAACAGCCTCAGTGGCTACCTAGAAGTATATGTTTCCAGCCTACACTCTAGAAGAGGTGTTTGTTTGTTTGTTTATGTTTTTTTGTTTTCTTTTTTTTTTTTTTTTGGTGGGGGGGCATTGCAGCACATGATGCATTATTTAAAATAGCAGTTTCCTATAAACTCTTCAAATTTTTAGGCCAGTCTTCTAGGGTTACAACTGCCTAATGGGGGACAAGCAGGTACAGGTATATGTGTGAAGTGGGTCTACTGGGAGTTGTGCTGTACTAGAAAGTACATGTCTTGTGTAGAGGAAACAGCTGCTTTCAGTTCTAGCCAATTGTCACCATGTGAGAATGTGGGCCCAGTATTGTCAGAGCTTCCAAATTTTCAAGAGAAAGCTGGAAACTCAGGGATTCATGTAAAAAAACCAAATATCCTGATGTTTAAATACTGGCTTAAATTTTTAAAAAATATTATGCTGGCCAAACAACATATTTGTAGGCCAAATTGAGTCTGCTGGCAGGCAATTTGCAACCTCTGCTACCCACATATAATCACAACTTTGTTCATTTTATTTACTGATTAACTCATAATTCACATGCTTGAGCACTGATCCAAATATGTCCAGTGGTGGTCTTAATAATCTAGATCAGCATATCTTCATTCGTGTCAGCTATTTGCCAAGGCTACTCAGTTTTCATGACGAAAAGTAATTTGCCCTATCTACCTCAGTTGTGGAGATATATCTTACTCCACTTTTAAATCCCATCCTCATTTAAATATTCAGATAACAGCTTGATTGTGTAAATCATCCTTTAAAAAGCAGATTATGGAATACAGTGGTAAGTCAGGCACAGTTCATGATGCTGTCCAACCTGGAGAGAATTAAACATTTCTGAGGGATTGAACATGTCACTACCTTAGCCCAGTGGTTTTCAAGCTTTGTTCCATAGAATGTAAAAAGTTAGAAGTTCCTTATGGGCCACTTTATGGGGATAACTGAAGGTTGGTATTTGAAATGTGGATTTTTTTAGTTGACATGTAATAATTGTACACATTTATGGAATACAGAGTGATATTTTGATATACGTATGCAATGTATAATGATCAAATCAGGGTAATTAGTCCATCCATCACCTCAAATGTGTACCATTTCTTTCTGTTATGAACATTCAGAATTCTCTTTTAGCTTTTTGAAAATATGCAATTAGTTATTAACCATAAATGTTATTTTCAAATAAAAAAGCTTGAGAATACTTTTTCATCAGATTACATAATCAAAAATTTTATCTGTAAAGAAGAGTGTCCTATCTTTAGATCAATGGCATTCTAAGTGTCTATAAAACTGTTTTAGAGGATCCATGAACTACCTGATGTATACTAAATTCTGCATGATCTGAAAATTGCATTTTCTTTTACTTTTATTATATTCTCAAAGGGGTTTGTGCACAAACATAAGATATTGGAATCTATGATTATATATGTTTATTATTATATGTGATTATATGTGAACTGTGAAGTCAGATCTATGTAAGTTATTCATCCCAGACTAATTACAAACTTTAAATTTTTTGTTGATATTTAATAGATGTACTTTTGTATTGATTGCAAACTTTTAAGTTTCATTTTGCTTATCTTTAAAATAAGAATAAAATAGCATCTACTTCACTGTGTTGTAGTGAAGACCAAATGAGATGAGCAAGATAAATTTATTCTTTAAGATCATACATACAGTAAGCACTCTATAAATGCTAATTATTACTATTGTTGTTCAGCAAACTGAAACTCATATAGGGAAAGTCACAAGAAAGTAGTATACTATTATGTTTGCAAAGAAAGTGATCCAGAAACACAAGTGGAAGGATAACTATTCCTTCTTGGATGATTCAGGGAAGTCTTCCAAAAGATGTGCCATTTGAGCTGGTTCTTGGAGATGAGTAGGAGTTTTACCAAGAGAAGTGGGAGAAGACCTTTCCAGGAAGTGAGTAGGAACAGTATGCGTAAGGTGTAGAGTGTTCACAGGGATTAGAGAGCTCTGAGTGATGAGAAGGTTGGTGCAACTGAATCAAATCGTGCGTGGAGTGGAGGGGTAGAAAGTGAAGTCAGAGAAGTAAATTGGTGTTAGAATATCCAGGTGAATTGTGAGTTGTAGGCAATGTGAAATCATTGAAGGTTTTAAATAGAAAAATAAGTTTTTAGAGGAAGACAATTTTTACAGTGTTGTCCAGGATAAATTGCAGTGAACAAGTAACAAATGTGTGTGTGTGTGTGTGTGTGTGTTTAATATGTGCCAGGAATTGTGCTAATCACTTTCTAGCAAGATACTACCTAATTTTTTCAACGAATTTGAAATGCACAGATTACTTCATTTAATAGGTGAGAAAACTGAAGCTTAGAACAATCAGCCATCCAAAATCACATGACCAAGTCATGTACATTTAATCATTTTTGAAAGATTCCAAAGCCCCTTATACTTCCACTACTAAATGTGGTAGGAAAATAGAATATGAAACTTTTGCCATTTATCCAGATGAGAGGTGATATAGGACCGAGATAAAAGATGGTGATGAGGATTGATATTCAGAAACAATTTTTTGAGAAAAATCAGCAAACTGGGGTAATGAATTCAATATAAAAGAGGAAATAGAAGGCACTACTCAAGGATAAATTAGACAGTATGAGGTTGGAGAAGTGTTAAAACATGTGGCAGCGTTGAAGACTGAGAATTCAGTAGATGAACCAGGATTTTGGGGGATGTGAAAGAGCGCTGGTAGAGGGAAAATTTAATGTGTAACACAATGAATTATAACTGCCTAGAAGACAAGCAGGCGGAGATGTCCAGTAAGGAGCTGAAAGCACAGCTCTAGATAGAAGTGTTAGGGATGGTCACTATTTACTGTGGTTGAAGTCTTGAGAATAGTGAGATTATCCAGGTAGAATTGAAGTACAGAGAAGACAAGCATTGATATCCAGTTGGAATGATTTACACATTAAATGTCAAAGTCCTCAGGATATTATCCTTATTGTATACAGTTTTGAATCTCTCAGAGTTTTTTATACAACTTTCTTTCTTTCTTTTTTCTTTTTTATTTTTTGAGACAGAGTCTCACTCTGTTGCCCAGGCTGGAGTTCAGTGGTGTAATCTTGGCTCACCACAACCTCCGCCTCCCGGGTTCAAGCGATTCTCCTGCCTCAGCCTCCTGAGTAGCTGGGATTACAGGCATGCACCACCACGCCCAGCTGTTTTTTCTATTTTCAGTAGAGAAAGGGTTTCACCATGTTGGTCAGGCTGGTCTTGAAATACTGACCTCGTGATCCACCTGCCTTGGCCTCCAAAAGTGCTGGGATTACAGGCGTGAGCCACCATGCACAGCCAATTTTCTATATAGTAAATACTTCATAAATGTTCTACAGGTGGATAAATGAGAATAGTACCAAGAATAGAACCTAAAAAATGGGAAATGGGAAGGGACCCAGAAAGGAAGTTCAAAAGGATTGTTGAACAGATGGGATGAGATGAGAACAAGAAGAATGGAAGCCAAAGGAGAAGAGTATTTCAAGATATAGGAAATGGTCCTATAGATTGAAATGCTTTAGAGAGATAAGTTGAGACAAGAGCTTAAAATCAGCCATTGGGTTTGTCGATAGGAGAGTGCTAGAAAATGTGATTCTCAACTAATCACTGGAACTAATCACTGGGATTTTGTAATACGTCCTTTGACGAGCTGGGTGTCAGTCTATATAAGGCAAGTGCCTAAACCCAAAACTTAGCAACATATCCAGAAGTAGAAATCTAGCATGAGAGACTAACAGGGAATTAATTGTGCTGAGTTTCATTACAGGTTTCCTAATTGCAAGTGCTTCCTGCTGATAGGGCAGGCTTAATAGATATTAAAGGGAAAAAATGAAAATAAGATATTTCCATTGTGATTCTTTACCAATTAAAAATTCCAAACACAGATGCATTTGAGAATGCATTGATTCACTTAAAGATTAACATCTTCTCACACTGAAAATGTTAATATAAAAAAAGATAAAAATTGTTTCAGATAAAAGTATATGTCTTTGATATTTCTATTTCAATATTTTATTGCTTCAAATGTTTGTATTTTTCTATAACAAACAACCATTTAAAAACTCAGTCTAATAAAAGATCCGAATATTGTTCTTGAAACATTAAAAACTTGTAAATATACCATAACTTTCTATAAATTAAATATCCTCATTATTTTTCCTATTTAGGTGGACTTTTTGGATTAAAAAAATGAGATAAATTCAATTTTGTGTGATATAGTGCTGTTATAATATTTCATTGTAATGTTTTGAGAAAAAAGGCACTACAATCAAATAAATAAATGCATTTGAATAGTATGGTTTTATTTCTTAGAAAAATAATGGTAGGAAAGTGCAGTTTCTTTTCAAAAATCAGGATGGCTCTCCTCTAGATATCAGATTCAGTGTGTTAAAATTTTATTTATATATTGTCTTATAAAAATCCAGAAAGAACCAACATTTTTTTTAACCCACGAGAGAATTTGACACCTCTGAATTACTGAACAATCACTGATCAGCATCTAGCATGCACTCTTAAAGCTCATAATAGCTAACAGGAAGTACTGCTATAGGCTATAGAGTTAGGAATTTAAAAATGTCAGGCAACACTAATAATTCATGCATCCTGGGACCATAAAGCCAGTAGCATGTCAATAATAATGGCATGCTCTTTGGAAAACAGGTAAAATTAACATGCTAATGTTTTACCTTAAGAGAATATCATAGAACTTTGGTAAATCATTTTTTTCTGGCATAGGAAGTTCTGATTTGTGTTCTATGGGTTGCTACTACTTATTATGCCTCCTAGATATGTATCCAAATACAAGGCTACGTATACTGTCAATTGACAAAGTGCCTGACATGACATAATAGCAAAATGTGTAGGCAATAAAAAGAAATGCACAAAATAAATATCGATAACTGAAGAAATCAAGTGTGCTAGATGATACAAGAGATTTCACATTTAGGAAACATTTAAGAAAAGAGGTGACAGACAGTGAAGGATACCTTTAGGGAGCCTACTCTTTTGTTAAATTTTGATTAGACTTTTTATTTTCATTTTTATTATTGCAGGATTGCCTATTTTAGAAATAATGCTTAAAAGCAAGATTTCAGTTCAAGGCTTAAAAAGCTACCGGGCTCTTCTGAAACTGTTTCGTTTTGTTTTGTTTTTCTCATGGTCTTCATATTTGAAAGAAGCATGAAGAAAACAGCTGCATTTGAAGAGAAACGGAATACCAGACACAGAGAAAAGGGAAATTGTGTTTTATTGAGCGATTTCTTTATTACCACTCTGAGAACCAAAAAGTGACTATGGCTATCAAATAAGTCTACCTCAAAAAAATCTTTAGATCAATCTTTAATGAGAAAGAAAGAAAGAAAGATTGTTCACCCAGGTCTTGCTTTATCCACACAATTCTGTCTTTTCCTAACTCATCAATATGCTTGTGGTTCTTAAATTTAGTATTTGAATTAAATGCTCAAGAGCCTTGAATGACATTCACCCACCCATTAAAAGATATATAGGTCAATTATATAGCATTGATAAAATCCTTGATATGATTTGTGTCCCTTTAATGACATTTCCTCTAACGTGACAAAATCACAACAAAACGTAAGAAAAGAGCACCTCATTACAAAGGAACCCACCATACATTATTTAAATCTTTCCCTCTGAGATAGCAAGAGCTAGAATGCATACTGAGTAACTGCTACTCAACAGGAAATTATTCTTTTTCGTGCAATTCAGACAAATGATTTCTGACTGGTCATTACAAGAAAAACAAATACCATCTGCAAATAATAATTAGAATGTAATACTATTTAAGCTTTTGAAAAGAATATAAAATACGTATATAGAAGCTCTGAAGCTAATAAAAATATAATGCAGATTACTTCAAAGCATTTCACATTTATATTGCTCAACCACTAATAAAATGAAACAATGTTAAATCAATTTTCTTAAGTCCTATTTAAAAAAAAAAATCTCTCAGTTGCATCAGAATGGTTCAGCTCACTTGAAGTTACAGCCCGGTTTAGGAAAATTGCATTTTACTGCTCTTCTATTGATTTTTAGCAAATTTAAAACTATCACTATCTGCTGATTCTGCTTATCTTTGAATTTAAAATGTCCACAGTATTTACATAGCATTGAAAAATTACTGTTTCAATGTATTGTATTTTTAATGCAGCTCTCTTTTTGTGGTTTATATAGCTAGCTTGCTACCAAGAGGACACTTTGATGTCATCCTCCTTTGTAGCATACAATGAAATCACATTTTTCTTTAATCTGCAATGGCATCCTGACGAAAAGTAAAACCATTTCTCATTTCCCTCTTAAGAAAATGATCATTATCTCAATTGTTTTGCATTTTTAGTTTTCAATAAAGCCTATAGGTAGTGTAGTGGGTAGTTCATTACTTTAAAAATTATTTGCAAACAAACACAACATCATCTTCAAATTAACCCAAGCAGAGATATCAATTTCTAGTTTCTTAGCTTACTGATGACAGTTCTATCCCAAGATAAATATATTATTCAGTTTCTGTTACCCACACAAACACATATCTAAAATGCACATAGAACTCAAATTATAAGCATTTGTTGAATTTCAGTCCCTTCTATTATGCTTTATATCCCTATGATTTAGCAAATGATTTATTCAAAAGAAGGTCTTGGGGAATGTTTAAATATCTTCTTAAACAATTAATGTGCATCAATCAATATAAAAACAAGCTTTTTTCCTAGTTCCGGTTGAATATGCTTCTTTTCCTAAAATAGACATTACCAAACAAAAGCTATAGATTCAGTTGCTAAGCATCTATTAAAACTATAACAGCCACATGTGATGTAAGTCATATCACTCTGGCAAAAATGAAATTTGCATTCTTTGTGCAAATTCATTGTGATTGCAGCTCTCAGTAGTGTAACTGTAGGGGCCTATAAGTAATTTTATTGTAATCATGAAAATATATATTATAGGGTTATTATCTAGGCACATGTAAGAATTTCCATTTCCCCTGAAACTTGAATTTAACAAACCAGCATTGTGCCTACTAACTGAATTTGTTTTACTCTGAAAGTTTTTAAATTATGTTAACCAAAATAAATATATTTCGTTTGTTTGTTTTGTATTATTATAAACATGAAATCTTCCATGTCACAGTGCAGATTTGAATTTTTGATTTAGCTATCAATTAAGGAATCAACAGAGATGAAAAGGAAGGAAACGGGTTCATTAAAGGCCTTTCATTTACTCATTCCTTCCACATTCTTTTCAACTTGATCCTATTATGTGCAGAACACTGTACTACCATGTGTCTGGTGTTGAGCAAACTTCATACATATTAAGTCAATACAATTAATTGATAAACGTTTTCCATACCTATATTTACTCAATTATAAAGCATTGAAATAAATATCTTAGAAGTGGTGTTTACCATGAACATAATCACCCCATAGAAACCATTTACCTTCCACTAACTTTAGTTATTTGGATAAAATTGAGCAGTTAGGCCTGCTTCCAAGTTGTGCTTATCCTAAGACATTCCTCCATTTTCAAAGTTACCAGCTTGGTGTCAATATAAAAAAAACACAATAATTTCTAGGATGAAAGCAAAGATCTTTTAACAACTCCAAGACTTCGTTTGAAAGACTCTAAGTGAAACTAATAAACTCCTGTTTAGTTTCCAAACATTACATATTCAAGTCCTCCAAAGTCAATAATGTTTGTAAGAAGGCATGTAAAATGTACATTGAAAAAAAATTCACAGAAAAAAATTGTTTATACTATACTTGATGAATTATAAAGGTCTAATTCTGCATGATTTTATAATTATTTCTTAATTATAATTTTCATACCTTCTTTGAGGTTTTTTTAAACTCTCAGCTTACCCATATCATTTTACACTTGACAAAAATGAAGTATTGGAAATTTTGTTATACATGAATCTAAGTGCCTCAATTATTGATAATACTTATATGAATCAAGTTATCAAATGTATCAAAATTTGTCACCCAGGAGTAAGAGATGGAATGTTCTAGTATATGGAAGCAGTTTGATAGTGTTTTTTGGTGCATTTCAGACAGGGATACATTTCTTAATGAAGGACACTCCTTTTTCCACTACCAAGGGCTGAGTCTATTTTTTAATAAGATTCTTGTAATTGTAAATATAATGTAATCTAATTTTATGCAATTTTGAAAAATTTTAGAAGTGTAAAGAAATTTAGAAGAACAAACTGGTCATAGTCTCTCCTTGATAGCTGTCATGCGTTTTAAATATAGTTAGATAGAAAAATAGAAATAGCTACAAATACAGATATGCACACATACAGAGATACAATTCTTCCTAAAGTTATGTGATTCTTTTTTAAAGATTTTTTTTCAATGGTCAGTTTTCATTGATTTAAAAGCATTTCCCATGTTATGAATAATCTTATAAATTTTAATTATTTGTAATATCTTTTCCTCGTACAGGTATACTAAAATTTATTTACCCAGTTCCATTTTGTTGGATATTTAAGTTATTCCTATATTTTAATATTGCAAATGTCACTGTCATAAACACCTTTCAATACACTTTTAGTCAGTACTCTAGTTTTTTATGATATATTCCCAGAAATAAAATGTATTGTCTCAGATGATACAAACATTTTAAGCTTTTCAGTGCATCTTGCCAAGATGATTTTTAGAGAGTTTATCAATTAATTGCCACTATTCATATTTTAAAGTGTTGATTCTATTGTATTTATATCAACTATGTGTTCCAATTTCAGTAAAATATTGCTAACTTGATAGCTGGGAAATGGAATCATGTGTTGTTTAAATGTGCAACACCCATATTCTAAGGAGGAAATCAGAGCTGCATTAAAGATAGGGACTCATAGTAGATGGTGGGGTCTTGCAGGTGACCTGGCCTGGCTATAATTTCTCACTTATAAATGTATAACTAGACTTCCAGAGGGAGCTCAGGGCAAGTCTGGGAATTTTACAGAGCACATGCTTTGGACTTGACCTCCAAAACCCATGAACCCTCTGGGGATAGAAAAAAGAGCTTCCCATGTGCATAGACCAGGACAGAATTCCTTTCTGTCCATACCTTTAAAATATAGACATTATATTAAAATATACTCATAAATTTATAGATGAAGATTCCTCAGTAGACAACTAGAGACATAATCTATTCATACTGTAGAAATAATTTTTAGATGTAATAGTGATAATTATCTTTGCAACATGACATTCCATCAAACTAGTAGTTTTCTGACTAATTGCTGAATTATTTGGAAAGAATTTCAGGCAATAGTTTAAAAAGAAAAGGCCTTATCTTGATATGACTTTGCTTTATGTCACTTTCTGTGTAGAAACTAGTAAAAGCTTATAGCAATATTACTAACCATTAGATCAGAAAATTATTTTGACTTTTCTACTTTTTAATGAACAATAGTTTGCTTATTATTCCATATGTTGAGGTATTAGCATAAGTGAATTAAATAGATGAATGGAGCTACATTCCTGAAATTAAATTTTGTGATTTAAACTGATATCACCTTAATGAAAGATCATTTACACTAATTCCATAAGATGCCAAAATAAATTAATTCAAATTGGTTATCAAGTTACAGACAAAACGTTGGACCTACAAAGTTCATGGAAAATGTAGTGTTGTAATTAGCTGATATTTGAAATCAAGAATCTAGAAAAAATTAGCAAGGTCTAATTGAAAAAAAATTTAGACTGTAATTCAGAAAATGTATGTAATTACTACTTGGTAAGAGATTGTTGCAAAAAGAATCATAGATCACAAACAATGTAAACAATGTAATTTATTTCAACTCAAAATTATAAAATGGCTTGGTAATAAACATTATTTGCAAATGTTATTTAAAAACTTATAAATTTATTTATAGGTAAATTTTTTTGTGCATGTGTGGCATCTGGAAATTTATTCTCTAGACAGACTTTCAGGGATCACACAAAAGCAGAAAGGCTTTTCTCCCAAATCTTCTACTACTCAGGATTTATTTAATGATTAATTTGGACAGATCTGTGGGGCCTGGTGGTTTACACCTGTATTTCCAACTGTCTGGGAGGCTGAGGTGGGAGGATTGCTTGAGGCTAGGAGTTCAAGGCTGCAGTGAGCTATGATCGTATCTTTGTACTCCAGCCTAGGTGACAGAGCCAGACCCTGTCTCTAAAATTAAACAACAACAACAACAACTAAAACATAAAAATCTGAGAAGAATAATAATTGCCGGTTAATAAGTGACATAACACCAATGTGCCTTATTTATTTTCCCCAAAACTTGGAATAATAATAGTGTATATTTCCTGTTTTTAATAATTTCTAGACATTTTACTATGTTTAAATCAATTCATTGTTTGCAATAAAAGCCTCATAAATAGTGAATACATTGATATATTTAAAATATTCCCTGTACAATTATTGAGGATCATTAGAAATGTCATGTGAGAGACAGTACATACTTGGAACCAGCATTTTCTCTAAAACTTCCTAGGACTTTTAAGAGAATAATAAACTTCAAATGTACTTCAATAAGTTCCACAGAAAAGATTTAATGTTGAACAGTCTTCTCTAACTCATTTCAAGTACAAGAGCTACCATTAAGAAGTCTGAGACAAATAGTTACAGACTGGGTATTTTTCTGTAATTGTGATCCAATTTCACATTGCTTTTAAGGTCACGAAAACTCAAAGGGTATTCCTGATACATGATCTCAATCTCCAACAGATGAAACTGGCCCTCATGAGTACATGTTGCGATGAGACTATCTTCAAAATTGAAGTGATTATGAAAGTATGAACAGGATAATGTGTCAGAAAATATACAAAGGATTATTAATAAAGCAAAATGAACATAGGAATCAATTGCTTAAGTGTCACACGTTACTGATATCACAATGATGACATAAAACTTTTAGACTTCACTTTTGTTTTTAAAAGATTTTGAAAGAAATGCAATTGATCTAATCTATCATGGAGAGACAGACTCATGATCCTTTTCCTGTGGAAAACAAGGCAAGCTTTATTTTTTTCTTTTTTTAATTTTCCACTATTGGACACTATTTCCAAAGTTTAAGGGTGATAGAACAAGTGGAATAGCTTTCATTTTATAGTCGTGTCAACACTACCCAATTGTGGTTGTAGAGCTGGTTATTCTTTAACTTCTCTTACACTCTTGGGGCCCTCTGCCCTCCAAGACATAAAAAGAGAAAATGAAGTTGCATTGTAGTAGAAGAGATTAAAGCTACATATAACAATTTCTAGACAGGAAGAATTGTTAAATTTTGAACACACTAAGGGAGACTAATAAATCAATCTCTTCCTCTCCTTCCTGCTTTTCTAATTTCTTTAAAGACATTCCTTTCTAAAGTTAAATTGCTTGACAAGCTGCATTCTGTTTTAGTGATTGTCATTATTATACCCAAGTTAGATGAGAAACATTAAGCATTATATTTTAAACTCTAAAAGAAAACATGCTTAAGACAAAATATATCAGTTACATAGGTATACAATCTTATTCCTTTCTCTCAAACCATGAATAATTACCTTACGCAGGTAAAATTGCTCAGGAATTTAATTTGCTACTTGGAACCCCAAATTTTTCATTGACAATTTCAGAAAAGGAAAAACCCAATTCAGTACAAACAGGTTCACATTTGCTAATTGCCTTTACTTGAGACTTAAGGCTCAAATACTTGCCTGAGATCAACATAGACATTGAAAACAATCTATTTCAATAGAAAGCTAAGATGCAATACAAAATACGGAAATACTTTCTGCTAAACTTTAGGCTCAAGGAAACTTCAAAAATATATATATATAGCGTTGTGTGTGTGCGTGTGTGTGCAAATATATCACAATTTACTTGTCCATTTTCCTGTCAATGAGAATTAGAGTTGGCATTATTTTGCTATTACAAGTAGTACTGCTAAAAATATTATTGTACATATCTTCTGGTGCATGTCTTCTTATACATACACATGTATACACATACACACACATATGCACATATCTTGAGGAGGAATTTCTGGATTGTAGAATGCATGAAAATTCAGCTTTACAAGATAATATTGAATTATTTTTGAAAACACTTGTGTCAATTTACCTCTAACAATGTGTAGTAGAATGATTTATCCACATTGTCTCTAACACTTGGTATTGTCAGCCTTCTTTTTGGGATGGGATGAAGGGTATTATTCTCTCTTTACTACTAATATGCATTATTTGAAATCAAACACAGAGCTTTCCAATTGGCATGCTAATATACCCCAGTGTTTCCAAACAGGCTGCAGGTTTGCCAACAATAGTGATTCCTGCAGCTCTCAGAGCTTAGGCGTGGGGCCCAGCCTTTTGCTTCCAATGTCTGCTGGACAAACCCTTCTCTTTTACCCCAGCGTGTACACAAATACTATTTTCAATGAGTGCCATAATATGGAAATATTTAAGAAATCCTACTGTACAATATACATGGTGGATGGTGGTGTTGATGGTAGTGTTGGGAATTATCCAAATTACAGTGATAAATACATAAATGTGGGGCTCATAAAACCCCTGGAAGCAAAAGAAATAACTTCTCTTTTTAATCTACCAGTTTAAAAAATATGTTTGTGTTTGATAAAGTCATCTTCCAAGGATCCCAGGGAAAGGTGACGAATAAAAGAAACTGTAAAATGCTCTAAGTCTCTTAAATTTATAGCACAGTGATTAGTGAAAATATCCCTCACTCCAATAAATAAGAGAAAAAGGATATTTATTTTGATAGCCTGGCTTTCTATTTTTAAAAGTCAATTGCACCACCCCATGGACATTTAAGCCACTGCTAATAAAGGCCATTTTTCTCTGTTTTATTTTGCAACTATAGGTATGGGTGGAATTTGGACCCAAAATTAAGATAGTCTTTTCTTTTGCTTTTCTTTGGGGTTGTTGTGTATGCAAGAGTTCATGTTTCCTAATTCACATTTAGCAACCAGTGTGTTTCTTGTAGTCCTTAGAAATAAGTTCACAGAAATCACCATGACATTCTTGGCTCTTGAAAATTCTTCAGTTTTCTAATGCATTCACACTTATAAAACTTTTTTACTGAAAAGAAAAAACAGAATAAAAAACAAAAAAACCTAACACACATGCTTATTATTTTGTTTTCAGTTTTTGCATGTGCAAAGTTCTATTTTTAAATGTAACTTATTTCAATATGGTCTTGTCCTGTCCTTGGATTTAATTTAGTAGACTTTGTCTTTGAATGAATTTTCTTATGAAAATGTGGCAATTTTATTGTATGTATGTACAAAATCTGTTCTTTAAAATGGGAATAGTTTTATATAGAAATGAAATATCAAGAAATCTAATTCTTGACTATGATGAAGGATTTTTGTATAAAAAGTAGTAGTGGAAAACGTTGCCTTTCTTGGGGTCATCATTTTCACTCACCACATTTCATAAAAATATTAGGTGTTCTGAAAAGTTAACAAAGTTTAAAAAAAACTTCTCTATTACCATAAGTGCATATTTGTAAGTTATCTTAGTTACCTCAGAACTCTCTCTCTTAGTGTGCTGTTTTATGCAGATAAATTACACAGTAATTTTAATGTGTAAGTATTAAATACCAGGCACTATAATATATAACACTGTCTTATATCTCATTTAATTTCACAACCTGTGAAATAGGGACTATTATCCCAATTTTACAGCTGATAAAATTGAGTCTCGGGTAGGTTAAGTAATTTATTCATGGTTCAATAGTTAGTAAGTGGAGCCAAAATTTAGTTAATCTGGTTTCCAAAGCCCACAATTATCCCCACTTGACCATCTTACCTTCAGAGCTTGAAATATGTGTGGGTTTCTCAAGATGAGCACAAAAATGCCCAGTTCAAAAGATGAAAATAAGAAATAACATGTCATTGTACTTAAAATGATGGGGACATTTAGGTCAGAGACTCAAGGCTAGATCTGGAATGAACCTTGGCCAATGACATATATAGATCTCACAAGATAAGAAGTAGTGTCTGATAATCTGAACTCACCTATTACACCCTCAGAGGACATAGGATACTTTTGGAGTTTCCAGCCAGACTGAAAATCTCAGACACTTTTTTCTTTTCTTTTGAGACAGGGTCTTGCTCTGTTTCCCAGACTGAAGTGCAGTGGCACAATCATAGCTCACTGTAACCTCGAACTCCTGGGCTCAAGTGATCTTCCTGCCTCAGCCCCCTGAGTAGCTGGGGCTACAGGCATGTGCCAGCATGTATCCAGCTAAAATTTTTATTTTTCCTAGAGATGAGGTCTTCCTATGTTGCCCAGGCTGACACTTATTTTTTAACAAGGATAACGATGGGACTTTGAGGATGATCATTTTCAGTTAGCGTAAGAATCAAGTGGCTATGAAAATAACTCTTAACCACGGGAGAGTCCTAGAGACAAGTGTGGTGAGTCTAGACAAACCAATTGAACAAAAGCAGAGAGTATGTGTGTTTTGCCATTGCTATATCCCCAACACCTAGAACTGTACCTGACACATAGTAGGCATTCAGTAAATAGTTGTTAAAAGATTAAACTCGGGGATTAGAGCAAGATTTTTATTAGAATCCTTGAAAATTGGTCATAACTCTCTAGATCTGATGACACTTGGACTCAGTCATTTACCCCCAAATCCCTCCTATCTGCACTAGTTACGTCTCAAAGCACTCACCTGCTTCTACACATTTATATACTATGACCTCCACTAGAATCATAGCACCCAAAACTTCATGGAAGGGAATTTAGGGTCACATAGTTCAGCCTCCCACACTGAGTAGCCATCTAGCCTCCAAATATTAACTACTATTCTAAGAGCTCTCTCCCAAATCTCCCTGAACAAATTATAGCAATTGCTTTAGAAAATAAAGATTCCCATGTCTTACTTTGGAAATTCTGACTCCAAAAATCTTTTATTTTAAAAACACATCTCAGGTAATTTTTATGCACAGGCATCATCTGTGAGAAATGCTTTTCTACAGTACCCATCTCCATTTTCAGAGAGCTCCGATGGAAATTTCTATGAACTAATTCTCCTGCACATACTTTGGTACAAGTGGGCTACTGGAGCCACCTTCCTTCGTTCAATCAAACAGCATTTATTCAGCTTATTTAATGAACACTATCCAAGATACTTGGGGGACAGAAATGAAAAGATGGGGAGACCTGTCAAACATATGGTACTATGTCTATGCAAAATAACATTGGAATGTAGATTCACAGTGGAAGGCAGGGCAGGCATGGAAGAATTCTGAGAATGAGTGTGACATAAGCAGATTTGAGTCTGGAAAGATCACTTGGGAGTGATGTCAGGCATAGTGAGGTGGTGATTCTTAAGTCAAGTAGCTAGTAAGAAGGCTATTTCTGTTGTCCAACCAAGAAAGAATGAAAATATGCACCAGAACAAAGGCAAGTGAGATAGAGAGAAGAATTACTCAAGATCCTTTTCATCCAGTTTCAACAAATGAGGATATTAAACTAAGACAATTAGATTGAAATATATATTTACTAGAAAATAAGTAGACGTCAGCAAGTATCAAACATTGGTCAGTCATCCCATTCACTTCTCCAAAAATATTAATCAAGCACATGTATTTGTTTGGTGCTGAGTTAGAGATACAAAGATGTACACAATGAATAAGACACAATTCCTGCTCTTAGGGGTCCACTTTTAGCAAAAGAATTAGAATTACAGAGGGACAATTATAATAATATAGTATTTAAAAGAAAGGCTATAATATTGCTATTAAAATGCACCATCAAATTAGAGAGGGGGTTTTAGAGAATATTTTTGTGGGAACATAATGAATAAGTAATCCTTTTAGAAATAACAGTAATTTATTGAAGTCTCATGTAAATTATGGGATGTTTTCATATACTTACTTACAGTTTCTTTTTGAAAATGAGTTACAGGTGGCAGGGAGATATTATTGGCCACAAAAGACAGGACGAGGCACGCAACTTCAACAGTAAAATTAAAATTAAATTAATCAAAAACACAGAAGACCTCCCAGAATATTATTTACAAAAAGCATCATGTTGTGAACCAAACTTCTATTTAAATTGCTTTCCCATATTACCCTAGTGAGGTTTCCTACTTAATGAAATATCTGGCAAGGAAGATTTGGGGAACATTTATCCAAAATGCCAGAACTGCTTTCCACTTTGCTCAAATGTTAGCAAGAATCTTTGAAAGTAGCAATACATTTTCCAGACATCATTGTCAAATTTCCCCTAAAGGAGCAATGTGAGTAGATAGTAAGAGAACCATGAATCAGATTGTCAATGCCAGGCTTATGCTACTAAGTTTCCAGGAACATGGTTCTAAGTTTGCAGTCACTAGTTTTGCAGTCACTGTTCCATTTTAGGATTGAATTCTATTTTTCAAATTAATTTTTTACAAATGTTAATCTTATGTGACCCTTTCATTCATCAAAGTGTATCATTCATTCTACCTCTTAATTGTATGTATATGAGGAATTAAAGTAATTTAAATATTAGCCAATTTAACACAAAAGTTAATAAAACAAAATTGCTTGGCAACAATTAGAATGCATTCCAAATCAAAACAGAAATAGCATACATTGTCTGCCAGATTGTATTATCCATTAGGCTAGATGGTCTCTCAGTGACTCTACATACCTCTATAATAGATCTGACCACATTGTATTGTTGATATTCTTTTCTGCATTTACGTAGCACCTTTCTTGCTAGAATAGGTGTTTTTGGAGGGGATGTACTATGACTTATTCATCTTTGTATCTGAAGAAATTCCTGGCACAAAGTAGACTTTCAGTAATTGTATGATAGATGACTAATCGACTACCTAACTAAACTAACAAATTATCTCTGTCTTACTGTTTTGTGTTGGGCCTATACTCTTTTGTTTATATCAGTTATTTGATTTTTGGACTGGCATAAGATTTGATTTGAAATTCTCTTTTGAAGTTATATATTGACTAAAAGCCATAAATATAAAATATAAAATAAATGTAAATATAAATATAAAAAATAAATATAAATATAAATACTGTATTAGATATTTTTCATTCTAAATGAATGAGCAAATTTATTAATAGGTTCTTAAATTAATGAGTTTGCTAATAGATAATATTTTTCTGAGCGCTTGCGCACTCCCAGAATATTTTTTTAAACAGAGAAAATGACCAATTATAAGCTTGAAAACCTGTCAGGAAAAAAATAGTAACCTAGAGGAAAAATATGTTAAGGTAAAAAGAGAATAAATCAATCACTGAGGCTTCCAGAAATGACAGAATTATCCAGTAATCCTTTTCTAATATTTATCCATTTGTTCAACAGTATTGTCTTCCAATGTTCTCTGAAGGATAATTATGTAAATACTTAGCATTCTCAAAATAATGATAAAAAGGTATTCTGCCCCTCAGAAAAAATTAACAATTTAACAAGGGAAAGAATATTAAAGAAAAGAATAGTCGTGCCAGATCTAAGGGGAGAATGAACATAAAAGAAACAAGTAACTTAATTAACTAAGATGTCAGAAGGTAAATCAGTGAAAAACATAATTGTACTTTAATCTATAAATAAGACAATGGCCCAAGATAATTTGTACTATCTCCTCATGATCTCTGCTATCATTTACATTGAAAATAGTGCCATATGAAATGTTGTTATTTGTATATGAAGATGGTGCTATGACTCATCAGTAACAAATCTACAGAATTGCTTTGTTTTAGGAGTAGGAAAAGGCTGGCAATAAATTCATTCACACTCTCAGCTGGTCCTCTTGTGAGCAATGGTGTACATTGGCAAGTTGAAGTTACAGCTGCAGTCAGTCAGTGAGCCTAAAACAAAACAAAACAAAAAACCCAGTGAGTGAAAAACCAATTAGATTGTAATTGGTGAATGGGGGAGAGTGAATCTCAGGCCTGATATATCGACACCAATCTCTGACAAACTAATCTAAGCTATCCATGTGATATCCATGAATCTATATTTAATCAATTTTTAACATCAGATGCTTTTATAATTTAATGAATTTGAGAAAACGTCCCCAATTCCTGCTTAATGTACTGACTCCAGCATGTGCATTACAAATAGAATGTGAGACATCACTCAGTACTATAACTATGAGAAAATATGTAAAAATGCGTGGTCAGTCTCAACTCTTCATGGAAAAACACAATCCACGTAATATTTTGAGTGGTCTCTTCACATGGACCAGCCCAATTGCTGGCAGGTGAGTTTGATTTCCCCACAAGATAAGTAAGTTGAATAGAAATCATTAAGCTTTTTGACTCAATGCCTCTGGTGGAATGTCGTGAAAAGATGTTTTTTAGTGTTTAATGCTTTTAAATGACGAAAGCATGACCTAGCATAGGCTTTGTAGTCAATCATGAAGAGGAACTATCAATGATATTGAAGTTATGCTGTGTCAGGTACTATACCACTCCTCATGTTGGACTCAGTTCTAACAGTAGAACTATGTGGTAGTATTTTCTTTATTTTCTAGATAACAAATTAAATCTTGGAGTAAAAATTTGTCCGGCGTCAAAGATGGCAAAGATTGAATTTGGTTGCAAAGACTTACTCTTAAGTCCATGATCTTTTTTATTTAAAATAAAGATAACAAAAATATAACCAAACAGCTTGGCTAGAATTTATGTAATTTGTATTATTTATATTAATAAATGGGTATAAATACTTGACCTAAAAACTCAAGGGGCAGAACATGGATTTTTATATGACCATGATTTTTGACCAAGAGCTTTATATATTCAGAACATATTGTCAGAAATATTCTATTTTCTCAGTTATTTTAGCTTTATCTTAAAGACTTTACTAAACTGGCAGAATTCATGGGTAGTTACAGCTTTCCAGTCATGCTAAGGTTTTAAGAGATGGTTATAACCCAGAAAGTAAACATCTGTTGGGTTAAAAATTAAAGTATTTCTTTCATTAATTTATCCAAGACTTTTTAAATGCGATTCTCAGCGTGGCTTATCATGATCCCTATATTAAAGATAGTCCAATATCTATGAAGTTAAACTACATACTCCAAGGCCAATCAAAGCACTTCTAATTTACTATTCTTTATGGGGATTCTCTGTTTAACTTGGGAATGTTATTTTAAAAAGTGTGCGAGTACAGCTGCATACATACATAGATACTTTCAATCACTGATATGCATGCATGTAAATGAATCATGGTGAAACAATCATTTCAAAAGATAACGAAAGCTTGCCTTAAAGTCTTTTCTTCCACATTCCCATGGCCTACTAAAAATTCTATCTTATTGACCATGTTGTATTGTCAATGCTTTCTTGCCCAACCAGAGTATGAGCTTTATATGGGCAGAGACTATATATTTTTTCTCAGTGATATCAGTGCATAACACAGTTCTGGCACTTACTGATTACTTATTGAATAAATAATTGAATGGTGTAAAGTAAAATATCAAATTACATAATAGCATCATAGGTTATAATTCACGTTCGTATCCATGAGTGGATCTGATTTTTTCCTGCATATTCTTGAATGCTTGAAAATGCATCTTTGGTTCATCCAGGCACAAATTTTATAGAAGAGAGTTCTATTTAATCATGTATAGATGAAATAGAATTATTACTCAAAAGCAACAGGAGCCACCTATAGTGCCCATGACAGAAGCTGAAAGGAGTTGACTTTCCTTGAATTCTAAGCAATTGTTGCATGCTGGTCCCTGGACAATAATATAAAGCTGGTAAAGTTTGTATTTGAGATGACCTTCAACCTCCATTTTTTGAACTTGTTTGACCTTTTGCCTCTTTTCCCAGGCATCCAAAGCCTCTGGGATGTGTTCTGACTGTAAAAACTCTGATGTTGTGAAAAAAGCTTACGCTTTGCCTCCACTCAAACCAGGTAACTGGCTTGGATGTGAGTTAATTTCTCTACACTTAGTCCTCTCGGTGTAAGTTTAGAATAATAGTGATCTTCCCCTGAAAGGAATGGTGTAGGCCTATATGAAAGGATGTAAGTGAGAATGCTCAATAAACTGTGCAACCTTAAACAGATATTTGATGTCACTCAAAAGAGCCTTAAAATGAGGGAACTTCTAAGGCCCTCTCTCCACTGATGTATTTATGACCCAAATAACTCCATTTACTCCCTTCTATAAATTCCCGTCTCTTGTTGCAATTGTTGGGACAGAAAATAATCTGACTGTTCCCTAAATTTATTCACCTTAAGAAAAAAATGCCTGATAAGGCCAGGTGTGTTGGCTGATGCCTGTAATCCCAGCAAAGGCAGGCTGATGGCCTGAGCTCAGGAGTTTGAGTTCAGCCTGGGCAATGTGGTGAAACCCTGTCTCTACAAAAAACTACAAACATTAGCAGGGCATGGTGTTGCACGCCTGTAGTCCCAGCTACTTGGGATGCTGAGGTGGGAGGATCGCTTAAACCTGGGAGGCAGAGGTTGCAGTGAACAGAGATCACGCCACTTCTCTCTAGCCCAGGCAACAGAAAGAGGCCCCATCTCAGAAAAAAAAAGAAAAGAAAAGAAAAGAAAAGAAAAAATGCCTTATGAACATAAAACCACCTTAGTTTGTTGAGATTTTTTTAAGAGAGAATTGTGAATCTAATTATTCTGCAGCCTGTTGGGGACAAGTCCTTCTTTTGTCTACTCTGTTCATCACTATCCTAAGAAACACAAGAGTCAGAAAGGTGGTATCCCAGAAACAAAAGCCTATTCATCTCGATGTTAAGGCTCTGATACATAAAGGATGGTAATTTAATTTCCTGAAATTTGTTAGTCTGAAAGTTTAATTAAGAGAAACCAAGACACTAAAATAGTTTTGTATCAAATCTGTAGAATAGTGGGACTTAACTACTAGATGACTTATGTTTCCATACTGATTGTTAAAATGATATTTATGAAAGAAACCAAGCGTAACCATTTTAACAATTCTAGGCATACTCTAAGAGGTAAAATTAAAATTAGGGAAAATGAGACCATTTATAATGGGCCATTATGACTCTGAATAACGATGATTATTGGTTCTGCTTAATAAAACTGTCATCTAACACAAAATAGATATTAAGCTAAATTACATTACATTATCATTCTATCATCCCACAGAATTAAATGCAAATCTTAAAAAATAGATCCACAAGGAAACAGACCCAATATTAACCTTTTCTACCTATTTCCAATTAGCTTTAATTAGTAAAAGAACCCATGTGAAGAAGTTAAAAAAGTATATGCTGCAAAATGCATATAATTTACTAGAGCAAATGACTAAATATTTATTACTTGTGTATTTTTAAAACAAGGTAGCTTTGTTTTAGAACAGGAGGATTCCAAGACAGCATCAGAACTTCTCAAACTTCCCTCCTATTATTTAACTTTTGCTCCTTCATTCCATAGCTTTTCCTTCCTGTCAGTCTCTTCCTGTCCCATCTGCTGACCAAGTCATGTAGAGGAATCTTTGCTTTACCTTTCTATCATTGCCATTTCTAAATCTGATTGCACTCAGACAGTATTTCTTTCAAGGTACTTCTTTGGCTCTCAGAATCAAAATTTATAGTTTATGTGACTTCACATGTTGTGAAAATACGGATATTTAGATCTCAGACCTAATTAATCAGAAACTCTATGGTGGGACCTATGGATCTACACTTTAGTGTTCTCCGGAGGTGATTTTTAATATCTCTGGTTTGAGAATTACTGTACTTGAACTACTGACAATTACTAAAGACAACATATTAATATTAAGGTATATCGTTGTGAAGTTTAACATTTACTTGGTTTATATTTAATCCATTACTGTAAACATTTATTGAGAACATACTATTTTCCAGGCTGTTTACTGGGTAGTAGGGCTACCTAGATAATGAAACATCCTTTCTCTCGTGCATCTTACAGTCTTATCAGAGGCATTTGCTCTTTCGAATCACTTATAGCATTATCTCTTCAGAACACTATAGAATCCTGTGTTCCCTGCTCCCACTAGTGTAAGCCAAAAAGAGATTTCAGTCAAATAAAATCACAAATAATTGAAATAAAACAATAATAGAGAGTATGTAGACTAGATGTAGATGAAGAGAAAAATAAGTGAATAGGTAGATCAAAGCATACAAAAATGCAACAGAGAGAGAAAAAGAAAAGAAAAATATTAAAGGAAATTTAAAAGGCATGGAAAAAAATATCAAGAAGCCCTGGCATATGTCTAATAATTCCAGTAACAAATAATATTATTGATAGGGAAGAGGAAATATTTGAAATGATGGCTGAAACCTTTCTTGAAAACTGAAGAAAGCAATGAGTAATTATTTTGAAAATTTAAATAGACAAAAACCCCCAAATTATACCTAGTCACTTTGTAGTGGAATTGCAGAACATCAAGGACAAAGAGAGAATTTTGAAATCAAATAGAGATAAAAGGTAATTTACAAAGGAACAATCAGGTGGATAGAAGACCTCATCAGCATTAGGAAAGACCAAAAGAGAATGAAGGAGTAACTTCAATGTGCTGACAAGATAAATCTCAGTGAAAAGTTAAACATTTAAGAGAGAAGGTGGAATAAAGAAGTTTAAAGATGCACAATGACACAGAATTTCCTACTTTCACTTGAAAAAATACTAAAGGACATATTTCATTAAGAAATAAATAAATCAAGAAAGAAGGAATATGATTCAGGAAGAAACAGCAAATAAATCGGTAAAAAATATTTTTAAATCTAAGTAAATTTTGGGATATAAATGACATTTGTACTACAAACACTATTTGTTATGGCTTAAGTAAAAACTACAATTAAGTTACAGATAACCTAAATGTTTATAAAAATAGATTGTCAACAGGCAATTTTATTTTTAACAAACTAATTTGGGGAGATATCAAGAGGCACTTGAATTAACGTTAAATATGTAATCAAAATCCGTTTATTTTCCCTTTATATTATCACTTTAATGGCAACTTAAAACTCAGCTGACATGAAAATGGGTCTTATTTCCCCTAGAAGAGGTTTACCAATTTCCCCTAAAAGGATGTTTTCTATTATTTTAAGCAGCAATTTCGTTGTCTAGTTTTAGGTTGTCAAACTTGTCAAACATTTAATTGTTGAATGATTAGCTCTTCACAAACAATGAAGGCCCCATCTTAAAAGCTTTTTTGTTTATCAGAGACATCCTAACCTTGTATGCCTCGTTTTCCAAGTTATAGATATTAGCAGTATTATAATGGTGTTAACAAAGAGAAGAGGCTATATGTGACAGAAAACCTGTTTATTATGTAATTTAGGAGTTGGATTGGTGTGCTGCAGATTAATAACTCTCATTTATGTTGTAGCTATACTTAAAAAACATCATGGAGTCTTTCCATTTTTTCACTGCTTAGATTGATGGGTTTTTCCCTGAAAACAAAATAAAACAAAAAGAAAAACAACTTTTGAATAACATGGCATCTGGTAAAGTCAAGGAAGTAAATTTGCTTTTTTCTTCCACTTCGAGAGAGTTGGCATAGTTTGAAAGAATATTTTCAAGAAACAAGGAAATAAGTATGAACTTTCATATTTAATGAGAAATTGAAAGGTGAGTTTATAATAACCTCAGTTCAACATTTTATCAAAAGTGTTGGCATTAGTAGGCTGGGCGCGGTGGCTCACGCCTGTAATCCCAGCACTTTGGGAGGCTGAGGAGGGTGGATCACGAGGTCAGGAGATCGAGACCATCCTGGCTAACACAGTGAAACCCCGTCTCTACTAAAAATACAAAAAATTAGCTGGGCGTGGTGGTGGGCACCTGTAGTCCCAGCTACTCGGGAGGCTGAGGTAGGAGAATGGCGTGAACCCGGGAGGCGGAGCTTGCAGTGAGCCAAAATCACACCACTGCACTCCAGCCTGGGCAACAGAGCAAGACTCCATCTCAAAAAAATAAAAAATAAAAAAAAGTGTTGGCATTAGTAATATCAATATATTGTCAACATCTGCTAAAAGTCATCAAACACCTGGTCAGTTCATGCAATCAGGAAAAAAAAAAAAGTTGTTTGATTCACTTAAAAAAATCAAATCATTTAAGTGTGACTAACGCTTTTTGAATCTTTTGGGGGTATGTGAAAATAAACTGATGAATGGTTTAAAAAATGTTTATGTTAATTGCTATAGAAGTATAAATTTTAGTCGTTTTTAAGAATTTTTGTTCTTACTACATTTCCATGCAATTAAGAAAATTATCATATTTCTTTTTTTAACTTTTATTTTAAGTTCAGGGGTACAAGTACAGGTTTGTTTTGCATAGGTAAACTTGTTTCATGAGGGCTTGTTGTACAGATTATTTCATCACCCAGGTATTAAGTCGAGTACCCATGAGTTATTTTTCCTGATCCTCTGCCTCCTCCCACCCTCCACCCTCTTAAAGGCCCCAGTGTGTGTTCCTCTCTACGTGTCCATGTGTTCTCAGCATTTAGCTCCCACTTATAAGAGAGAACATGTGGCTTTTGGTTTTCTGTTCCTGAGTTTGTTTGCTAAGGATAATAGCCTCCAGTTCCATCCATGTCCCTGCAAAGGACATGATCATGTTCTTTTCTATGCTGACCCACAATTAACCAGTGCATTCTTCCCTTGGATTCCCTAAGCTTGTGTGCCTGATGAGCTGCTCTCCAGTTATGCCACCATGATTTCCATTCCTGAGGGAAGGCTGTGACGAAGAGCCAGGAAAATAAGAGCACCCCTCCTACTCTCATAGTGCAGTGGTTGAGGATCCTTTTTTCTATACAATTTTAAAACTGGAAATACACAAAATACGCCAACATAATTAAAAATAAAACTACCATGAAATAGCACAAATATTCTGCACATGAAATGTTAAGAACTAAAATTTAAAAATCTGCTTTTAGTAGGACTACATAAAACTGAAGAAAACCAGTCAATACAGAATTGGGCCAATGTACAATTATTCTTGAAGTAATCCAAACACATTAAGTTCTCTAATATATCTAAAATAATCTATGACAAAGGAAATAATCTGAAGGAAAGAAAGAAAAGATAATTGTGGGAAATTCTTATGTGTTATACTTTTATGTGTAGATAAGCTGAATGGAAAAAGAATTATTGTAAAATATTGAGAAAAGATTAGAAGATATGAAATAATTAAGAAAAAGAGAATAGGTAAAAGGAGCCCATGGTGATGAAAAGGCACTGCTCATTTTCTTTTTAAAAAATTTCCTCAAATTATTAAATCTAGGCATTCCCAACTTTTTTTTTTTTTTTTTAGATGGTGTTTCGCTCTTATTGCCCAGGCTGGAGTGCAATGACGTGATCTTGACTCACCACAGCCTCTGCATCCAGGATTCAAGCTATTCCCCTGCCTCAGCCTCCCAAAATGCTGGGATTATAGGCGTGAGCCACCACGCCTGGCCAGCATTCCCAATTTTTAAAAATGAATGATTGGCACAAATCTTAGAAAGCCATTTTCTGTAGATTTGAAAGCAATGCTATTTACATTGTTACTACTTTCTTGTTAAATCTTGCATGTCTGCAGTATGTGTTGTAATAGAAACCTAAGATTATGATCTGCTGTATTCATATTTGAAGAAGAAAATTTCAGACTGTATAATCAACTAGTTGATGATTCATATTTGCTTGTACAAAGTTAAAAGTGTAACTTGCCAGAAAAGAAGGAAGCCTGAAAAGTATTCTAAATACATTAATAAGAAGGGTTCTACATGAATTAATTTTTGTTTTGCCATCTACAGAGTTCCTGCCACATTCTAGGCACTTCATATTTGCTGCAACATTTATTCAGACATTGACAGAACAAGAGAAACGAAGTTAAATTTTAAGTACCATGGATTGAAATTAAATTTAGGGAAGATATTTTATAGTATGAATTGTTCATCTGTATTTAACAAGGTATTCATTTATTTTGGGCGATTTAAGGAAGGTCCTTTCTGGAAACAGGATTACAAACATATGGACCTATTTAGTCAATTTCAACCTTGTGATTTTGAATCTGACAGGTTCTCAGCTGCTTTTATTAAATAACGGATTTTCTTAATAATTACTGTACTCAAACTTAGCAAAAAGCTCTATTTATAGCCCAGTTTTTTAGTCACACACTATTGTGTCTTGTCAAATTGAAACCATATACTACATTCTTTACTTATTAAGATGGTCTTTCTTTGTAATAATTTTGGAGTAAATAGTTTACTTATCTAAACCTCTGATTTCTGATTTAACAGATTTTTGAAGCATTTATTTTCCTTACCATACATAAAAATTGTCAGTTGAGGACAAGGAAGGATTAACCTGGACTACGGTGAATAATTGTTCAGGTTGCTTACTGTGTAACTCCAGAGGAGCATTCACATGGTACAATTTGCAGATTTAAGTATTTATTACAACCATTTTCTGGCAGATAACAGTGGAACACCCTGTTCTGTTAAAATTAGTTTATTATGACAAATTGCCTACAGATGGACATAAACTGTCTTGAGGAAGGGCACCTGCTTTGGACTGAATCGTGTCCCCCCAAAATCAAATGTTGAAGCCTAATCTCTAATATGATGGTATTTGGAGATGGGGCCTTTGGGAGATAACTAGGTTTAGATGAGGTCAAGAGTGTGGGGCCTTCCTGATTAGTACCCTGAAAAGAGAAAACACCAGAGAGCTTGCCCTCTCTCCCTCTTACCCCACAGGCACACAAAGAGGTCATGTGAGTACACAGTGAGATAACAACCACCTATGAGAAAACAGAAGAGGCTTCAGAGTGAAATCTACTTTGCTGGTACTGTAATCTTGGACATTATTCTCTAGAACTGTGAGATAATAAATTTATCTTATTTAAGCCACCCAGTCTATGGTATTTTGTTATGGCACCCTGAACTAAGACAAATTTTGGTACCAAGAAATGGGGGTGCTACTGTAACTAATACCTAAACATGGGGAAATGACTTTGGAATTGGATAGTGAGTAGAGGCTCAAGAATTTTCAGGTGCATCCTAAACATATGAACAAACAGTAAAGGTGATTCTGGTGAGACCTCAGATGGAATTGAGGAATATGTTATTGGAAACTGGAAGGACGGTGATCCTTGTTACAAAGTGGCAAAAAACTTAGGTGAACTGTATTCTAGTGTTTTGAGGAAGGTAGAACTTGTGAGTGATGAAATTAAATATTTGACATTTCTAAGCAATATGATGAAGGAGCAGCTGGTTTCCTCCTGACCATTTCTGCTGAAATGAAAAAAAAAAAGATAAGTTGAAGAAGAAATTGTTCAGCAAAAAGGAACCAGAACTTGAAGATTTGGGAAATTCTCAGCTTATCCACATTATTAAAAAATGACAAAAACTTGCTCTGAAAATAACACTAGGAGTGTGACTGGACAACCATTTGATAAGAGTTTATGAGATTATGTGAGCAGAAATTCTGCCAGTTTGAACTGAAGGGGATGAAGATGGGACAAAAAGAATGAAGGCTTCGAGACTTCTTGGGTTAGACATGATGGGCTGATTTGCTTATTTGGCTGTGAACCTGCACTATTTTTCAAGGAGAGGAAAAAATGGCCCCAAAGGCAATTCAGAGATAGCCAGAGCCACAGCCTCAGTTTCAACAGGCTGGACAGTCTCCACTCAGCTCTTTGGAGGCAGAACCACTCAGAGGACTCAAGCCTGTCAGAGCTAGGGGGTGGGGCTGGCAATCCCACAGGGTGGAAAGGATGGGGCTATCCTGCAAATCCATGTGGGTGATGTCTTGGGTGGAATGCTCTGGACTGAACTGTCCTCCCATCCCCTGCTCAGATTCTGTGTTGAAGCCCTTACCTCCAGTGTTACGGTATTTGGAGATGGGGTCTTTGTAAGATAATTGGGTTTAGATGAGATCATGAGAGTGAGGCCCTCAGGATTAGTGCCCTTATAAGAAACCTCGGAAAGCTTGCGAGTTCTCTCTCTCTCTCTTTCTTTTTCTTTCTCTCTCTCTCTCCCCGTGTGTGTGTGTGTGTGTGTGTGTGCGCGCGCACACGCGCGCGTCATGTGGAAACACAGCACAAAGGCAGCCTCTGCAAGCCAGGAAGAGGGCTCACGAGAACCCAATCAAGCTGGCACCCCAATCTCAAACTTCCACCCTCCGAAACTGTGAGAAAATAAATTTCTGTTGTTTATGCTACCTAGTCTACAGTATTTTGTGCTGAGCTGACTAATACAGTTCCTTTCCAGATTGTACAAAAATGCCACATGAATCAGAGCTCACCAGCTCTAGTAGGTATGATTGTTCAGTGTTCAGCATATAGGAAACACTGGGGAAATGCTCATATGTTCAATGAAGAAAATATGCGTAACAAGTGATTTAACAATAATGTGATAATTCATTGGATTACTCTAAGAAATATGAGTTTTTTTACGGCAAACTCTCCACAACACACTTGATAATAGATTGAGAGGAAATGGCTGTGTAAATAATTAAGCTGAGAAAATAAGTTACATTTGCTCTCACAGATCAGTGGTCAAAGAGAGACAAAATGCTGAGGGTGGGGTGGGGTGGACAGGACATTGAGGATCAAAAGCACTTGGGATCAGCTTCAAACTGAAGGTAATAACTGGAGTCTTAGACACGGGTTTTTCCAGGAAAACAAAATGAGAGAAGTCAGATCAAGCAGAGGAAGTTGTATGAACAATCACTAAACTTCCTGACTTATTCTCCAAGTTTCTTATTCCTAAACTACAAATATCTTGATTGCATTCTGAGAACATGCTGTGCCTCCCTCTGTCTTAGCAGTCACTACTTTATATTAAAATATATTTTGATGCTTTCCTTTCCCATAGATTCTCCAAGTCATAAACAATACCCCCAGCACCTAGCACAGAGCCTGGTACCATGTTGTTTGTCAAATTAGACTGAGCTCTGATATTGCCTTTTTCACCAGGTGGTCCATACTCTCTTCTACTTTCCTTTAATACACTGGCGTATGTTTTGTAAGCCCTCGCCACATTGTATTCAATTGTTTGTTAATGTGTTTGTCTTCCTAATTAGACTGTGAAATTCTTGAAGGCAGAGATTAGGTCCTGTTCATCTTTGCATGATCAGTGTCTTGCCTAGCATATAGTAGGGTTCCCTTGGGGTTCCTTTTTTTATGAAATGAACTAACATTCAGTATTTCAAAATTACTGGAATTTAGTGTGCTTTAGGTAACGGTGAGCAGAAGGAAGATGGATAAGATATAAGGCTGGGAAAATATGGGGAAAATCCATGTCTGAGGTTAATTGATTAAAAAGGAGGAGCCTTGAGTGACTTCTGTGCTTGGTGTGATGGTGATATTCACCAAGGTAAGTTATACTAGAATAATAAGTTAGGGAGATAATAGTGAGTTGAGACATTTATGAAATATGCAGGTGTCTAGTAGAGTTGGATAAATAGGCCTGGAGCTTGAGAAATTCAGAACAAAGATAGTGATTTGGACATCATGAGAGGCAGTATACAGTAATAATAATAATAAATAGACTGGACGTGGTGGCTCACGCCTGTAATCCCAGCACTTTGAGAGGCCGAGGCAGGTGGATTGCCTGAGCTCAGGAGTTCAAGACAAGCCTGGGAAACATTGCAAAACCCATTCTCTACGAAAAATACAAAAAATTAGCCAGGCATGGTGGCATGCGCCTGTGGTCCCAGCTACTTGGGAGGCTGAAGTGGGAGAATCGCTTGAGCCTGGGAGGTTGAGGCTGCAGTGAGCTCACATCATGCCACTGCACTCCAGCCTGGGTGACAGAGGGAGATCCTATCTCAAAAAAACAAAACAAAACAAAATAATAATAATAATAATAACTATTAAAGCACTTTCTAAGTGCTGGGTACTAATTGCTCAGCACATGCTAGTACCCTTAATACTCACATAAACAAACTTTTGGAGATGTGCATAATTATCCCCATTTTACAAACTAGAAACCAAGCCACAGACCTCCTAGTTTACCTTAGGTCGTGCAGATCTCAAACCAAGCAGGATTCCCACCCAGTGACTCTGCTTCTAAAATTCGTACTCAGTATACACCAGTATAGGGACTGGGACTGTCAGTCTTTCCTTTGCTTTGTGACTTGATTATATTACCCACCACTTCTGTGCCTCAGTTTCCTCATTTGCAAACTGAGGGAAATAATACTATCTATCTCAATACAGTGCTTGGTACATGTTAGCACTCAATCAACCTTAAATTATTATTTCCATTAGCCTATTTATGAATGTTGAAATCATGGAGGAAAAGGAGATTGGGTGAATGTGGGGAATAAGAAAACCAGAGGGTCCTTGATCCTTTAAGCAGTGGTTGTCTAGAAGGAAATCTAGTTTGGAGGCTGTGTGATCATCCCAAGGGGAAAAGTGAGGCTTCCAGACCTGGGGCCTGGGCAGAATCTGGGATGCCTGGTCCAGTGCAGAGGGCTGAGTATCAGTCATCCACAGCAAGCACTGCGGTGCTAGAATGAAAAACTGAGAAGAAATATGCCAAATCAAAAGCCTAGTCAGCCATCCAAGTGTAAGGTCCATCTAAAGGAACTGAGCAAAGAAATATGAAAAAAAATCAGCTTAGACAGTATGAGACAAAGCTTGAAGTTTCTTAAGCAGGTGGTAGGGACTTCATAGGATGCCATGAAACTGAGAGTTGTCCAGAAGACAGCTCTTAAAGACAGTGGTCTTGCACAAGCTGAGTTTGAAGAATAATCAAAGTGGTAGGAGGGAATAAGGATGAGGCAGGATCTTAAAAACCCAGGGAGGAAAAAAATGTGAAGGATGTGGGGAGATGGGAGATTTGGTAAGATTCCATTTCTTTCCAGCACCCACAACTTATTAATCCCTACAACAGTTTAATGAGGTGGGCAGTCCATTTATTCCCGTTTTTATAGTTTAGGAAAATTAGACAACAATAATAACTGGCTTTGGGTTACACAGCTGGTGAGCATCAGAGCTGGGATTTTAACCCAGGCTGCCTGGCTCTCACGCCCATGCTTGCAATCATCTATTGCATAGTCCTTATTCCTGGCTGATTTCCTCTTTGTCGTGGCTCACTTTACTCCATCCCTTGTATGTTTCTAAAGACAGAGAACATGGCGTGAACCCGGAAGGCGAAGCTTGCAGTGAGCAAAGATCGCGCGCGCCACTGCACTCCAGCCTGGGCGACTGAGCGAGACTCCATCTCAAAAAAAAAAAAAAAAAAAAAAAAAGAGAGAGAGAGAGAGAGAACTTGTTTATAGCATTTTCCATCTCCATCTACCTACTGTACACTCAGCAAGCCTGGGCGGGGGTAGGAGAGTGGTACACGTTTAGATTTTAAGGAACTGCCCTCTCAAATATTTACGTATAGTCTGAGTCCTTTCCATTCCCAGAAGGCTTCAGATTTTTTGAAACAGGTTTCAGAAAAAAAAAAACAAAAAAACAAAAAACTAAATACTTTCTTCTTTCACTTCAGGAACCTATGAAGGAAAAAGAAATCAGTTAATATTCCAAAATGAATTAATGGATTGCTGAGTCAACAAATTTGATATTAAAACCATTCAATTACTTTCTAAAACAAGAAGGATTAGTTAATATTGATTGGCTGTTTGGTGAGATGTAAAATGTAAAAAGTACTTTGAAATATGTGTTATATCTGTGTTTAAAGAGAGAGCGAGACAAAATAATAAGAACATTAAAGTTAGAAATGTCTACTTCAATTGGATCCACTCCCTTAGTAAGTCAGTAAGTGCAGTGTAATGCTCTTTAAAGCATAGTTAGAGGATTTAAAATCCGTAATGACCTTGAAGGTCTTACCAGGGTTCCAGATAATCAATACTGTTAATAATCACCTAATGCGTATTAAGGATCAATACATTCTAAAATTTAAAATAGCCTGATTTGGAATCATGTTGGTACTAATTAAAATTCCAATTTTAGCCAACAAAAACATAATTGAATATAAATGTTGGTTAAATGAATAGATAACTGCATGAATAGAATAAAAATCCCAGGCATAAATTATGATGGTTTGCTTTCTGGTCCTGCAACATATTCTTTTTGAATATTCTAATCTCAGATAATTACATACAGATTTTAAAAGTCAAATTTTCTATTAAGATCAATTCTTTCTTCTATGTACATTATCCATTAGGTATTAAATTCCATTGCATAGAGACAGTGAGAAGATTAATTTGGGTGGATTTGATTGTTGGGGTAAATATAGTATATGAAAATTAATCTTAAACTAAATTAAAAATTCAAGTTTCCCCAGCCTACACTTACTCTGTAGCTCAAAAGTTTTTAACTTTGGGTGTACTTCAAATTGTCTGGGGGAACGTTTAAAAATACCATTTAGTGAATCCCACCCAGGGCAATTAAATCAGAATCTCTGTAGGTGGAGCATTAGTGTTTCTCAGAATCCTCCCAGTGATTCCAGTGTGCATCCAGGGCTGAGAACCAACATTCTAGTCTTTTTATTAGCTTTATTAGCATTGATCTTAAGATCCCCTACTCTAGGATGTCAGAATTTCAGGGATAAAGACATGGTCAGTAAAAGCTACCTTAGTCATTTGTTCATTCACCCTGACAACATATATATTAAGATGACAGAATTAAATGTTACATGAAGATCTCGGGAACACCAACCAATAACACAAAGCCCTAGTTCTCAAGTGACTGAGAGTCTAGTATAAGGGGGAAAAGACAGGTGAAATACTGTATTAAAAGATATACAAGAAAAAAATAAGGCCAACCTGATATCTCACCATCACCACAAAAGCAACACATCCAAAAGCTTCTCTCTTCTCTCTCCACACATTTTCCTAGTCCTTAGATATTAGGACCACAATCCTAGAAAACTAAGCTTGGATATTAGCCTGGCGCTGACTCCTTCCCACATGTCTTGAGTTGACAAATTGTGTGGGTTTTCCCTCAACAGTATTCCTTACATCTGCATCCTCCTCTGGATTCTCACTTTGTGCTTATAGTCTTATTTAATGTTGGTCTAGAATATAAATACAGTGATATAACTTGACTCTCTATACATACTTCCTTATTGCAAAACATAACTGGTCATGTCCAAAAACCTCCAGTGATTTTTTTTATGTATAAGAATTTTAAATTACTGATTTTTCAAATTCTAATAACCTCCACTATTTGTCCAAACCATGTAAGTATTTATTCTGGTAGTTTATATGAATATTATCAAGAAGCAATGAAAAAAAGCTAACTAAATATTTCACAGGAACGGAAAACCAAACACCGCATGTTCTCACTCATAAGTGGGAGTTGAATAAGGAGAACACACAGACATAGGGAGGGCAACATCACACACTGGGGCCTGTTGGAGGGTGAGGGGGTTAGGGGAGGGATAGCATTAGGAGAAATACCAAACATAGATGATGGGTTGATGGGTGAAGCAAACCACAATGGCACGTGTATACCTATGTAACAAACCTTCACCTTCTGCACAGGTATCCCAGAACTTAAAGTATAACAAAAATAAAAATAAATAAATATTTCATACATGTCAAACACAAACTTTTATGAATATATTACAAGGAGGAATGCAAAAAGCAAAAATGTAAAATTATAGTACATAGTATGGGAATATTAAACATCATTCCAGTATAAATTATTCAGAGTCAATTAAAGTATTATTAAAATAGCAAACAAAATAGTAGATTAAGTGGAAAAAACAATTAAGATAATTGAAAGCAAAATAATATTCTTGGATTTTACAGATTTGTGATGTAAAGAAGCAAAGCTTCATTTGCTCCATTTTGTTGTAATTTTTCTAACTGCTCCAGAAATTCTTTTAACATCTACACTGCTCAGGGAAACGCTGTAGAGGACACTGTAAACTCTTTCTGGATATTTTCCTTTGATTCCTTCATCTTCAGATAATCCTACTTTTTTCATAAATGCAAGATCTTTGTTACTACCTTTTTTTCTTTTCAAGAACTGGAATATTTTTAATTCAGTTAGACCCATAATTTTTATTTCTTTTTTTTTTTAACATTTCCAGTTTGTATTTACCGTCTTTTGTTTTGTGTACTTGGAAATACCTATGCAGAGTTACCGCTCTCCCTATCAACACTGTCTTAACACATGTGCCATCAGAGTAGGCTTATTCCTGCAAAACAAGTTTGCAGCACCACAGTATGTTTGCTTATTATGTGTGGACCATTTGTCTGTTTGTCTTTTTTGTATAAATTGAACAATGAAATCATTCATTTTACTTGTATGATGTAATAAATGTCAGAATAATAAAACAATATTATACTAACAAAATTACCAGTACTTTGGACTTCAAATTAATATGACATTATTGAATGCTGAAATACTGAAAGCCTGTATTGAAATCACTAGATTGCATTATTAATATCACAGTACTTCTTAAAATAATGGTATTTTTACTAGGTGGACTTTTCTAAGTGAGGCACTGTAGGTACAGTGGTCCAAATTTACATAATCCTCTGAAATATTCTGTAATTTAATTATTGTGACTCTATTGTAAAGTAATAAAATTGCTAAGGTCATATAGTTGCCCATCAGAAGAAGCAATTCCTGTTATTTAGTTAGTGTCTTTGCATTAGATTGAAATGTCAGAAGGTCACTGGAAAGTTTGCTAATATTTTTAAAATTGTGTTTTTATTCTTTGCATTGTTTCTGAGATTAAAAAATCATTTAACATAATGTATTGTGTTTTATTTGGAGAAAATTCTTTGTTACATTACTTTTTATTTGTAACATTTACATTTCACATATATGACAGTAAATTTTATATATATAAATATATATATATACAAAAGGAATTTTATTTCAAGGAGCCCAGTTTTAATAACTTACTATCATACTATTGGTGGCAAAAAATTTAAAAAAATTAAATTTTCATTTTACAATATGATTTTTAAGATTTTAAATTTTATTTATATTTCTAATTTCATATGTTTTCTGACGTTTCTCTATCAGAACACACACAGACATATTCACACATATGTTTACATAGATGTTCTGACTTTTGCTTGAAAATTTTGTTCTACCCAGAATAACCCCATTCATCCTTTCCATCTTTCTAAATCTTATCCATTCTTCAAAACATTGTATAAATCCTGCCTATGCTTCTCTGGCCACAGTAGCATTGAATCCTCTCTCCTTCCTCTGGATATCTTTGGTCTTTAATATTTGTATCATTAATTTATTAAATATGTTCATTCTCAATAGTTCTTAGAGTTATGCTGCTTAATATTTTTATTTAACTTTTGTATGCAGTGATTTAACTGTAAACTTTTTGAGAACAGAGTGCTAAGTTCATCTTTATCAATTTGCTCTCTAATTGCCTTCTGTAAAAACTAGTAAATACAACAGAAACAAGCAATAAAACCCACACTGCCCACATCTTACATTTTATATGGGAAAGTGATAAGATTTAAAATAAATATATTTATTATGATAATGTTGAGTATTGATATTAATTCTCCCATGTGACGTGTATATGGATATATATGTATGCTTGTATTTATAAAGAAACTATTATAACTTAATTCTGATTAGCCTCTTGCAGCTTTTCAAAATTCATTCTCCTGTGTCTTCTCATGACTGATAACTTGGAAAGGTGAGTGACTGCCATGATAGTCCTTGTTTATTTAGGAGGAAACTGGTGTTCAGAGAATTATAATTTGATGATAAAGATTTGATCATTATTAATTGGCTAAGGAGGTGCCATAATTAGAGTCTAGGAGTCTTCTAATCCAGTTTCTCTCAGAGTATCTGCACTGAAAGACCAACTCCCCACCCACCCCCAATATGCTGCTAACCATTATTTTTTAGTAATATAATTGAACTACTAGAAAAATAAAAAAATAAGACGAAGAATTCCTAAATTGTTAATTTCAATGTACTTATTGTTTTGGTTGGATAACAAATAGCACATGGAACAGCTCCAGTCTCTGGATCACACTTTCAGTGTTGCTTGTGTCAATCATGACATATCCCTTCTAAAAGAATCATCCTCATCCAGAACATCTGCCATCTAAATTGCTATGTTTACTCACACAGGATCTAACCCTAACGCTAACCCAACCCAAACACTAACTCTTTAAATTTACAGCTGAATGGAGTGGGGCCAAAAAATAGATTGGCCAGCAATTTTTGAACTGTGTGGCCAGGCTGCAAAAGATGAGCTGGGCTCATCAGTATTTTTGTCTCTAGACTTAGATATAATATGCGAAGAAAAAAATTTTCTATGAAATTCCAAGGTTTGGGACATGGTTAAAATGTGAACGAGCAGAAACTTTGAGTAATCCGTGAAAGCTGGATTGGGGCAGGGCAGATAGAGGAATATGTGCAATGCAGCTGAGTCATATTAATAGTAGATGACTAAAGATTAAAGAACTGCTGGGCCAGTCACAGTGGCTCATGCCTGTAATCCCGGCACTTTGGGAGGCCGCGGCGGATGGATCACGAGGTCAGGAGTTCGAGACCAGCCTGGCCAACATGGTGAAACCCCATCTCTACTAAAAATACAAAAGTTAACTGGGCATGTAGGCGCACGCCTATCCCAGCTATTCGGGAGGCTGAGGCAGGAGAATCGCTTGAACCCAGGAGGTGGAGGTTACAGTGAGCCAAGATCACGCCATTGCACTCCAGCCTGGGCGACAGGGCGAGACTCCATCTAAAACAACAACAACAAAGATTAAAGAACTGTGCTGAAGCTGAAAAAGCTGCTAGAATTCTAGAATTACCCCCAGTACCCCTTAGCCCAAGGCATGAAACATCATTTTCTTTGAATGTCCTAAGATACAGATCCTACACTTCTTACAATGTACATCTATATCCTAGCTGGCACAAATATGTCTCTGAATTATTCAAGAAGCTTAGCTTAACCAGGACATAGTCCCAGGCTTTTCTTATTATGCCAAACAAGCTTATTTCAGAACCAATAGAAGCCATATTTGAAAGACAAGTTATTGGCATCCACATCTCAGCAATGAGATTGTAAACCAAACTGTGTTGATCTGGTGGAACTATCTTCTGTTTGCTACTAAAATCTGTCTCCTACATACCTACTTTTCAGTTTCTTTGTTTTTAACTTAGTCACAAAAAAAGAATAATTACAACATTTTTCATAGTTAATTATAGTCTGATTTTGCTCAAGGAGGAAATATCTTAAAATTTATACCAAATTATCTCAATAATGGATGAGCTCCCACAATTCATCTGCCCGCTGTATGTTCTCCGATTTGCAGAGCTTTTTAGAACCAACCCCTACTCTTTAATGGGCCAGACATGTGCTTTTAGTTGCACTAACCCAGACACACATCATATATTAATGGCTTCTGGAATCACCCCAGAAATCAAAGGTGTAGGTATGAAATTGAGTGCACAGTGATTTTCAAAACATGTTTTATTGCTTGATGCTTCTTTTTTTTTAAAAAGGAAAATGTTCAGATAGATTTTAACTCCTTAGCTATATTAAAATAGCATATTTGCTTCACAGTTTAAAAGTTTCTCTTAGTACAAAAATGAAATCATAGCTTCTTTTTTTATTCTTCAGTAAATTCTAAATTTTAAATTACTGCTAAATTAAATGGTTTGTGTCAGATGTTAACAATATGCGGCTTTAGATTAAAACAAGCTCCATGTAATCTTACTGAGCCAGTAGGTCATAGAAATAAGAGAAAATGTGCTTGAATCACAGGAGAGAAGGGATGTTGGATAGATCTGTGAAATCTTTATGTTGTAGTATCAGCTGATTGATAGCAGTGATTCTCAGAAGGGTTCCAATATTAAGCCTTTCAAAAGCTGGAGATTAGTGCAACCATGGTGAACACAGTGACATTCTGGCAAAGAAAAAAGGGTCAGGGCTGGCAAAATGTGGCAGGTGTCAAAATAAAAGGTTAGGCTCTATGCCTGGGGACCCATCTGTCAGATAAAAGTATGACAAGGCAATTAATGTGTTTATTTATGTTGCTTATGACAAACCATGCATTCCCTAAAAATGATCAATTTAAACATTATCAACTGTTTTCTGGAAATTAAAATTAATATAAAAATAAAATGCTTAAAATAAAAAGCATGGTGTAATATTGAAATGGCTTGTTTATATAACCAAATAAAGTTAACTTTGGGGAATTATAGTAGTCTTCATTGAAGGATTAGAACTATTAAATATAACATCTTGACAATATAGAGGTTATATTAAGGATCCACAAAACTGATGTTTATGTTGCAAGATAATCTTGGTAGCACTTCTCATAAGTTCAGCATGTTTTATATTCATTGAGCTAAATTTGATAATTTCATAATAAAATGAAGCCAAGAAAATTATGAAGAAATAGAATTTAGATATCCAAGCTATGCGTCTTGCATTTTCTTTAAATGTTTTGTTCACAACCTTGTCATTATTAGAGCTTTCATTTTCACTTTGTGACTAATCCTGACTTCTCTTTAATTTATTTATTATTTATTTAGCTTTCTCACTACTTCTGTTTCACCATCTGTTTAAACTAGAATATGTTTAGATTTAATATTCATCAGTGATACATTTTCCTACAGATAAAATAAATTACTACAAGCTCCTAAAATGTCATGTGCTTTACAGGTCAATAAAATGTAACCCAGAATTTTGAGAGAAACAGACTTTACTACAGTCTAAAGTTTTATGCAAAAACTGATCATCCCCATTCTTTCCTTGAATAAAGAAAAGAAGCTGTCAATTACCATGTATTAATAAGTGAGGCTCACACCTTATAGTAACAACAAAATTAGAAGAGAAATAATACGTATGTCTAGTGTAATGTGATATGCAGAAGAAAAATTTAAATTCTTTAATTGTAAAGGAAAAAAGCCAATATGATAATGTTATTTCCAAGGTGCACTTTCTGTCTGCTGAGCGATGAAATTAACAAGTAAAGCCATTGGAATAGTCAATAAAATCATTTGGCTTTGGAAAGAACAGAGGTATTTTGTTCAATAGTTTTGTTTTCTTTAGGCTGAGACAGCAATTATGCCATCATCATCACTTTCCATCTTTTAGAAGGATATTGGTTAAATTTTGAGTTAATGATTTTTTTCTCCCCAAGATTCCTTTCTAGCCCCTAACATTACTATAGTCTTAAACTATCTTCTGTTTGTCATACAAAATGGCTTCTCATAGAACAACACCAATGTCAGGGTAGGAGCTGAGGAAGAAAAAGTAAATAAAAATACACAAAATCCAAACTTTGTTATATGTTCCATTCAGTGGCCTTATACATGACTTACAAATTTTGTTTGAAGTTTAATTATAACTAACCACTATTTAATTCGAATTCACTGCTGGCTGTATTTCCTGATTCAGAGTTCCATATTGCTTCTATTGCTGGTTTTAATTTATTTGAACCTCAGTCTTCTAAATTGTCTCTATTTCCTATCCATTATTTTTTATTTGCCTAGAGGTACTTGAAAATGCATTCAGAAAAAAAAAATTCTTACTCACCATTTTGTACAACTCTTCAAAACTCTAGGATATGCTACATAATGTACATAATAAAAGTAGTAATTTCAACAGAAAATCAAGATGCCACTCGATTTTGCCATGGATTTATAAAAATGACACATCAGACAACAGGTAAGTTTTTTTTTAACTTATTGACCATGATAACAATCCATTATCAACTAGCTATTTCACAGGATATATTCTGTCTTTACATTGGAAGAAAAATATACAATGAAACTCATTTTATAAAAAGAAAAACCAATTTAATTTATACCTTTATATTTTCACAGAAGCATATGAGAAAAATTTGCTGGGTATCTACTCACTTCAATTCAAACATTTGAAGAAATTATGAAAATTCCGATGAGTTTTTAAAGTTTGTGCTTGCTCTGGTGTAGTGTAGCCATGCATTGATCTGTCATCACAGGTATGCTTTCATAAATTTCCCCTCAACCAATCAGATAGAAATTCATACCAATTTGCAAAATTGTTTTTCTTATTTTTTAAAGCTTAACACATGTAAGATAATTTGGGAAAAATAGATTTTCTCATTTATCATTCTTTCAATCCATGATAATGTTAAATGGTATTTTTGAGTACCTTTATTATTTTAACAAAGGATAAAAATTCTTGGTGTAAAATCGGTTAAATGAAGAAAGTACCCAAGTACAATTTTATTTATGTTGTGAAAAAAATGCTATCAGTTTGAAAAGTTCAATTGTTTCCAAATTGTTAAAATGAGTCCCTATCAATCATCAAATGTTTTTTTGTATCTGCATCAAATAATTTTGGATCTTATGCATTCTCAAGGTATCATCCCTATCTCAGGGCTTCCATATGTGTTTCTTGTATAGTCTATTGTTTTGTTTTATTTTAGTTGATCAACAACTTATATAGCACAAGGTAAGTATTATGTCATCCCCATTTATAGATGAAAAATCTCTGATACAGAGTGGGTAAATAATTTTTAAAATGTGAGCCCACCTTATTTTAGTAATAAGACTTCCTATCCATCTTCTTACTTGCTCAAACCAGAATGCTGAAGAACCAACAAGTCAAAATGTGAAAGTTGTGCCATAAGGTAAGAAAAAAATAAATATGTGATGAAAAAGAAAAAAGAAAGGAAACAGCAGCAGCAAACAGTCTAAAACAGCAAAGAAATTTGTCGGGGGCCAAACATAAGAATTTTAAGATGAAATGTGGCAATAAAATGCAAATAAGAAATAACACAAAGAAATTGTGAAAGCTTAAGGAAAAAAAGAGGATAATGGAATGAAAGAAGCATAAAACTTTTCCTTGACGTCTAACATATAACTTGTATAATTCTGAAAAACCATTTCCTGTATTAATTTCCAAAATAGTGTAAAAGATATCTGTGTTTCTGAAATTAAAAATGTTATTGACATTCATAATTTTTTATGATTTGTCAGGTGACTAGTTTATTATGTTAGGAAGCCATCACTGTATGATGATTTAGAGGATGGGCTTTGTAGACAACTGGTAGCTCAAATCCTGGCTCTCCTACTTCCTATTATATCTGTGATCTTGGCAGTCATGTGTCAGAGCCACCTCCTACTGGTTTATGATAGCTGATTGTGTGCATCTCTTCCCAACATTGTGCTCAGTGACATAATTGGTAGTTTGAAATCAGCCAAGATGAGATTATTTACACCTCTAAAATTGGCACACTAAATCAGACAATCATGGTTTTATTCCCTATGTACCAGCTTACCAGAACACCACTGGACTTTGGGCAAGTTTCCTAACCTTTATGAACCTAAAGGGATTTTTTTTTCATCTGAAAAGTAAAATTAAATACGACAGGTTCACGTAAGACTCTGAAAACCCTTCATAGGATGATATATTTTACATGATTCCTGGTACATAGTAAACTTCAATAATGGTAACACTGTAGTATTTTAATTCAGCCTATTGTATATAGAACATAGAACAGTTTCACATTTCTAACATCCTAGAAAGCGTTTCAAATAGTTCATCAAAATTCCAGGAGAGGAGGACTTGTAAAAATGACTTTACTGATTTTATAGATGAAATGGTTTCTCCTAAATATTATTAGATTTTTGTGAAGAAGATAAACAGTTACTAATACTTGAATAGTAAATTCCTTCTGTATGATTAGTTTAGAAAAAAACTGTTTCCTACAGTGATATATATAAGCTTCTCTCTCTCTATATATATACACACACACACACACACACACACACACACACACACACACACACACATATAGAAGCTCAAGGGCACTTCTTGAAGTTTTAACCCACTCCCCTGAATTAGATTAAATTCATGGCTTCAGTTCTTCAAAACTTCTTGATAAGTTAACATGAGTACTGATGCTAGCTATACGCCCCACTGTTCAGAAAGCTCTCATAGAAAATTCTGAGCCAGAGGCCACTGTGTCTATCATGATGACAGACGGTATGTGTAACTTGAAACTTTAAAGGTAGACACTGCAGGAAATAAATTTAAGGAAAGATTAAACAGTCTAGAGATAACCCTGCTTAGTTGCCTACTTAAAAACTCTCATCCAGGTAGTCTTCAATATGAATTACTCTTAAGATCCTTTTTTCATTTCTGGCCTTGGAATTTAATTATTTGTAATATTTTAAAATATCATACATATGCATTTTCTGATATAGCTTATAAATTGTAAAGATCATGTTATCATTAAAAATATTTTAAGGATCTAAGTAATTTTCTAGTAGAGAAAAAAAAACTACTGAAGTTGAATTGAAATGTAAGTCCTTTATTACTTCAAAGACTTTATGGTAGATTGTTTACAAAGAAAATTGAAATAATTTCTCCTATCCCTGTATGCACACATCTTTGCAATATGACTTTGCTGTTCCTCTCATCAAGAGCTAAACTTTATTTCTCTCCCCCTTCAATCTGGCTTTGCCAGCTGACTTGCTTTGGCCAATATGACACTAGCAAACCTGATGAGAGCAGAGGTTTGACAAGCACGTGCACATTAGGGCTTGCTGTCCTTGCTGCCCTGAGAGTGCCATGTGAAAAAGCTTGAGCTAGCTGCTGGGAGGAGAGACCACATTGGGCGGAGATGAACCATACCAGCTGAGGCTCCCTGGACCAAACACCAGACATATGAGCAAGGTCACTGTAGACCATTCAGCCCTGTATGACCTGTTTGCTAAATGGAGTACCAATTTATCACCCACAGACTCATGAGCAAAAATAAAATAAAAATTTTGTTTGGAACTGCGGATTGGCAGCCCATGGACCAAATCCAGTCCACTACATGATATTGTGTATTGTCTAAGGTTGTTTTCACACTACAGTGGCAGAGTTGAATAGTTACAGCAGAGACCATATGGCCTGGAAAGCCCAAAATATTTACTTCTTCCCCTTTACAGAATATGTTTGCTGATTCCTGTTTTTTGTTTGCTTGTTTGGTTGGTTGGTTGGGTTTTTTTGTTGTTTTTTTGTTTGTTTATTTTTATTTTTTATTATACTTTAAGTTTTAGGGTACATGTGCACATTGTGCAGGTTAGTTACATATGTATACATGTGCCATGCTGGTGCGCTGCACCCACTAACTCGTCATCTAGCATTAGATATATCTCCCAGTGCTATCCCTCCCCCCTCCCCCCACCCCACAACAGTCCCCAGAGTGTGATGTTCCCCTTCCTGTGTCCATGTGATCTCATTGTTCAATTCCCACCTATGAGTGAGAATATGCGGTGTTTGGTTTTTTGTTCTTGCGATAGTTTACTGAGAATGATGATTTCCAATTTCATCCATGTCCCTACAAAGGACATGAACTCATCATTTTTTATGGCTGCATAGTATTCCATGGTGTATATGTGCCACATTTTCTTAATCCAGTCTATCGTTGTTGGACATTTGGGTTGGTTCCAAGTCTTTGCTATTGTGAATAATGCCGCAATAAACATACGTGTGCATGTGTCTTTATAGCAGCATGATTTATTTGTTATTTTAAGACGAAGTCCAGGCTGGAGCGCAGTGGCCCGATCTCCGCTCACTGCAAGCTCCGCCTCCCAGGTTCACGCCATTGTCCTGCCCCAGCTTCCTGAGTAGCTGGAACTACAGGCGCCAGCCACCACGCCCGGCTAATTTTTCTGTATTTTTAGTAGAGACGGGGTTTCACTGTGTTAGCCAGGATGGTCTTGATCTCCTGACCTCGTGATCCGCCTACCTCGGCCTCCCAAAGTGCTGGGATTACAGGCGTGAGCCACCGCGCCCGGCCTGCTGATCCCTGTTTTAAGTCACTAAGATTTGAGGTGATTTGTTAAGCAGCAATAGATAAATGGCACAGAACTGTTTTCCAAAAGGGAATATGTCCCATTTTTTATTAAATGAATTAATTTTTATGCTCATAAAAAAATACAAGCCGTACCCACCCTCCCCCCCGGCCGCCCCCCGCAGGGCCAATAATCCTTCTATGGCTAAAAGATTACGATTCAGTTTGCATCTCTAAAGTACAGTTATGGAGACTGCTAGTTTTACACCACTATCTGTTTCTTCCCTTTTTCCACAATTGGAACTGGTCATGCACCCACCCAGTCAGGGAATACATTTCTGAGCTTCTATGTCAATTATGTGTGACCACAAGACTAGGTTTTCACTTCTAGAGTATGAATGGCAATCATGCATGGATTTCTTGGGCTTTCTCTATGCTCTTCTTCCCCTCTCCACTACCTGGAATCTATAGCAAACTGACTTACAATTCAGAGAATTAGAATGTCCTAGAGAAAGGAGGAGCACCAATGAGAGGAACCTTGATCACTTAAAACCTATGTAGAGCAAGGACTTTCCCCAACTTAAAACACTATAATGTTGAATCTTCCTTAAGCCACTGAATTATCAATGGATGTCATTTTCATAGCAGGCTACTCTTATCCTAACTAAAGTAATGGTTTTATACAATATACTTTGGCATCAGAATGATTTAGTTGGTAAAACATTGGATCTTGGGTCAAAAACTCTAGGGTACTTTGATAAACTCTGCCCCAATTTTCTGAGTTGGTCGGAGGCTTGTTACTTACAGTAACTGTGATTTTATTTTCCTAGATAAAAATATACAACTCCAGGTAGGCGAAACAGGAATTTCTAACACTGACCTTTCTAATTCCTAATTCTCCCAAGTAAGAGGGCTACAATAACCGGTGATTGCCCTAGGCATGTGTCATTTTAGTCCCAAGAAATGCTTGTATACCAACATACTGCCTTAGGGTAATGTAATGGGAAAATAATCAAGGTGAGTTTTTGGCATCTGGACAGCCACAGATAGCTTTCCCATGAAAGGGCAAATATACTCCATTTTGAGACAATTAGAACAAAATTGGGGGAGACGATTTTAGTTACATTCTGTATATACATTCAATGATGGCAGCCAGTAAGTCCTAAACTTCAGTGTGTATGAAGGGAACTTGTTAATCATGCAAATTTGAGGACTCTCCCACGTGCCCCAGAGATCATACTTCGGTGGAACTAGAGTTGACCCTATAATCTCAAGGTTAAATATTACTTTAAGTGATTCTTTTTTTTTTTTTTTCTTTGAGAAGGAGTGTCTGTCACCCAGGCTGGAGTGCAGTGGCGCCATCTCAGCTCACTGCAATCTCTGCCTCCCGGGTTCAAGTGATTCTCCTGCCTCAGCCTCCTGAGCAGCTGGGACTACAGGTGCTTGCCACCACGCCAGGCTAATTTTTTGTGTTTTCAGTAGAGGCGGGGTTTCACTGTGTTAGCCAGGATGGTCGTGATCTCCTGCCCTCGTGATCTGCCCGCCTCAGTCTCCGAAAGTGTTGGGATTACAGGCATGAGCCACCATGCCTGGCCTAAGTGATTCTTAGATAGTGACCCTTCTTTGAGAAACCACAGCCACAGCAGAAATTGAATTCAGATATTAAGATTCAGTTCAAGGAAATGCAGAAATCGAGATATGGCAGCAAAATCCTGGTGCAAAAGACTTAACAGAGTTTCCAAATGAGAAGCTTCTAGATTTTAAAACGTTATTTTAGGAATGATTTTATTGAAAAATAAAGAAGTTCAAAACAAAATTGTGAAAATGAAATTGGCCTGTTTTGCCTGTGAACTCCCTACTCAGCCTTCAGTATCCAATTTAAAAGTAACTTCCTCTGGAAGTTGTATTAGGTGTCACTGTTATGTGCTCTCATCATACTCCATAATTTCTGGTTCAGAGCAAATAGCACGTTGAGCTTAGTTATCTAATTGCCTACCTTCCCTGTTGAACTAAATACTCTGTAAGGAAAGAAATTGTGTCTTTCTTGCTCACCAAAATATCCCCAGAGCTTATTAGGATGCCAGGAATACAAGAGGTGTTCAACAAATAGTTGTCGAAGGAATGAATCTCTGAATGGGAAATAGCTAGCTGATTTTACCAGCATAGGAAATGGACATGAACAGTAACGAGACAAAGTGGAAACTGCCTAAAGGATGTGCTTATATAAAGCAGATGACTTAAGCAATATAGACCCAGAGATGTATTCAGAAAATAATACTGGGCCATGTCCCCTTGTGGGCATTTTACTTTGAAGGAAAGAAAAGTGGTAGATTTTAGTGCAGGGACAAGGATTGGAAGGTAAAGTCCTTATTCAGACCAATCTTCCTGCAGGGACTATACGTAGCTTTGGGAAAGGGACTTTGAAACACTTTGATTTTCTTTTCAGTAATATAATTATGGTACTTATTCTTTTATGTTATTAAATATTCTTTTGGATAACACTGAGGAAGGGGTGTTTGTGAGAAACAGCACTGGTATTTAGAGTTCCCAGCTATGAAGGAAATGCTCTTCACAGGTATTAGAGTACAACTGACTTGAAAAAAAATTCATCTCTCCGTGGTTATATTTCTACAAGAAGTTGTTTAAATTTAAGTAAAATATTAATATATGTTATTTGTCTAACAGTGAAAGAGAAAAAATCAAGAACAATAAAACATTAGAGAAGAAAATAGAAAAATCCTGTGAAAAAGGTCCAAATGCAGGCTGCAAAGAGGGGAAGCCAGTCCTAGCAAACACCTAACCAACTAAATGACCTGAAAAAAAAGTCTGTCAGCCTCTATCTACCTGGATCTCATTAGTAAAATTAGGAGGCAGGATGAAATAATTTATAAGGTTGCTATTAGCTTTAAAATTTTTATGAGTTCAGAGCCTTTAAAAACATGATGTCTTCAGCAGAAAACACCACTGTGAATTTTTTTTCAATATTCCTTTTAACTATAATGGAAACAAGTTAAAAATAATAGGTCTAATGTTCATAAATCCATTAAATATTTACTGGTCACTCTCTTGATGACTATTTTGATTTAATACATGGTATATATAAATCATCAATATTTTCAAGTTCAAAAATGCACAGGGAGGAATTTTATGGCTTCTGTGATGGCTTTGAACAAAAGTGTAATTTACTTCCTTGTTTGTGTAAGTGTTTATATACTGATCATTTGTCAGTAAGCCTGAGAATCTAAGCACAATATTATATATGCATGCTAAGTGCTTAGTTTATCATTATGATTTTCCTCTTGAATTTAAATTGTGTAATGCAGATAATTTAACTTTTCTAGGGTTCTCGTTTATTTTTAAAATGTTAGTGTCCAGGTAACAACCAGAAAAAAAAAAATTCTAAGCCATGTGGTATGCTAATACTGAAAATAAAATGAGTGTTATTTCCCTTGAGGGAAATGTAATTAAAGATAAAGGGGAGATATGCCTAGAATAATGACATTCACTATACATAACTAATAAGATAATATTGTTTTAAAATTCTGTAAATTTTTCTTATTTTACTTAATTTTATGTCCCTGCTGGTATTTTTGCTTTTTCATAAAAATTATCATTTATTTTTCTCAACTGCATATTGCCATCTTCATTTTTTAATTTTCTCACATATTCATAGAATTGTTCTCTGTAATAGATACTGTACAGTAATTATTTGTTGATCGATTAACCTTTTCAATGCTACTTCCGACACCTACTTCTCATCCTCCGTGTAACAGATACTGTCAGTTACCTATCCTTAACAGCCTTTCCACTCCCAACTTCTGTGAATGGACAAGAGATGCAATTGTGATCACTGAACATGAGGCAACATCTTCTAGGAAGACATTTCCATAGTCTTCAGACAAAAGGGAGAGATATCTTTTCAGACAATCTTTGAACAATCCTATATGAAGCTTACCTGAAGTTGCTGTAGCCGTTTGGCAAGTCTGGGGAGACTAACAGACACACTGAGGATAGCAGAAAATAAAGATAGAAACAGCCCAGGTTTTTGGTGAAATTCATGAGCTTCTGAATAACGAACCCCATACCACCCTACCTCTATAAAAGAATTCTTAATATGTGACATAATAAAATTTCTTTATTATTTAAGGCACTTTTAGTTGGGTCTTCTATTTCTTGCAGCTGAAATTCATACACTCATCATTCTTTTATTTATATTCTCCATATATATGAACTCTATATTCTTATAGAGTCTGGCTAGTCCAAAGTCTTAGGAAAAATAACAGACCAACAGTGTTTCTTTTGAGCTAGAAGCTGGTCATGGATGTGAGCACTAACCCAACCATATAATGATGATGACAACAGCTTACTGTTATTGAGTGCTCACAATGAATGAAAAGGACATCGTGCTATGAATTTTACATATATTACTTTATTTGATCTTCACTACAGACCTCTAAATTGGGGAGTCATAATATCACTTTTGTTAAAATGCAGAAAATATGTCAGAGCAATAATAAAACTGCCATGGTCCCACAGCTAATAAGTGAATAAATCCAAGTCTGTTGGGAACAAGCCAGTAATCATTACGTATCTCAACGCATGTGGATAATTGAGATATAGACTGTATATGGACATTTAGCTGTATGTAGCATTAAAATGAACAGAGTAGCAATTCATGTTCTCTGGGGTTATCACTTACATTGTCGCTCTGTGTGCTGACTATACTAATGGTTTGCAGGTTGAGGACCGGGGTATGTAACAGTATACAGTATATATACATAGCATATGGTAATTCAAGGAAGAATATTTAAATGACATCAAGTAATGCTGGCATTCCTCTATACTGATACATTTTTAGCACATTTTCACTGGTAGTTTCAAAATTATAGTTACATTTCTGACCACAATTAAATAAAACATGCCGAATTTCCCTGGACATTACCATAAAGCCCTTCCATATTGAAAGAAATCATGTAGTAAAATTGGAAAGCAGCTCATTAAATTGAATCAATGTTTATCGTTTTTTAAATTACAGTTCTTTTGACGGAGAATCTAGGAAACTCAGTGCAGTACGATCTTAGACCAAATTCAAGATCTGTTGTAAGTAAAGCTTGGTAACAAAATTGGTAAAATTCATTTTTTGTAAATAACTTTTTCAGTAATTAATGGTTTACCTTGCTCTACTTACTAGACATATACTTTAAAATCAATTTTTAAATTTTACATATTATTTTATTTTATAATGTTTAATACATAAAAATAATATGTGCAACTTACATAAAAGTAATGAAGCATGAAAATAAAATGGTCACTAACCCTCCAACCAGCTTATGAGGTAGATATTACGAATATCACTGAGGCTGTATCTATGCTTTCCTCCAAATCCCATCCCTCTGCCAACCCCAAAACTCAATTAGTATCCTAGATGTTAGGTTTATTGTTCCTTTGCTTTTGAAAATAGTTTCTATTACAAATGAATTTATCTCTAGATTTTGCACTTCATAGTTTGGTATCATAGTCAATGTGTTCTGCAACATGCTTTTCTCACTCAAGACTGTGTTTCTTAGGTTCATCATGTTGTTGCACATAGCTGTAATTTGTTCGTTTTCATGGCTACATAATATTTCTCTGAGTGACTATACAACTTTTCAAGTCATCAGTCAAATGATATTTTGATTCATTCTAGGTTTTCAAAAATTGCTATTAGAAATATTTCAATAATGTGTTTAATTATTTATATTTCCCAATTCCTTCCTGGTTAACATACCAACAATTAAAAGAAGTAAATTGAAGTCTCTCCCTGTGATTGAGAATTTGTCACTTTGTTAGTGGTGTTTCAGTCATTTTTGCTGTTTACATTTTGATGATATTTTATTAGCTGCACACAAAATAATTATTAACTCTTTCTGGTAAATTTGTTTTATATAATTGAGTATTTATCCACCTTATTACTTACAGTTTTTATTCCTTAAAATCTATTTTATCTCTATTTAATAGAACTACAGTAGTTTTAAAAATTTACTATTTGCCTGCTATATATATTTTCATACTTCTTTCAAATTTTCCATATCCTTAGGTTTTAGTTGTCATCATTTAGAATAGCCAATGTAAAATATCATTTTTGCTGATAGTTAGCCCATCTTGCATAAGCTTCTGGAAGATGGAAGCTGGAAGGTCCATCTGGACCATCTGGAAAACAGACCTTGAGGCAAAAGTTCATGTGTTACAACTTTCTTGAGGATAGAATTTTAGAAAAGCAAGAGGAAAGGAAAAATTAAGACTAAGGAGTATGTTCCTGAATTTTTTTTTCGCAGCCTTGCATGACAGTTGATTGCTAATTGTTGTAGGAAGTCTCCAGAGAGGCTATATGAAACTATTATAAAAAATAATTACAGGAAGGGATGGCAAACATTTATTTTCTGCCCCCCTCTGTTTTCTCCCTTTTATTGGTTAAAGTCTATTCATTTAGCATTAATGCCACCATATGCTGGGTGTATTATCTTGCCCCTTCAGATATATGTTGGAGAAGTCAAAGCCTCCATGTGACCAATACAGTCAATGGGTAGATTCTGTGTCCCTATGTCAGTAGATGCAGTGTGTGGAGGCTCCTAAATCTGTGATGATGGAGGTGGCAGTACCAGTGGCAGTATCCAGGACATCACAGCTGTGGAAGGTGTGAGTCTTCACTAGTGCCTCTCTTGCTCTACCAGAGAGGCAAGTGGCTGAGGTCTCGTGATGAAGGTGGTTTCAGGCAGAACTCAGGTAGCACATAAACTGAGCCTAGTACAGTCCATCTCTGCACCGCCTGGATCTGCTTATACTCAGTTTCATCTGAGTACAAGTGCTCTTACTTTTTATCTGAGAGCTGAGGTGCAAGTCCAATCTTTTTTAGGAGGTAGCCAGTTGCAGCAAACCAAGAAACTTAGAGTGTTAGCAAATCATAGTTACAGTCCGCACTACTGCAGCTGGTCTAGGGCTATAATTAAAGGATTTGAAGAAGAAAAAGTGCATAGACAGAGAGAAATTCAGAGAGAAGAGAAGATGGCATTATGTTAGGTTTCGAATATTTAAAACTTGTAAGGATTCAGAAGTTATATCATCTCTAGTTTTTTTCTTATTTTCATCCCCCCTCCCACTAACCAGATGTCAAACATTTTCTCCTTATTATGGAATTGATCTTTTTAACATTTATCCCTTCATGAATACTTTTAGAATGAAAAATATATTTTTTAACCTCGCCTAAATTCAGTGAGAATGGATTTGTTGTGTAATTTCTAAAACTGATTCTCTTATGGGCGGTACATCATGCAGCAAAATGCCAATTAGGTAATGAAGTTTCTCACAGTTCTACTCTGAAGGGGTGTGAAATGAAGCTACTGTAAAAAATGTAAAAAATAAAGGAAAGGAAAAAGAAAAACAACCAGAAAGCTAATTGTTCCAGATTTCGTATTTAATATAAGAATTACTTTGAAATGTTAAACTTAAAAAAGTTTTATGGACACAGCTTGATGAGATGGAATTCAATAGTAGAAGAGAGAATAAAAGGGTTTTAAATATATTTTAAAACATGCTCAGTGGAAGGGGGTTGAGAATAGCATTGTATGTTATAAAGTTGTGGGTACAAGTGGAAATTCTTGAACTTTGGAAAGGAACAAAGGGAATAGAGAAACAAGGGAAGGGGACAAAGGCAGTGAAACCATTGGAGGATTTTGTGAAGAGTTCAGATGACACTATTCTGATAAACATTACAAGACTATCACGAAGTCAAAGCATAGTGTTAAACAGGAATTTCAACAGTCAGAACTTCCTCCCTTGGCAAAGTATCTGAAAATATGTTAATTATTTTGATAATAGATGTATGCCCAGAAGAATGCCAGGAGAGCAATATCTAGGATGCCAGGTGAGTATATCTAGGATCAGTTTTCACCAATGTGGGAAAATGTTGGTGATACAAAAGTGACAAGACAATTAGAACAATTAGAAAAGCAGTGCCCATTTAACCAGTGGGGTTCTTCTCTGATTGCTGGTTTTCTGTCTGCTTCACGGACACCTTAGTGTTTCCTTTCTTCCAAGCAAAGGAGGGGCTCTGAGGGCAATTCCTGGGCTGGTGCTCTGGAAGAAAGCTCTAGTTATAGGGATAGAGTGAAAGTTACTCAGAGATGTTAGAATATAGAGTAGAGAAAGATTAGAAAGTGAAGAATGCAAAGGTAAGCTTGGAATCAAGTAAAACAATCTCAACACGTCCATTTGATGGCTAAGATAATGAAACTGGAACCAAGGCAACAGACCAGGAACCTGGGCCCTAGCTGGAGAGGTTTTTGAGAGCATTCCTGCACACTTTGCCTTGGAGGAAGTTACTTTAATGCTACAAGTAGCAGCCAATTAAGATACTAACCAACGCTTAAATTTGATTTTTTGTGTGTGTCTTTTTTTCTTCCCTTATTGCGAAAAAGTAATTTCAATGGTTTTTCTTATCCATGCATGCTAATAGCTCTCAAATCTAAAATAAGAAAAGAGCTTAGCCAGGGCTTGGTGGTGCACGCCTGTAATCCCAGCACAGTGGGAAGCTGAGGCGGGTGGATTGCTTGAGCCCAAGAGTTCAAGACCAGCCTGGACAACATGGTAAAACCCCGTCTCTACAAAAAGTACAAAAAATTAGCTGGGTGTAGTGTTGCGTGTCTGTGGTCCCAGCAACTTGCGAGGCTGAGGTGAGAGGATCACCTGAGCCCAGGGAGTTTCAGGCTGCAGTGAGCTGAGTTCATCCCACTGCTCCAGCCTGGGTGACAAAGCAAGACACTGTCAAAAAAAAAAAAAAAAAAAAAAGCCTCATCTCCTCTAGGTCATTTTTTTTTTTTTTTTTTAAGACGGAGTCTCACTCTGTCACCCAGGCGGGAGTGCAATGGTGCGATCTCGGCTCACTGCAACCTCCGCCTCCCAGGTTCAAGAGATTCTCCTGCCTCAGCCTCCCAAGTAGCTGGGACTACTGGTATGTGCCACCACGCCTGGCTAATTTTTGTCTTTTTAGTAGAAGCAGGGTTTCACCATGTTGGCTAGGCTGGTCTTGAACTCCTAACCTCAGGTGATAAGCCCGCCTCGGCCTCCCAAAGTACTGGGATTACAGGCGAGAGCCACCATGCCTGGCCAGGTCATATTTTCTTTGGGCATCTGACGGGCAATTCAGAGGTAAATGCTACAAGGTTAGGGTCATTATCTTATAGCCCAAATCTCTCTCCTTCTATTTAAAATCTAGACCTTTTAATATCAACATCTGCTAAATACTTCAAGATGGAATTATTCTTAATTACTCCTTCTCTCATGTTCTTCATATTTATTTGATCACCGATTACACTTCATGAACTTTTCATGGGTGTTTTACCACTCTTTATTCCTCCTACTCTTGGGCTCATCTCATGTGCTAGTCACATATTGTCTTCAATATTAAAATGTGCTTCCATACTTAGTCTTTATTCATATCAATGTATTCATTTTATGACACTAATATGATTGGGTCAAATCCTGCATGAAAAGTTTTGATGGTTTATCTTTTTGTTTATATAAGATAGCTGAAAGAAAAGAATTATTTCAATAGAGTGGATAAAATTCATGTGAAAAAATAAACACGAGAGAATATAAGCAAATCATGAAGACTGATGAAGGAGTACTCTGAAAGTTGTCTATTTTAAAATCGACCAAAAATAAAACAACAAGATACTGAACAAAACTGGAAATATACAACTATAGAATATAATAGAAATCCCTTTTATAAAAAATGATTAAAATATATAAAGTACATGTTCAAACAGTAGAAAAGATTTATGATAAGTGCTGTACGGATAGCTACTTAGCAGTTATATAACATCAGTTTAAATTCACATAGTACACAAAGAAAATTATGTAACAATTGAAATTATTTAAAACTAGTGGAATGCAGTATGTTATCAAGACTTTGGTGGGAAACGTTTCTGAGAAATTTTTTTTCAATTCTTTAGTAATCTTTTGATGTATGTAACACATAAAATAAAAGCATAGTCATAAGTATCCTTCTTGATGAATTTTTACAAAGTAAACATGCTTGTGTACCCAGCTTCCAGACCAAAAACTAGAACATTACCAGCACCCCAGAATTACTCTTCATGTTCTCTTCAAGGATTTAATAACTCCAAGGGTACTATCTCAAATTCTAAAAGCATAGATAAGTTTTGGCTGGTTTTGATTTTTATATAATATAGTCATGCAGTGTTTATTAGTCTGGTTTCTTTTAGTCAACATTATGTCTTTGGGTATTATCCATGTTGGTGCAGGTAGCAATAGTTTGTTTATTTTCATAACTTTCTAGTATTAAATTATGTGATATACCACAGTTGATTTACTCATTCTACTGGTGATGAATATTTGGGTTGTTCCCAGCTTTTTGCTGAAATGAATAGTCATAAGTATATGTTGTGATCATTAGAATGTTTGTTTTTGGGGAAGGGTGAATATATTACTCATTTCTGTTGGATATACCAAGGAGTGGAATTGTTGGTAATGCATATATGCAGCTTCAGAAGATACTGTTTAACCATTGTCTACAAGGTTAGGGTCATTATCTTATAGCCCAAAACTCTCTGTACCAGTTCATATTCTCACTAGCACTACAGAAGGTTTTGGTTGCACCACATCCTCACCAACACTAGAATTATCTGTATTTTTCATTTTATATGAGTGGGTTAGTAGGCATGTCAATCTGGTTTTAATTTTCACTAACTTGATGATCACTGGAATTGAGCTTCTTGTATCACAGCCATTGGTCATTTGGATATAATATTTTGTGATTTGTCTATTCAAGTCCTTTGCCAATCTTTCCATTGGATTATATACTTAAAAAATTGATTTGAAGATGTTCTTAGTTTATTCTATATAAGTCTTTTGTTTTACGTGTGTCTATGTGTGTAAATATTTTTTACCACTGTGTCTTGGTTTTGATTCTATGTTTTTAAATATTGAACATCCTTAAGCCTACTGTAATAAAACTTATACACTTAACTCTATTATCAATTTTATCATTTTTTCCTTTATGTAAAACTAGTGTGGTCTGTGTCCTGATTAATAAATCATTGATTCTTCCAACAAAAAATCCATTATTTATATTCTTAATCTCTTTGTTTTCATTTTAATATTTTGGCCTACAATTCTTCTGAGATTTACTTCTCTGTATGGCATGAGGTAGTTGTCAAAAATTGCAATTTTTCTGTATGAATATTAAATGGAATCAGTAACATTTATTCCCCCTGGCCCTGCAATGTCATCTTTGTCATGTGGCCAAATGAATGTGGGTCTCTTTTTGGACCTTCATTTGTTTATTTTGTCTATTTGTCTTTTTTCTTTTTTTTTTGCCAATATCACACTGTCATATTTACTGCAGTCTGACAATAAGACATGATAACTGGTAATGAAAGTCCTTCTGCTTTTTTCTCCTACAAGACTGCTTTGGCTAGTCTTAGGTCTTGGCATTTCTATACAAATTTTAGAATCGGATGATCAATTTCCACCAGAATGAAAACTTGTCTGGGATTTTGATTGGGAGTGCATTGAATCTATAGATCATTCTGTGGAGAATGACCATCTTATACACTGTTATTTCTTACAACTCTTGAGCATGTTGTATGCTATCTTTTATTTATGCCTTCTATAATTTCCGTCCACAAAGTTTTGTAGTTTCTAGGACACAGGGTTTGTACATATTTTATTAAATTATTTCTGAATAGCTTCTGTTTTATGCTGTTATAAAAGTTATATTTAAAATTTTTATATTATCTTTTATCTTGCTACGATATGGATAAGCAATTGATTTTGGTGTATTGGCCTTGTATTTTGTGACCTTGTTATAGTCACTTGTGAATCTCAATAATTTGTCTAGATATTCTTTTGGATTTGCTACATATGTAATCATATATTTCAAAAATGATGGTTTTATTTCTGCCTATAACATCCTTCTCCCTTTCACTTCTTTTTTCATGCCTTTCTGCACTAGTTGAGACCTCCAGACACTTTTGTCTCATTTTCAATTTCTGAAAATACTTTCAACGATTTACAATTAACTACAATATTTGTAGACACTTTATCTGAAGCTCTTATGTAGAACAGAAGACCTCATCTGTTCCTACCTTACTAATAGGATTTTTAAAATAAATGATATTTAACTTTGTAATCTATTGATATAATTTTATGTATTATTCATCTTTTCTGTTCATGTCGATTATATTAATCTATTTTTTATTGGTAAAACACCATTACAATTCATGCAATAAAACCCATCATTTTAATATATTGTTCTATTTGATTTTCTAATATTTTGTTCAGGAACTTTTTTCACCTGTATTCCTGAAACAGGTTGATTTAATGTGTGATATTAATTTTTTGTAATATTTTGCCAGATTTTGATACCAAGGTTATATTGGCCTCATAAAAAGAACGGAAAGTGTTTCCCCTGTTTTTTAACCCTCTGGATGGGTTTATGCTGGATTGGCATTATTTCTTCCTTAATATTTGGAAGAATTCACTGGCGAAGTCAACTTGAAAGAGTGTTTCTTTCTGCAACAGACAGGACCTACAGACCTATTTTGTTCCCGATATTGGCAAGTGGCTTTTCTCTTATTTTACTTGATCAGCCCTGTAAGTGATTAGAAATTTTAATCTTCAAAAACAGAAAGCAATTTTGTGTTTTGTTCAATTTCTCTGTAGTGTGTTTGCTTTCTACTGTAATTCATCGGTTTCTGCTGTTTATTACTTCATTCAGTCTAATTTTTGGGTGTAATGTGCTGTTTATTTCTTTTGCTTCTTGAGATAGAATCTTAGATATTGATTATCAGCTCTTTTCATTTTTTAATGTAAGAATTTAAGGCTGTAAACAAGTCTTTAGAAACAATATTTGGTATTTCAAAAGTTTTGATACACTGACTGTATCATACTCTATTTAGCACATAAGATTTTCAATATCCATCATGACTTATTTCACTCATGTATTATTGAAAAGTATATTGCTTAATTTCCAAAAGTTGGAGATTTTATAGTTATTTATGCTATTATTTTACAATTTAATTCAGTAGTGGCCAAGTGTATATTCTCTGAATTATTCAGTTAGTTAACATTTGCTAATAATAGCTTTTAGTATATATTGAGTATGCATTTAAAGATAATATACATTTTATGATATTTGTATGCACTGGTCAATTTATGACAATAAGTTATTTGTTGTGTTTAGATATTCTTTATTCTTACATGTTCATTTGTTTTATTGTCTAGGAAGATTGGTGAATTAAATTCTTTCCAGTGATTTTGGAATTGTTTCTCTTTTTTCTTCTGCCAACTTTTCTCTATCTATCTGTCTATCTATCTATCTATCTATCTATCTTCTATCTATCATCTATCTATAATCCGTCTATAGTAACATGTTAAGTTAGTGGGTATATACAAATTTATAATTTTATATGCTTCTGTTAGTTTGACGTTTTATCAGCATTTCTCTAGAAATTTAACTAGTCTTAAAAATCTAGTTTGTCTCACATTAATGTAATACCTAGCTTCTTTTTGAGTAGTGTTTTTATAGTATATCTTTTTCACATCTTTTTACAATTTGGCTTTCTGTGTTCTTGTATTTAAGATATGTTTCCAATAAACAGCATAGTTAGGTTTTATTTTTTAATCTTTTACTCAATACTTAATCCCTTTTAATTTAATATAATTACTGATGGGGCTTTGATAGGTATTAGCATACTATTTGTTTTCTATATAATCTACCTGTTTTATATTTTTTTGTGTCTTTTCTTATCTTCTTTAGAATTAATCAATTATTTTTCACGATTCCATTTTCCCTCTACTACGTTGTTAGTTATACGTTTCTTTTTTTTTTGTCTTATTGTGGATAATTATTAAAACATGCGTATTTGAATATAAGTTATTACTTTCTCACTGCCCAGACGATGTAAGGATCTTGGAATAGTTTGACTCAATTTATTCCACTTCTGCCTTTTGTGTTGTTATGATACATTATAATTCTGTATACATTGTAAATCCCCCAAGCCATAAGTATGATTGTTATCTAACATGGATATTTACTTATATTTACTTGTATACTTATCCTTCTTTTATTCATTTTCTTCTTCATTTTTTTCCGTTGAGATAATTTTTCTTCTATCGGATTTTTTTTTTTTAGTTTAGTTCAGCTAGGAACAAATTCTCTCACCATTTGTTTATGTGAAAATTTTTATTTCATCTTAATTTTCAAAGGATATTTTCTCTGGGAATAGGATTCTCTTTGATCAGTTGGATATTGTTTCATTGTCTTTTGGTTTTATTGTTTCTTTTATGAATGTATTGATGCTCTTTTAAGGCAATGTTTCTATTATTGTGACTATTTGTATGATTGTATTTTTGTTCTTATATGAAGCAGCTTTACTATTATATCTAACCTTCTCAGGTCTATCAGAACTTCTGAACTCAACTGTTGATGTGTTCCATCATTTTTGGAACATTTGTGGCCATTGTGTATTCAAATACTGCTCCTACCCCATTCTCTCTGTATTTTTCTTATGAGATCCAATTATATGCTTATTATATCTTTACACTGTCTTACATTTCTCTTATGCTTGTCTGTATTTTCATTTTTTCTGTACTTCAGTTTGCCTGATTTCATTAACTCATTTTCCAGTTTATTATCCTCTGTTCTACTGTCTAGTCTTCTTTTAGACACATCTTTGAAGGTTTTCATTTCAATTATTATATTTCTCAGTTTTAAAATTATTATTTATTTATGTTTACATATTCTAATTTGCTGGTGAAATTCTCAATTTTTTAATCTGTTTTCTCTTTTCCTCTATTTCTTTTAATATATTAATTATATTTACTTAGACGTTCCTGCCTGTTAATTTCTAATGTATTTATCATCTGTTATTCTTTCTTTCAGTTTTTAATCTTATTTTTAAAATTCATGTATTCTTGTTTTTGCCTGTCTGGTAATTTATAACTGAATGTTTGTCATTCATAAATTTTTGTCACTCTGGCTTCTCCATATGATATTATCTTCTTGCAGAGAGGGTTAAGCTTCACCTTTTTTTTTTTTTTTTGGCCAGGAAGACAGAGTGAGTAAAGTGATGGCTTGATTTAATCAGGGGCTGAGCTAAGTTAGGATCAGTTACAGCTTTGATATGATTTTTTTTTCTACTTCTGGCTTGTTCTCATTCATTGAACCCACCTACAACTTTTGTAGTAAAACTTAGTTTATTCACTTAGATTATTCTCTCTGGTAGGCTGTGAAATGATTTGTTGTTGTTGTTGTTGTTGTTTACTCAGTTTGGCAAGAGTGCAGAAATCTCCCATCTGTTTTTCAGAAGCTGTTCAGCTTCTTGGCTGTCACCTGTGTAGCTTCAGAAAATGGCAAATATCTGGTGAGGAAAATTTGTCAAGTGTCAATGTCATTCTATCCCTCCCTTCTTGCCAGGATCTTATCCCCACAGGTCTCAAATTTCATCTTTAAGCCTTGGAGTCTACCAAAGCTCTGCTCTTTTCTCTGTCCCTGGAGTTTGTTCTGCTGCAGGAGGAAATCCTGGATTATCAGACGCTTATCATGAAACCAGAATTGGCAAATATCCTCAGGAAAAAACTATGATCAGTCTAAGAGCTTGTCTTAGACTGTGTCTGCATCCAAAATCTTGAGTCTCCCTAGTCCTATTAATGCTTGAAGTTCACCAGTGCCTCCAGGCTGCTATAACAAAATACCATAGACTGAGTGGTATATAAACAACAAAAATTTATTTTTCACAATACTGGAGTCTGGGAAGTCCATGACCAAGGAAAAAGGTGTCTGGCTTATAGACAGTGTCTTTTCACTATGTCTTCACGTGGTGGAAAGAAAGAAGGACCTCCCGTGGGTCTATTTGATAAGGGTAGTAATCTCATTCATGAGGGTTCTGCCCTCATGACCCAATCACCTCACAAAAGGCCTCATCTCCTAACACCATCACCTGTTGGGTGAGGACCTCAACATATAAATTTTGATGAGAACACAAACATTCAGACCATAGAACACTTGTATAATTTTAATTAATAAACTTTATTTTAGAGCAATTTTAGATTTATAAAAAAATTGAGCAGAAAATACAGAGTTCATATGCACTTAAAAAAATCACCGTTTTTTGTTCTCAACAGGAATGTTGGTCCATTGCAAGGCATTCCACCATGCCAATAACTGGAATTACATCTGATGCAATATCTCTCAAGGTGATCAATACATTCAAAAGGAAACACTTAAAATCTAACACAAATTCTCCAAGTTGTAAATATACACATATATTTAAATAAAAAACCAGGAAAATATTTTCGCAAAAGTAAAAAGGGTGAATATCTATATATGGATATTGTATATATCTATACAAAGAGGTCATAGAAGCTAATAAAACATTAATATCTCAATAGCTAGTAGGATAGTTTATTAAAAAGTTTTAATGAGGAGGTAAATTTAATAACTAAATGTTTAAGAACCTGCTAGGCTGATGAGCTTATCAAAAATGAGAATGAAAATAAGTATTTTCTTTCCAATCAAATCAGCTCTGATGACTGCTAGACTCTGGACTAGGCACTGGACTCTGATCTGTACTGCTAGCAATTAGCTGAATTTTGCTTTAAACTGAAAAACAGTGCCCTGAAATCTTGATGGTACCACCTACCTTACCACAGGAATTACTACCATCTTGAAATTGTTGCTGACTCTGTTCCAATCTACTGGCTTATACTTTGATATTCTCAGAACAAATCAAGCCTGAGTTTGCCATATCCTTTTCGACCATGATTTGGTTTGCTCACCACTATTCTTGGTGTTTACTCTGTGATCAAATGAATTCTTTATACTTTCCCTTCCCATTCCTGATTTTCTTCTCTTTCTATAATAAAATCCTATTATTACTAATATTAAAGTAAATATGGGTTATGATAGTATCCACCATAAATGTGTCAGTGGTAAAACTGGCAGTTTCAAACATTGCTAGTGCCAAAGCAAACTAGTAAACTACGTTAGAAAAGCAGAAAAGTATAATGAAAGCAACTAAATATTCAAAAATAAGAACGTGATTAGGAAAATTGTTTATCAGTTTTATATATTTTTATACACATTCACTTTTAAATGACTAACAAAAATATTCAGAATATCATGGATAAAATAAAGACGCAAAAAGTCAAATAAAACATGTAGGGGGAAAATAAAATCAGAGCTAATATTAGCACAAAAAACATACATGGGATATTGTGTTATAGGGTTTTAGAGATAAACTGGCCTCCGCTTTTTTATCTTCCCACCAGCCAAGACGAGAGAAAAGCACAGTCAATTATAATGCCCACAAATGTCTGAAAGATAAAACAGACCAGTTGATTAGAAACAATATGGTTTGTACTGAAACATGAGAGAAATTTCTGCATAGATAAGTTCCCTTCCACATAGATGCAACCATTTTTCAAAAATATTTTGTAAGAATCAAACTCCTTTTTCAAAAAAAGTATCACACAAATCAAATTCCCATCATTTAAACCAGTAAAATAGATAAAATGGACCTGCTCAGATATAAGGAAGTTGGTAGGATTTTCTCGGGAAAGAGGAGTCTAAAAAATAATGAAAAAGTGCAGAGGAAAGAACACCAACATTCAGATTAGGCAGACTAGTACAGACACCAATTCAATCATTTACTGTCTGAGACTGAATCTTTTTAAATCACAACTTTCTAAGCTTTGAAATTTAGAATTCCTTCCTTACAGGGTTACGAAGCTTAAATAAAAGACAAAAATTATGTAAAACACCTGGTACATAGAATGTGCCAGAAAAAGATTGATTTCCTTTCTTCTTCTCTGCTTTGGTGATTCATATCTCAAGATTTTCTTAAGCTGATTTTGTTATTGTAATAGATTTCTATATTATAGGCAAGAGTTTTGTAGGCCAGAGTTTATTCGGTAATTAATTAAGTAATAATTAAGGTCCTAGTACTTATGTCAGGTACTTTGCCAGGCACTGTACTAGGTGCTGGTATAATTATTAATCTTATGATTATTAATTTTCTTTTACAGCTGTAGTTATATTCTCTTTTTCATATATAACATTAAAGATATGCATCTTCTTTTTTATTGATTTGTATTTTCTGCAGTTTATCTCTTTTAATGGTCTTTTGAAGAGCCCATGTTCAAATTTAATAATTCAACTTGTTTTTCATTTATAAATTATTAAACTACATTTGTATCTTTATTAATTCTTCCTTGCTTTTCTTATACTCAGTTGGAAGAATTATTTCTAGCTTCTTAACTTGAATGATAAACTCATTCATTTTCATTCTTTCATGTTTAATATACATTCATTAAAGCATTCAATTTTCTTTGGAGTTAGGTTTGGCAATATTTTACCGGTTTTAAACCTTCCGTAATTATACTTTTGATTTCATCTTTTATCTGAGTTAAGAGAAACTTTCTGTTCAGCAGAAGCTACTGGTTGCTCCAGCACCTCAATATCAGTTAATCTCTTCTTATATGGTAACATATTTTTAGCTGAGCACGTGACCACCAGCCTAAAGAGTGCTACTTCCCAGGGTCTCTTGTAGCTGGGTTTGCCATGTAACTAAATTCCATGAGGAGATATGAGTGAAAGTGATGGAATGATGAAACGGTGCAAACTCTTACTCTGAAAGGAAAAGTGTGTCTTCCTCACCTTAATGCCTGAAATGCAGACGTGAAGGAGACAGGAGCTGAAGCAGCTACTTTGGACCCCAGGGTGGAGATGGCTGGTGGAGGTGTGTGGAATAAGCAAGTATTAATAGAAGAAGCCTGGGTGCCTGACACCAAGGAGCTGCCCTATGTTTATAAAATAATTGTTCATGAGAAAGAAAGAAATTTCTATCTCATTTAAAACCCTTTATTTTGAAACCCTACATCAGCAACTGTAATTATAACTAATACGGTTAATAATTTTTAGTTACATTGCATTGTTATCAAATAATATATAATGTACGAAGTCTGCCTGGAATATATTGAGACATCTTAGGTTACCTCATAGATGATCAGGTTTTGTAAATAGTTCCTGTATTGTTAGTTTTAAAAGTTATTTAACTGTGTGTGTATGTGTAAGTTTCATATGTATTTACATGTGGTTCAATCTATCTAATCAATCACCTTACTACTTTCCATACTATGCTCTATAAAGCACACTTCTATGGAATATTAATAGGTTCACCTCAAAATAAAAAGTTAAATCATCCCTGTGTGCTCTACTTCCTGCTTTTATTGTAGTGGTAAATGACAGACTCTGGACCATACTGTCAAATCCTAGCTTCCTTAATATACAGGCTGTGTGAACCAGACAAGTTATTTAATCTTGCTTTTCCTCAGTTTCTATGTATAATACAGAAAATAATAGTACTTATCTGATAGGATTGTTAGGAGGATTTAAGTGTGAAACACTTAGAACAATGCCTGGCAGAGAGTAAGCACATTTTGAAAGAGCTATATATTGAGACATTGCCTATAAGAGGTTCTGAAAAGTAATGAAGTAATGGAATCTGCTTAATATTACTTACCCGAGCATTCCCAAAACTTATTTGAGTGGTCATAACCAGTTGGGGGAAAATAATGTGTTCATGGGAGTATTGGTTTTGGAAATGTTAAACTAGATTATTCAGCTCCGCTGCATATTGGGAATTTTTCACCTAACATGGGATACATGAATGCCATTTAGAAGTTCTTTAAATCCTTGGAAATTGATGAATTCTATGTGTATATGCTTGTTTATCTGTACATATTTTCTGAAGACAAGACCCATGGATTATATCTGACTCTCATATTTTATACTTTACAGAAATATCAGAGACAAAAAATAGGTAAATCTTCTACTGTTTTAATATTCTTTTCTTCTGTTTCTGGTTGATCTCCAAGTTCAGCCTGTACGTTATTATTAGGCTTTTTGGATTTTCATCCTGTTAATATAATTTTAAATTTCATCACCATCCTTTAATATTTTAAGTTACTCTCTTACCATTTCATATGAACATTGTCTCTTAACATAGTTTTATCCTTCTTTTATTAAAAATAATGCTTTCTTGTGTACTTCCGTGAGTGCTAATTGTATTCTGATAGTATTTTTTTCTGGTTCCTGCAGCAAATCCTTTCAGAAACAAAATTCTTCTACTAAGTTATCCAGAAGCTCTTTTCTTTCTATTATTTTTTATTGTTTTCACGTATTCAAGTTTGGCCTTTATTTTATTTATTTTCCTCATTCTTAAAGAAGACAATAACTAATTACACTTACAGTGTGTCAGTTAAGATGGTGAGCAAACCGTCTTGTCCCAGCACATTTTCCAACAGTGATTCTGGAAAACCTTTTCAGACGTAAATTTGACAGGGAGGATAATACATGTATATTTCCCATACATTTCAGTTTCTATCAGATTTTGCCTATTCCCTTCCTCCTTTGAGAGGACATCTTTTTATGCTCTTGATTGATACTCTGATACTCCATAATAATGTAAATATCTTTGTATAACATGTAATTGACTAGGATGCATACTGAGCAGAGGTTTTCTGGGTTCTACAACTTTCTGTTAGGACATACTCATAGATTTTATATATCTGAAAACCACTGTGCCATCTTCAGTATCCTATTTCTAATTGTTTGCTTCTTTAGAACTGAAGTCTGTACCTGAATATGGAAAGCTGTAGTTGGGAGGAAAACGAAACAATATTTAGTCCAATTCAATTAACGGTATCTCAGAAATAGAAAATGGGAAGTGCCTTTCTTCTGGATGAAATAGTCTCTAAGAGCAGATTTCATGATGTTTCAAGGTATGAGCATTTATCCAGACAGCCCTTTTATTTCTCACATCAATAGCTTCAGCTCACCATAGGATAAAACAACTAACTTCCCCTCCAAAAAAAAAAAAAAATCTGTTTCTCTTTCTGTATTCAAAACTTTGGCTTATATATTCAACTTTCTTCAAGTCTTCCACACTTGAGAACTTGTAAAGTAGCCCACGAAGCCATGTGGTATAGTGTGAAGAGCAAGATGCTTAGAAGCAGATTATCTGGTTTGAAAACCCAGATCTGAGTATGATTTGCCTGAATCTTCATTTCTAGAATGTTGTAATCTATATAATAATTATATCTTCCCTACCAAGGCCAAATAATTTTCATAGTGATTAAATGGGAACCGATACTATTTTGAAATTACGAACTTTAGAAAACAAATATATCAAAATTTTCAGGGTGCAGCTAATACAGTTGTAAAAAGGAAATTAGGTCGGGCGCAGTAGCTCACGCCTGTAATCCCAGCACTTTGGGAGGCCGAGGCGGGCGAATCACGAGGTCAGGAGATCGAGACCATCCTGGCTAACAGAGTGAAACCCCGTCTCTACTAAAAAATAGAAAAAATTAGCCAGGTGTGGTGGCAGGCGCCTGTAGTCCCAGCTACTCGGGAGGCTGAGGCAGGAGAATGGCGTGAACCCGGGAGGCAGGTTTGCAGTTAGCCGAGATCGCGCCACTGCACTCCAGCCTGGGCAACAGAGTGAGACTCCGTCACAAAAAAAAAAAAAAAAAAAAAAAAAGGAAATTAAGCATCAAATGTCTTTATTAAAAAAGAAAGTTCTCAAATTAATGTTATAAATTTCCATCTTAACAATACATAAAAAGAGGTACAATTTCAATTCAAAGAAAGCAAAAGAAAGGAAACAATACAGATAAAATCAGAAATCATTGAAATAGGAGACACAAAACCAATAGAGGAAAATCAGTGAAACTGAAAGCTAATTATTTGATGAGATCCATAAAATTAATAAACTTCTTGCCAAACTGCTCAAGTAAAAACAGAATGAACACACAAATCACCAATGTCAGAAATAGAGAGAATATAACTGCAAATGACATGAAAATAAAGGAAGAAGAAAAAATATTATGAAAAACTGTTGCCAATAGTTTTCATAAATCAATGAAATGGACAAATTCCTTGAAAGACAGAAACCTCCAAAGCTCACTCAAGAAGAAGTAGCTCTGTATCTATTAAAGAATTGGATTCTATTAGTGAATTCTACTGAATATTCAAGGAAGAAATAGTAACAATTCTACACAAATCCTTGCAGGAAACAGATGAGATAGAAAGACATTTAAACTCAGTATTAGGCTGGCATTATCCCGCACCTATACCAGACAAGACACTAAAAGAAATAAAATTTCAGACAATATTACTCATGAATATAGATGTAAAAACCTGTAACAAATACTAGTTACTAAGATCTTTACCAATTTTATCTGTCCAAACATCTATTTGTATGTGCAATATTTTTATTTCAATCTCTGCAACATCATCTACTTCTTGCTTTCCATTCATTCTGTTCTTGTCCTATTTCAGTCTTATAACAATCATCTGGATTATTAAAACTTTCCAACTTGTCTCCCACACCTTCACTCCATTCTTTTCACTGCCCTCTATCAGAGTTTCCTTCCTAAAATTCAACATCTCTTTTGATAGTTTTACAGGATTATTTAATATAATTAGTATCCTTTAGTCCAATATTTGAAACTACATCACTATACTGTTGTATGCTCAGTTGTGGAAACTCCCTCATCTTACTCCATCTTTCTAATATTAGTGCCTTTACTTCATTATATCCATTACATCAAATCTTAGACTGTTAAAATCTGACTTCTTCCCCAATTTTAATTTCTCCAACTTTAGGTACCAATGCTATTTGGTTTGAACAATTATCATATTTCACCTTATATAATAGCTGAATATAGCATTTTTGTTTTTGTTTACACATATTTGGAACAAAGCAGATGATACCAGAGTTTACTCTCTATGGGTGGATGCCTGGCTTTGTAATAAGACTATACAACTTAAGATTGTTGTACAGTATACTTAATGATGCTCTGTCTTCTTGTCATTTAACATAGTATAGTATGCACATAAATGTTAGATTATTAATAAATACTTGATGATGAGATCAGACAGATTTAGTGGTAGATTAGAATAAAGCTTGACATATCTGCCTCTTCTTTCAGATGCAAGCATCATTTGGGAATATTTGAGCTTGTTTCTGTCTCTATTTAGCAGCACCTTTTAAACTGAAACCACACGTCAGTATGTGAAGATTTTCCAAATGCCTGGTTCTGTAATTTTCTTGTCCAATGAATAATAAAAGTATTTTCATACTTGTGGTTAGTTAGTTCATGGCTATCTTTACTTACATCCTTAGTGATCCTTGATCCTATTTTTCCCTTCCCGACTCCAGGCTTGCATAAGCATGCTTCTTCCATACAGTGGAAGAATGTCCTTAATGCATATAACTATGATACCGAGTTTGAATATTTAAAACATTCTTTTATCTAATGCATACACAACTTGGGGCAATGAAGTTTCCACTCAACTACAAGAAGTATTTATTTTTCCCATTTATTGTAAAAGATACACATCACTAATGTGAATATATACCAGCTCACATGCACAGAGGGAACTCATTTTAGCATAATTTCTTATGCTGCCTAGAAAATTCTTACCTTCAATTTGAGAGGATATAGCTTAAGAAATACCCCTCTAAATATTTCATTTAATAAGTAAGCACTTTCATTCTTTCTTCTATTGTTAAGGTTTATATTCAAAAACCACTTTTAAGAGGTATTATAAAAAAGATAAAAACATTCGATATACAACAAATTACCCTTAATACTTCCCAGGAATCAGATATAATTTGTACACTAGAAATAGAAATGTTGAGTCAAAATATCATAAATCACAAATTTAGAATTTAAATTTTAAATTTAATTTTTATTATTTATCTATTTTTACTTCAAAATAAAATCACCAAAAATGACATCAACATTCATACCTTCTGACTGTGTCTAATTCATAAAATAGAAAAACTAGAATCCATAATTTTCACCAAGTTCAAATAAGCAGCATGCCCAATAGACAAAATTAATGGACATATTGCACTTCTTAGAATTAATTTAAAAATATGTATTGAGCACCTACTATGTGCCAACCATTATGCAGGAGGAGATGAGCATTTTCTCAGTAAAATATATAAACAAATTTAGTTTTAATTTTAAAAAGAAACCTTTACTGAGAAAATGTAATCAGTAATTTGTCTCTCAACCTCAGAACAATTAAGTTGTCCCTGTTTCCAAATAAATATCCAATTGGAGAGTTTCCAACTTTCCTACACCTCTATTATATTATGAATAATGTTTCTAGCCCACTAATTTTGCTGCTAATCAAACATTAAAAACAGATTCTTTATACTTTCAGATATGCTTTGAAAAAGGCCCCCCCAACATATGCACCAAGGAATTATAAGTTCATTAGTACACCGTTTTTCAAATCTTAGATTCACAGTTCATTATGCTACCTTAGAGATAAAAATACAATTTTACACTTATATGACACTAAAAAGAATTAGAATTAACATCTGATTATGAGTTATAATTTTGAAATTAATCTATAGACAGCTCTAATTTAAATATTTCAAATCAAAAACTACCTTTAATATTTTATCACAAACTATACTTTAAACCTAAATTATACCATTTAGAGTAATGCTTTTCAAAAACATGTAGCATTTCTGGATTTTAAAAGAATTTCCATACTTTATAATATAGATTCTAATGTATACAAACCTAAAAATAAATACAGACTTTGCATTTTAGAAACATTCACCATGCTTCTTATTTGATTCATTCTTTACTCAGTTGAAGTTTGTGGCTACGTATTTCTTCTCTTTTTTTCGTTTTCTTTTCTTTCTTTTTTTTCCTTTTTTCCTTTTTTCTTTCTTTCTTTTTCTTTTTCTTTTTTTTTTTGAAACAGAGTCTTACGCTGTCACCTAGGCTGGAGTGCAGTGGCACGATCGAGGCTCATTGCAATCACGCCTCTCAGGATCAAGTGATTCTTGCGCCTCAGACTCCGGAGTAGCTGGGACCCCAGGTACGCGCCACCATGCCCGGCTAATTTTTTTTTTTTATTTTTAGTAGAGATAGGGTTTCACCATGTTGGCCAGGTTGGTTTCATACTCCTGAGCTCAAGCAATCTGCTCGCTTCGGCCTTCCAAAGAGCTGGCATTACACGCATGAGCCACTGTGGTTGGTCATGGCTACATATTTCAATGGGAAATGAATTACCTGTAATCCAGTGATATGACATAACACTACAAATCACAGAAGCACATACAACATCAATTCTGGCCATAGAAAATGCCTGAAGTAGTTATCATATGCCACTAAAGCACAGATCAGCACTGAGACCAATTCATGAAATTTAAGCACTAAGCCCTCTAAAACACTTTACCTAATTTGGAAAGACTTCCCCCAATTTCAGTAAAGTTTTATAGAACAATATATCCAAGTTACATGTTAGAAGGAATCCAAACCCAGCTCATCCTCCTAGAAATATAAATTGAACAGACCTTATGGATCTGCTTTTCTCGCACTAACTCTGGCCATAACTGTTTACTAGGCACTGTGTCAGACCATTAGATAATATATTTGTGTATAAACAAATTATTTGTTTACAAAGCCTATAGTGGTAGTAAATCCCAGCAAGATATTTTTCTCTTAGTTCTTGTGATACAGTCTATGCAACTGCAAATAACAATATGAAGTACATTGACATAAGATACTCTAAAAGAAATTTAGGGCTAAAATAAGAATTGGGGAGGATTTTTTCATTTTCTTTTTCATCCTGACTCAATTATTTCTTTAGTACCCAACTGATTTTTTTTCTTAAAAATCTTTTCTCCTCACAAGGAAATACAGCTAAGTACATAAGATAATGCTCTGCTATTTACTCTCTTGGCAGAATATTAAAAATCATGCTCAGAATAAAAAATCGAAAAGAGAAAAACACATATAAACATATACATTCACAAAAATATTGCTAAGGAAAGTCGTTATAAAATGTTCTTCAGGATATCAAAGGTCATGCATGTAAAAACCATACATCTCTTTATTTAATATATCATGGATGAACTCAGGGGATCATCAAAGTTATTTGAGTAAATGATTCGATATTTGGTCAAGAAAATTTGATATTATTATGACATCATGTGAAAACATTTGACTAAACTGCAAAATAAGTGTACTTACTGCCATTTATTTCATTATTTTACACTTGAAAATATAAAATGTGAACTAAAAAAAATCTCTTTTGAATACTGGAGAAAGCTACTGAAAATACTGGATGTCAGGAAGTCTTTTAAAGATTTTGTCTAATCTTTCCCTCTTCTACTATGAATTGCTGCCAAATTCATAATTCTAAAACATGACCTAACCATGTAATTTCCTTGTTATCTTTGAGTAATTTCATAAAAATCCTTTTCACCATCCAGTGTGATTATAAACCAAATCCTGTGTACCCTTCTAAGATGGCGGCTTCCTCCACTAGAATGTTTTTGTTGTTCTTTTATGCCTGGCTCATTCCGACCCTTTCCTTCCGATCAGTTCCTGAAACTGAGTGTGTTGCATCTTCCTTGTATCACACAGCAAGTCCAAATTTCTCCCTTGCTTGACTTATTGTAATAATTGGAAATTATTCCTTGAAAGATTGCATGTCATGATACCAGTAACACCCAGTAAATTAATATGTTCCCAAAGTTCATTGATAAGTTACTTGTTGGAAGTTGAAGAATTCATTTGCCTAAAAAATGCTAAGTATAATTAATATTCCAGCCATATTTTGGATAATCTGAAATGTAGCTGAAACATATTACTGATAAAAACATAATTTCCAAAATTCTTATGAAAAGATGTATACCTGTAATCTCAGCACTTTGGGAGGCCGAGGTGGGTGGATCATCAGGTCAAGAGATAGAGACCATCCTAGCCAACATCATGGACCCCCCCACCGTCTCTACTAAAAAAAAAGAAAAAAGAAAAAACCCACAAAAATTAGCTGGGCGTGGTGGCATGCACCTGTACTCCCAGCTACTCCGGAGGCTGAGGCAGGAGAATCACTTGAACCCAGGAGGCAGAGGTTGCAGTGAGCCGAGATCATGCCACTGCACTCCAGCCTGGCGACAGAGAGAGACTTCGTCTAAAAAAAAAAGAAAGAAAGAAAAAAAGAAAAGATGTAGTACACCATAATCCAGCTCAACAACTGGAAGTCAAACGTTCATCACTCCTTCATTTTCTATTTTTTTGTGCTTCCTTGTCAAATTATGTAGTGCTGGATATATAGCAGGTGCCATGGTTTTTTTATTGCTTCAAAACTAAATTCTCAAACTTACTGGCTTGAAACAACAACTATTTAATTTGTTTACAATTTTGCAGTCTGTGCTGGACTCAGCAACTGATTCTTCTGCTTGTCTTGCTGCTGGTCACTTCTGTGGGTGAATTCAATTGGTAACTCTGCGGTGGGCAGGTCGGGAAGTTGAGAGAGCTAGGCATCTTTCTTTTTCCATGTAGTCACAGGTTCTCTCATTCTGCTTGGTGCTTCTCACATGCCCTTTCCAGAAGCATAGCTGTATTTCTGCCTGGAGGCTCAGAGCTCCTATGAGTGCAAAAGTGAAAACTTCCAGACCTTTTAAAGCTTGGTCCTGGAACTGGCACTCTGACATGTTCTTTTGATTAAGCATGTCATTGGTCCAGCCCAGATTCGATGGGAAAGAATTATACAAGGGGATGAATACCAGGAAACTTGTTCACTGGGGGCCATGAACGGAACAGACTGCCAGAAGGCTTAATCACTACTTACTGAGTTGGCTGCGAGAAATATAGAACAATGTATTCTATTCTTTAATTGTTGGGGGAAAATGAATTTAGCATTTTGGTAACATGCAAAAATCAACTAAATGGAAATTAAACACTTTGGTATGTACAGAGTGTGACTTGGGTTTTTTGGTTTTTTTTTTTTTTTTTTTTTTTTGAAAAAGTTCCACTTCACCACAATATCCTACCAATGGGAATTAAATTAAGAAATTTTCATTTTTTCTGTGTTAATTCCTGGTTTATAATGCTGAATAATACTTTAGAATACTATCCCACATACTTGGAATAAGGATGCAAAGCACTTGCTACTTTCTCCTAACCAAATATTTGATTTTATGTTAGCCTCAATTTCATAATTTTATGAGACCTCAGAAAGCAATTCATTAGCATCACAAAGAAAAATAATTAGTCAAAGCATCCCAAATAATGAGCTTGCCAGGTTAATGTTTAAAGATACCACAATTACTTGTTATTTTTTAACCACAATGCAAATGTTAGTCCTAACAGCTTATAATGAATAACTTCAGAGTAAAGTGGGAACTTTAACACCTCCTTCAAATTCCACCCTGTCCGTACCTTTATAGGAAAAAAAAGTGTGCTGGTTAGCATCTTTTGACTGCAAAGGCCACTCAGTAAGGTAATCTAAATAATGTTAGATAGTCAGGATGAAGATGCAAAATATAAATAAAAACAACAGTCTCAAAGACTGTGACATTTATAGGTCTCAGAGATTATTTAAGTCTCAAAATATTTCTAGGAAGCAGATCTTATCAGTCCCAGAAAGTTGTCAGTTAACCACTATTTCCTTTCCATACTTGTTTTTTCACTTGCAAATTTTGAACTCTACCTTCTATCTTTTCTGTCTTTCAGTTTCTGTTGACTCCTACATTTGTCTATTAATTTCATCTGGGATGTTCGGTGACATTAGGAATAGAACATTTCTTAATTGTGCAAGACTCTTTCACACACTGCACAATATTGATTCATCCTCAGACACTAAATGCTTGTGGCACACATGGTCATTGTGACACCTGAAAGTACCCCAGCACCTTGTCATCTCCCCTAGAAGGTGCAATAATCATTTGCACTCAGGGAAGAATAACATAGAACAACATGAGTTTTCTGTTTCCTCTCTGGCTAACAACTAGCTAGCTATCATTGTTTGTAACAGATGAGAGTTCACAAATATTGGTTGTTTTAGATGATTACATTTATTTGATTGACTAAAAATTAAGAGAACATAATCTTAACACATAATCCAGTAATAGTGCTTCTAGGTGCTTACCAAACTGATTTGAAAACTTATGAACATACAGAAACCTGCATGTGAAGCACATGATCATTAGTCATTAGAGAAATGCAAATCAAAATCTTAATGAGATATCAAATCACACCCATTACATGGCTATAATAAAAAAGATGGACAATAACAAGTGTTAGTGAGGAGGTGGCAAAATTGCAACTCTCAAACATTGCTGGAGGGAATCTAAAATAGTACTGCTGCTTTCAAAAATAGTTGGGGAACTCCTCAAAGAGTTAAGCAAAGAGTTACCATATGACCCAGCAATTACAGTGATAGATATATATCCATGAGAAATGAAAATATATGTTTATGCAAAAATGTGTACATAAATGATTATAGCAGCATTATTCTTAATAGCCAAAAGTGGAAACAATTCAAATGTCCAACAACTGACGAAAAGATGAAGTGTGGTATATCCATATAATGGAATAATATGCAGACATAAAGTGGAATGATTGACACATGTTTACAACATGGATGAACCTTGACAACGCTGTGTTAAGTTAAAGAAGCCAGACACAAAAGGTAATGTATCATTTGATTCCATTTGTAGGAAATGTCCAGATAGGCAAAGCTATAGAGACAGAAAGTAGATTAGTGGGTCGGAGGCAAGGGAGAATGGGAAATAATTGTTGGGTACATGGTTTTGGGTGCTGAAAATATTCTTGAATTAGATGGTGGTGATGGCTGCACAATACTGTGAATGTACTAAGAAACACTGAAATATATATTTAAAAATACATTTTAAAAAGATGAATCTTATGGTATGCAAATTATATCTAAATTAAAAAAATTAAATGATAAAGCTGCAAAGCAAATCTGCACGAGTTTTTAGAAGTCTTATATATAATAGGCAAAAACTGAAAGCAACCAAGATGTCTTTTGGTAGGTGAAAGGTTAAACAAACTGTTGTCTATCCAAACAATAGAATACTCTTTAGTGATAAGAAGGAAGGAGCTATCAAGTTATGCAAAAATATGCATGAAACTTACATGCATGTTAGTAAGTGAAAGCAGTTAGTCTGAAAGGCTACATAACTTACAGTTCAATGTATATGACATTTGGAAAGGGCAAAACTATAGATTCAGTGAACAGACCGGTGGTTGCCAAGGGTTCCAGGAGAGGGCAGGTTTAAATAGAAAAAATACAGCGGATATTTTGGGCAAGAAACTTTTCTGTATGCTATTATAATGGTGCATACATATTAAATGGTATGGCATACATATTAAATGGTGCATACATATTAAATGGTGCATATATATTAAATGCAATTTAATTTGACAATTAAATTGTCAAAACCCATAGAACTTTATAGCACCAACAGTAAAGCTTAACACATGTAAATTAAAACAAAATCATATAGGAGATTAAGAAATCCCATGATGGAAGGCAACGTGTGACAGAAGAATCTAACTCTACTACAAGTGGATGAAATAACCTCACTGAAGAAAGTAGGGAGAAAGGTACTGATGGAAGCAACTCCAGAAGTTTGTGGAGTCCACAAAGCTAGTGACAAAAGACATGGTACCTAAGCAATGTAGTATAGTTGACAAAGTTGTTTCCCGCAGGGTTATGGCTTAACAATTCTGACACTACCATACATATACACTGGAACTGAAGAATTAAGTAAATGGATGGTGGAAGCCAGGTTTCTCACTGTTGGAGTGGGAAGTTACAAAAACACTAGGGGTGGTTAGAATGATCAATGTAGCAATGGGTTAAAGTTAGAGACATTAGTATGAACTCATGTTTAATTTAGCACATTATTTAATTTCCTCTATATATTACAGCAGATTACGGAAATATTTACAGATAAATGTGCATACAAGGGTTAGTATACATAAATTTGTTTTTGCTCTGTCAGCTGAGAAGACCTAGAAAAATGACACTCCAATAGCAATAAGCACACCTAGTGCCCAGATCTTTGTTTCTAATGTACATTTCTCCAATTGAAGGAAGCAAGTTACCTGGGAAAATGGTTGATTCCAAAACTGAGGCTAGGAATATACAAGATAAGCTTGGGGCATATTGTAGTGCCAAAAAGTAAGGAAGTGTTAAAACACACATACACACACAGAGACACAAACACAGACACATAATGATGAGTGAAGGAGGCATATCAAAGGGACACTGGAGCCAAATGAAAAAGCTCTCAATGTCAAATGCTGGAAAAATTTGAGCAACAATAAAAAAAAAAGTAGTGTGGATTATAACTCAAAGTATAAAAAAAATCCATCAGTCCATATTAATATAAATAAATAATTGAATAAGTAAATAAATAGGGGAGAATAAACAGAGCTTTCATGCAGAATTCCAAATAATCTATGTAGGTACTTGGCTATAAGGAGGGGGAGCATAACTTCCCATCCTCTGTCCCTACTACCTATCCAAACCCTACCTTTTTTTCAAAGCACAAATCAAACTCTACTTATTTTATATTATTCTCCAATCTGGTCACTCCTCCCTACCACCACTGATCTTTCTTATTATTATTTTTTCTTTTTTTGAGACAGAGTCTGACTCTGTCACCCAAGCTGGACTACAATGGCATGATCTTGGCTCACTGCAACCTCCACCTCCTGGGTTCAGGTGATTCTCCTGCCTCAGCCTCCCGAGTAGCTGGGATTACAGGCACGCACCACCACACCCAGCTAAATTTTTTCTATTTTTAGTGGAGACAGGGTTTTGCCATGTTGTCTAGGCTGGTCTTGAACTCCTGAGCTCAGGGAATCCACCCGTCTTGGCCTCCCTAACTGCTAGGATTACAGGCATGAGCCACTGCGCCCCGCTGATCTTTCTTATTTCTAATGATTATATGTGGTCTTCTCATAAGGGACTTCATTCTAAAAAATACACTATGAAAAGAAATAGAAGAAGAGAGTAATTTTACAGTGGAGAAACCTGACAAACAATATCTCAGCCAGGTGAACAAATTTAATATCAACAGTGATAAGTCATATTGCTAGCACACACTTGTATTATGATGGGATAAAAATGGAAGTTTCCTTCTGAAGTCTTCATCCTAAAAATCTTTAGCCAATCTAATCATTAAGAAATACCAGACAAATCTAATTAAGGGATTCTACAAAATATCTGACTAGTACTACTCAAAGGTCATCAAAAACAAGGACAATCTGAGAAACTGCCACAGTGAAAAGGAACCTAAAGAGACATGTCCAGTAAATGTAGTATGGTACACTGGTGGGATCCTGCACGAGTGAAAACTATTAGGTAAAAGCCAAGGAAACCTGAGTAAGGTAGGAACTTAGTTAATGATAATGGACTAACATTGGATCATGAATGTAATATTCGTACCATACTAATGTAAGAAGGTACAATAATGGAAACTGAGTGTGAGATGAATAGGACCTCTCTGTACTATCTTCGAAACTTTTCTCTATATCTAAAACTATTCTAAAATTAAAAGTCTGTTAAAAGTAGAGGGATCGTCTAGGGATTATACACTGTCACTATTAAACTTTACTCTTCCACTGCATTTTCCACTCATTCACTGGTCATTCCACTCTAACATTTTATGATGGCTGTGGCTCCCGTGGAAGATGAACTTCCTCTTTTCCTGGCTTAGTTGTGAGAGACACTCGCCAAGATCCTTGAAACAGCGAAATTGAGTGCTAAGTCTTTACAGGGACCCACAGAGGCTTCTCCTTCTATGAACCTACATATTCAGGGGGCCTCTACTCTGTGGAACTTGTACTTCCTTTTTCTTTTCCTCTCCTTCCCATTTCCCAATCAGGAAACTCTCTCATTAACCCTACCCACTCCAACTGCCTCCCAAAACATAAACCCTCCACTATCCTGGTCCTGTTCTCTCTCATAAAGTGGATTAATGTCTCAAGAAGAAGTGCTTATTGGGTTGCAAAACTATCCACAAAAATGAAAAAATAATCTATTCATCTGTCTTTGCTTGATGGGCAGCATGATTAAAAAATGACTCATTAGAAACACAGTGGCAAGTCTTCCTTCTTGGAAACTGGATGTAGAAAGGGAGGGAATTACATTTACAACTAGTGAGTCACCTTCCTCCAATGACAGACAAAATGGCTCTTCTAAAGCCACAGCTAACCAACAAATGAGCATACAAATAATAATCCCCTATCCCATCACCACCACCTCTAAAATACATTTTAAAAATGTATTTCTGGGAACACCTAAGCCTCCAGGTAAAATACTAAGTTAAGAATATGATTGGGATGCATATTATTAAAGAAGAATTTTGGCTCTGGGATTGCAAATAAACACTGGATAGTCAGGTTTTATTAGATAATATAGTTGCATGGTGCAGAAGATGACCACCTTACCCACAGGAAACCTGAGTAGTTAGTCAGCAGGTTTGGCAATTTCTCCAAGAAAGGACTTATTAGTTTGGTAGGCAGCATTATCTCTTTCAATGTGAACAACAACAACAAATACACACACACACACACACACACACACACACACACACACACACACACATTTACATACACAAACATATATATGTATCTCTTTCATAGAATGATATTTTGATGAAAGGTATGCATTTTTCAACTTTTTTTCCTCATTTTTGCCTCTACTCAGTCAGCGGGATTATAGCTTCAGCTGAGAGTTATTAAAACAGAAGACAAGTTTTAGAAAAGTCAAATTTTAGCCTCTTGATTTCAAAACCTGAAGTTACGGTACATTGTAAGATTTGGGAGAATATGCAATCAGCCAATTTCTACACTTCCTATCCTCCCTATCAAGGGAAAAAAACTAGTCACTACTGGGACTCTGAGAAAAGAATCTGAGCCCTGATGTTTTACATCCCCTTGCCAGCACCCCATCTTTGACACATTCAGAGCAGAATATGAGGCCCACACTGGCACAGCAGCAACTGAGAGAGAACACAACGCTTTGAGAGTCTTTTCTTTAGGAAACAGAAGCTTCTTGTACTCATGCAGATGGACCAGCGAATAGAATGGGTGATGCTCATCTCATCAGTCACCACACTGGAACATGCAAATGACTAGGGCCCAGGTGCCTCACTCTCCTGCCTGAAATATGGGCACTTTGCTACCCCCTAAATTTAGAAGAAACTCTAGGTGAATGGGAGAAGAAGTATTAGATTGGCTGAGATTTTGTTTTGCCACTTGGCTGATTGAGGATTCAAAATAGAAATTAACTTTTATTATAGAACACGTAAGTTATATTTTGAGTGAACCTAAGTCTGAAGTCTAAAGGCTAGTAACTATTACAGATTTATTAACACTTGAAAAAAGGAAGGATGCCTTTCTTTATACCCCGAACTTTGAGAAAACACTGCTAAATATAAAACTGAGGGACATCTATTTAAGAAAGAAATTGAGGAGGGTTAATTACATAAAATATCCCATGTGTTCCTTTACAGTCTGCACACCCCTTACAATTAGGCACTGTAATGCAACTTGTTCTGGCCATTGAACTATGAGTAGAAGTGACATATGTCATTTCTTATTTAAGTATTTTACTTTGAGGTGAGAAATTTCTGCATCTTTATAACCACTTGGACTGAGGAGGCCATATGTTCCTGAAGGTATAATCAAAAGAAATTGCAACCTCTGGCAGCTCAAGTCCCTGTGTATCTGTATAGAGCAGAAGCTTTCTACCAGCCCACATGGGATATGTAACGTGAGCAAGACATACACCTTTGTCGCATTAAGCCTCTGAAATTTCTGGAGTGATTTGTTATTGTAGCATAACCTAGCCTACACATATTAATATTTTAGGGAACATCCAAAATTTAGAATAATATGAATCTACTAAAAATCACATTTCAAGTTAAGTAAAAAAGATAACAAATCAAAATTTCCATAAATTGATATAAATTCAAATGTTGATAGTACAATTATGAGTATTTTGTATTTTCCCCTTTAATGTTTTGTGTTTTATGATTTTATCACATATTCAGAAAAAAATGTGAATGAAAGTGATCACATATTTCTTAAAACTTCATTACTAGAAAACCAGGATGTGTACTGCATACGGTCTTAGGTACTGTAATAGGAGGTAGGAAAAATTTTTCTTTCAATTTTAAACCAAGGGGTTCAAACCTCACATCCCTGAAAGCTACTACCCTAACTCTGTCCTTATTAGTCCTTCGATTCTTCTTTAGGATTGCAACACTGTGGCAATTGAAAATAAAAGGAATAACAAGATCCCACAATTTTATCAGAACATCAAATCAAAGCCACATGCATTTATTTGTTGAACATTTATTCAGTGTACCATGAGGTGTCATGCGATGTCAAGGACGAACAAGAAGTGCATATATCAATTACTGGAATATTACACTCAAAATCTGACCTAGTAACAAAAGACTTAAACAAGCAAGAATTGGTGTACAATAGCATATAAACAGCCTTCCTTTTTTCCACTATATATGATAAAGCACTGAGTTGAATGCACAAACATAATATTTTCTTGCAGCAAATTTGATGTATTGTGACAGAATCTCAGGCTAGGTCTTTAATGTGCCTAACTAGGTAGTGTCTTGGGTCAAGGAACTTAAACTCCTAGAGGCCCATTCTCCTGAACTGTAAAATAAGCATAATAATATCTTCTGGATTGATAATTAAGTATCATATGAGTATGTATAATGTATATCATGCACTTAAAGGAGTGTGTGGCATAACATAATCTCTCAATAAATGGTGGCTATTTTTGTTACTCAGTCTCATCGTTTTACTCATGGGGAAAAAAACATGCAAGTTCAAGGTTGGAAATTACACAAAGGCATAAAGCTAAATTAACTTACAGTATACTTGAAAAATAGTATTAGATGCACCAAGTACCTCAATAAACATATGAAAGTAATATATGTAGGAAATTGGTTGTGAAAGGTAATCGCTATTTAATTATTTTCCAACCAGAATGCACACTTAACACCTAGGTGTTTTGTTTTGTTTTGAGACAGGGTCTTGCTCTATCACCCAGGCTGAAGTGCAGTGGTGATCATAGCTCACTGAAGCCTGGAACTCCTGGGGTTAAACAATTCTCCTGCCTCAGTCTCTCCAGTGGTTAGGAATACAGGCATGCACCACCACACCTGGTTTATTTATTTATTTTTTCTAATTTTTAGTAGAGACAGGTCTCACTATGTTGTCCCAGCTGGTCTTGAATTCCTGGACAATCCTCCCATCTCAGCCTCTCAAAGTGCTGGGATTACAGATGTGAGCTACCATGCCCAGCTGCACTTAACACGTTTTGATCTCGACTAACGCCTGGCACTTTCTATCCACTTTCTCATCCGTCCATTTTATTGTCTCATGTGGGTAGGACTTACTTCCGTATACGTTTTTTGTACCCTTCTTGGCATAGGGTGCTAGTCCAGCAAGTTAGGATAGGTGGTGGCCAAAGATGGATACCAGCACTGCAGGTTGTTAGCAGGTGGTGTTTCTAGGGTGAGCAGCCAGAGATTTCAGGGTGAGGAGCAGGATATGGTTTCATATGATGTGGTTAATTAACTGAGATGAAAGCTGGAAAAAGAAAAAATGAAGAGAGAATAAGGACTGAGGAGTTTCAAAAGAGTTATGGGGACATTGATATTTATTCTTCTGGCTACCACAGTGTCCTCCTACCTACCAATCCTTCCAGCACTATTGACCTTATTACTTAGTTGCACTGGTATTATATCTAATTTCAGGTCGTTGGTACCAACCAAGTTCAGGAATGATAGAAATCTACCAGTAACAGGAATAACTGGGAGAAGTTTCATGGAGAGGGAGAAGGAATGCATTAGATAATTTAAAGGACTAGATTAAGTATAGAGAAAAAAAAATGGAGAGAATCTAGGTGAGTGAGGGCAACAGCATGAGAAAATGAAGATTGGGGGAAAGGAGACTGGCTTGTGCTTGGGGTAACGAAGATACTGCATTAACTTTGTTCTTATTAGTCCTTCTATTCTCCTCTAGGATTGTCAACACTGTGGCAATTGAAAATAACAGGAATAACTGTTTTATGACAAATGGACCTGAACCCTATGAAATGAATTTGCAAGCACTGGCACAGTTAACATATGCTACAAACAACCATCTTCAGACAGTGTAGCGAACCAACTGTGCCAGACTTAAACTGACGACCCTGAGGTGAATCGTTCTATTGCCACAACATTTCTGATCTTCAAGGCTCTCCATGCTCCTAAACTCTTTTCTTTAATATTCTACAGTGTGTTTATTTTCACGGCTATAAAGTCATACTCAGATTTGCAATGATATTTACTACCATATTTCAGAGTGTTTTAACTGATGTTAGTTCAAATCAATTCTGGAGAAACTTTCCAGCCAAGGGAATTGCAAGCTAGCTGGTTGACATTGGAGGTCAAATACTCCAGGGTATGGGTCTCAAATCACTTAATTCTTCACAGCAAATTAGAAACGGGACTCCAGCTGGTGCTAAAGAATAAGACAGACTTGCTGTATAAGGACAAGCTGCTGCTTGGATTTCGAGTCTTTATATTCCTAAAATAAAAAATGTGAGACCCAATTCCCACCCCCCAATCTCATTCTTTCAGAGTAAAAGATTTCTTAACAACAGCAAAAATCTGGCCACCTGATTTCAATACATAAATCTTGCCAAGTTATAAAAATAAAATATGATTTAAACAGCAACCTGTAATCTCCTGTTGACGACCAGCTGTGCCTCCTATTAGTATTAATGGAAGTTACACAGGCATAATAAGAAGGAGGGGAAAATGCCACCTTATGCTTTTTGCACACCTTAACATTTTTATAGCAAGTCTGATTACAAGGGTTTACTTGAGCGGCAATTAAACAATGATTGATTACTCAGTACAATTTGTATTCCAGGCAACATGCAAATGGTAATGAAATTCTCAGATAAGGAATGGAATAAATTCTTCTCACATCAGAGAATCACATCTTTTTAACAGAAAACGTTTTCTTATATGGAGAGAAGAACTTCAGTATAAGTTTCTTAAATAATACATGTTTACCCAAAGACAATAAGCCTTGATTTGGATTTAGAAAGGAATGGTAATGATTTTTGCAAATTGTACTTCCCACTTCACCTTTAGACTACGGCTCTCTTTCCATGATGACAAACTATATGGATGGAAAGTATAATATTCACTCACAAATATATTGACTTCAACTATAGTCACAACTATAAACAATATTTTTCATATTTTGACATTGCAGAAATAATATCTACTTTTAAATTGAAAGTGAAGTGAAAGGTTTATTTATTAAGTGTCTATCATGTGCCAGGCACCATTCTAGGTGTAGGCAACACAGCAAAGAACACACAATACTCATGGTAGAGAAGAAGAAACTGACAATATACAAGTATACAGATATAGATACAAAGTCAGCGTATATAGAATAAAGAAAACGATCGGGAGAAACTGATGGGCATTGATGTGTATATGTACCCATTCATATTCAGGGGAAAATGATGGAAAGGGAAGTCGATGACTTTGCACTTGCTTTTTCCTACTTAAGGAAGATCCTGATCCAACATCATTGAATAGTTGCCTGCTGTGTACCATTTTGATATTCATCCAAGTACAAATAATAGAAAGAGCTTAGAATTAATATGCTGGATAAATAGTAAAGCCACAGTGGCTGACGTGGTATAAGCTGGAGTAAAATGGAGATGACATGAGATCACAGATACACAGAGGTATAGTCATTGTAGGCCAATGTAAGTAATGTGTGCTTTACTTTAATTTTAATGAGAATCCATTGATAGGTTAACAGGGGAGTGTTATGATGTAAATATGTTTTTCAACCATCAATCTAATTGCTGTATGTATGTTATGGGATATAATAGAAATGTGACCTACCTTGAAATCTGCATTTTTCCTGAAGAACTGGCTAATACATTACCATTTTCACTTATTGAAAATTTAACGTAAAAGAGAAATTGCAGTTAATATCTTATAGTCAGGTATGTTTAAAAATAAAAATCAGAAATCGCTCCTGCTTTAAGGTACTATTATCATAAAAGGCAGGGATATGTGAAAGGAAAGAGAAGAAAAAGTTATGATGTCTATAAAAACAAAACATTAGAAAAGACTATTAAGGATCACATTGTCCATCAGGTTGCTTTTTGCAGCTGGGATAAATGGCTGTTTATGTTCTTTGTTCAGATTTCCAGGATAAAGACTTCATATCATCCCTGGTAGTCCACGCTAATATTTTATCTTTGACATAAAGAAGTTATTTTTTATATCCAATTACATTGTCTCAATTTATTAAACCTATTTCATGACCTGATGTCAAAATAGAAAACAACTGCTCACTATTCTGATAAAAACTATTTGAATACAATAATTTATTCAAGCTTAGCCAGCTTTGTCTTCTCTAAGCTAAAGAATCTGAAACTCTTTTATCATTCCCTATTTTTATCACTTTAGTCAAATTTTTCTTATGCCCAGAAAAATCTACTTTAAAGTATGAATTGCTTCTTGTATCAAAGCACATACAAGTTGATTAGAAATTTATGTTCTATGTTTAGCAATTTAGCTTAGTTAAAATGATGAGAGGAAGATGACAAAGTATTTAACACATTATATTTCTGTCAAAATCTGTGATACAACTCATCGCGTAGGCATGGATTTACTATGCGTAACAATTACAACTATACATATTTATTTAGGATGTGGATGATACCTGTAATATATTTAGTCATATATAATAGGTATATACATATGTTTGTTTCGTACTCTAACAAGGAAAAACCATGAAATAGATATTATCATTCTTTAATCAGGATTCTCATAGGTCACAGATTAGACTAGAATAGAACAGCAAAATAGGAAAATTCTGTGAGGGAACACATTACTCTATTTCAAGGCAGACATGTAAAATAGAAGGTATTGAGTGAAGGAGTCCTGGGCAAGAATCCAAGATCTGCCACCCATTAGTCTTGTGAAGATACAGCATTAACATTGTGAAGCCTCGATTTTCTTAATTATATGATAATTAATATACAATGTCTAATAAATTGCTTAGCAAAATAGGAACTCTAAATGTTAGTTCCATGAATAAAACCAAAATAAAATCCATTTGGACGTTTATAAAACCAAAAAAAGCTGTTTATAAAGTATACTGCATTTAAAATAAATAAATAAAATTCACGATATTGTGGTGGTGTTTCAATAACTCCTACCTACCACCCCCAAGAAAGAAATTAGGTATCTGAAACTCCAATACAATACATAAGTGTCAGTTTCTACATTTTTAATTTCAGATTATTGTGGTAATTAAATAAAAGATCATGTGTAATGTCCTGGGCATACAGTAGATGATCAATAAAGTCAGCTATTTTTATTAGCTCTAAGTAAAATTAATGATTAAGCATGCATGGTTCAACAGAGGATGCAACACAGCAATCAATGGTAGTTAAAGCTAGTACAGATGGGAAGGTGGCTCTGTCCATATACTCTAGTCATTCATTACCCAGGAACAACAAGTGTGGGCCAGGAAAATCTTTCCCTAGAACAATAGTGGATGCCAAGATCCTAACCACTCAATACAATCTCCCAGAAAGAAACATTTGGTGGCCTTTAAATAGAAAGTATCATGCCAAAAGAATGTTTTTGGTTCTATACTTTTTAATCTCCAAATTGAAAATAGTTAAATTGAAAAATGTTTCTCATTTTTCTTCTTATTATATTCTTCAGGGGGTCAAAGTTAATCTTGAAATATGTTAATGCTGTTACATCCTAAGGTGCTGCTGGGTTGGAAGATGGGCAAAAAAATTAAAAAATGTATAAAGCCTTTAAGAAACAAACGTGTGTGTGACACAGATGGCTGGAATAAATTATGGGACTCAAAAAGCGGTTCAATTTGCTTAGTTTTAAAATCCATTTGGACATTTATCAAAGTTCACATTGTGAAATGTATTTGTGCTACTTGGAAGAGTGATAGTAATCAGCACCCGCAACACCAACCCCCAGAAAAGAAAAATAAATAAAAAAAGGAAAAATCTATAAGCTCTTTTCATTGAAGCCTAAAACAAGATAGTTGAATTAATGAATCTAGTGATGACTCATTTTAAGCAACAATTGGAAAAAGTATGATGGATGATTTAAAATATACATACAGACATACATGTATATATCTATATATACACAACACATACAATGGCATAAGCACGTAATATATCGGTTCTTCCAAAAGATTGTCAAAATACTTTCAGAATGGTTATTCTGTTTAAGACACAAAGTACCAAATAATCTTTCCCTTAAATTCTGCAAATAAGATGTGAATATTCTTTAAAATTTAATAAAATTTTTAATAAATGGAGAAGAAACTGCTCAGAATATTTGAAACAACAAAACAAATTAAACTATTTGAACATGTTGAAGGAAAGATACAAGGAAATGGGAAATATTTTCAAATTTATTGGAAATACCAAGGTCCTTTGCACAAATGACTGTATTTATCAAATATTGTCAAGTGAGTTGTTAAGACAAGAATGAGAAATGTGTTTCAGAGCAAGCTCTTAGCTTAGAGTTTCTCTGATTGACAAACATGATAAATTTCAATTTTTGAATACCTAAAGATGCACCGAGGTGGGTGCTTTTGGGAAAGTACACAAACATGATGATTTTTATTCCATTTGCTTGTTCAATCAACATATATTTAGAGCACATCTACTTAAATCCAGACACTGTCTAAACTGAGTGATTCAAAGATTAGTAAGGTGTAGTCCTTGCCTTTGAACAGTTCTGTCTGGTGGATGAGACAGACACATAAATGTAGAATATTAAATGCTAATACATAAGTATGAAAAGAGACTATAACCTACAATCTGTTTCATGAGTTTTTTCAAAAACATTTATTGAGCATCTACAATATGCTAGGCACTGGTTCAGACACTGATGATACAGCAGTGAACAAAACAGCCTCAGGGAACTTACATTCTATTAGGAGAAGGCAGGCAATGAGCGCACGCATCACTAAAACAAATAGAATGTCATTTGTATTCTATTGCTAGGGAGAAAAATAAAATAGGAAAAGGGGGGTAGTGAATGTGAGAAATGTGAGCTGCAATTTTAAATATGGTATTCGAGAAGACCTTACTGAGAAGGTGGTCATTATGCAAGTGCTTGAAGCTGATGAAGGGCTATCTGTTGAAATACCTAGTGTGGAATATCAATGCAGACAGAGGGAAGAGCAAGTGGAAAAATCTCTGTGGGTGGAGTTGGAGTAAACAAGAATAGCAGGAATGAGAAGGAGAGAAGAAACAAAAAGCTAGATATATACATACATGTCTTGCAGGCCATTGTACAATTTTTCTACTGAGTGAAATGGGAAGACATAATGGGTTTGGAGTGAGAGACTGACAGGATTGCTGTTTCATAGATTAAATAAATCAAAACATTCAAACAACTATCTTATAATAGGACATTCTCCACATATTTAGATTATTTTGCCTAGTTAAAGCTTAAGGAGTTTGTGCTACTTGCCAATTTCTATAACTCTTAAAAATAATTTGCTCCAGACTGATGATAATTATTTTGCTAATAATGGACTATAGATTATAGACAAATTTGGTATTCAGCTTTTCATGTAAAACACTTCATATAAAAAAATTACAGAATACCTAATATGTATCAAGGGTGGGAGTAATGAGGTTTTTACCCTGCATGCACAAACATACACATTTATAAAAGGTTTTTGTATTGGTCTATCTGCTCAGAGTGCAATGGAGCTTGTAAAATAACTTTTACTTTTTTGTATAATTAACTAATATGTGTTTGTTACTTGTCCATGAATATTTAGATCTTATATCATGTTATTCGATTTATTGATATATATTCTTTATATATATATTTATATATATAATTACCCATGTTTTTTTCTGTTAATATTCTTCTACAACATCATTTCTAATGCCTGCATAAAGTTGAATTATGAATTCACCAGATTAATGTCAGTTATTTATGTATTTTTTATTGAGATGGAGTCTCACTCTGTTGCCAAGCTGGAGTGCAGTGGAGCAATCTCGGCTCACTGTAACCTCCACCTCCGGGGTTCAAGCAATTCTCCTGCCTCAGCCTCCTGAGTAGCTGAGACTACAGGCACGCAGCACCACGCCCAGCTAATTTTTGTATTTTTAGTAGAGACAGGGTTTTACCATGTTGGCCAGGATGGTCTCGATCTCTTGACCTCATGATCTGCCTGCCTTGGCCTCCCAAAGTGCGGGAATTACAGGTATGAGCCACCGTGCCCGGCCAATGTCAGTTATTAATAATCAGTTATCTATCAGTCACCTGTTATAGGGCATATATGCTATTTTATTTTTGCATGAACAACTTCAGAATGAACATATTTTTGGATACATCTTGCAAAAAGAATATTGTTTTCTTAAAAAAATCAGAAATAAAGTTGATGACTCAGAGAAAGCACATATTTACCGTTTGGCTATTGCTATGGTTTAAATGTTTGTGTCCTCCCAAAATTTACATGTTAAAACCTAATCACCAATGTGAGGATATTATGAGGTGGGCCCTTTGAGGGGTGATTAGATCATGAGGGCAGAACTTTCATAAATGGGATTAGTGCCCTTATTAAAGCAACCTGGAGAGTTGCATTGTCCCTTCTGCCATCTGAGGACACAGCGAGAAGGCATCATCCATGAACCGGAGGGTGGGTGCTCGCCAGACACCAAATTTGCCAATGTTTTAATCTTGGACTTCCCAACCTCCAGAATCGGGAGCAGTAAATGTCTGTTTATAAGCTAACCACTTCATGGTATTTAGTTATGGCAGCCAAATAGACTAAGAAAGCTATGTATTGCTCAACTGCCCTGCCTATATACTATACTAAGTTTTTACTCATTATGGAATCTTACGAACCTGTTAATTTTATTGCACCTTCATTTCCTTAAAAAATCTTTGCCAGTTTGATGTGTGAAAAACTCTATGTCATTATAATTTTTTGACATTGCTTTGATTACTGATTGGGTTGACTCAATTTTCACATTTTCATTAACTGCTTGTATTCCCTTTTTTGTGAGTTGGCCATTGATGCCCTTTATCTATTTGTATATCACTGGAAATCTTTTCCCCTTAGGCTTTCTATACTCTCTGCTATGTGGAAAAAGAGTAATGCTAAATAATGATCTGCAATGAAGTTTTAAGATAAAAATATGATAGTTATTCATAATATTTATTTACCTGCTATGTACTAGGTACTATGTTAGGCATGGAGGATAAAAAGATAAGACCCATTAAAAATTATCAAGGATCTTACAGTGTAGGGGTAGTGTAGGGGTAGGGGTAGTGGAAATCATGAAAACAAACTGCAGAACAAGAACAGCACATCGTTCATTATTCAGATGATTAAAAATTGATGATTATAATTTTATGTAGGAAAACAGAATGAGAGCCAGTGACTGAGAGAGGGAAATCCTTCTGGAGTGTAGGTTTTTCTTTCTGGCCTCTGATTAAAAACAGAGATCTGCCTTTTAAGTGCCACAACATGCTAAATTGCAACGGTGTTAATATATGGTAGAAATGTACTATTTTGGTTTCTAATGGCACTTATGATTACCACCCAGGCTAGCATGCACAGGAAATGACTGAGCCCATCTCCAGAAATCACTTGCCTTGGTTGATTTTCACACATTCAACCAAGTGAGTATATGAATATGCAATTACACATACATTGCAATCAGAGTAATACTTCAAAATACACACTTGATCATACCATTCTTCTACTTTAAAAAACTTTCATGGCTTCCCATTTCTTATAGAATGAAGTTCAAAACCCTAAACAAAGACTAAATAAAACATGGCATGCTTATCTTGCAGCTTCACCCTGGGTCACTCTCCCACTAGTTGCTTAAACTCCAGCCATCAGGGCCTTCTTTCCCTGTTGGATATCTCTGACCCTGGAGCTTTTACACTTTGCTCTCCTTTCCCGGAAGTCTTTTAATAACCTCCTTTTGCCTTTTTAACTCTTACGTTGTCCTTTAGGTCTCAGCAGTAAGGCCATTACCTCAAGGACTCCATTGATTTCTCAGGGCCCTCTACTATAACAGCCTTTTGTTTTTCATTGATGTTGCCATTTGCAGTAAATATATTTTTGTGTGATTATTTTGCAAATGTCCATCTCCCTAACTAATCTGCAAAGCGCAGGAGAATAAGAGTTCACTTTTATTTTGCTCATCACGGTACCTCTAGTGTTTTCCACTGAACCTAGCATGTGTTCGGCACATAATTATCAGTGATAAGAATGAATGAACAAATACAGAAACATCTCAGAACAATGAAATAAATGATGAGATTTAAAAATATGGGTTAATTTTTATGTCCAGGCATGATGATAATTAAGCATGTACATTTTACATGCAGTATAGACCATTTGTTAATTAATATACAGAGGTAACAATGCAGCTTAGGTTCACTAGGAAGCAGACTTTGCAATAGAAATGTGTGTGCAGGAAGTATATTCATTATTCAGTGCTGTCTGTATGAGGCCCAGTGAGAGCAAGGAAATGAAGCAGGATGGGCAAAGGGAGAAGCTGAACTCTACAGACGTCCCAACTTATGTCCCAGCTAATCCCTTGAGGGACCTCTGAAGGTGGGATGGCCCCTAAAAGGTGTCTTGAATTGAGGCAAGGGCCCAGCCTTTAAATTCCCACATCAACTGTCATTGGATATCTGCTACCCCAGGAAAGGGCTTGAACTTCCAGTGAGATGTCTCTCTTAGCCAGGGGCAATTTCCAGAGAGGGACTCAGCAGACAGCTGTCAACCACTAACATTCCCAGGAGCTGAGAGAATGAGTGCCTCAGTTTTGAATGGGTTGGGGGATGGGTGGTGATCTGTGAAGCACATCATAACATCTGCTACAGATAACCAAAAGGGAAAATACATACTTTAAGGCAAGGATATGAAGAACTTGCTCAAATGTAAATGAACTAGAAATTATAAAACAATAAAATTCCAGCAATAAAACAAGAAACCACTTTAAATGCCAGTTCTTGGAATTGTGACAATATTAGATGGTGAGAGGAAACCAACAAGGCCAAGGAAAAGACCCCTAAGTAGTAAGGCAAATTATTTCAGGGGACATTCATTCTAAAGGATGTTTTCCCCCACTTTAAGTTAGATAAGTCTATAAACTTTCCCCTTACACTGCATTTTACCCAAAATCTTTCATAGGCAATCATGCATTAATGACATTTTTCTAGAACGTGGGAACGTGGGCATTGAAAGATTATATCTTTAAATTTGTAATATTTAATTTATATGACACTGTTCAATTTACAAAATACTATTGCATATATTTTGACATCTGACTCTCATAGTAATCCATTCAGTTAAACCACTCATTTAAAATCACTAAGCGGCAATTTTTGTTTTTCATTTAGTGGCTAAAGGTTTGTGGTAACAGAGACAATGTCTCTATTGTCCACTGAGATGTCACTAATGCTTATGACAGTGTCTGAAACAATTGTACTCAATAAATAATTGCTAAATAAATTTATGGGAGAGGTTTGTAGTTTCTCTGTGTTATCTGTGCTTTTTATGGCATTTACATAATACATGCTGATATACTGCATATCTATATATGCAATATGATAGACATGTAGTTGAGCACATTATACTGTTTGTTCCATGAAATATGAACCAACGTATTCCTTTTGGTCTTTTTAACAGGAATGCTGGAAATATTTGGGCCTAACTGATCTTTAGTCATTATCCTACTGGTCAATATGGGTAGGAATTAATTTGGCCCTTGAAAATCAGACAGCGGAAAAAATGCACCTCATGATCATTCAGCCTCTGACTTTTTGGGAGGAAATCATTTTCAAAGAAATGTCCCCCACCAAAAAAAATCTCTTAATGCTACACTGCAAAGGGAAAATAAAGGCATATGGAAATCTGAATTTTTGTTGTGTTTCTAAATTTGTAATATTGAATAACTTTTTAGATGTGAAATTAAAGATGACTCATAAGTCCTACTTCTGACTTTGGTAGTAATAATATTCATTTATGTACTGTAAACTATTAGGTTCAAACATAAGCTGTTTCTCCAAAGCCTACAAAAAATTAATGTGGAACACCTGATATTTCACTGTGCTTCCAGATGGAGGGACAGCTTGACAAACGCCATCATAATTTACAACTTTTAAAAAGTGTGGTGCAAATGCATTTGCAGTAAAAGCTTTAAACAGCTTGCATTATTTACAGGTACAACTGTGCTTAATGTGCAATTTCAATGAATTTAAAATATTATTAGATTAAATCACTGATCACAGAGCATAGGTGTGGCACGTGAGCAATGTGATTAGATGCCTTAATTAATATGTCAGAACAGGATACATCTGTTTGATGAAGTTGGGGGGGATGGTAAATAGCATTTAAATTTTATATTTGATTATTGACTATCACCGATGAAACTCTTATCTTTGGAAAACCACCGTATATTGGACTTATCCTCTATAGTTGTTTAGGAGAATTATAACAGAAAACGAATATGAAAATACACTGTATAACTCTTAAAGATAACTTGGATTCTTGTACACATAAATTAACTATCAATTGCTAACTGATAAGATGTATGTTAAAGTGTAACCTGAAAGAGCAATAAGCCTGTATCCCTGTAAGTTAGGAAATTGAACATTGAACCTGACTGATTAAATTGGGGAAGAAATCATATGTATTATAATTATATATATTATATTTGTAAATTTATATATGTTTATATGTGTATATCTTTTCTCAATATATACATATGTGTGTATATGTATGTATGTATTTGGGTGTTTATATGTGTATTTATATATATAGACTGATAGAAAAATAGATATAGATAGATTTATCTATCTCTCTATATCTCCAAGAGGATCTAGAGTAAGTGGGTAAGGTGTGGTTGTAGGGAGATGCAGGAACATCTGACTTTGGAACATTACTCCATGAAAAGATAAGTAGTTATTTTGACCCATTTTAACTACAAATTCATTGATAGATATTGTGACCTATTTCTCAGCAGTAAGTAGGACAATGAGAATATGTGATGCAGAGAAACTAAAGTTTCTAAAATGAACTGCCCAGTGTATAAACGAATGTACTCTGTTCATTCAATCACCAAGTGTTCTTGGTCTCTTATGCTTCAGTCCTGAGCTAGGAACTGAGTATCCAGTAAACAATAAAAGTACACATGGGCCCCCTCTTCCTGGAGCTTCCTCTCTAAATAGAAGACATATATTAAATGAATCACATTCAAATAAATATTTAAACAACATTTGAAAAGTCTATGAAGACGAAATATAATGAAAAAGACAGAGTGGGTGTAATTTTGTTGGTGATGGGGTTAGATCATAAAGGCTTCAGTGAGACCTAAATGATGAGTAGAAGGGGAAGAAGAGCTCCAAGTGGAGGGCAATGTGCAAAGGTAGAGAAGTGGATGGAGGATGAGAAGATTACCTTGTGGTTGGAACATAATGAGTCAGGGCAAGAGTGGCGGAGAAGCGGAGTAGAGCAGGTTATTCAGCGGTTACTAGGGAGTTTGTATTATATTCTGACTGCAATGGACCATTGAAGGATTTATACCATGGGTACCTGGGTGTGTGGATGTATCGTTGTATGGCATGAGCCAGTTAATACTTTCTAAAGCTCAATCTGGTATGGATATGAGGTAAGAATAGAAGCTAGAATACCAGTAGCTTGGACCATGGTGGATGCAGCAAAATGGAGAAATGAATGATTCAAAATCTATTTAGGAGGTTGACTTCTGAGAGTTTGGGCATAGATTAAATGAGGCAATAAGGATAAAGGAGTCAAAGATGATTCTAAGGTTTCCATTTAACTTTCTAGTGTCTGTTAATATTTGATTCAAGAAAAATGTATCTGTCTTTTAGTAATTTCCAGGTTCTGGAAGGTAATCTGATGGTTTGTTCAGAGAAGCCTTCTCAACCACGCAAGGTACCCATACCCTAGTTATTCTGTCCTATTTTTCTTTTATCTTACAAGCAGGCATCACATTTTCTTACTTGCTTATTTTGAGTATAATCTCCATGACAGTGATGTGTATTCTTGAAGACTATATCCGGAGAACCTAGCACAGTGTCTGTGTCTGGCATATTGAAAATGCTCAATAAACATATTCGTTGAATAAAACGATGAATGGACTAATGAAAAAATAATAAGGGAGAAATACTTGACTCCAAGGTGTCACTACCTAGCCAAGTGCATGAAGGAGTGCCGCAAATGTCCTAACGGAAGTAGAAAGTGTTATGGTAGAAGAGAGGTGGGATGCATCTAACAGGGGTGGGGGGGGGGCGGGGAGAAAAGGAGAGAGGTCTGGAGTACACATATCCTCAAAAAACGAGGTGAATGTTTTCTGGATTGGGACCAACTCTACAGGAAATCTCTCCCTTCTCCTCAGCAAGCTCTAGAGCAAAAACGAAGAGCAACTTTTCAAAAGAGTTTCACGTTTTAGAATAAAAAATATTTAAAAAAATAACCATTAAAATGAGACTTTCCTGCAAAAAGACAACCTTGATTATGTACCACCTGCAGCACTTCCTGTATGCTGCTGCGGGCTGTGGATGTTTTTGCTCGCCTCCCTCCCCTCCCCGCTGGGGCTGTGAACTCTCAGAAGACCGGTGCTTTGGTATCCTCCACTGCAGCTCAAACCCCGCCCACCTACTTGGTGGATGGATGGAGGAACATCTACTATTTCATCCTTGAGGAGTTCCTGAAAATGCAGTTGCCCCTCAAACAATGTATCTACATCTCGCGGGGTTTCTGTGGAAGAAAAGAAAAAGTGCAAGTTGTTGCTTGGAGCGCGGACTGCTTTTACCTTTGCCTGGGGATCCCTCCTATCTGGCCCCGCCTGCCTAGCTCTGTTTTTAGCAGTTTAGAGATTAAAGGCCAGTCCCCAGAGCGGGTGCTCTACTCCCTCCCTCCCTTCTGCTTGCAGGCTGGGGCGCGGAGCGGGCTGAACTGGGAAGGCCGGGCTGCGGCTGCCGTGCCTGGCGCGGGAGCCGCAGGACCGAGAGCGCAGCCCCGCCCCGGGGGCGTTGCCGCCCCGCGCCCGCTCCGCCCCCGCGCCGCCGGCCCTAGTCTGCCTGTTTTCGACTCGCGCTCCGGCTGCTGTCACTTGGCTCTCTGGCTGGAGCTTGAGGACGCAAGGAGGGTTTGTCACTGGCAGACTCGAGACTGTAGGCACTGCCATGGCCCCTGTGCTCAGTAAGGACTCGGCGGACATCGAGGTACGGACTTCGCGCCGGCTCGTCGGTGGTGGCGGGGTGGTGGGGAGTGCTCTGCGGGTAGGTGCCGGGGAGGCCCCCGCGGCCCCCGCACCCCGGAGAGTGAGAGACGCGGGAAAGTTTCCCCCGTGGGAGCTCTGCGGGGGAGCGGAGGAGCGCGGAGCCACAGGCCCGCGTGGGCAGGCGGGGAGCTCAGGGGAGGACTTTCCGCTACTGGAGGGGTTGCCCTTTGCGTCGGGACCTGTTTACTTCGGAAGAGATTTCAGGAAGCCTGTCTTGTCCTCCTCTGAATGTCAGTGACTGAAGAAGCACTGGAGTTCCAGAGAGGTGGACTCTAGGGGGTAGGAGTGCCCATTTCCCACACGTTCTACCCCTTCACCTCCTGTATGTCGTTTCTGGACACCTCCACTGCCCCCATTTCCAATAGCTGAATCCTGCTATTTGCAAAGGTGAAGCATAGAAATAAAACATCTGTGTGTCAGCTGTAGCAGTCGCCTCTAGTCATAGTATTGTTTATGAAATAATTTAACATGGAGAGAATGGAACGAAGTATTCAGAACATGAAAAATGCAGTGCCCTCAGAAAAACTAACTGTATTTTTCTCTCCTCTCAACGGTTTTTGATTCCCTCTTGCACTCCGTTTCTGTTAAAAAAAATCTTTTTTTATGTAAATAAGGTCCTACCTGAAACGACATGGCATTTCCTTTCTCTCTAGTATCTTAATATATGCGATGAAAAGGATTTAATTATCAACAGTGATTTTACACATACTAAACCTAGGTCAGCACTTTTGAGCTAAGACAAACTGATTTTTAGTTTTCTGTTTTGTTTGGGGCTTTTCTTTATTTGAGTCTTCTACTCTGGTAGAAAATTATGTGTGTGTGTGTTTTCTTTAGAAATAACAAAATTTTCCTTTCGTCAGTCCTTTTGGCGGCTTAAGTAAAAGTTTTGCAAACCACCTGTTTGCAAAATAGCTGCTTTTGCCACATTTTGCCTCCGTAATTGAAGAAACTTTATATTCTGGGAGGAAGTAGTCCTGTTTTCTCCAGGCTCCATAACTTGGTTTGAAAAATCATTTTAGTAACAAGAGCCAAAGTGTATTATGTGGACATCTCTGGTTAGTTTACTTTTGGTTTCTGTTTTGGAGAGTTGACTTTTTGATATTGAGCAATATGATATATTTAACAAATAGTTGTTCATCTGTGTGCAGGATAATAGATACTTGTCTTTTTCTATATTTCATTTAGGGTAGTCTATTCCTTTTTGGTCCTTGTGACTTTGACTTAACTTTTTAAAAAATTTTATTTACTAAGTCGAAAAACAAGCTTCTGACAGTATTAAGGCAGTATTGATTTAAGATATCGGAGTTGACTTAGGATGGGTGGCTTTTGGCTCTTTAATTTCAGAATGGTGTGTTATCTGCTTAACTGATTTCTTTCTCTGCAGTTGTCTTCGAAATCAGTTCTTACATTCTACTGAGGAGAAAGATGCCAGTGAAACATTGAATGCCAAGCTTGATTTCATATATTGTTTCAACTAAGAACATTTAAGAAGCCCATCCTTCCCACTCCCTCCACTCAATTCAACCTTAGTCTATATGGCCAGTTTGCCTAATATTACTTTTAATCTAGATTGCTGGTGTTCAAACACCTTCAGCTCTTATGTAGTTCATATGTGCAACACTTTAATCAGTAACATCTTTCATCACTCACAGCACCTTACTTTTCCCTCAAAGTAATACCCGTGATTCATGAGCTAGAATACCATGAAAGAGCATGAAATTAATCATTAAAATATAATGCAGTGAGGAAAAATACATTAAGCTTAGGGGAGCACATTCAAGCATAAATGCCTCAGTTGATCCTATTGATTTACCAAAGTTCATTTTTGTGTTGAAGAATTAGAATGAATTATAAAGGCTCAGTTTTCCATCAAATTTGAATGCTTTTCTTGAACAAATTCATTACAACCATTGTCTAGAGATCTGATTGTGATCATTGTTTTAGCTTCAAATACATGGATAAGCAAGTAATATTTTAAAAATATTGGTATGAAGCAGTTAATGAATGTGATAAGAACACATTGATAAATGTGAAAAGTACTTGACAATTGTTAAAAGAACAGAAGGTGATGATAACAACCTACTCTAATAGTGACTGACTTTTCCCTATGAGCTAACTACAGAACCTCAGGTTTCAGTGAAACAGCCAAGAAATATCTTTGTTTCTGGGGGAAAAGTTATTGAGGTATATATAAAGGTGCTTTGTGTGCCTGCTTCATAATTTCTAGTCTGAATCCAATATCACATCAGGATTTGACGGTTAGGAACATGGAAAACAATCAGATCACCAAACTCCATAGCTGGAATATCCCTGGGCTGGGAGATAGGCAAGGAAAGGATGTGTTACTTGGTAATAGGACCTAGCTCATTACTCAGAATTGTTGTTGTTGTTGTTGTAATCATAGAAGTTGCATGAGAAATCATGTTTTTTTTCAGATATATTAATGTGGTTCAGAGCCTGGCTTCTGAAACCAACTGCCTCTGATTGAGGTCTAACTTTAAGCTGTGTGTTTGGGCAAGTTAGCCTCTCTGAATTGCACATGGAAAATCTGCTAAGGATAATAAACAAATGTCACAAGTTGACAGCATCTTGTTGGGAAAAAGGACAAAAATGTTAAAAAATAAAGATAACAGAAAAATATATCTTATTCTCAGGAAAATCACTTCCAATGAAATGATTAGCATTTTAAAGTCCGTTAATAGTAGTTATATGCTTTTAGAAGTTATTTTGCTTTGTGAGTGTACTGTTTGGATACAGTCTGAATTTTGTCAACGATGACTTTAATACAAACTCTCCTGGGATGGTTTCAAAGAAGGTTAGTATTGGACATTGGTCACTTTCCCAGGCCTCAGCAGTAACTTAACAGCACTTCTTCATTTAGATTGAATTTACAGCCAGTATATTGTGAATATCTGCACACTTGAAAGGAAATGAGAATTATTTTGAAACAGTACTCTTTTGTTCAAGACCTTGTTCCCCTCCACCGGCAAGGATAATGAGAATAGACTTTGAAAGTATATATATCTAAACGAAATGTATGCAGCTGCAGCAAGCTTTTAACTATTTGAATACTAGTACTTTTGATATATATTTGTAGCCAAACCAAGTTGCTATCTGTTACTGTACTGCTACCACAGTCACAATCACAAGGCCCATTCCTTGAATGATCAGTTAGTGAATGTTAAAGGGTTATAAACTTAATTCACATTTACCCTAAATGAAAAAGGGATTTTAGTCCATTGTCCACAAAATCAAATGCATTTTAAGTCAAACAGAAATGGTTTCGGAATTACTGATACTGTGACTTCTATTCATTTGAAAAGGTAATTGGGAATTTTCTGTATGATTAACTAGGAAAATGAGATTAAAAATAGCGAATTTGGAAAATAGAAGCATAATGGGAAAGACTTGGAGAAAGTGGACTTTACAAATTTTGAAACAAGGAAAGTCATGGGTTATAAATTGGCAGAGATGGCAAAAAAATTTTCAGAACATCTTTTATCATAATTGCCTTTGCTGCTGGGGAGGAAGGAGAATCATGGATCCAAAAAAGATAATAAAGATTCCACTTTATACAAAGCCATGAGTTGTTTATTGATTTAAATGGATATATTTTTACTGAATGTGTAAGCATCAGTCATTTCTTTTCTCCTTCCTTTTATTGACTGGGCACTGCAGATCTTTTGGAAATATATTCTTAAATAAATTAAGACTTTTAAAGCTTTAACTTTTTAAAACTATTTTGTGAGTTAGAGTTGTTGAAAACATGCTTGTACTTCCTACTTTAAGCTGTTTTGTGGGCCATAGTTTTACTTTAAAGTGTTTCTCCTTTCTAAGGAGTTTAGCTGGATAGTAGAAATGTGTCTGATTATCTGATTTGAGGAGTCACTGATTCTAATGGTAGCTTCCTGTAGTTTTAAGGTACTGCATATTTCTGTAGTTGAGTGTGTTGATATGTGTTTCAGTGCAGTTTTTTAAAATAGAGATGGGGGTCTCAGTATATTGCCCGGGCTGGCCTTGTACTCTTGGGCTCAAGCGAACCTTTCAGCTTGGCCCACCAAAGTTGTGGGCAGTTTAAAGAAAAATTCTATCCTTTGCATATGAATTCAGATGAATAGTTTTGGTAGTTTAATTAAAATCTGGGAGATTAATGACTAATGATGGATCTTGATGGAGGGTGATTTTTAGATTGGATCTGCTTAATCTTAATGATAGCAAATGGTGTTGACTGATTGCTTAATTGTAAAGTGTGCTGGAATTTGGTAGCCTCCTTTGTTACATTCTAGAAGAAAAATTCACTTTTAAAAAGATTATGAGTTCATATCCTTTGTAGGGACATGGATGAAGCTGGAAACCATCATTCTCAGCAAACTATCACAAGGACAAAAAACCAAACACCGCATGTTCTCACTCATAGGTGGGAATTGAGCAATAAGAACACATGAACACAGGAAGGGGAACATCACACACCGGGGCCTGTTGTGGGGTCGGGAGGAGGGATAGCATTTGGAGATATACCTAATGTTAAATGACGAGTTACTGGGTGCAGCACACCAACATGGCACATGTATATATATGTAACTAACCTGCACGTTGTACACATGTACCCTAAAACTTAAAGTATAATAATAAAAAAAGATGAATATTAACAGTAAGGAATTGATAAGGACACTAAGAAGATCTAGAGTCAAAATACTGATTCAGTTATGGAAGATCTTTAAGCAATCATACCTTTCTTTAACTATTTGAATACAGCATCTTACCAAACTCTGTATAAACTGGCAACAACACAAGGGCTGAAAGCTGGAACCCCTAGTAAAATAAAGATGTCTGATCACTGTGGGAGAATTCTAATAATTAGCGTAAATGTAAGTAATAGTTTGGAACACTAAAACTAGAAGACAATGAGACTGAAAAAAGATTGTCGTAAAATATCATGACAAAGAAAATCTGATGAGATTTGATATAATCCAGGCTTCAATACAGCTAAAGAGGAGATCAAAATGGAGGATTGGCCAATTTATTTTTCTGCCTCTCAGCTGTATGAATGCATGACAAATATGTTGCAGAGCCCTTCAGTCCTTAAAACTGTAAAGAAAATTTTATTTTGTTTATATTCCACCTTAATTAAAAATATTTAATAAGGCATTGTAAGATTACACCTTTATCTATAATTGGGACTTTGATTTTAAAATGTGACATATTTACCTTCTGGACTTCATTTGCTCATAATCCTCCATATCAAGACAGAAGGTGTTTTTGGCCTCAAATATCAGTCATGTGGGTGTTCACTGATATCCTGGAGCCAATTATACTACTGAGATAACTCTTAATAGGATTATGTCTTTCCTGTGGTTTATAATTATTACTGCTTCCATTGCTTTTAATTAAAATGTTACACTAGTACATATGAAACATCTGCATTCAAACTCAACATATAACTTTTAGCCAGTTCACCATGAATACATATATATTTATATGTATTGAGGAATTAAGTACTTTTATATGAAGTTATTTATTTTGTATCTCCCCAAATCAAGCTTCCTTTCATGGTTAGTACAAAAAGAAAACATTGTATTTAAACAGACCTGGGTTAGAATCCTGGCACTATTTTATTTTATTTGTGTGACTGTGGTCAGCTTCTTTCTTGGACTGCCATTTCTTCTTCTGTGAATTGAATTTAATCCTATGTATTTCATGCAATAGCTATAAGGATTAATTGGAGTCACATACACAAAATGCTTCAGACAGCATTTGTCACATAAATATATGCTTTTTTAATTGGTTACACTTATTTTAAATGTTATTACTGCGTCTATCATGTACATTATATAAACATCAATTGGCAAGAATTTGTTTTTGCTCTAGTAATCAACTAGTGGTATTGAAGTCTGTTAGAATCTATGAGAAAGGGAGGAGTTAATGAAGTTAAAAGATTATGAAAGAGGTGCATTATAGATTTATAAATGTTGCATATATCTATTGTGAAAAAGTTACTGAATTAACATTTGTCAATATTATGAGGGAGATTGGGGAGTTTCTGAAATTCAGATCAATTTAAAGAGACCCATTTCATTTCATTTCTGTCTAAAAATATGTTTTTAGTACCTGTTGTACTGCGAGCCCACTGGTGTAAGTTTCAGATGGTACAAAGGAAGTATATGGCCTAGGTTTTGTTTATACATGACTATTCACATCTATTACGTAGGTTAATAAGATTCAAATCCAGGCTAGCCCCATCCTTTTTTTACTGCAACATACATATGGATTGATTCTTCTGTGTTTTTCTGAGTGTTTTTGAGACTAGATCAGGGCTAATGCATAGGTGAAAATTATTTTTTGGCATTCTCATAGAAATGTAGAAGGCATTTGACATTAATTTTTTTCTGAAAAGAAATTCCTACATAATTAAAACAAACCCTTGTATTTCCATGTGCTAACTGGAGTAAACTCATCTTCTTTCTAAGCAAACATATTAGCTTCAAAAACAATTTTTTTCTAAACTTTTAAGCATCCCTAAACACACTGCATTTGCTTATGAATAACTCTTTTAGCTCCTAGGAAACAGTTGGTTGGAGATAACCTATTTTGCACCAGGAAAAGGTAAAGTGTGATCTTACTGAGAGATGACTCATATATTACACTTTTTATACTAGCTATAATAATTTCATTTCTTTGAGAATTTTACCTTGGCTGTGTAACAGCATTTTTGCTAGACTTTACCTCCATCATAATAATTAAAGAGACAATCTGTGTCCCTACCTCCCAGGTGCTTGGAAATTGATATTATAAGCACTTATGAATGTCCCCTTGAGGCACTCTTGACTGAGCCACTTTGAAGAAAAATCTCTTCATCAATAATTAATCCCTGAGGGCCACTTCTCAGGGGACCCACACAAAATTACATGTCAACTCCAGGCCTGATTTATATAGGAGGCGATCATGGATGGAGCCCTGACTGCACTTCCTCCTCCCCCCCATGTTTTATTCCTCACCTCTCTCTGCTGGTTCTCCTCCACCTCAACCCCTCAAAGCCCCCAGCACTTTTACTTCTCTCCCAAAACTTTATCCTCCAACTTACAACTCAGTGTACCTACACAGAATTGACTCACCCGGTAGATCTTAATCTTTATGAAATTCTTTAAGACTGACATGAAAAATTGTAGCATGTTAAAATTTATAGAAACATTACCATGCCTAATGAAAAGGTCGTGTGAAAATTGCCAGCAAAATAGTAGAATGTGTATTTACTATTTGTTAATTAAAATAAGTACATTTCCCAAGATACAGGATAAGCCTGGGGATAATTTTGCTCTATGCCATAGATCCCTTGCTCTCTGACCTTGTGGGAATCATTCAGCCACTGTGAAGAGTTTTCTGATCTTCAGTGAGTTTGCTGTTGATCAGTCTTTTAAGGATGGTTTGAAATAAAATATGGCAATGGTGAAATTGTTTGGAAATGTGACCTGGTGTGTGTTCATATTAAGGAAATGCTGAGATATTGGCTCCTCGATTTACATACTTGGTAGGATTGAGTGTACTATTTATACCAGCTGTATGAATTTCATGTGCTTATTCACCTGATTTTAAACTTTTTTAATGTCTGCTTGCTGCCTTTTCTTTTTTAATCTGATGAAGTAGCTAAATCTAAATTTCGCCTGAGAATACAAGAAAAGTTCAATCGTACTATATATGGCTGGAGTTCTGTGTAAGGGTGATCTGGAATTAACAAATTTACATTTTGTATGTTTAGGATTATGCTGTCTTTAACTAGAAATTAAGACCAGAGATTCGAAAAAGGAGATGGGACTCTTTATGCCAATTTCTTCAGTGTGTTTGTTGATTGATGATTGTAGGTGAAAACCATGGCATAAGCAATGGGGTCCCCAGAATTCAAGCTATACTAATCTGACTCCTTGTACCACAGTGACCTGAGAGCTTTGCGGGACTTCTTTCAGATATTTCTCTATGCCAAATATTGAGGAGTGCTGGGGTAAAAATTTAAACTTCTCCACAGTTCAAAGAAGAAAGGCATTCAGTTCCCCTTACAGATCTCTAGGGGTAACGTGTGTTACCGTTCACCACAAAATGTTCATTCCTGTTAACTTTTAGTGTAACCTTAGTGTAATAAAAGTGTTAACTTTTATTATGCTTTATTTCCCCGATTTGATTTTTAAATTATTTTTCATGATTATTACAGAAGATTTAAAACATACAAAAAACTAAAATCAAAAGATGACCCCAAAGATACATAGTCATCCCACTCAAGTCATCCACGTAATATTGATGTAGTACATTTCTTTCCTGTGCACGAGGTAATCTTTCCCTAAATACTTTTAGTCATATATAATTTGATATTTGTTTTCTTGTCCTATCAAAAGCATTTCTTTATATTCATATTAACTTCAGTTTTAAGTCACGGCGTAACATTCCTTGTGAGTGGAGATATCAAAATGTATTCAAGCCTCTCTCTTATTATCATACATTTACCTTGTTTTTTAGTAGTCAGTTATTAAGAACAATGTTTCAGCACAATTTTTTTTTATTTGCTTAAAGCATTGTGCTGGAAATACACTTGAGAGTGTTGGCTCAATGATATATAGTGCATTTTGGTTCTGCCGTTCTCGTTTGCATGCTTCAACTGAATTAAGTGTCTTTAAAAATATGTTTTAAAAAAGGAAAAGGGGACCATTTTGGGGTGCAAAGACAGAAGGAGCAAAATGGAAATGGAACCAGTTTAACCGTTTGCCTCATCTTCCTAACACTGATTCTAGGTAACAGAACGGGCAGGCATCTGGATGTAGTTCCCTTTGATGTGGATGTGACTTCCTTTTAACTCAGTGCTGATAATAGCGTTTCTTTCTGGAGAATGGCTTGACAGCGTGCATGGTTCCTAATTTTTTCTGCCCTGGGAGAAAAGGAAGAGTAAGGTTGGACCTCAGGTTGTTATCTTGGATGGAACATTCATAAACCTCAGATTATTGTCGTGAATGGATAAATCTCAGGTTGTTATCTAGAATGAGTAAATGTAATACTAACTGCAGCTGTCTCATTATGTGATGGAAACTTTTATATTATCCCAGCCTTCTCACCCTCACCCCAAGAACAAACCACTCTGGCAGACCAGATTCTCAAAGAATTATTTTATCCTAGCCTGCCTTTACTTTGAAGTATGGGTTGTCATGTGTGTGCATGTGCATATGCACTAGCATGTGTGTGTACATTTTCTTTTTTTTTTCTTCCTGGTACTCAGAGAAGAAAGGGTCCGTGAGTGTAACTACTTTTGACTCAACACATTTTTCTCCCACATACAAATTAAATGAAGCAAAACATACTTCTTCCTTGGGTGTGCCAACCAAAATGACTCTTGATTTTTGCTACATTTTAAAGCTAAAGTTTACTTGCAACCCAGACTCCAGACATTGGTATGCTTAAGGCTCTGTCTTTTCTGAAAGAGATAAAAACATTTGCAGAGAAAAATTTGTATGTAGCTCATGAAAATTAGTGCCCATCACCCCTTTCATTCCAAGACTGGACAGTAAGAAACAAAACTTAAGCATCCTTTATGCTTAAGATCACAATATTATAGGATCCTAGAAGGGAATCATCAATGGTAGGTATGACTACTTTAAGGATTTGAAATATTTTCAAGTTGATGTCTACATAGTACTACTAATTAATATAGCTGCTAGCAGCTGTATGAGTATGTATAAAATGATACCCTTTCAAGTGTTAATAAAAATTATTTTTTAAATAAACAATTAGGTGAAACTTTTGTGTGATTCGTTTAATTTGTATTTGTTTGAATATTGGTAAATTTTAAACATTTTTCCACATTTTAAAATATTTTGGGTTTTATTTTAAACAAATTATTTTAACAACATTTTAATGTAAGAGTAAAATAAAAAAATGTAAATAAGAATACAAATAAGAAAAGTAGAAGTATAACAGATTTTAAGAAAACTAGATGCTAATGTATCATGAGATCACAACAAAATGAATGTTATCTTGGAAACATAAAATCTCCCCAAACCTCAGATAAATTCAGAAACAGCAGTAGACTGATAACCTCTGTCCTTTATAATATTTATTGATGATGAGTAACAGATAATTAATATTTAGTCTGATTGTAGTGGAAGGACAGCATAGATTTGTGGTTAAGAGTATAGACTCTGGAATTAGAGTGCTAATGTTCACAGCCTAGCTCTGCCACTTACTAGTTTTGACCTTGGCAAATAACTTAAACATTTTTTGTTTCAGTTTTCTCATTGTAAAAGTGGGGATAGAAATCATACTTACATTACAGGATTGTTGTGTGGTTGAAGAAAATACTACAGATTCATCCTTTTTAATAGTTCCAGCATGTGGCAAGTATGCAATTAATATTAGGTATTAAATTATTAATAATGGCTACCACCTATTGTTTGACTTCAGTGATTTATCTCTTTGACAATATGTTATTTTAGTCTTCTTTAAAACACAGGAATTTACTCTCTTTTTTTAAATCTAAAATATTAATTTTTTCCTAATGTGCTAAGCACTGGTCTAGATGTTGTAAACACATTTTCAAACAAGACAGAAAAGAATTCTGCAGTCAATAAAATTGCATTCTAATGGAGGAACAATAGTAAAAAAAATTTCTTTAATATACAGTAATTTCAGATAATATCATGAGCTTTTGTAAAAATAAACCAAGAAAATGTGATGCAGAATGGCTAGTAGGGTCTTTTTTCACATGGTAGTCAGAGAAGGCCTCCCTGTAGAGGTGACATTTGAACTGAAATCTAGAAGATCATAAGAAGTCTGCTAGGGGCTTTTGAGGAAAAATGAAAGCAAATCAAAGAGGTGGGACTGAACTTTGGTAAACAAAAAAAGTAAGAGGTGTGGGGAACACAAATTTAATATGTAATGGCATTCAGTTTGAAATCACTATTAGATAGCACAGTAAAGATACCACGTAGGCAGCTGAAAGTAAACTTTTGGATGTCTGTAAAGAAGCCGTAGCTGGAGATAGAAATTGAGGAATTATTGACATAAAGATGTTATTTAAAGTCTTGGGACTGAGTAAGATTACTTAAAGACAGCGTAGCTCAACAAGGGACTGAGGACTTTAGGCATTAAGAAGAGGAGAAGATAGCCAAGAAACCAAGGGAGGAGGAAGGATGTGTATATAGTCAACTTTCTTGTCTGCTGTTGGGAGGGTAGTTGAGGGCATAAAGATTTCTTTTAACTTAGTAACATTGAAAAAGTGTGAGCTTGACAATAGCCATTGGGGAAAGAAGCCTAATAAAAATGGTTTGAGAAGAAAATAGAATGTGAGGAAGTAAGACAATGGCATTGGGAAATGCTGGAGAAAAGTTTTCCTGTAAAGGGGAACAGAAAATAGGGAAGTAGCTGGAGAGGGATAACAGAGCAGGTACATATATTAAGGGAAGAGTTGCAGTGGGGAAACTAGAGTTGAAAGACATAGACAGGATAATTACTTGTATAAAGGGATTCTTTTGGTGAGAGGGAATAGGATTGATAATATAAGGTTTAGAATAGGTGGTGAGACAGAGGTGGCACATTGGGTGGCGGAACAAAAAATAAGTTCCCTCTTCCAATGGATGGTTTTAATTTTCTCAATAAGAGTATGAGGCAGGATTACCAACTGAGGGTGAGAGGAAAACAGGCTGTAAAAGTTTGAAGAACAGGTGAAAGTATGAATAGATTTTCTGTAAAGTAGGATAATGAAAATAATAAGTATAGTAGGATTGTTAGGCAGTATTTATTTTCTACTTGATGCTTGCAGTCAAGAATTGAACATGAGAGCAGTGAACATAATAGTGGATTGTTCTCCATCCACTTTTAACTGCTTGGGTTCAGGCAAATAAGATGTAAAGAGATAAGTTTAAGTGGATTAGTTTTGCTTGGGCAATAAAGTTGGAGTGAGAGAAGAGTAGGGAATTAAGGATGTTGTGAAGAAGTCATAATAGTGTATCATGGAAGCTGATCTGAGGGACGTCAGCATAGGAGAATGAGATGACTACTGAAAACACCAGTGATACGCTCCATGGATTGATGGTTTCAGGAAGGTCAGATAATTCTTGGAAAGTGGAATGTTGTCAGAGGTAAAGATTGGAGTGGTATGTTTGAAATAAAGCTTTTAGAGATAGTGCGATAATCATGGTAAAGTCAAGACTATAACCAAGGGTGATGGTGGCTGCAGTGGGGTGGAAGAACAAGAATTATTGGTGGTGAGATGGTGAGTAAAAAGAGGCAGATGCTAAATGAGCCAAGAGTCTGTTGAAGTCACTAAGACTGGTGTAAAAAATTGAGTGGAGTTGAAGACATAGAGAATTAGATGTTAAATTCTCACTGAATCTGGGTAGAGGGTGTGGTGGCAACCCCCTGGGGTTGGTAGATGACAGAAGCACTGAGTTATAGGGAGTAGAACACAGAGGAAATATGATGGGAAGATACATAAGAAAGGACAGCCAGGCCAGGTACGATGACTTACGCCTGTAATCCCAGCACTTTGGGAGGCCAAGTGGTGTGGATTGTTTGAACTCAGGAGTTCAAGACCAGCCCGGGCAATAGGGCAAAACCCCATCTCTACAACACATACCAAAATTAGATTGGTGTGCTGGTGTGTGCCTGTAATCCTAGCTACTTGGGAGGCTGAGGCGGGAGGATTGCTTGAGCCTGAGAGATGGAAGCTGCAGTAAGCCATGATTACACCACTGCACTCCAGCTTGGGCAACAGAGTGACGCCTTGTCTCCAAAAAGAAAGGGGAAAAAAATGAAAAGATAGCCTTATGACTATGCAGACAGTGATTGGAGTGATGCATCAACCAGCCAGAGGATAACAAGGATTGCCAGAACCTAGAAGAGACAACAAAGAATTCTCCCCTACAGATTTCAGAGGGAATATGACAAGGTTGACACCTTTACTTTAGACTTCTAGACTTGAGAATGAGTGAGGCAGTAAATTTCTGTTTTAAGCCACTAAGTTTGTGTAATTTTTTTAATGGCAGCCCAAGAAAATGAATACAAATTTTGATGTGAACTGCAAAGGAGCTGGGATATTTGTGGAAGGAAGAAAGGAAGGAAGGAAAGAGGAAGGACAAAGAACGTAAGGAAGGGAGGGAGGAGGAAGCAGGGGAGGACCTCAGATACTTTGATATTAGGAATAAATGAGACTGGGGATAACTAACATTTGTAAGAGACAGTATTTATTAAATTCAAATTTTTGTAGTTGAAGGAAGTAATTGGGGTTGACTATTCCTAAATATGAAGAATCCTAAATATGCTATTAAAGTCCTGGTTCTGGCACTTTTGAGCTTTGTGAACTTAAGCTAATTTCCCCATCTATAAAATCGAGATCGTGATCCTTGTTCTGCTTATCTTATAATGTTGTTGTTTGGAAGAAATAAGTTAAGAACAAATGCAAATGTAAGCTGTTACTATCATGAAGTTGCTTAACTTCCAGATATGCACAGTCCTTATATGAAGGGAAAAGATGTTTGTTATCAAATATGGAAAAGAACCAGGTAGATAATTTTTTAAAACCCACACTAAAAATTAAACACAGCAGTTCCCCTTCATCCAATTTTTGCTTTTTGTAGTTTTAGGTCTGAAAATATTAAATGTGAAATTCCAGAAATAAATAATTCATAAGTTTTAAATTGCACGATTTTGGGTAATGTGATGAAATCTTTCATTGTTCCGCTCCTTCCTGCCCAGCCCATGACTCATCGCTTTGTCCAGCCAGGGTCTCCACACTTTCTAAGCTCCCTGCCTGCTAGTCACTTAGTAACCATGCTAGTTCTCAGATGACTGTGGCAATATTGGAGTCCTTTGTATTCAAGAAACGCATATTTTACTTAATAATGGCTCTAGAGTGCAACAGTAGTGATGGAGACAATTCATATATGCCAAAGAGAAGCAGTAAAGTGCTTCCTCAAGTGAAAATGTGAAAATTCTTTACTTAAGGAAAGATACTGAGATTGCTAAGATCTATGGTAAGAATGAATCTTCTGTCCCTGAAGCTGTGAAGAAGGAAAAAGAAATTCTTGCAAGTTTTGCAGTTGCACCACAGGCTGTAAAAGTTACAGTTCATGAGAAGTGCTCAGTTACAACGGAAAAAGCATTGAAAACAAATATATATGTAGGGTTCAATACTATCTGCAGTTTCAGACATCCACTGGGGGAGTCTTGGAACATATCCCCGTGGATTAGGGTGGACTCCTGTATACATTTTTCGAAAGCTTAAGTTACCAACAAAACATATTATTCCATAGTTCAATTTTATAAGTAATTTTTAAGTACTTGCTGTATCTTGGGAACTATATTAAGTACCACTTAGAGTCTGGTTAGAAAGATAAATGCATCTCCTCTAAATGTGCTTTTGATACAGAACAGAAGATGAGGCAATTTCACCAATAATTATATATCAAGACAGAAAGTCATAAGTACTTGGGGATGATGGTTCAGAATTATGGTGTAAGAGTTAAAATAAGCATGTTATAAATTCACATTCATGCAACTTAATAATTTAGTTTTACACCATTATTTAGATTATATTTAATAAATGATAAAGAAATTCATATAAGTTTTGTTACAGTTTCCCTTCACCTTCACCTCAATATCCAGTAATTTAGGGGCCAGAAAATGAATTAGGTGATCATTTTCCAAGGACAGGTGAAGGAAGGCTGTCCTGGCTGAAATGGGTCAGGTGTGAGGCAGGTGTAAGTATAGGAGCTGGCAGAGTTAGAATTAATAGGGATCATCATGGATCTATGCACTCAGAGCATTTTTTTTTCTTGTTCCCTACTTAAGAACATGTTTCCAGTCTTAAAAAGATGTATCCGTTTCAGAAATGGTGAAACCAAGGACATAGAAAGGTTAAATGGTTTGATTAAAGTCAGTAGTGAACTGGAAACTAAAATCTATGAATATGAGCTCAGTTTTACATTGCTGTTTATTCAGACATTAAAATACATGACATGAAAATTAGGAATCATAGAGGTATAGAAGTGGGAAGTCCTTCAAAAGTTACCTCATTTTTCCTGACCGTATGTATTCACTGAGTTTCTCAATAAGATGTTTAATATTCGGTTCTTCAAGGAGTCCTTCACATGTGTAAATGAAGCAAGGTATGAATGGCGTCTAATCCACAGGCCAGATGGTTGCAGTGGAGGGAGCTGATGAGATATCATCAATCACTTCTCTACATCATGTCAAATGACCAGTTTTGTCCTTTGCCGGCCACTTTGGCAGCTGACAGGACAGAATCTTTATTTGTTGGGAAATTTGGAAAAAGAAATAGGCAAACTGGATTACCGGACTGGAATTGGTTTTGGGATTCTATATCGTGTTTTCTTTTCTTTAAAGTCTGTATACATTTAGATGTGTTATAAAACTGATTCACTGGAGCCCTTGACTGAAGGACATTTTTCTTTTTATTTCTACTTTATAATGATAATGATGTCATTGTCAAGAAAACCAGTTCATATTGAGGACTGAAAAAATATAATGACAAGGATATGATCTAAGGTTAATTTTATATTAGTCTAACCCTTGCTCCCTTTGCATCTTTAGTCCTGTATAATTTTGAATTAATTATGCTACAGGAGCAAATAGTTAGAGGTGCATATTGGGTAATTATAATTTGCACTACAGTGTTCAAAACAAAGCAATTCTAGTCTAGTTCTCAGTTAATCTGAAAGTGAAATAAATCCAGAATCTATGAAATTCTTTATTTTATCAATTCTAAAATAGTATACTTCCATAAAAACATATATTGGGCTTAAAATAAATATAATTTTAGGTTTGGTAACTTTAATTGTGTAAGTCAACTTTCCTGGAGAAATTAGATTACATTGACTATGCAGGTGCCCTTGCTATTACTCAAGATCAGTAGTGCCTTTTAATACCCATGGCAACTGATTTGGATTGATATGGAATTTTGAGTACAAACTGTAAGGGAGTAATAACTTTCAGTAGGTTCTTAGTTGGAACATACCCCTATTATGAAAGATGGATTAACAAGAGAAAAGTAAACAAGCTGATTAACATATATATTTCACAAGTACATGGGAGATACCCAGAGAATGAGTAGTTTTCCCAGAAGTGGTTTTGAAATAGCTCCTTCAACAAAGAACAGTACATTTTTAGAGAACTGAAAAGACAAAGGATGGCAACTTGAGGAGAAGGCAAATGCATGGCAGACAAAAGTTAGTAAAACTTGTTAATATAAATTCCTCTGGTACTGTTGCTAGGCTGATAAGGGTCTAAAGCTGTCTTTGGTGGTTAACCTTTTTTCTTTTTGGTAGAGAGGTGGGCAGGATACCATTTTCTTTGTAAATCTATCTACTGCTTTTAGGCAAATAAAGGGAGGCCAGAGAACTCTCCTGTGTTTCTTCTTAACTGCCTTCAGTGCAATAACCCTTCATATTTTGGGAAGGTATATTCTGGTCTCCCACACTTCCATTATGATTAAGATATTGTCACTGAAATGTTATGATTACCTTGCCACCCAGTGGATCCTGTATAATCATTTCTGAATTATTCCATTGTTTTAATAATGACATCTTTAAATGTGTTTGATTTCCATCATGATAGTACATGCATATCATAAACATTTAAAAATAAACAAACAACTTTGTGGAATAGTGGTTCTATTCCTCCCAGTGATATGATGGTAAACTAGTAAATGGGAGTTAGGGGAGGGATGGTGCAGAGAAGGGACATCCTGATGTGTAGCCCTTCCTGATTACCCTGGGGTAAATACAGCCTCTGTTGCTGATTTTAAGCCCTCCCTAAGAATAGGGAGTTGGAAATAGATGTTAGCTATCCTCTCTCCAGTGCCCACTGGGTCTAGCTTTCACCTCACCCCTCTCCATCTTCTCCTATTTCCCTTTCTAGAAGCAACACTTTAGCTGTTTCTCTTAATTCATTTGCTAGTAAAATTCAAATTTTTATTCAGCCGTCAGATTTTTGGACAGTTAAAATGTTGTTGTTGGCCATTTGCCTAGCAGTCTTGGAAAGGCAGCTTTTTAAAAGGCTGCCTAAAGTTTGAATTAACATTTTAAAACTCTAGATATTTGGATTTCTTAGTTCCTCTAGTATAGTTTGAAGTAATTTAAAATTACCAAACAATGGGCCTGAATGTGAAAAAAGATGAATTGTAAGACAGTATCAAGAAAGATTTTCTAAGGAATAGTTTTAAAAAGATACTGTTGATATTAAACATACTTATATGTTAATATATAATTAACTTAATAACCAAGGACATTTACTTAGCGTTGTCCATGTTAGATATTGATTTGCTAGACCAACATGTTTTGACCATTTCAAGATTCTGGTTATGACAAAAACTCAAATTTGGAATTGATAGACAGAACTGATCCATAAATTGTGAGAAACACCATTTACATACGTTTCTAAAAATTTTCACATGCTTCATCCAGCTCTATAACCTGCATTTTAGGGGGTTATCATTCATTCGGATTAAAACTTTTAAAAATAAATATGTATTATATTCAGTAAAACAAATTTTAAAGCAAAAGAAATCGGAGCTATTTCATTCTTTGTGATATTGTTAAATATAGATTGTTTCTAGTTTTCAAGTTTTAATTTTGCTTCGTAGTAAATAAGAGATGTATTATCAAGCCTTTTCTTACTTAAATCTTAACAAGTGTGTAAATAGTATGAATGTTGCTCACAACCCACACTGTTTGTAATTAAGTGGCAAACTTATTAATTTCCATCACAGAAGTCTCCCATTAAGTCAAATTCTCTTCTGTGCCAGCCCAGTAACCTTAATTACGATGCAATATTTATCATCCTTTGGAATAATGTTTATATCTTTGAGTAAGTCTAAGTGTTAGGAAGGTTTAAAGAAAGCGTGGAACTATGTAGTGTTGGGAGGTACCTCTTTCTAAACACCTGGAAGTTATTGCAGTTATTTAGATTGAAATGAAAAATAATAGCTGTTTGTTTTCTAGTGGTATGCTCCATTTAAGAAAAGTCTTAAAAGGTAGATTGTTTTGTTTAGTATGCTCCTTTAGGAAAATATTCTGTGTCTAAAATAATAAAGAAATCTCATTAGAATCTGAATGTTACTAATTTGATGAAATTACCTCTTATTATATAGCAACATACCCCTGCTTTTAATTTATTTTCAGTCTTAATCTTTAAAATGACAGAGAAAGTGTAGGAAGCATTGTATTAAAGTGATGGTGATAATTTACATATCTTTGAGATGAATAACATTTCAATGGAAACAGCAAACTTAATGATTAAAGAATTACTTGACATGTGGGCATCCTGTAATCTTTCCTATGGAAATTAAAGAAAACCAGTTTTACCCAGTAAATCCAAAACACTGAACTTCTGACCTCTTATGCCTCTCTGGTCTATATTATTTATGCATCTTCTAATTCTTGCTCTTATGCTACTTTCAAGTATGGTTTCTTATCAGAAGTAGGCTCGTAGGCAATGTAAAGTCATGGATAATTCAAAGTATTCAGGAGCCTCATTGTAGTGATATTTTTGTATGAGTGTGGTGATGTCATAGAGTTAGGAGACTTGGTTCTAATCTTGACTCAGTCTTTAATATGGATTGTTCTTTTACTTCACTAGGCGCATCTGTAAATAGAGGTCCCTTGTGGCTCTTACACTCTAAGGAGATACAATTCAATTTATTGCAAGTCTCTATATTTATGCCTTATATAAGTTCCTGGAGATACTGAGAAGGGTAATAGCCAGTCATCATACTCAGTAAGCTGAAAGGCTAGTGGGGCAGACAGGCATATAAGCAGAGAATTTTAGACTATGTGGATTTCAATTGGAATACAAGAATTTGAGGGTTTAATAATATATGTAAACTATTTTATAAATTGATAAATATTAAACCCAGAATTTCTATTTTAATGGAAGTAGCATTACCTGACATTTCTGAATGGTAAATGTATTTTTGATACCAGAGCATCTGTGATTTTTTTACAATTAAAGAAAAATCTTAGCTTTTTAGACAAGATGTGTGAACTTAATTCAAATCCAACAATTAATTGAAAGGCACTGGAGACATGCTGTATTTCACTGTCAGTTTTTTGTTATTGTTGCTGCTTATATGTCATTTGTAAGATGACACCATTATTCAAGTGATGAGCCAAACAGTACTAAATATTTTTTTCTAAGCCAGTTTTCTATCCCAACTTTTATTTTCTGTGCATACTATTCCCCTTATAATCACAAATTGTTAATATGGGAGGTGTATTTACTTTTCTGTCTCTTTACAACCTATACTCATTGTTATCAAGTCCTGCTAGAGCTTCCTTAACAATATTTCTGAGGTTTGTCTCTTTCTTTTCATTTGAAGTAACACTATATAAGCAATGTGTACCAGGAAGTTTGGTATATATTGTGGCTTAATCAGCATATAATAGACTTTTCTTTAATCTGACTTATTTCAGGTCTTGTTTCTGTAGCTGCACCAGCGCAAAATTGATTTCAGTATTTACAGTGAATATGCAGCAATCGTTGAGTTACTACATTAAAATGAAACTAATATTAGCTGCCCATAGAAGAAGTACAGAGTAGTGAATAACAGTCCATAATCTGAAGCCAAAATATGTGGGTTAAGAATCTCTGTTACTTCCTGGGGAAGTTACTCAATCTCCTTGTGATTTAGTTTTCTCATCTGTACTTGAAAAACACTTGAAGGGGTGCCTGGCATACTGTAAGCTCTCATTCAACATCAGGTATTACCAAATAGTCATCTGATATAAGAACATTAAAAAATGTTCTTATATCATTTTTTAATATAATTTTTTTCGAATAAAAGACATTATAAAATTTTGATAAAAAGTTGCTAAACTGTCTTATTGTTGAAGTATATATTAGACTGAGAACACATCCAGAAATCAAGTTAGAATATTAATAGAGATAGGGTGTTTTGCATGGTGTATCTTGGGAGCACAGAAATGTGTTATCTACTGCGGCTTGATAGGAGGGAGGGATTTAACAGACTGGTTGGAAGTGTGGATTTTGGGGAGGGAGTTGTGTGCATGGGAGATTTTCAAAAAACAGTTTGCAAAGGAGCATTGGATATATTTTATTCACATCATTATGCTATATTGTAAAAAAATTATGTCAGTTAAAATGGAGAAACCTATTAGCAGTCAATGAATGGAGATGAAAATGAATTACTTTTTTTGTGCTGGCACAATAAAATTTCCATTGATCATTCTTTGAAATGAGTAAGTTTTGGTTTAGGATTTTTGACATTTGATGGATTTCAAGAAAAATACTTAAGCTGATGTGATTTCCCACTTATCTTTTAAGTACATAAGCCAAATGCTTTTATTTTGAAGTTTCCATGCACCCTGGTTTTGAATATTTTGCCTTGTTGATTGGACTATCAGTCCTTCCCATACCTAGTTGACCACCAGAATCACCTTGGGCACTGTAAAAACCAGGTGTTGGGGTATAACATGGGAAAAATTGCTAAAAGCGGCTTAAAGAAGACAGAACTTTATTTATTCCTCATGTAAAAGAAGTCCAGAGATAGATACTAGAGTGCGTATAGCACCTTTTTGTTGTCAACAGGTTTCTGTCTTTCCATTCTGATATCCTCAAGTTCACCTCTCTGTTGAAGTTAGCAGCTAGAGCTCCAAAAGCAGAGAAGAACAGGAAAAACAAGGTATACCTCTCCCTTTAATGAGACTCCTTAAAAGATACACACTTCTAAATGCATATTATTTCCTGGTACTTAGCTGAATGGCTTGTCAAAGCCTGGGAATTATAGTCTGTAGCTGAGAACTATGGCTCCCAAAATGTAATAGGGGTTTGCTACTAAGAAGGAAGGATGGAGTGCATACTGAGGCAGGAGAGCTGCAAAGTCTGCCACAGACATTTGTTAAACTGATTGATTCCCAAGGCCTATCCATGTATAATTGATAGATGTGTAGGGAAATCTGAGATATTCTGATGCAGCTGATTTATTCAGGAGTATCTGTGATAAGTTAACTTTTTCTACTTTAAAGCCCATGGTCCCATGACCACGTATCAATCTCTAATACATTTACCTAAGATTCCTATATAAAAGTGAGTAAAGAAATTACGTATTGCCATTTTGAAAATTTTTCTGTATTGTTTGTCCAGGTGCTCTATAAAATTAAGCCATGTGAAGGAGTGGCCACTAGAGTATGATACTCTTACTGGAATTCTGCATACACTCAAGGTGGGACACTAGGGAATAGATGTACATTTTGTATTGGGGGTTCCAAGACCACCTCCAGGCACAATTGATTTACTATAAATACCCTCAGGATATAGAAGTTGTTGTATTCATGGTTATAGTTTATTATGGTGAAAGAATAAATTAAAAGAAACAAAGGGAAAAGGCGCATTTGTCAAAGTTCAGAGGAAGTCACCCACAAGCTTTCAGTTGTCCTCTCCCAATGGAGTTACATGGCACACATTTAATTCTTCCAGCAAATGATGTGTGACAACATGTGAAGAGTTGCCAATAAGGGAAGCTCACCCAAACCTTAGTATCCAGGGTTTTTAATTGCGTGTTAGTCATGTATACATATAGTGCTGTGTGACTGACTTCAGTTATTCAAGGTTCAGACCACCAGAGAAAAAGCAGATACTCATCATTAATCACACTGTTAATGTAAACTAGCCAACTGTTACAACGTGGCCCAAGGCCTTTGGCATTAAAAAAAAAAACAAAACAAAACACTCTTGTCTGACAGAATAGTCACAGCTTGGTTCCTAGGAGTGAGCTGAGGGCCACTTCTTCTGAAAACAAGCCTTTCTTGGGAATGCTTAGTGTATTAGTCTGTTCTCACGCTGCTGATTAAGACATACCTGAAACTGGATAATTTATAAAGGAAAGAGGTTTGATGGATTCAGAGTTCCACATGGCTGGGGTGGCTTCACAATCATGTTGGAAGGCAAAGGAGGAGCAAAGGCACATCTTACATGGTGGCAGGCAAGAAAGCTTATGCAGAGGAACCACCATGTAGAAAACCATCAGATCTCATGAGACGTATTCACTACCATGAAAACAGTGTGGGGAAACCTCCCTGATGATTCAGTTACCTTCACCTAGCCCCACCCGTGTGACATGGGGATTATTACAGTTCAAGGTGGGTTTGGTTGGGGACACAGTCAAACCATATTGCTCAGGATTTGAGCAACTCAGGCCTATCAGGTTCTTTCCTGTACACATTTCCACCTGAAACAATAAAAAAGAAACAAAATATATGAAACAATTATTTTTAAGATACTGGCTATCAAGCAATGAAATACAGTGTTCCCTGAGAAACATAAACAAATGAAGGAAACCCTAATATTTTTCTAGTTTATCCTCTTGAGAGAGTTTATAGGCTGCAGATCAGAAGGGGGAAACCACACAAAGCCTGGTGGAATCCTTCAATTGGAGAGACAGAGCTGAAAGTCTAGGGAGACCAAGGAAGCTAGAGTTTGTAGAACAGAACAACAGAGAGGCTAGAGCTGCTCAGAGAGAAACCTGCAGATCAGCAGAGGGTTCCCCTTGAGTACTCCACAGAGTAATGATTAGTATACGCATGTGGGAAAATGACCCATGGCTGCGTAAAGAACAGTCCGACGGAACTAGCACTCACATGGGTCTGGGAATAATGCCTCCTCCCACCAGCCAGACTGGAAAACTTCATGATTCATACGACATTGGGTATTCAGAAGTTTTTTGCCTCAGTAGTGGGAAATAATTAGCCCCAGAGCAAATGCTGCTTGATTCCCTCCTCACAAAGCTTAAAACCAAGACCTGAGAGGATCAAATCATTTTCAAATAATTCAATTATGTCCTAGAACAAAACTCAAAAACATTTATAGGAATGCGAAAATATCATGTACCCAATATGGTAAAATTCACAATGTCTATCATCCAATTAAAAATAACTAGGCATGAAAGGATGCAGGAAAATACCACCCATAATGAGGATAAAAATTAATGTATTGAGACAAATCCAAAGCCGACACAGATGTTAAATTAGCAGAGAAGAACATTAAAACTGTCATTATAACTGTATTCTATATGTTCAAAAAATGAAGTAGAGGTGTGCAAAATAGATAGGAGACCCAAATTGAACTTCTAAAGATGGCAACTGTAAGGAGATGAAAAACACACTGGATAATATTGAAGACAGATTAGACACTGCAGAAGAAAAGATAGTTAACTTGAGGACATAGCAATAAAAACTCTAAAATGAAACACAGAGAGAGAAAAAAATGAAAAGACTATCAGTGAGCTGTGGAACAACTTCGAGTGGCCTCATATACATGTAAATGGAATTTCCCCAGAGATGAGAGTGAAGCAGTGGGAGGAGAGAAGAAGAAAATATTTGTAAAAATGAATTTGTAAATCCAAGAAGCCCAGTGAAACCTAAGCAGAAGAAATATAAAGAAAACAACGCCGAGGCACATCATAATCAAATTGGTCAAAACTAGTGATAAAGAGTTTATCTTCAGAGCGGCTAGAGGAAAAAAACAGGTGTACTGGATACAGAAGAACAAAGATAAAGCAATAGCAGATTTATTGTTGGAAATAATGCAAGTGAGAAGACATTTAAAGTATCAGGGAACAAAAACTTTCAGTGTAGAATTCTATTATCCAGTGAAATTAGAGTTCAAAAACCAGGGCAAAGTAGAGACTTTTTCAGGCATACAAAAGTTGCAAACATTTATAAGCAGCAGACCCGCATTACAAGAAATATTAAAGGAAATCACATCCTTCAGGCAAAAGGAAACAATAGTAGGTAAAAATAGGGGTTTGCACCAAGGATTACATAATTGCAAAAATGGTAACTACATAGGTAGATATATGATTTTTACTTACTATTTAAACCTCATTAAGAGAATTGGTCATTTAAATTAAACAGTAAAGTATGGGGTTTATAACACATATACAAGTAAAATGCTATATGAATAATCTTTGAAGACATTATGCTAAGTGAAAGAAACCATTTACAAAAAAACAACATATTGTATGATTCCATTTATATGACATGTCCAAAACAGACAAATCCAAAGAGTTAGAAAGTAGATTAATGGTGCTTAAATCTGGAGGTTTGGGGAAAACTGGAAGTGACTGATAATGGGTACATGTTTTTGGCAGGGATATGTTTGATGAAATGTTTTAAAATTGACTATGGTGATGGTTGCACAGCTTTGTAGGTATACTAAAATTCATGAATTATATACTTAAAATAGGTGAATCATGTGTAAGTGAATTATATCTCAATAAAGCTATTGTAAAAAAGTAATACTTTACCTATGAAGAAAAAAATAAAGTCACTTAAATATGAGACGGGGAGAAGTAAAACCTAACAATGCACAAAGAATGTTGGGTAACATGCACATCATCGGTGAGACTTGACAAGAGCATTTGCAGTAGTGGTAGGAAAGTGAAGACTCAGTGGGTAGCTGAATGTTTCTCTTTTTCACTTTAAATTGGAGATATGTATGCATTCTTCTGTGATCTGTTCATGCCCTTTTCCAGCTTATCTGATAATATTTTCCTGTTTTCTTATCCATTTATGTGAGCTTTATATAAGAGACTAACACTATGTCATTTTTGATTAATTTGATTGATATAGTTCAATGAGTGTTTGGAACAGGATTTCTAAATAGGACGTGAAATCAAATGTTAATCTCTAAGAGTCCATTCCAACTCTAATATACTAAATCCTAGGGACCCAAAAAAGATGCCAAGTTAATTTTATTAATCCCTGGAAAGAAGCTAGATTAGGTCAAATAGTATGTAATTACAGTGTAAGATTGGGTGTTATATTTTTATATCTTGCTTTAGGTATAAACTTAAATTATTTTAAGTGAGATATTTGTTCTCTTAAATTGGAATTCCTAGGTTGTTTTTGGTAAAAAAATTGGGATATCTTGATGTGACTCCATACTGCATATACAGCTAATACTACTGTTTAAATGGAAAGCATTCTCTCTAGGCATTGAAACAAAGTGTATTAATTAAGAATACAAAATATTACTTATTAAGGAAATAAAAGTAGCTTAAATAGTAATTGTATGCATGAACTTTAAATTCATAAATTTCATGATTTTAAATAGTCCAACTCCTCAACTCACCCAATTCCCCAACTCCTCAGCTCCTTGCTCTACTCTGATCCTTCTCAAAAAATAGATATGATAATCCTTCAATTAATAAAATCCAGAAATGAAAACTCATTTTTATCATATCAGTTCTTATTTTTAACATAAGTCACTTGCCAGCCCATATATATATTTCCTTTTAGCTGTTAACCATATAGATGAAGGGCAACTAGTCACGCTATGATTTATTACAGTTTTGTGAACCTGAAAATCATGCTACTTCCTCTATTTACTTAATTTGTAAAACATTTAAACTCAGTTAGCCCAGGTCCTGCTTTCATCTTTCCCTTGAAGTCCTGTTTTCCAGCATCTCTATTTGTTGACTGGTATTAAATAATTTTAGCATGCTGGTATACACTTAGCCTCTTTTGAACTAAAATAACCCTTGGTCTTGTGAGCAGTGTCTTTTGTAAATGAGAGTATTTTATACACAAAAGGTACTAGATTAAAGGTAAATCATAATACTTTTCATACTACTTGAAAAAGGCCCTCTAAGGCCAATTTTACATAGGAGCCAGGCAATTTCTGTAAAGCAAGTTTTGAGGTAAATTGACTAATTTGTTTTGAATGAAAAAAAGTATAAATGCTAAAATATAGATTTTCTTACCCAATGAACTGGTGAATTTTTTTGGTAACGTAATAATCCCTATCAACTTTCTTTTCACATAATTCTGTCTTGGGATTTTGTATAAATTTATACATATGTTCAACTTTTTGCAAATGCAAGATATTCCAACGTGTATTTTCATAGTTACACATTTTCTACATACTGGTTTTAATTTAAATATGTAATATATGGATGCTTTGCCACATTATATTAAATTGAAAATAGTTTATAATTAAAGTAATGAAATTTTAAAATAAAGTACAGTATAGGTTATCCCATTTTATATATTTTTGATATCTCTTTATAAGTGTTTGCATTTGACACTTTATTTCTCAATTCCTATAATAAAAATATACAAACAGTATATATAAAGTATATATGTTATTAATGTTTTGCTGTTTAAATTGTTTAAAGAATAAAGATATATAATTAATAGCTAGTGTTACATTATTTGGTAATATTGTTTTCTTTTCTTTTCTTAAATTAAGCAATACTTTAAAATATCTCCTTTGGTTATTCTGAAGTTTCTTCTTGATAAAATAAAATGGTACAGTCAACATGGTACCATTTGAACTCTTAGGCTAAAGGTGACTTTAAGTTGATGCCCAATATTAATAGTATTTGCATACTTCCACAGGTGGTGGAATCCTTTCCTTGTCTGTTATGAACTGTTTATGTCCCCTCAAAATTCATATGTTGAAGACTTAACTTCCAATGTGTGGTATTTGAAGATGGAGCCTTTAGAAGGTAGCTAGGGGTAGATGAGGTCATGAGGGTGGGACCCTCATAGTGGGATTAGTGCTTCTTATAAGAAAAGACTACAGAGAGCTTTCTCTCATTCTCATCCTCTCTCTCTGCAACATGATCACACTGCAAAAAGGTGGCTGTGAGTGAGTCAGAAGAGGGAAAAGGATTCTTACCTGGAACCAAATTGTCAGGCACCTTGATCTTAGACTTTCCAGCCTCTCTAACTGTGAGAAATAAAGATCTGTTGTTTAAGCCACCCAGCTTATGGAATTCTGTTATAAAAGCCTGAACAGACTAAATTGTCTATGTCAGAATTAGTCACTACCTTTGGCATGCTCTGTTCTGTATTAAGAATTGTGAGGTTAATATCAGATGTTATTATTCTTGTGTTTGAATTGTCAATCTTTTCTGAAAGACAATAAAAAGACTTTTTTTTTCACATAGAGATCATTTAGGCACCTGTTGTGTGGTGTGTATTTTAGAAGTGAAGGAGAGTCACACACTGGGCCTTGCAAAGACAGACGAAGAGCTTCCTCTGGCTCACCTTACCTTGTTGAGTGTGAGAGTGACATAATAGACATGATATTTTAAAATGTGTAAACTATTTGTGTTAACTATATGCTCAGTAGAAATGAATCAAATATTCCAGGCGATATGATGAGCATTCTGAAGGGATTCATTTATTTTCAGTTGATAACATTTTTTGATGTTTTACAAATTCATCATTTTTCATCTGACATGCCCTTCCTGGGAAGGAAATGTAATGTAAATTTACCTAAACATGTTGGGACCAAAGACCCATGAGTTATATACAGTTCTATGGATTATAAAATGATATCTCCATTGCTATATATATATATATATATATATATATATATATGCGATGGATATTAAAATCTGTTTTTGAATTTCATGACCCTTCCACACTGCCATATTAATTTGCAAAAAGCATATTGTATTTTCAGGCAGTCTGCCTTTGAAATTGCAGGGCTTAGGGCAATGATAAGTTCAGAGACCCATGACTCAGTCAGTGATTTGGTTTCCTCTGAGATACATCTCTATTTTTTGTACTACCTTATTTATAGATATTTTCTCACCTGTTGTCTTCATCCTTTTTCTATATTCCTGTACTTAAAAATATGATTCCCATGTATACATTCAGAATTGACAATATAGGAATATGAGTATACATTGGGTTAATAGTGGCTAAAACCTAGTTCTATTACATACATAGATAACATGTGGTAAGCACTTACTGCATGCACCACTCTAAACATCTTTTGCATTATCTTATTTAATCATCACAACAACCCTATGGGGTAAGTACTATTACTAATCACCATTTTACAGTTGAAGGAGTAGAGAGCTTGAGAGTTTAAATAACCAACAAGAATAGTAGAGCTAAGATAGAAACCCAAATTTAATCTCAAACACTATGCATATTGCTTAGTGAATACTTAACAAAATGAAAGTTGTAAGATTTAGGACTATCAGAGATTCTTTCCTTCATAAATTTTTAATCAACTGCAGTGAGTTACCCACTGTGCATAAAGGGAAAATTGGCCTTTGTACAGAGCTAGTAAAATGGGAAAAAAAGTATGATAAGTTACTTGGAAAAGTAGAACAACCTAGGGGCTTAGAAACCTGTGTCTGGGCAAAGAATGGAAGTACATTTAAAAAATTATTAGGTAAATGTAAGTCTTTGACCAGGACTGATTACCATGGGTTTCTGAAATTTTCAGACTCTAAGGTTGATTGTATCTCAAGTGTGAACCTAGGATGCAAAATAAAGCTGCATTCTCTCCTCTTCTGTTCCCTACCTAGCAGGAGATGGGCCGTATCAGTTCTGAGCTTATTCAAGAACCAAAGATACCTTTGTGAATTTCTGAGATATTAATTAAATCACTCTACACTATGACTAATGAGAGACATGGAGAAGCGTGGGATAACTGGCTGAGACTGGGGCTTTTAAACAAGAGACTGTTAAGCAAATAAACTGAAAAATTTAGTTCTCCACTGACCAGCCTTAGTTAGATTGTTACCTGGATAAGGCAACAAATACTCGTCAAAAGCATTAATCAATAGATATTTCTGTTTTTCTGTTAGCTGAGAATATTTATTGATAAAAAATTGGCACCACAGCACAATGTTATATTGAAATCAAAGTATTTCTGTCCAATTATGAAAGAAATGGGAAAAACATGTTTATTATTATTATTATTTGTTTACTTGATGCATTGGAAAGTAGGAGATAACTTATAGAGAACTCAGAATAAGCCATTAAAGAAAAATGTAAGCATAATTTAAATAAGACAAAACTTAGTTTATCATCTTAAGCATGTAAGTACAAAATGTCAGCAACATGTGTATCATTTTAATGGCTCAGAATTATAGCAAGTAATTACCAGTATTGAATAGGAAAAATTTGTTTATAAGTTCGAATGCAAAGGGTAAAGGAAGCTTAATGGTACACTATGTTTGGATAATTACTATTGTGATATAAAACAATACCACATGTTAAGAAAGAGGACATGTTGGTCAAGTAGCTTCCTGCAATTGGAATTCAAGCTCTTGAATAATACTGAAGCTCCAATGTTTTAGGCCTAAGATTTAGTGATTTTGTTTGTGACATGAGGGCCTGTGATTGTAATCAATACAGGCTTCTCTTTTTTGCCCTCAATGGTAATACAGAAAAACTCTCTTTAGATGTATAATTCTAGTTTGTATGTTTCCGCATTCCACTGCTTCACAGAATAGTGTTAACAGACCAAACGGTGACAATATATAACTCTTATTTGATTTCATTTATACTTGGCCCTGGATAATATTCCATCATTTCTTAAACTAGGTAAAATTAGTACAATTAAATTTTTTCTAATTTTTTTTTCTGCGTCTGGAATAACCAGTGTATCTTTATTGTGTTACTGAAAATGTTTGGTAAAGCCAAACAAGTCAAATTCTTTGATGAGAGAAAAATCTCCCTGTATAAGTAATGTACCCTGTATCTGAAAGGGTTAATGGGCTTCTTAAAGTGCTCAATTCATCCAGAGAGGGGACTCTGTGACCTGTTGGAACGTGCCTTTGGCCATTTCTTAGGAAAAATGCAATTTAGAACTCTCCTGTATTATCTGTCAGCTGCTTAGTTATTGATGATATTGACTTTTAGTTTTTTAAAGTCTTGCTTTGGAAAATTATTTTTAACAGCTCTGAACCACTCATGTCTTGTATTTTTATTTTATATCACATTTCATTTGGGATATTATTAAGCCAAATCCTTGGTAACCATTTTGCACAATCCAATTTATTTTTACCCAAGATCCATTGAATTCAACTCACTGCCTTTTTGCAAAAGGTTAACCCAATATTTCATGTTATGTTATGCTTTCTACTTATGCTATGTGAAAGAAAAGTAGCTGTGATAAGTAGCCAATAAATTACATTCAGAATGTTTATTCTCAAAAGTTATATTGCTATGCTGACATAGATAAACATGATCATTTATCACAATATGGATTATGGAAATAAAAACTAAAATAAATGCAGCCATCTTTCTTGCATGTTACCTGGCTGGTTTGCTTTAAATGTTAGAATAACTACTTTAAAAAAATGTGTCTTTTTATTTCTCAATTTGAATTAATGGATGAGATTAGTAATGGTTGAAAACTGAATAGATAAGCAAACATTATATTCTGGAATAAGAAAATGTTTTCACTTTTTTTCTATAAGCATGAGATTACTTGAATCTTCTAATACTGGCTTTGTAAAATAGGTCCTGTTAGTATTATTTCATCATAAGGAATACACCACTTAAAATTAAAGCTTTATTGTATATTTTTCTTCAAAAAGACACAGATGTCTAACTTGAGAGACTGAAGAAATATGATTTCTGTAATATTTAGGAGTTACTAAAAATAATCTTGTTACATTTATATTGAGCTAATAAAGGAAGTTTTAGTGGTATTACAGTGAATAAAGTATATGGCTAAATCGACTGAATGTAGAATTTAATAGGGTTTTACTTTGGTAACAGCTTTATTGATATACAGTTCACAAATCAACAATTAACCAATGTAAATTATAGAATTCAAAGTATTTTTTAGTGTATTCAGAGTTGTGCCAATATAACCATAATCAGGTTTCTTCACCCAAAAAGAAATCACTTATCCTTTTTATAGTAGCCATCTCATTTCTCCCTAATCCGCCAGCCTGAGCAACCACTAATATACTTTTTATCTCTATAGATTTGCTTATTCTGGACATTTTATATAAATGGTATCAACAATATGTCATATTTGTAGTTGACATCTTTCACTTAGCATAATGTTTACAGTATTCATCATATTGTTTTTGAATTTTCCAAATTTCTTTCTGTTATTGATATCTAATTCTATTCCATTGAAGAGGGAGAACTATTTTGTATGATTTAATATTTTTAAGTTAGTAGAAGTTGTTTTTTCATCTAGCATACAATATATCCTAGAGAAGATTCCATATAGAGTTGAGAAGAATGTGTATTTTGCTCTTTTAGAGTGTTATATGGATGTCTGTTAGGTCTTGTTGATTTATAGTTGTTATTCAAGTCTTCTGTTTCCTTTTTGGTCTTCTGCCTAGTTGTTCTATCCACTGTTTAATGTGGAGTATTGAAGTCTTTAATTAGTATTGTTTAAAGATTTGTTTCCTTTCAAATTTGTTTGTATTTTGGGCCTTGTTGTTAGGCACATATATGTTTATAATTGTTATATTTTCCTGGTAGATTGAGCCTTTATGATGATAAAATGTTCCTCTTTATTTCTAGTAAATTTTTTTGTTTCTTTAAAAGTTTGTTGTTCTGATATTAGTATGGGCACTGCAGCTTTCATGCTGCTGCTATTTGCATGATATGTCATTTTCCATCTTTTACTTTCAACATATTTGTGTCATTGAATTTAAAGTGTGTCTCCTAAAGACAGAACATAGTTGCATCTTGCTTTTTATCTAGTCTGACAGTATACATTTATACTATTATAATTTCATAATTACCTATACTTTACTGTTGACCTTTGTTTTTTTCGTGTGAATAGTAAGTTATGGTTACTTACTTTCTGCCTGAAGAACTTCCTTTAATTTTATTTTTTTCACTTTTTATTTTCATTTTTATTTATCTATTTATTTTGAGACAGAGTTTCACTCTTGTTGCCTAGGCTGGAGTGCAGTGGCGTGATCTCGGCTCATTGTAACCTCCACCTCTGGAGTTCAAGTGATTCTCCTGCCTCAGCCTTCTGAGTAGCTGGGATTACAGGCACCCACGACCATGCCTGGCTAATTTTTGTATTTTTAGTAGAGACAGGGTTTCACCATGTTGGCCAGGCTGGTCTTGAACTCCTGACCTTGGTGATCCACCTGCCTTGGACTCCCAAAGTGTTGGGATTACAGGCGGGAGCCATCATGCCTGGCCAAGAACTTCCTTTAGTAATTCTTATAAGTCACATCTGCTAATAACAAATTCTCTTATTGTTTGTTATTCTGGGAATGTATTTTTTGAAAGATAGTTTTGTTGGGTATAGGAGTCATGGTTCACATTTTTTTTTCTTTTAATACTTTGTATGTCTTATCCCACTTCTCTCTGGTCTCTCTGGTTGTTAATGAGAAATTCACTGTTAAACTTATTGAAACTATTTTTACATGATGAATTATTTTTTTTTTGCTACATTCAAGATTTTCTTTTTGCTATTGACTTTCAGCCCTTTTACTGATGTTCTTTGTGTGGATCTCTTTACATTTAGCATACTTCACATTCATTGAGCTTCCTGAAGGTATAGTGTAATATACCTTGTTCTACTTTATTAAAAAAAAAATAAATCGGGCAAATTTTAAGCCAGTGTAACTTCTGTATTTTCTCCTGCTTTGTCTTTTCTTTTTCAGGTAATCCCATTACAGTATTTTGGTTTGCTCAGTGGTGTATCACATATCATTGAGGCTCTGTTAATTTTTCTTTATTCTTTTTCTCTTTGGTCTTCTGATTGTGTAATCTCTCTTGATCTGTCTTTAAGTTTGCTGATTCTTTCTTCTGCTAGTTCAAATCTACTATTGAACTCTAGTGAATGTTTCATATCAGCTATTGTATTTTTCAAGACCAGAATGCCTGCTTGTTGTTTTTGTTAAAATAATTTAAGTGATTTATATCTGTATATGGATATTCTGTACTCTCTAAGACATTGTCATCATACTTTCCTTGTAATGGCTGCTTTGAAGTGTGTATTAGTTCTCATGCTGCTGTAAAGAACTGCCCGAGACTGGGCAATTTATAAAGGAAAGTGGTTTAACTGACTCACAGTTGTGCATGTCTGGGGAGGCGTGAGGGAACTTACAATCATGGCAGAAGGGGAAGCAAACACATCCTTCTTCACATGACAGCAGGAAGAAGTGCTTAGCAAAGACGGAAAAGTCACTTATAAAACCATCACATATCGTGAGAACTCACTCACTATCATGAGAACAGCAGCATGGGGGTAACTGGCCCCATGATTCAATTATCTCCCACCGGGTCCCTCCCATGACCACATGGGGATTATGGGAACTACAATTCAAGATGAGATTTGGGTGGGGATGCAGCTAAACCATATCAAAGTGTTAAATTTGACACATGGGCCCTCTTAATGGGAGTTTCTGTTGTCTCCTTTTTTTGTGTGTCTGTATGGATCACACAATTCTGTTTCTTTGCATGGCTCATACTTTTTTAAATTGAAGACTGAACATCTTACATAATGTAGCTATTCTTGCCGGACACTAAACCCCCTCTAGAGGAGGGCGACTTGTTACTAGCGACTGGATATACTTTTTTTTTTTTTTTTTTTTTTTTTTAATGCAGAGTCTCACTTTGTCACCCAGGCTGGAGTAAAGTGGCATGGTCACAGCTCACTGCATCCTTGACCTCCCAGGCTCAAGCGATCCTCCTGCTTCAGCCTTCTGAGTAGCTGAGACCACAGGCATATGCCACCATGCCCGGCTAATTTTTGTATTTTTTATAGAGATGGGGATTCACTGTGTTGCCCAGGCTGGTCTTGAATTCCTCAAGCAGTCCACTTGCCTCAGCCTCCCAAAGTGCTGGCATTACAGACATGACCCATTATGCCTGGCCTGGATATACTATTTAGGGATGTACATTTTCCTCTGTGTGAACCGCTGATGTCATTCTCACAGGGTGCAGCCTTGGATATGTGCAGTCATTCTTGGGTGTCCCTGGTTTTATCAGGTGTCTCTTTGCCTTTTTCTCTGATCTCTCTCTTAAGATGTCTGCCTGTAGTAATGTCACACCCAGATCTTAGTTCCAGTGGCTTCTGGTTGATTTCTTTATTACTTTTGCTGTGGAATATGAGTTGTTCCACAGTGTGATTCAGTTAAATTTGGGCCTTTTTTCAGTGGTAGTTTTTGAGGTGAGTCCTTGAGGTTTTTTGTAACTCCAGGAGAACTCATCTTATGTTTCTTTCCCTGGGTTTCCCTTATGAACTACCTGCCTTATGGTTCAGTTTTTTGTTTTCAGGAAGCTACCTCCCTCTTCTTAATTGTTTGACATGAACATTTTTATTGTTTATAAGAGTACTCTTAGGTTTGAACTTCCCTGCATACAGGTTCAAATAAAGTCAGTTCCTTTGGGGGGACCTCTCTGTTCTTATGGCTTGTGTCTTCTGGGAAAAATCTCTGGGCCACTGCTCCAGAGCTGAGGATAGTGACAATGGCCCACTTCTCTCAGAGTTAAATTTCTGCTTTATGAGCAAAGTACTAGGTATAGGCAATAGCCTCTAGTCCTCTCAGCTTGCTCTTCCTTGTGTGCAATCTCTACCCAGTAAGTGAGGTGAGGCAAGGATAATCAGGGCCCTGGTGTTATTGGCATGATATTCCTGAGGTAGAACCTTGGCTCTATGAGTGGGGGCTGGATGGAGTAACAGAACTCCTGACCTGTCAGCTGCACTTTAGTCTCAGCTGCACTCAGTTGCAGTTTTGTCTCTGTGTAGCATGGGGGAGAGAGAAAATGAGAAATGCTGGCATCTTACCCCTCTCTGGGAGATACCATAGCCCTCAACTGGTGGCTGGGGTAGAGCGAGCTCTGTGTTTTGAGCTATACCCATCTGAGGTAGAATGACTGTCACACTGGACTGAAGTGGTGTGGGTTATACTTCAAATGCCATAGACCTTCACTCCTTTTACCAGTTTTAGCAGATTTTCATGTATTATTGTTTCTTCATTTGCTGTTTGCCTTAAGGCAAATTTCCAGAGACTTCAAAGAGTTTTCATTTTTACTATTTTTGCAGTTATATGTTTATTTTTATGGGAGTCAGTCTGCAGAGGTCCTTACTCTACCATTCCAGAGGTGACCTCTTAATGGTCATGTTTACTGGCTTGCTCAAGACAGGGTTTGAAATTAATTTTTCATTGAGCTACTCAGGTGCAAATTGATATTATTTAAACATGTGGTTAAAAATGTTTCCTACCTTATATCTCAAAAAGTGACTTTTAAATATAGCCCTCATCTTTGGATCAGGTTCAATATAAGTCCCATACTCAGAAAAACAGAGTTCCAATTCAATTCTTTTTGCATATTAACTGTGAGATCTTAAGCAGGTTACTTAATCACCCTCAATTTATTTGCTCATCCTAAGTATTGAGAGAGTAGTAGCTGTTTGTAAGTTAAGTTACATAATGGATGTGAAAGCTTTTGAACTTTTAAACTCTAAAAACTTAAAACACAAAGCATTGTTATTACCACTTTAAATCAAATGCAGAATGAAATGAAGTGACTTTTTCTGATTTTATTCTTGTCTAAGAATACTAAGTATAACATTTATTTTAGAAAGTCATTTATGATTTTTAAATTCTTCATATTAGCATGTGATACTCTTATAAAATCAGCTAAGATATCACCTAGAAAATGATTACTTTAGATATGTTGATTGTGGAATTACATTAGTAGAGGTGGAAAATAACATTTTTAGCTTGTGTCTGTTGTTAATAGTATAATAATTCTTTTATCTGTTCATTTATTGTGGTCTTTTTGATAGTTCTCTGTGGATCTCAATAAGAGTTCATTTTTATATGTGAAAATGATGAACATGACCCAATAATTTTTAAAGAATCATGGAATCTAGATTTGGAAGGTGATCTTGGATTTGGTTAAATCTAGTAGGAATTGCATTCTCAGGTCCCCTTCAAATTCTTACTTGGCCACTACATGAACAAATCATGGACAGAGGATTACTGTTGCACATAGCCTCTGGATTCCATTTTCACTACACTTCAATTTTTAGGGTTTTTGTAGTTTAGAAAACATGTTGTATCATGCATTTCATTTATTCTTTACTTCTGATTCAGGTGTTGCCCTATTTTGCATGTGAGGAAATCAAAGATCAAAAAGATCAATGGTTTACTCAAAGTTATAAGAGTACTAGGAATTAAAAATTATATTTATGATTTTTGAATTACTATTTTACAGGAATAAGCATATGCTACCTACCTGGTACTGTATATCATAAACTGAAAGATTTTTGAAAAGTCAGGAATCCCGCAACTCAACACATTCACAGTTTAGAAGGGAAGAAAATTCTTAAAGCAGCAGTTACTGTTTAGACTGAAATACTGTGGTAGAGATGTTTCAGTGATCTGAAACAGAAAAATGGATCTAGATTAGTTAGGGGTAACTTCATGGAAGAAGACTTTTGAAATGAACATCATTTAAAATGACTGCAGTAATGTCAGCTGGAATGATTTCTAATACAATCTCAGCTGCCACTTTTTAATTTATATCTGAATCCAAATCTTCCTCCATTAATTTCCACAGCCTTGGTTCTGTGTTAATACAAAACAAATTAAATCTCTCTTCCATGTGAAAGTTCTTCACCTACTGAAATACACTGTGTCTCTCCCAGATCTTTTCTCCAGGCTTTTCTTCAGCTGTTGCATCTAACTTTTCAACACATAATCATTATTGAAAGATGGTAGGTAATAATGTTAATTTGGTTAGACAGAAGCATGTGCTACTACCATGTTTCCTCCTCTCTGGTGAAATAATGGTATGTTGTTCATTATTGATTATATTTATTTGTTTTTCTTGAAGTTTTTCTTCTGGTCAAGAATTGCTTCTGGCTAATTAGTAGAAAATACAATAACAATTACTCGATTTATATTTTGCCCCATATTAGTCTATTAATGTAAGCTGTTTGAGAGCCATGCAACATTTTAAACATATATTTTAGCTTTTTGTCAATGTATAATGATATACATTGATATAATGATGTCATTATATCAATGATAACATTATTAGATTTTTTCTAAGACAAGTATATCTTCTCACTTTTTCCATATAAATTTTCATTGTATTAGGATTTTCCCATACTGAACTTTTTTTTGGAAAACCAAATATAGGATTCCTCACTTGATTTTATTAAACACAATCTTGCAAATTTGGGGTCATTCTTCTGATTTACATGTATCTTTTTTTTTTTGTGATTCCTAAGTTTTCTTTCCTGGCTAACCCTTTCTTTAGGGGCCTGTAAGAGGAAATCTTAGATAAAGTTTGATTCCTAAAAATGCTACCAGACATGGTGGCTCACACCTGTAACCCCAGCACTTTGGGAGGTTGAGCCAGGTGGATCGCTTGAGACCAGGAGTTCAAGACCAGCCTGGGCAACATGGCGAAACCTCATCTCTATTAAAAATATAAAAATTAGCCAGGTGTGGTAGCGTACGCCTGTAGTCCGAGCTACTTGGGAGACTAAGGTGGGAGGATCGCCTGAGCCTGGAAGGCAGAGGTTGCAGTGAACTGAGATTGTACCACTGCACTCCAGCCTGGGTGACAAAGTGAGAGAGACCGTGTCTCAAAATAAATAAAAATAAAATAAAAATAAGTTTAAACAAATGCCAACATATTTCCATATATTTACACATTGTTTATGCTGTCTTTAGAGTATCCTGGCTTTAAATCCTCGAACACAAACTCATGCAACTCTGTGTTCCACTTCGGCCAAGAAATTAGACAAGAAACATTGGAAAAGAAATCCTGATAAGAACTGCTTTGTAAGTACCACTGATACACTATTTCATGCTGAAAATTACCTCACTCCACACATTGTAAGGCAAGATTTTACATACACTTAGAAATAAGGTATTAAAGTACAGCCGTGATTTTAAAAATATTTTAAATATTTAATATTTGAAAAAGTTTGAAAGTGTATTTTTAATTACACTGCTTTAAAAAATCTCCTGAAATACAAATTATATACAGGTTGAGTAACCCAAATCTGAAAATTCATAATACCCAAATCTGAAACAAATCTGTTGTCAAGCATTTTTGATAAGGGATATGCAACCTGTAAATTTAGTTTGGTGCCAAAATTTCTTTTTTCAAAATCTTTAAAATTTGTTTTAAAATTGTTTTGCCTAATGACACAATGATACAGAAGAGTTTTCATGTTAAAGATATAGTCTAAATGAAGAAAGCTATAGATACACTGGTATCTGTGGACTTTAAAAATACACCCTCACAAAATATATGAACATTAGATGTTCTATGAACACCTAATATTTCCAGGTGAGGTGTAGGAGCAAAACAGCATTTCTCTGAGATTATTGCTAGAACTTTGTTTAACTGTATATAGGAGGTGATTATAGAGCTGAAACTGACACCATAGATCGGATATAAGTACAACCTTAAAGGTGATGTTAGAAATTCCATCTTAAAGTTATATACGTTTTTAAATTTTGAAAGAAATGTCTTTTTATCTGATTTCCCCAGATTACCCCAAATTAACATTCCCAAATTAATGAGTGAGACAGTAGTATTAGTTTAACATTAGCTCAATTGGAACCGTGTATATACTTTCTTATAGAATGTATGATTTTAGTTTATGTACTTCTTTCCTCCTTCTTATATTATGAACTCTTTGAGGATGGAAACTGAGGGTGTGTGCTCATGTGTGCTTGTATTTATCTAATTTTAAGTTTTTCTATCACCAGCCACTGGGCAATTTTTTTTGAATGAAAAAAGAAAAAGAAACAGAGAAACAATGTTACATGAAAAGATCCCATAGTCACTTAATTACAGACATGGATTTTGAATTCAGTTTTTCTTGTTCCAGTTTTGGGAGCTTTGTTTTCTATCATGATGCTTCTAGTAGAGGTCTCTAAAAGGAAACCAGTGTGATTCAGATTGTTCAAGGAATAGGCCACTTACAAGCCATGACGCAGTTTAATGATAAGAGCAATTGAATAACACTGAAAAAAGAATCATATAATTTTTTTATTATAGTTTTTTTTCTTTTTTTTATTATTATTATACTTTAAGTTTTAGGGTACATGTGCACAATGTGCAGGTTAGTTACATATGTATACATGTGCCATGTGCTGGTGTGCTGCACCCATTAACTCGTCATTTAGCATTAGGTATATCTCCTAATGCTATCCCTCCACCCCCCACCCCACAACAGTCCCCAGAGTGTGATATAATTTTTAAACTTAGAAAGCCCTTAAAGACTATCAAGCCTAAATCTCTAATTTTTAAAGGTCTGAGAACTATGATCAAGAGACACTATGTGACTTCCCTAATGTCTCGCATTTATAAGTTTTCAAAGTATTTATGGTCAGGACTTTATTTCGAAATGGAGACTTTCTTTATTTTGATTGCTGTTGTTGTTATTTTATGGAAATTAGCATTTGTATCTCATAATGTGATCCTATAAATTGAGTTTATTTTATCATTTTAAAAATAATAACCAAGGTACAGTGAGGTCCACTTTCTCTGTCAAATATATATTGACCCAAATATTTATAAAAGCAGTTTGACAATATCTTTGACAATATTCATTTGGACCTGTGATGCTATACCTAGGGATGCTATTTATACCTACGGATGCTACAAGAAGATACCACAGACTAGGTGGCTTAAACAACAGAGACTTATTTTCTCACAGTTCTGGAGGTTAGGAGTCCCAGATCAAGGTGATTTCTTCCAAGACCTCTCTCCTTGGCTTGTAGATGGTGTCTTCTCCCTGAGTTTTTCACTTTGGGTGTGCGTGTGTCCAAATAAGGACATCGGCTATATTGGATTAGGACATACCCTAATAACCTCATTTTAACTTAATTACCTCTTTAAAGACTCTCTCTCCAAATATAGCTACATTTTGAGATAGTGGGGGTTAGGACTTCAACATAAGATTTTTGAGGAGATATAGTTCAGTTCATAACAATACTTTAAAATTATCAAACACTTGCACCAGTAATTTATTTTCTAATAACATATCTGAAGGAAAGAATTAGGAATATAGATAAAGAATTAAGCACAAAGAGGATTATCTTAGGCATTATTTACTCAATGGAGACAAATGTAGGGGAAATCCCACTGAATTCCAACCAGTGGGTCATGGTTAAGCAAATTAGAGTAAATTAATTCAGTGGTATATTGTGCAGTCATTAAGATGTTTTTGAAATAATAATCTGGATAAATTCTATCTGCATTACATGGAAAAAGGATTTAACATCACTGTATTCAATAGTGATTGTGTACACTTACACATAACCATACCTTTATATATATATGCACAAAAGAACAAAAAAATGAAATATTAATATTGATTATATTTTTTGGCACTTTTGTATATTTCAGGTCTTCTGTAATGAGTATTAGTAGAAAAATAAAATGAAAGCTTTAGATCTATGTTAAAATAGTAATCTCGATTTATAAGATCAGATTTATTGCACTGATGTCTGTTAGTTTGAAGACTCTCTGTGACATTCATGAATTTCTCAGAGCAGTAAGGTTTATTCCCAAAAGTGAAATATGAAGCTAGGGTTGAAAGTTATTCTCGGTGTGGTTGAATAATGCTGCTCCTTACGTATTTGTTATTATCCTCTTCATGCTGGCATAAATAATTGAATGAAAGTGTCACCAAAACATATGGTTTGTTTTTCAATTCATAAAGACCCAAGTAGGATGCTGGAACTTTTATCCCCACTAGCTAGCCAGTAACCAGTAACTGATGAGATACGAAAAAGTTTTCTTCTTACCTCACTGACATCTCCTTCTTGTTTTTCTTCACTTCTTTGTTGATTATTTCTCCTCTCATCCCTAGATATTTCAGTGCCCAGAGCTCAAACTCTCTTTCTTTCTTTTAAAATAGTCACTACATTGGTTATCTCGTTATCTCCTTACTTTTAATACTATCTTTAGATTGAAGATTCCTTTATATTTCTAGCCTGCATTACTGTCTCTCTATCTATATATTGATATATATACATATATCTCTCTCTATATATAGATATCTATCTATATATAGGCTATATGTTTCTTATGTTCACTTACCCAAAACAGAGTTATAATTGGACTCAACAATTATAGAAGTTTTTCTTGAGGCATTATATAGTCCTCTCTTACTATCTGCCTTCTTCTTCCTTTTTTCTATTTCTTTGGTGCTCGAAGCATCTTATTTCAGGCACTGTATTGAATGCTACTCAGAGGTGAATAAAATCTAGCAAAATAAGTAGTCTAAAATCGTTTATTAAAATAGATACAAATTTTGTTTAATAAGTAAATCATAGGCTTCTTAGAAAATAAGCATGTGTTTGACCGGTAAAAGTGCCTTAAGAATGGCAGTTCTGAAATTATTGCCCAGGAATATCTTCACTTGGTAGTTTAATATTCTTCTAGTACTAATTGGAAATTCTGACTTCAGTAGGGGATTTAAACTGGCAAACATGTTTATACTGGTTAATGAAGCATGAAGCAGTTATTTCCAGTATATTTTAAGCAGGTGTTCCATAACTGCTGTTTATTTTTGCCATTTTTGAAAATGTTGAACTATCCTAATTACATAAATATTTTGCACTCATTTTTCCTGAGCAATTTTTGAAGACCAGAAAATATTACAAATCAGAAAACTTATGCTAGGTGAAAATTAAAAGGAAAGGCAGTTAAAGACAGCCAATTAGCCAATTATTAGACTTGTTTTTAAGAATTATAGCAAATTTGTTCTAAATGCATGACACATACAAGGTGCTCACCATAAAAAAAAATACAATGAGAATAAGCTATAATGTATATTAAGAATTTGCAATGCTTTTTGTGAAGTAATTTATTTAAGCTTCAGAAGCACCCTGTCAGGTATACATTATATTTTATCATCCATTCATAGATGAGGGAATTGAGGCACATGGAAGCATAAGAAACCTATTCACAGTTCCACAACTGAATGGTAGAACTAGAGACTGAACCTATGCAATTGCCAGAGAGCTCTTTTAGTAGAATTTTTTTGAATAAGGAAATAAAAGAAAATCATTGACTTATTTTCCTTGTAGACAATGAAAATAACTAAATAATATATGGGTTTTGATAATTTTTTTTTCTTGCATGAGCTTCACAATCTCAGTCACTCGTTTGTTTCACATTTATTGTCTGTGCCACTTGCCACATTGAAATTTATGTGACATAGGCCTTGCCAAGAAGTTCTCACATTGTTTTGAAGAAGACTGAAATACCAATAAATAATAATAATACTCTTTTGAAGGAAGAACAGTTAAGGCGTTTTAATGATCAGTGTGAGTTGATCATATTTGCCTTTAGGTGAATCAGTCTAGCTTTCAGTGTGGACCATGGATTTAATGAAAAGATGGGAGGCAAGGTCTCTGGGACTGGGTTTAGAAAGTTGGAAGACAGGTGATGAAGACTAGGAGGGAGGATGAGCTTGAATTGATTTAGGAGATAAAACACATATGATTTGGGAGTTGACTTTATGTGTATGTTTACTTGTTTATAGCATAAGTTGAGGGTAAATACTAAACTCACTTTTGGATTATTTGAGGTCTTGTGCCTGTGGATCACTGCAAAAGTTGAAGATTAGTAAAGGGTCTGGGATGGAGATAAAGAATTTTTGAATCATCAGGATATATGTAAATAACTAAAAGCCTAGGGGGAGAGTTACCCAGGAAGAGTGTGTAAAGTGGAAAGAGGGTGCAGGTTAGACCTTTGGGATTAGGGCAGAAATTAGAGTGAGGCAAGTGAGGCACTGGCCTGAGGTTCAAAATATAAGGGGCTAACAAAGACTCAGTAATCTAGAAAAACAATAATAATAATAAATATATATAGGCACACACCTTTTTCCTTTTGCCTCAGGCTCCAATGTGGCTCAGCATGGTACTGAACGTAGCATGGAAAAGGCAGGCAGAGATGAGAATTTAGCTATAAGCACTATGAGAGGTGAGATGAGAACCACAAGAGCATAGTAGGGGACTTCCATGGAGGAAGGATAGATTAATATGTTTTTCTAATAATATTTCTTATGTTCCAAATACGTTTAATTTTTATACTTTTGGAAATTATACTTAATGTTTGTCTTGTCTGCTGGCACCATTTTTCCTTCTCAAGTTTACATGGCTATTAAGAGATGAAATCCACTTAATTAGTACAACTAGCAGTCAATCTCATTCACGCTTTCATGGATAGCCAGCTACTGGGATCTGTTAAATTTGATGGAGAATATATGTCCCTCCATTGACATATCAAATTCACAATATGAATTTTTATTTTTAAGCTCCAAAGTAAATAAACTTTTCACCAGATACCCAGTAAGAAAGCAATACCTGTTCTACCCTTGCCTCCTGTTATATGATATTTGAAAATACTTTCTCAAGCATGAGCTTGCTTTTTTGATTGTTGACAATTATTTTCTTCCAAAAATAGACAGTAGTTGAGTTTCTGAAATAAAAAAATAAAAACAGATTCTTTGCAACTAAATACCTCTTTCAGTATGTGAAAAATGCAGTGTTTGTATAGAGCATGCAGATATCCAACTAGAAACTCAGGCATGCAAGTCACGTGACCTCTTTTATTTTCTTGTAACTGAACTTAATTCTATTGTAAGTATCTGTGAGAGTGGAAACCTGTGTGTCACTTGTAGTATTCATTTTTCCCTGCTTGTCCCCCTCACCCCTTATTTCTGCGAGCTGATACCTAAGTTTTATGAGGGTTGGTGGCAAGTGTGGGCTGTGAGGTAAGCCCAGCTGATTTTTCATGCCATCTTCCCACTGGTCACCATCATGGGGACTTTGGAGTCATCTTTCATTTTCATTCATTAGAACCCTTTCTATCCCTCACTTCTCTACTACTTTGAAGCCATTCTTGAAAAGATGACAGTCATTCTGATGTTCCACTCAACACTGGGGTTCAGAGAAGTTCATGGTTCAATCTACTCTCCCAGGGCTTCGTTTGTCGAGTCACAGATTCTCCATCTTTCATTTACCCACACCTGGTATTTGTCAGCCCTCTGAGAATAGCCTAAGGAGCTGGGCATTGATCCTCTTTCTCCAAGATCTGCCAATATCTCTGGGCCCTTCACTTTGCTTTTGGTCCTCATTTTGTCTCTCTGTCCATTAAATATTTATATAGACTGGGTGGGAAGGATGGGAGTGGAGGAAAAAAGTTACTTTTAACTTATCACCCATTTCCTCCTAAATCCACTGTCAATCACTGAAGTCCTTTCAATTTTTCTGAAAACGTGACTTCTAAAATTCTAAGTCCAAAAGAAACACCCTTTGTTTCTCTGCTTTCTGTAGTTATATTATTTCCTTCAAGAAATGAAAACCCAGTGGCTTCTCTGCCTAATAGGTATAAATTTCTAGGTGGAATGGGAAGGGATGGTAGCAAAACTACAACCACCTCATAAAGACTGATTTTGAATTTGAATTTATCATGAATGATGATCATCTCCTGCCCTCTATCCAGCAAGTTCTCAAATGAAGGCTGTTGGAGTGGGGAGAGATGGCAGAGTAAGTTCCTATTTGGGATGGGAAAGATTATAGAAAGGTAGGCGAGGGCAGGCAATGCCAGAGGAACCCCATGTTGGGAAGCTGGGACATTACTTGCGTGATCCTAAAACTGAGTGCCAACTTAAATGTAGTGCCTCAGTGCCTCACTTACTTCACCCTGTTACTGGCCCAAAGGGCTTCCACTGTCCTGGAGGTACCAGCCAGCCTCAAGACCCAGTAGTGTCTCCACAGGTGTTTAAACTTCAGTAGCAACTGCAAAACCGCAGTAGCGACCCAGATGGATTTGGATGTCCAGGTTGAGTCAGAAGTACTTGCTGGCTCACTCTGTGGGATTTCCTGGTCATTACATTAACTTCTGAATTGCACTACCAGTCATGACGCATTATTGAGTGTTTTGGAACACTTGATAATGGTATGATTTTACTGTGAATAATATATTACTAAATATATTATTATTTTCCTATCCCCAAGTTAATTTAACTCAAAATTGGTAGACATTTGAATAAAGAGATCAGTTTGCCTATGACATCTTGATTTGAGAAAAACCCCGTATTCAACTAGTTCTGCAAGTAAATTATGTAAACATAAATGGCATACATACATTTTAAAAACAATTTTCCTGTGGCATTTGTTGAGAACATTGCAATGAATTAGAAAAATAAAAGTTTACTTTGAAGTAAGTATATTTTAAGTGATCATTACTGGGCAATAGCTTTCTTATTTCTAACAAATGTTAGATATTATTAATGTGTAAATTTAATAATTTTGCGTGTGTGTCTTAGGAAAATTAAAGAAAATAACACTTTAAAGAAAATGCGAGCTTAAAATTTCAGCAGAGGGAAAAAAATTAGAGAGGGAAAAATATACTGTGAAATGTGACTACCTAGAAATCCCTTCAGAGTATAAAGCTCATTTACACATATTGTAGACCTTGTAATTTTGAAGTTGAGGTGGAGTCTTTCATTGTATGAATTCTGACATACAACAGGTATTTATTTTAAAATAATAACTGGCTGCTTATGCAAAGGCATTTTGGGTAGAAAGTTTAGAGTCTAGTTGTAGATTTCAAGATGGGAACAGTGGAAAATCTCAATTATGCCTCTCTTGATAGCTACATTCACTCCATAGTTTTAATGCCCATCTATGTGTTTATTAACAGCCAAATGAATATCTCCATCCAAGATCCTGTCTGTATCCAGATGATTCTTATGATAGTTCCACCTAGATATTGTATTGGTTTCTGATTATGACTATGTCAAAAACCGAATTATTCATGCCTATTCCTGCCTGGCTTTTCTTTTGCTATGTTGGTAGCAAAAATAATCACTTTGTCATCTAGGCAAGAAAACTCAGGGCAATTCTTGACACTAAAAATGCTATTATCAACAACACTGTATTGTAACTAACATAGAATAAAAGAAGACTCAAATGTATAACATACATTCATTTAATATTTTTATGCCATTTGATTTTCATTTCTGCATGAAACAATGAATCATTATGTCATTGTGGTACTTGCCATATTTGATCAATTCTCTGATGCATATTTTATCACAGTTTCACATCTCTGGAATTAAGATTCATTTTATAGTTAATCTGATAAGAAAGTTTGTATCAGTTTAATTAGCAGTTTTTTGTTGTTGTTAGTATATAAAAATAACATATCTTAAAAATCTCTGTTGTCTTTGGCACTATAAAATAAAGCATGTACAGAGAGAAGGCAGAAAATATTTTGACCGAAGCAAATGTTCTCCAATTTTTATTAATGTTGTTGGTAGATGTGATAGCTTTCCATAGCACTGGAAATTCATGAAAAGGAAACTCTTTGAAAATAAAAACATAGGTATATGAACAATAGTCCTAGTAACTGCAAGATTGCAGTTCAACTTAGTTTAGGATAATTTTGTCTTGTATTTCCAGAATAAAAAGCAATTCCTCTGAGTGTCTGAATCACATCATTTTTAAGGATTCTCAAATATATTATTTTCCTGTCCCAAATTAATTTAACTGAAAATATTGGTAGACATTTGTATAGAGAGATCAATTTGCTTATGGTATCTTGATTTGAGAAAAACCCTGTATGCACCTAGTTCTGCAAGTAAATTATGTAAACATAAGTGGCATAAATGTTCATGATTTGTAAAATATTTGTAGTTCTCCTTCCTTATGAATTTATGATATGTTTAATGTACACAAAGCATTTTTGAGTATCTGATACAAATACCTAATTTAGATTATATGATTCAGTTTCTCATATATTCTTTCCATCTCTGTGCTGAGAAGCAAATACATTTCACTCATTTTTTCTGAAGTTCTATGATGTAGGGAGTGCATCTAACAAAGGATTTAGCTGTGTGACACAGTGCTGTACTCTGTAACAGTATCTCAAATAATACCGGTGATAATGGTGATGATGAAGACAATGAGGATGGTGGATAGTGAACCAGGCTGTTTATAATAACTAAATTAGTTGATGAACAACTCTATGAAGCAAATATTACTTCATGCATTTACTCCTTATACTCCCTTTCCTGCTTTATTTTTCTTCATAGAACATATTGCCATCTAACATACTATTTTTCATATTTTACTTGTTTGGTTGTTTAGTCATTTTCTCCCCACGAGAATGTAAGGTCTGTGAAGACCTATTTTGTTCACAACTGTATCTTCAGCTCCTGAAATAGTGCCACACATGTAGTAAGTATGCAATAAATAACAATTGAATATTTACTGAAATCTTAGTGTGTGTTAAACACTGCTTTTGGTGCTGAGAATACAACTGTGTACTTTACTCTTCCAAAACTTATATTCTGGTGGATGAGAACTATTACTGTTGTTTTGTTAATTATTATGATTATAATCCTCTTTTTATTAATGGGAAATACGAAGCTTGGTGAAGATAAGTGAATTGCTCAATCTACACATATATAAAAATGTATTTTGATATTCTTTTGAAGAATTTTTATGTAAGTTTTATCTACTAACATACACCTAGATTTCTGTAAGAATACAAAGTATACCCTGAAACAGCAAGTAAAATATGAAGCTATTGATTGGTTTCCGTTGTTTATATATATATATGAAGTATGAACTGTGAGTATTATCTCCTGAATATTTTTGGGCATTAATTCAATTGCTGGAAATAAGTTACCTTCTGGAGTAATGAACCCCCTTAAAGAATTAATTTATTGCATCACACTTTTCAGTATTTCTGTAACACCACTACATATAAATTATTTCACTTTGAAACTTATATAGTATAAATATTTGAATCTAAATTGTACATATTTATTAATTACTAAATATTAATGGAAGATCTAACATGTTCCAGCCACTGTGATAAGTCATGGGAAAGGGACAAAACGGTTTTTGCCCAGACAGCTAAGTGGGCATTTGCACAGGTGTTAACCTCATTTCACGATCAAGTTTCGTCAGTACAGCCTTCCATGGGAGTTACAGCTGAAGTACTGTAGCCTGGTCTCAGAATTCAAGGTTGGCCTCCCTGAGGAACCAGAATTTAAACTGAAAATAAAGATGAAGGAGGGAAGGAAGGAAGGAAAAAGAGGAATTTCACGAGAGTAGAAAACTTGTATCTGAAAGTCCGAAGATGGGGGAGCATACTGATTGAAGTTAAGGGATTGAAACGGTGTCAGTACTGCATGGCTGAAGTCGTAGACTGGAGCATGAAGAAAAGTACCAAGAGATGATGCTGAGGACCTCTCCACAGAGTAGTGACAATGATGATGATGATAAATATTTTTTTCTCGAAAAGTTCTATAGTCTGGTTATTTCATTGAGAAGTGCATGTTATATGTTAAAAAGGCACATTCTTTGTTTGTGATATGCTGTAATTTAGAGTTTTGATATATATTAGTATCCCTCTTTAAAAGTATGTTTTTTCCTAGTGCTTCATTCCACACATGGACCAGTGTTGTCAGAGATTTATTCTCCAGGCAGAAATATGTAATAAGATGATAATTGACTAAAAAGAAGAAAAGTGTTAACTCTTAATTTCCTGAGGCTGTTACAAAAATGCTTTGCTTTAATTATTTATTTCAGACTGATTGCAACTTTCTCCACATCCATGTGACACACAAATTAAACTCGTTTGTAATTGTCAGCCATCAGCCTTGTTACTTTTATTTTGTTCTTCACTGGTTTGAAATTTTAATAATGGTTAAGCAGGGTGCTCTATTTTTTTAAACAACTTTATGGTTAATGGAATATAGTTATCTACTCAGGGTTTAAACTGAACTGGAAAAAACTTTCCCCTGTGTAAGGTATGTTTCAATTAGCTTTATTTGCAAAAGAAGAAAAATTTTCCCTTCACAGCTTCCTTATCTTTGAGGTTGGGTTTTTATGAGGGCAGGCAGTGGAACCCAAAGAGCTCAGTTGTCAGTAGAGAGTTTGGTTAAGAGAGTAAGCTCTAGGGATAATCTGCTTAGCTCCAATTATTGGTTTTGCCATTTACTAGAGTATGACCTTGAGTAAATTTCTGATTCCATTACTGTCTCCATTTCCTCATCTCTAAATTAAGAGAATAATATCTACCTGATAGAGTAAATGAGTCAATGTGCATAGTATTCTTAAAATCGTGGTTGGCATATATATAACCTTATGTAAGTATTATTGCTTATCATTATCAGCATTTATAAGGGGGATGCTCCGAGGTTTCTGTTACTACATATGGAAGCACATCATGATAGTGGATAGAGAACAATGTATATGGAAAAACCATGGAGAAGTACTGAGCAGCAAGATACTGAGGATGGTAATGGAAGACAGAATATTTCCTCTATTGCCCAGAAATTTCCTAGTAGCATATTTCTACAGAAACAGAAAGAAGAGAGAGAGAAACAGCCACAAAAATTTTTTTGAGCACTGTCTTATATTTGCATATGGATGGATTCTTTTTCTGTGATTTTTTTTTTTTTTTGCCTGTATTTCTCCCTTCTCCAAAAAGCCTCAACATGATGCCTTGGTCTTGGAGAATTTTTATCATAGGATAGAGGTTTGTATTGTCGTGGGGAATTCCACTCTGGCCGAAGCTCTCTTGTGTGAGCTCCTGCAGGGCTACTAACTGCTAACCTGAAATGTGTTCCCTCTCTTAGAATGGCCCAAGAGTGAAATATTTATTCTCCGTGTCTGACAAGGAAATTTCTCTTGGGAGAAGAAGTTGTTCTTATAGACTACGTATTAGTCCAAGAATATTGAGAAGGGATCCAAAAGATCTGGAACCAAATAGATTGAATTTGTTTACACAGAAAATCTTTGCATAATCATAAATATTAAACTGGAATTGTATGATGTATTATAGGTCAATAAGTAGTATATAATAAAGCAGATGTGTGTTAAGACTATTTCTATGAAAACAAAATATGTATATTTTAAAAGATATTAATGAAGCATATTACTGTATTTGCAAATAAGAAACATCTTTGCATATGGGAAAATACAGTGCTCTGAACAAAAGAAATCAGCAAAATTGTCTTTAGAGTCTAATGGTATATTTTACCTTTGCAAAACATTTATTTGGTGCTCATAGCAAATAAATATGTGAGTTTTGCTGTTTTCCCGAATGGGCATACAATGGCAGCTGTCTTTCTAATCGTTCCCCTATTCAAACACTAATCGGTGGAACCCACGTAAAATGCTAGAGGCCTGAATAGGTAGACAATGGCAGCAGCGTTTTTAATCACAGTCCTATTCATGCACTAATCGGAGTGATGATTAAAGGACATTAGAGGGAGCACTTTGACATCTGATCCTTTGAACTGACGTCTGTGCAGGCTGCACTCCATAGAGCTCACTTGGCCAAACTGATTTCCTTAAATAAAGTGCTGTGATTTCCAATGTAGGAAATATTACATTAGAGCCTATTGAAATGATTAGGAATTGAGGAGCTTTTCTTTAGGTGGGAATGTGGTGTATGCTGTATACTCACAAAAGTGAGATCATTAATATTGCATGTACTACTTTGAATATCAGGGACCACAGAGAAATAGCATGAGAAACGCCTTCCTGCAGTCATGCACTTAAAATGAATATGAACAAAAATGTGGAACTCTGCTGTCATAGCTCTCCGTTATTGAAGTTTATGAATTTTGAAATATTTGTATTTTTATATAACACGATAAAGATCCACACATCCTAACTGCATTTCATATTTTTGTTTTCATTAAGCCAGGATATTTTTAATGTTACCTATCTTGAAGTTGCTTTAATTACAAAAAAAATGTGTTATACCCTATTTGCATGGTCATGCTTTGATTCAGTAGTCATTAGTGAGACAGAATGGAATATTTTATTTTCTCTTTTCTTTCAAATTTCTAATATCTATTTAGATTTTACTAACCTATTCCCCAGAATATTTCATGTGATTTATCCTAAAAATGTTAATATCTATTCAGCATTTGCAAATTGAATCAGTAGTTAAAATTCCAACATCAATATTTGAATATGGAGCTCCAAATATCAATAACTGTATATACTACATTTATGTGTAATGTATGTAGGGGAAGAAAAACCTTTTCCTTTAACCTCTTATGTTCAGTGGCTGGGGCATGTGAATTAATCTGACAGAAGACAGATTGACAGGAAAACATGCATACACATTGTATTTGATGTTCATATTTTAATTTATATGTGCACAAGACCTTCACATGAAAGAAATGAAGACAGAAAGAAGGAGTTAAACCCAGGGGCTTACATACCATTTTAATAAAGGGAGATAAATCGTGCAGAAGTGATAACACAAAGGAAAAGGGGTTTGGGATTCTAGGGGTGATAAATTGTGGGAAGATAAATATATGAGGGATACCAATGGAAGATAAGGGCTATTTTAGCAAGGTTTGTTTGTGCAAATCCATCTTGGTGCCAACTTTCTGTATCCAGTGATAAAGGATTGTTCTCCTCCTGGTATGGAAGAAGGGAGGGGAACACCTTCACAAAAGGAAATTTATGTCTGCTTTTAGGCAGATAGGGAGAGAGCAAAGAGCAAAGAGCTCTTTCTGCAGTTTGTTGTTTCTTAAGTGCTTTCAGCTCAAAATGGTCCTTATACCAAGGTGACATATTTTGCGGTGACATTCTGACCCCCTCACATACAGCCTCTTTGGATTGTTTCCTTTGTTTATTATATTTCTTATTTATAGGATTCTTTCCTAGAAGATAGGAATATTTATCACAAATTCTGGATAAATTTGACTGTGATGTATACTTCTGAAGGTACCTACCACACAAATCCACAAGTTTATTGGCATAGACCCTTGAAGCTTTCTTTGTACCACCTAACTCTGGCCCTCATTCTGGCCACTTGAATCTGATGGAGAGAACTGACCGAGGCTGGGGAAATCAGATTCTCTCCTAGATATCTATGACAAGAGATTCTTTTTCATTCTGGGCTGTTTGAGCAGGAATAAAATGAAAGCTTGGTGCTGCAGGGTGGCCATTTTCCACTTGCAACATGTACTGAAAATCAGAAAAGGCCAGGCTGAGGAGAGAGAAGATAGAGGCAGTCATAGAAAAAGAAGCTGCGCAGGTTTCTCATGGCTTTGTGTAGGGAGAGTTTTGCAACTTTGTGTTTTGTGAGATACTCTTGGATAGACTCTTTTTATTGGCTTAAACTATGTAAATCATGTTTGAGATATAGACAACCAAAAAATCCTAAGGAGCACAGTGGTATATGTCAAGTTTTAATGACCTAGATAGAGGTGTTTTATTTTTATGGGATATGTTAAAATTACGATTAAGTTGTGTGAGGCAGTAGGGTATAATATAATCAGCTCTGACTCAGAGACACATGCCCAAACTGAAATCGTCTCTACATTTACTAACTTGATCTTGGGTGTGATTCTTCACCTTAACTAGCTAGCTCTAGTTTCTTTCACTGTTAAATAGAAATCTTGATAATTATGGTAATCTAACTACATTATTTTGAGAGTTAAATGAACTGAGGAATTTTAAAAGGGTATAATACAAAGTTTAGCACATGGTAAATGCTCACTAAGTAGTACTTTTTATTATTAATATTTTAGTTTTACCTAAATATTGGTAATGACTGGTAATTGGTAATTCAGATGATTAATCATTTAGCTTTGATTTCTTCGAATAATATTTTATCTTTTAGTAATAAATTACAGATATCATTTGAAGTCTTTTGTGATAGTTCTTGTTATCAAGATAGTATGTTATCAAGAGTGTATGTGAGAACCCTTCCTTTATGGCCTACTGTGGCCCCATTTGTCAAGGTATTTAATGCCGTTGACTCCATTTAGATTCTGACAACTTTTACACTTTTTGTTTCTCTTCTTCAATTGTTTTCTTCAAAGATTTATGGTTTTCATGATATAAATAGTTTAACTCCTTGGAAACATTTGTTCTTAATTATATATTTTTTAGCTACTTGTAAATGGGATTGTTTTCTTGATTTCTTTTTTTTTTGGGTGGTTTATTGTTAATGTGTAGATATGTTACTGAATTTAGTATGTTGATTTTGTATTTTGTAAATTTACAGAATTTGTTTATTAGTTTGAACTATTTTTGGTGTTGGCTTTCGGGTTTTCTATACATAAGACCATGTCACCTGCAAACACACAACTGAACCTTTTCCTTTACGTTTTGGATGCCTTTTATTTCTTTCTCTTGCCTAATTGCTCTGGCTAAGACTTTCAGTACTATGTAAAATAGAAATGGTAAAAGTGGGTATCCTTGTCTCGTTCCTGATCTTAGAGGAAAAGCTTTCAGCTCTTCACCATTGAATATGATGTTCGTTGTGAGCTTGTGATACATGGCTTTTATTGTGTTCACGTACATTTTTTCTACACCTAATGATTACAGTATTTGTATAATGAAAGGATATTCAGTTTTGTCCAATGTTTTTTCCTGCATCAATTGAGATGATCCTATGGTTTTTGTCCTTTATTCTATTAATGTGGTATATCACACTTATTGATTTGTGTATGTTGAACCATCCTTGCATCCTGGGGGTAAATAATGCTTGATTATGGTGAATGGTCCTTTTAATGTGCTGTTGAGTTTGGTTTGTTAGTGTTTTGTTGAGTAGTTAATTTTGCTTTTTCATTTACCTAAAGGCTTCTACAACTCAAATCTTTCCTTCATTTCAAAGCAGTTTTCTTCTCGTATCAACAGTGGCATAACCCACAATTATTCATATGGTTCTTCCTTTTTTGAGTACATAAGACAGAAGATGTAGAGGAGTGTTCACTGCAGACTGAACGGTTGGTTATGAGAACTGAGGTCCAGAGTTAGGACAGAGTTTAGAACTACGTGAGCTCTTAATACCAATATCAGACTGACAGAAGCAGGCACTCGTTTAATAAATTTATTGTGTTTATGTTTGAGATATGGAGGTTCTCTAAAGTGACCCTCTGTTATCCATGTCTAATGACAGTATTGAACTCTAATATTCTCCTATCTGATGTCTCTGCCTCTCCCCTTGTCCTCAGACATTAAAAAAAATGCAACTGTATTATTATTTTGAAACCTAAAATAGATTATGTTTTCCATTGTCTTCCTGTGTCACTCAGAATAAAACCTGGTCCTATTATAGCCTACAAGCCCCTATCCTCATCTCCTGCTGCTTGTTTTCCCAGGCTCCTAGTCACTGTCTTCTGGCTTCCTTGATTTTTCATGAACACTTCCTGCGGCCTTCTGCCTCAAGGCATTTGCACTACCTTTTCTTTATGTTGTTTTATATACATACTGCACTTCCTTACTTTCATCACATGCTAGCTACTCAGTGTGAATTTTCCTAACACGCAACATCATATGTAACATTCATCATCCAGCATTCCTTATTACTCCTAACCACATTTTATTTATTACTCCTGACTACATTTTATTTTCTCTACAGAATTTATTATCATCTCTATCTTTACTGTTTTGCCTAATGCCTCTTTCCGTCTCTAGGGTTCAAGTTTCCTGAGAGCAGTAGCTTAGTCAGTTTTGTTCACAACTGTAACTTCAGGGTCTACAACAATACCTGGCACCTCGTGGCTACTTAAATGAATGAAACAAAGATTCCAGAGACTAAACTATGCTACTATCTCAAATCTAATCAATGATATAAAAAATACAGTCACACAATATAAAAATTGAAGTTCACATTTAAAGTTTGGTTTTTCAAATTCATTTGCTTCTTTAAACACATCCATCAGTATCTGTTGTCATACCTCTAACTCATTAACAGAAGGCCAGTAAAGAAGCTGTCTTGTGGAAGCCATGCTTAGCCACCACATGAGTAATTGCTCTGCACGAGCCGTCCTGTGGCATCTCTCAACTGAACCGAAAGTCTTCCACTTCAAAGTCTATGGCAAGGTGGTTAGGAGAATGAATGGAAAATAGAGGTTTATTTTAGATATACTTTTGGAATTAGTTTTTGAGGATTTATCCCAATGCTAAGTAAGGAAGTTATCTGTCTGTGGCCATGTAACTGCATGCATTTCCATCTCTTCTATTATCAAATTAGAGAAAACCTCACAATATAGTAAACTCTTCTTAATTCAAAGATAATTTGAGTTACTAGAGGGTAGGGAATTGTGTCTTAGTCTTCTTTGTTTCACCTATGTGTATATAACCACTTATAGCTCAATAGTTCAATGAATAATGAAAAAATAGAAGTTGTATTGTATATATTAATTTCAAATATATGCCAGTGTTGATATTTTCAATTCATTTAGGTACTTGTTTGTATTAGGCTTCTTTTAAAAACCTGGGGTTTTAGGCAGAGACATTTAGGGCATGGTTCGATCAGAATTGCTGTTGCTCAGTCTTCATGGTCTGCCCATACAGTTCTGCCAATTACATATTCATAGTATAATTGGCACATAATTGTTATTGATCTTTACGCTCATTTGAGATCTACCTCTTATACTGTTAAACACACACATTTACTGTTATTTTTAGAAAAAAATTTACTGCCTATATATTGTGAGAAGAATGGAACTGTGTGGTTAATCAGAGGGTGAAGGAGGATGGCTTGAAGGAACAGAACAAGATGCAATAAGAAAATGTAGATGGAAAGTCTATGGTAACTTTTCCATCACATAAATGAATGAATACCCAGTATTGAATAAATCATGGATTTTAGGTCTTAACATTCCATATTCTTTGAAATAAATTATTTTCAAATATCCCCAGAGATATTTCCATATTTTCAGAAATATTATCTTAGAACAACCACAAGCACAGAGTATATAGAAGCTTGAGAACACCTGTGGTGAGAAAAATTAAATGCATCTCATATGGTTCAGTCAACAAGCTTACTCTGCTTGTTAGAGCTGTTTATTTTAAATTTCCTATAAAATCCAAATAATAGGCAGACAAGTCTTTACCTGACCAACTTGTTGTGTAAGTTGTCTTATACTGTTTGATTCTCAAACCCCCTGGTGAGAATGTCCCAAAGCCTATGGAAGAAGCAGACACATACAAGGCAGTAGACATTTTTTCCCTCTCCTTCTGCAGCAATATTTCCTCCTCTACAAACACATAGCCTAGGTTTGTTACTTCAAAAAAAAAAGTGAAAGTATGTTATTACAACTAGAAGCATTCACAGATATAACCAGCTAAATAAATCTCTTGCCCTCACCTAGAATCAGGCTTCAAAAACACTATCCATTCTCTAGAAATGCCAGGCTCTCATATCTTACTCTTAAAGCCACCATAATGTGGCTTTCACCTCCTCTGCACCGGTGAAACTGCTGTTATGAAAGTTTCAAATGACCTCTTTGTTACTATTAATAAATCTGGTGAACATATTTCCATGTGTTTCCTTACCAGAACTTCGTATAATTTGGCACTGTGGATACCTTCCTTCTCGAAGTATTTTTCTTCTTAGAACAGCTTCTCGAGTCGCCATCCTCACTATTCAGTATTCCTTCTGCCCATCTCTTCCTTGGCCTCAGTTTTTATCTAACATCTGTCTTAAGCTTTCTCTTATCAAGATTTATTATCTACAGAGGTGTGGGGGGAGGAGGGGAGAGAGAGAGAAAAAAGAGAGAGATGCCTACTAGACTTCTTTCAGATGTAACTTCCTTTCTTCCAAATCAATTCCACTCCTTAGTGGCCTAGAGTCATCTCTTTGACTCAGGCCTGAAAACAATCACCATTCAAATATGTTTACTGAATCCAATCTTGACCTTCAGGCTTCAACTAAGATTTCATACCTTCTGGAAAATGAATCTTTCCCAGGCCCCCAGCCCCCTGAGCCTCCCTCTAATATAGCCCACTCTGCCCGCTTCTGCTTTTCTTTGTCCTTTTTTCTTTCAATTAATCAATCTCTGTTGAGGGCTTATTAAGTGCCTAGCACTGCCTTAACATTTGGAAAATAACAAAACAGACCAAAAGTTTTGCTTCATGGGACTCTCATTCTAGTCACGGAAAGACAGACAACAGACACTTATAAATAATCACATTATACAGTTTTAAAACTTACTTATATTGTATTAATATTGCTCGTTTACTTGTCTTTTTTCCCAAGGATATAAGTTCCTTTACCTACTAAGTTCCTGGCATTTTATTGTGTGCTTAAAAATATTTATTGACTCTAGAATCTCCCTTTCACACGAAATCAGTGAGTGCTCTTGCCAAATTAGGCTGGTCTGTATTCCAGGGTTTTATATAAATTAGCTTTAGTCCAATGTCACCTTCATGCTTTATTAAGACTCTAGAGATAAGTTGCCTCTGGACAGATCTATATTACTGTGTTACATGCATTAATTATTTTATTTTTATTCTAGTTTGAAGGGTTTTTTAAAATTGGTTGCTCTCCAATATTATATATAATTATATATCACATTGTAACTTAGCGTTATAATGAATTGTTCATCGTATAAAGACTTCTAGAAAAGTCTTCTGCTAGTTGTTACATACAAGGCAGAATTTAACTGATTTGTGGGCAGTACATATTGATCTATTCCATTAATTTTAATGAATGCATAATATTCTATAATATACATATGTAATTATATATTTAATCATCTTTTTCTAAGGACATTTACTACTTCTGAGTCTTTACCATTGCAAATCATGTGACCGTAAACCTCTCTGTATATATCTTCTTATGTATATATCTGCATGGTTCTCTAATATAGCTTCCTAGAAGTGGAATTGTTGGTTTAAACAGTGAATGCTGACAAATTATTCTCTAGAAAGGCATTACCAATTTATAATCTCCCAAATAGTAACTGCTGTTTCCCTTCCCTTTTTCAGACCTTTACTTTATAGATATAAATGCTGTTATGTGTGTGTAATTTTTTCATATTCTGATGATCATATGGCATTTCTTTATCAAAGAAAGGGGAGGGTAACCTCTGAATCTGTGGCCTAGGTCATGTTCCTCTGCTGGATGCCCTCAATGCATACCATATCACATTTTATCCTAATGATTAATATCATTATTATTATATTTCACTATTATCATTTCTTGCTTTAACAGTCATAACTTCTTGAGTAAAATATATCACTAAGATTAAAAAAATAATGATTACAGCTTGGATAGGTCTTGGGTATAAACATTTTCTCATTTTATTTTTTGAAAAGTATTTTTCGTATTACAGTTTTGCCTAGTAGATATTCGAGATTGATGTGATGATTTTGTCCAAATGGGCATGTTTTTCCTGTTGCTATATTTGTTATCATTTTCTCATTCACTTACATGGTAGTGAGAAAGTATAGAATAATTGCCTTTTTTGAATTGACTATAAAATGTTTTTAATTTGATATAATATTAGGTCATTATTTTTTAATGTTCTAATGTTTATTGAGAGTAAAGTATATCCCCTAACTGTGGGATATTATGTTTGACATATACCAATTAATTTGAGTTTTTGAGTTACATTGTTTAAACAATACTGTCAGGTCTCTGTTTGAACAAGTCATATCACACAGTGTGCACAGTGTAGATAAGGAAGATGAACAATAAAGAAATAAACAAATAGACAAAATTTTAGATACTGGTGAATATAAAATAGGGAGAAGTAAGAGTTGTTGACTGGTCAGGGAATTTAGGTTGGATAGTCTCCAAAGAGGTATCTTTTGTCATACTTGGGTAGTATATTATTGTGGCTTTTCTTTTTGCTTATTTAATATATTTTTTCTCTATGCTTTTCTCTTTAATTGGATTTCTCAGCTTGTGTCTGGCTTGTTTCTCCTTAGTGTATGTTTGAATTTAAATATAATTCCAGGTGAAAAATGTAGTCTATTATTGATGACTGGAAACCATTTAAACTCATAGTAATAAATGATAAATTTGTTTCTATCAAGTGTTAAATGCTTTTATGAGTTTGTTTTTAAATCTTTTTACTGTTTTCTGTTTTATCGTACATATACTCTGGTATATTTTATTGTCTTCTGTAGTGATTTAGGAGGAAAATTCCCCTTTAAAAAATAATAGTGGTTATCTTTAAGACCTTATTAACTATGTTTAAACTGAGATTGTTCTAATTTTCTAAGTCAGTGATTAAATAATAGTAAGGATTTTAGGATCTACACTTCTATTCATGAATATTTTCATTGTTTTGCATTTCTTACTTTATGACATCTTTGTTTTATTTACATTTATACATTTCTCCTGGTACATATGTGGAAAAGAGTCTTTAGAGTGTAGGGGGTCATAGAGGCTGCAAATGTAGAACATTGTAGCAGAATGTCAAATTGTTTATGCTATTTATACTTCCACAGCAACATTTTAGAAATAATCTTAATCCCTTTCCGCATTGTCTCCAACAATTAGTATTGTCATCCTCTAAATTTTGGTTCACGTTGGGGTGTAAAATTATATCTCAATACATTCATAATTTGACTTTTCCCAAATTACTAGTAAGGGATGAATCTAATGAGTTTGAACATCGTTTTATGCTTAGGGCTTTGCATGTTTCTCTTGTGTGCCATAACTCCATGTCTTATGTCCATTTTTTTGTTGTTATATTGTCTTTTTATTATTGATATTGAAGAGCACTTTATATAACAAATTATATAATTTTTACCTTTATGTGTTGCAAATATCTTCCCTCAGTTTGTGGCATATCTTTTCACTCTTTTTAAATTTTGATGAATAAATGTTCTTATTTTTAATTTGGTTGAATTTATCACCCTTTTATTTTACAGTTATTTTTTTTTGTTTAAAATTCATTGAAGTTATATCTCAAAATGACATTTTCCCACTACTTTTGTGTAAAACTTGGTAAGTCTTTACAATGATACAAAGTCTTTTTTTCTTCCTGAGTTAAGGAGCATCTTCTTTTGCTATACTCAGCTTACTGTTTCTGCATCATTTGTTATGTTTTATTCTTTTAAGATATCCACTATCCATGTATTGAATTTCTTTTACTAGTACAAAATAGTTATCATTTTCCCTTAATTTATTTTATGTCTATTTTTTGCGGTGTATTTTGAGAAATGATCTCAAATTGATCTGTGATACTAGTAAATTGTCTTTCTGTCTGTAACGTCAGTTCTATTTTCTAATGCTTACAAAGGATTTATGTTTCTATTATTGCATTTTAGTTTTCTATAAGTGCCTTTCTCTCATCCCATCCTCATCTTATTTAGCTAGATTTTATCTCAAAAGATATATAAACCTTAAAAAATGTTGTCCTGATCTCTTTTTTAAGTCCCTCCTTTTTTTTTACCCTGTAGCTTTTTATCGTTTGAGAGGACAAAACATTTTCTTTGTGTATTAAATATCTTTAGAGTAATGCTTTCCAATGTTTCATATAATGTGATTTTTTTAATTACTAGAGTTGTTTTTATATGGCTTTTGTTTTCAGTATTTTAGGTTAGAAATAGTTTTAGCCATTTTCTGTTAACTGACTTTGTATCTATTATTTCAGTTGCAAATTTCAGTTTCTGGTTTGTCATTTGTATGGAATGTCGTTGTGCACTGAGAATGTCACTGGTTATATTTTATTTTTAACTTAAAGATTTGTCCAGTACTCAGGTGCCTCATATTTACTGGAATTTGTGTATTTAATTTTTTACTTTGTGCATAATTCTCTGCTATGTGTTGGTTTCCACTATAGATATGTTTTATTTCATTTGTTTTAGAAAATTTCATAATACCTTAATACCTTATGTCCCACAGTAAGCTAATTTTATGTTTTTCTCTTTTATACTTTTTAGTACAAATATGGTTTGCATCTCTTTGTAATTGTTTTCCCGTAGTAAGTAAGATATGTTTAAATGTGATCTCAAAAAATGTTTAGAATTTTATTTATCTGTGTAGAGACAGGGTCTTGTTCTTGGGCTCAAGTGATCCTCCCATCTCAGCCTCTGGGGTAGCTGGGACTATAGGAGTGCATCACCACACCCAGCTAATTTTTGTATTTTTAGTAGAGACAGGGTTTCGTTATGCTGCCCAGACTGTTCTCAAACTCTTGGACTCAAGTGATCGGCCTGCCTTGGCCTCCCAAAGTGCTGGGATTATAGCCGTGAGCCACCGCACCCAGCCTAATATTTAGAATTTTTATCTCCCATACTTATGAAAATCTGAGGTATCTCGTTTGATCTATCAGAGAAAAATATGGAAAAATATCAAATGGTTACAAATATTTATATTCATAATGAGCCACCACACCCAGCCTAATATTTAGAATTTCTATCTCCCATATTTATGAAAATCTGAGGAAAAATTATTAAATTGTTACAAATATTTATATTCATAGTGGAACATATCTTTGTCATTTATATCTTTGTTTACATTTATAATGAGTAAATACGTGAGTATTTATTTTTATTTTTACTATTATTAAATAATGAGTAAAAGAAAGGTTTTGCATACTAGTATACTAAAGAGACTTAGAGAAAGGAATCCTTGTCGTTGCTTGTCTTGCTGGAGCCTGTTGACTTCAGTAGTGATAGCACCATGTTCAAGAGACCAAAGAAGAGACCTGGAGCTAGTGAAGGACACATAGGGTTTACCAAGAGAACTTACATATAGGGTGGTCCAGTGGTGGTGGGCTGTACAGGAGAACTGCTACCGCTTGTAAAAAACATGCAGTTTATATAGCATTTTCACTTAGCGTTCTCCCCTTAGCATCCTCCATCTGACAACTTTTAACCCGAAACAAAGGGCCTTGATCCCCTGTACAGCCCATGTTCCCCATGAGGGGCCAGGTTCAGATGTTCTTTATAGATAAGGAATGAATCTCCAGGTTGATCATTCCTGGATTCCTTAGCTCAGAACTCCAAATAAATATTAGTTATTGCTTTCAGATGCATCTGCCATACGCTGCTCTTTATTGAAAAGGGTGGTGAATGGTGTTGCTAGACAACACAATCATACCATAGAGATTCTTTTTTTTAAGCTTACATATTTTATATTTAAAAAGAGTATTGCTTAGAGTTATTTGTGTAATAGGCAAACAGACAGAAATCTTAAAGCTGAAGAATAAAACATAACACAGAAAAATCACTTATTTTTAAGAACAAAGAAGGAAATGATTCAAAAAGGAGGGAAATTATCAAAAATTACCACTAGAAATAACAGAGGAGAAAAAGTTGAGTAAAAATTTGAAAACCGAGTAAAATTAAGTAGTAGTTAAATTAAGTTCTATGAATTGTAAATTCATAGAACTGTAACATGACATGTTATGCTGAATCAAAATTAAGTACTACTGCTACATAATATTTGTCAAACACATTCTGCATTTGGGATTAAAGATTTCATGTATATATTCATTAAGCATATATTATGACTACTATTAAAATTGTTTTGACAGTAGCAAAGATTTGATAATACTTAATTGAATGAAGTACTAGGTAGTAATGCCTATTTTTTCCCCAAAGGCTTGTATGTTTACGTAGTTTCATTTTTTTTAAACCAGTTTATTTTGGTAAATATATTAGTATCATAACTTGATTAAATTTAGTCTTTGGTATACAGAAATAAAGTTTGAGTTTCAAGCATCTTAACTGAAGATTTCCCTGACAAAATTCTGATTACAGCCAATGTTAATGGGACTAGTCAAACAGGAAAAACAGATGTACTATCTTTATAATATCTGGAAGTAGAAGAAAGGAAGCAATTTATTCATGAAATTCACTTTTAAATAAGCTGCATTTATTAAAACACTATCCTAGAATTGTAATCCTATCAAGGTTTCCTAATTACTTAAATAGCCATAACACAATAAAACAAAAAATCATAATTTTGAAGACACTTGTTGTGTTTCTGGATTATTTTAGCAGACTTAACAAAAACACTTGAATTCGTGGCCTACAAATCAAATAAGATTGAAGCAATTTAGTTATGCACTTCATATATAAATAATAATCTAAAGTTATAAAATATTATCTTACAGATTCCAGTCCTATCAAGCTTCCATTTGAGCCACTGTATAATCACTTAATAGCAGAAGAAATAAAAGGGAAGAAGTTAAAATTCCTTAAGTAAAGAGACGAGAAAAGCATTTTGCTATAATTCTGAATCTTTAGAAACAGACTCATTGGAAGAGGATCAACTTATGTTTCAGAAAAACTCCCAAACCAACATTTGTTTTTCCTCTGCTCTCATACAACACAGCAATCATTCACACAGAAGACTTGTTTGACCAAGAAGCCCCATACACCAAGCAGTAGACACCAGTTGAGTCTCTTCCTAGTCAGACTAACATTATTTACCTGGAGATAGTGTTAGATTGCACAAGCTGAAGGCTCAGGCCTCGAGACTGCACCCCTTTCAGACACTAGTATCAAGTCGGGTCTCCAGAACTTCAGACCAGCTAGCTTCAAATTGAGATTCCCATGACCACCTCTTTGGGTTTGACTAATTTGTTGAAGCAGCTCACAGGACTCAGAGAAACACTTGTTTACACTTGCCTGTTTCTTGTAAATGATATTACAAAGGATACAGATGAAGAGATGCATAGGGTGAGCTACGGAAGAAGGGGTGTGGAGCTTCCATGCCCTCGGGAACACCACCCTCCATGAAACTGTATGTGGTCAGCTATGTAGAAGCTCTCTGAATCCTCTCGTTTTGGGTTTTTATGGAGGCTTCATTACATAGGCGTGACTGATTAAACCATGGCCATTGGTAATCAGCTTGTCCTTCAGCTCCTTTTCCCATCCTTGGAAGTTGGGGGATGGGGCTCAAAGTTCCAATCCTTTAATCATGGCTTGGTCTTTTTGGTAACCAGCCTTATCCTGATGCTATCAGTCAACATTAATATACAAAAAGAAAGCACTTTGGAGATTCCAAGGATTTTAGGAGTTGTATGCCAGGAAACATGGAGGAAGATATATACTCCATGATAGCTAGGAAATTGACTCACTTCTATGTTTAGGCTATTTTCAGTGTATGTCTTTTAAGACATATACTCCATGATAGCTAGGAAATTGACTCACTTCTATTTTTCAGGCTATGGGGTCTGAAGACAAAATCCAGTGCTGGTATTGAGACCCTTCTTGTTGTCAGGGGAAGATGTACTGGGCAAGGCAAGTTTCTGGGAAATAGGGTTCTTGGAGAGGTTCATCTTTATAGAATAGGAGGTTGGGGAGAGGATCCTCTTCTCAGTACCTGCTACTGGGGATCCCTTTGTAATAGCTGCCGTTTAACAGAATGAATGATAGGATAGATTCAGAGCACCAGAACCTGAACCAGAAACTCCACATCAGTGGGAGAGTTGAGCCCAAAGGAGGTCTGCAGCATCTGCCAATGCCAGAGATACCAGGAGAAACTCAGTTTTGCGCTTATGGAGGACCTCCTATGTCAGGAGGGAGTGGTCTGTTGGAAGGACCCTGCTTATGCAGTCCTGAGCCTGGGCTGGGTAGTGGGTGGCATCCGGTCCATATCACGCATGAGGCCTTGCATTTGCACACCTTCACAACTTGATACTCCTCCTTCATCAGAGATCTGGTTAGCCAGAGTGTGCCCTGGTGGTCCTCAGAAGTCTCTGCTAAATGTTTCACTTGGAATATCAAGGATATTAGGATATTTTTTGAAACATGTAAATTGTTAATAATTTGTCTTATGTGCAGGCATTTTGTTTTCTTACATGATTAAGGTTTCACTCACACAACAGAACTGTCAACCTGTTATTTGAGTATTTTGCTCATTGAAAATAATCTGGCTTTGATAATAGGCCAATGACCTTTTTTTTTCTAAAAACTTTTAGGCTTATATTTTATAGGTGTCCATCTCTTCACATGCATGACTGATCTTTTCACCTCCCTTGGGAAGATTCTCCTCTATCTTTATGGGGTAAACACAGTCTAAATAGGATATTTTGTGAAAATATATTTCATTTCTTTGATTCAGTTCAAGAAGGACTTGAAATTTCCACCAGCAATTTTGCCTCTCCTTTCTGTGTGCGTTTTCCTGTTAGTTTGTTTCTGAGTGCGGTGAAGCTTTCCCAGTTTGCAGACTTTTAATATGACCTCCCCTCTTTCAGTTAATTTAGTGAGCATTCATGTTTTTTGAATCAAGATTTTCTAAATAACTCAGCTCCATTAGTAAGATTCTTCAAAATTTTGATTCATCTTCTAAGATGTCTCCGTTTCTGTTGCATTTTTATATCCAAGTTCTTAGCATCCATGTCGTCGTCTCCAAGAACAGTAGCCCAGTCTCTCACCTTTAACTTGTGTTCACACAGAAGCTTGATCAGACTTGTCATATTTTAGAACTTGTTTCCTACACATTTTAGAATTTTCTAGCATTTTATTCTGCTTAGTATGTTTGCTCCCTCTTCCCTTTTCCACTCTTCAGCTTCTTGTGAAAGCAGCTCTGTGTTTCCCTGAAGATTGGAATTTTTATCCGAAGTGTCTTTCAATGCTGTCTGAAGTTGTTCTTCATTGTTCTGATGTATTTCGAAGGCTGTTTTGGTTGCAGCTACGTGAATTGTGTTTCGATGAATCTCCTAAAAACTGAAACATTCTGTCTTTAAGCTACCAACCTAAATTGTTCTAAACATTTAGATTTTTTTTGGTCCTTTTCTGAGAGTCTTTAATATAAGCCCAAGTAAAGAGTTGGGGCTTTCTAGTGCTTTATTAAAGATTTCCAGTTTGTGAATTTCTAATAATTTGTTCTTAAGTTTGTCTTCTACCAAAGTTGATTTAAGGCCATTTTTTTTTGAATGAGACAAATCTCATAAATATGTTTTTTCTTCTAAAGTGACAAAAACTCCAGTAGTCTGTTCTTTGTCCCTACTTGCATCCAGAAATCTGCAGGGACCTGTGCCTGGGCTTAGGGCCTCTGGCAGCACTACCGTCACCTGTCATAGCAGTTCCAGGACCAGCTTGACACAGAGCACCATGGCCAACAACACGTTCTCTGTGACTCCCGAGGCCACTGCTGAGCTATCTCAGGTCGCCAGAAGCCTGCCTACCACTATGAACTTTCGAGAACACACGTATACAATTCTTCTCTGAACCGAACAAGTGCCTGGCAATGAGGACAGACCTCAGTGGAGGTTGGGAAGGGGAAGCAAACAGTAGAACACAGCTTTCCCACCTCCTTCACATCCTGACACTCAGAGACTATAATAGAATCACCTGGCCCCTGAGATATGCAGGAGGCTGAGGTGATGGGCTTAGCTGATGGGATCAAGGTCTTGTCATACCCATAAAGCATTCATGGGTTCTCTGTTGGGAAGCATAAACTGCGTTGGATTTGCATCTCCTAGGCTTGGCCAGTGCTCCTCCTTCTCTTAATAAACTTTTCGTTCTGTGGCCATGGACATCTCACCCTGCTCATGATGGGCACAAGAATCTCCTGACCCTGTACCCTCTTTTGTTTGTATTTGGCTGGTCTTGAATGTACATAAGCAGGGGGTATGGGAGTGGTTTGGAAGGCTGAACCAAGAGTTTCAACTTACTTCACTAATACCAGCTTTCAAAACTAAGGAAGAGAAGTATTCAGTAGAATTTTCAAACTTTTCACGTATCAGCAATGTGCTATCTAAGTTGATTTTAAACTCTTCCTGAATGTGATAAAATGTTTTCTGACACAAAAGCCTTTCTACATGCTAGTGTTCAGAATCTTAAACTGGGGGCATTTGATACTGAATAGAACTCTCTCTGCTCCCATGGTAGGAGTGTTGGGGCACCTGAGCTTCTTCCCAGTGTAGTGGATGGCTCTTTGAACTATAACCATGTATTACATAAATGTATTATATGTTATTTTTAGCTACTATTGAGTATCAGATTGAGAATATGCAGTAAGCTAAATAAACTTTTGGAAATTGATGTATGATATTAAAGATGCTGCTTATTAAAGTCTCAACATCTGTAAAAAAATCTGCAAATACAGATATTTTCATGAATTCCTTTGCAGAAATCTCTTGTGTTTCTAAATTTATCAGAGAATCTTGCACATCTCTGTCTTTGCTCCAAAATTTATTTGCATAGAGGCTTGAAAAATCAAGAAAAAAAGGCAAACAATTAAATAATATGAATGTTTTCTTTTTATGTATATATTTTCTGGATAATAGAAATGGTGAATTGGTATTTCCTTTTTATTCTGAAGAGTTAACAATATAATCAGCAGTCAAATGTGTGAGCAACAGACAGGAAGATGAGACAAAGCAATATTTTAATTCTGTTCCTATAAGAAATGTCTTTTCATTTTTTTTCTTATATGAGATTCTTTTTTGGCCATAAGTATTTTTTGCAAGGATGAGACAGATTTGCCTCCACATGGACTGGTTTATTATAACATTTTCTTTTAATTGTCTGAGTATAGTTTTGTAAAGCAAAACAATACTGGAAAGTGGGAGAACACTATTTATGTTAACTACGCAATCTTAGACAAGTCACTTGACTTCTGTGCATTATCTGATGATCTCTTGTTATCTGATCATGTCCTTCATGTCTACTTCCTAGTAAAAGTGTTAGTCTGAAGATAATTGAAGATGATGTGTAAAACATTTTGGAAAATACTAAATTTTAAATAAACTGTAGCTGTTAATTTATTCATATGGTTTAATAGATTTACTGAAAATCTTCATTTGGGTAATATTCTAGTTATAGACTCTAGGCCACATGTAGTGTAATATGTATCACACTTGGTTAGGAACAAAATCAGCCTTAAGGTTGTGCTCAGCAATATCATAAAGACTGATGTTTATCAAGTAAGCCCACATTTGGCAACACAAGCTTAATTGTTTTTATCAGAGCAGTTCACCTGCTTCAGAAACTTAGTATGACAATACCCAGAGAGTTTATTGAATGAAGATATGCTTAAGACTGTGCATAACTGAACTAACAGCATAGAAGTTTCTGAAGGATTGATTTAAATATAAATCAATAATTAATTCAGTACATTGATATTGAGCGTTAATTCAGGAAACTGATATTACCATATAATAAACTATGATAGAACAAGCACTGGGTTATGCAACAGACATTTATACATAGAGGACAGTTCCTGCCCTCATAATGTTTAGTGCAGGAGGGAGACCTACAGAATGCTACAGTAAAACAAGAGAAACAACTTGACACATGCCCAAGTGCTAGGATGCCCTTCTGTGCAACCATTACTCAGAATGGGCTCCCTGGGTATCAGGGGAGACTTCTGCCTAGAAGTGATGTCATGATACAAAGGGGTTTGGATATTGACAGCCAATTGATTTTCAATAATAAATTGGTGAAGTATCCCTGAGGGAAATACATCTGAATAAGTCTTGCTAAAGTAGCTTCCAGTGTGCCAGCTTACTAAATTATAATGAGGAAAATGTGTATGAGTATTTGAATTGTGACGAACATCATTTTTTGCCTGTGTTTCAGCTTCATGGGGTAACACATCATCATTATAAATATGTTGTTGATTTAACCTGAGAAATCATCATCCTTGAAGAAGAAAATCTATTGGGAGTCAAATTGTATTCAGAAAGTTGCTATATGAGCATCAGATCAGTTGAATTTGAGTAAGACGAAAAATAGTTGGCATTATACAAAGCAGTTTAACAATGGAAATCACTGATAAAAATGCAGTGTTCATTGCTCAATGGCTACACTCCACTTGTACAATTTGGATAACATCATCATTAATACAATAAGAATTACTGTAATAGATTCCATGTTATTATGTTTTATTCTTCAGTTTAAAGATGGGAAAACTGAATTTTGGAAAACTACCAGCTCTGTGATGTTGAGGAGGTTACTTCAACTGTCTAGTCCTCAGTTTCCTCATTTATAAAATGAGGATGAAAGTAATATATACTAATATTAGTAATAACAGTAAATAATAACTCTTATGTATGTGACTCCTTAGGTCTGGCACATAATAAGCACTGTTATGTTATAATAGCACTAATCAGGTATGATTATCCCACCTAAGAGAAAATAGAAAGTAAATTAAAACAGAATTCAAATGATTAGTTTTTAATGTAAGGATTTCTGATTTTTTAAATCTAGGTAATAGCTACTTGAAATTTCCTAGTGCTGGTCCTTGAATGCTTGAATGGCTTAATTTCCACATTCTTTCATTTGGTTTCCTTCAGGCATCAGGTAGCTGCACTTTCTTTTTCTTTCTTTCTTTTTTTTTTTTTTTGTAAATTGCACAGTCTCTGGTATGTCTTTTTTTTTTTCTATACTTTAAACTCTAGGGTACATGTGCACAACATGCAGGTTTGATACATAGGTATACATGTGTCATGTTGGTTTGCTGCACTTTCTGCCTGGTTCAAAGATGCAAGCTTTAAGCATTTTCTTTTTTACAGTCCTGGTTTTCCTGAATTAAACACAAACACAAACATGTAGACAAATGTAGACAGAAAATCCTCATGTATAGTGCATTATAATTGATAGAAAACTTTCACATATATTTGTTTAGAGCCTAGAGCCCAGTTTCTTTTTTTTTTTTTCTTTGCTACTGTCACCATTAGCCAAGGTAGAAATTTCAAAAGTTGGCCTGGTATTTGCTGAGTTTGGAGGACTAGGGTTAAATATCATATTTGGACTTCGGGACAGAAACTTTCTGTAAAATGTTATGATTATGTAGAGATTTGAAAAGACTACATAGGGGAGGTCCGAATGCACCTGCATATTTAAATTATAACTATATTTTCTTGAATTTCCGTGATGCTGTATGCCATTCATGTGTTTTACCTTTATTTGACCTTGACCTTACATGCACTATGTGCATCTAGGAGATTTAATACATATAGTTGGTGAAAGGAATAAAGAATGAAGTGACATATTACACTAACATAAAAATAAGGAGAATCCTAATCTGACCTCATCATAAGCAATACTTTCCACTTACTTATTTGAATAAGAGTATTAAATAAAGGGCAACAGAAGTGACATATATATATATATATATGGTAATTAGACAATGATAATTTATGTTCCAAAATTATAAATTGTTAGAAACTTATCATAGTGTATAAAAGTCTAAATGAAAATGTCCTTCCCTATATATTTTTGTATTAATAGAGATTATGGCTATCTGTTCTTCAAATAATATCTCCTTGAGCATCATTGCTTTGTGAAATGACAAAATATTATGACATATTTAACTTATGAAAGATCCTAAAGTTCTGTTTTACCCTCAGCTTTTCATAGTATGTGTTACTGTGTTTTATTACATAGACAATTTAAGAAACCAGAGGACAATTCATTTTTTTCTGTGAAGTAGCAAATTGGTAAGGAATCATGGGAGATAATATATCATATTCTTAAAAAGGACATGTGTTTTAAAAATCACCATTGATTTGATTTTTAATATATCATTTATAGAACAGATGGTGGAGTTATAGTTATAAGCAATGAAGTACAAAAATCACCTTGCTGGATGGTTTTTTTGTAGGCAATTTGCTCGATCAAATTAAGTTGGAAAAAATAGGTGACCGAATTCTATAGATGACACTATTGGTAGTTTTATTTTTACTGTGATCTCCTGTGTTTTTATCTGTCATGATTGCACAGCACCCTTTATATTCTTCTTCTTCTCATTTTTCCTTCTATTCAGTCACTCTGGCATTCTGAGGCTGATATTTTAGATATTTAAAACCGGATTCTACTCCAGAAAATCCATTTGTTTTAAAGAATTCATATGAGATAAAAGGACTGTTGAATCAAAGGACCAAATAGTTCATTAAGAAGCATTGTAAAAGTGAATAATGTACTAATAAAAAGTTTCATACTTCATTTTCATATCTAAGAATTTAGTTAAGCATATCTTAATTTATTTCTTTAATTAATACCTACTTTAGAAGTTAAGTAACAGAGAAAATTAGAGATTTAACCTACATTTTACCATTTGCAAGAAAGGTACAAAAATATTCTATACCAGCTGTAATCATGCATGACTTTAATCAGATATTTGGAGACCTATTTCAATTGCCTGCGGTGTTAGCTATTCAAACTCAAAATATTCTGTAAGATTCCCTTATAACTTGAGAAACAGATGACTCATTTCCCTTAGACAGCTCAGCTTGTGCAATTTTAGCTGTGGAGAATGAGCTGTCCATTATTTTTTATCACCATTCTCTGCTGAATGCATTTGCTCTTTCTTCCTTTCCATTGCTTGTGTTTGTTTATCTAATTTGGATTATTAGCATGCCATAATGGTCTATAATTTTTTCCCCTCAGTCATTTACTTCTCAGGCAGGAAATTTCTTAGTGCTCCTGAGGACAACAACAACATGTGATATTTTGTTTTTGTTAAAGTCACAAAATTAAAAGTTTAGAAGACACTCATGTCTTCAGGAAAAGCTCTATTCAAACACTGCTGAGGAATATTGGCCAGTATTGTTTCCTGTAATTTTGTAGAAATAAAATTTGTAAATTTGTAGAAATAAAGATAGAACTGATCTTTGTGATGAATGGCAAGTGTGGCAAACTTAAAATTAATCAAATATCTTCCTTTATTTTTATCATTATTATTAAGGTTCTTTGAAAATTATGAAAGATAATACAGTTCTTATTTGTGGAGTGCTTGGAGTGTGCTGGTTCTGGTGCCAAACTTCTAAGGTTCACATCTAGGCTCTGTCAGTTTCTACTCAGGAAACCTAGGCAAGTCATTTAAGCTCCGGGCTTCCGTTTTCTCAGCTGGCGAAAAAAAAAAAAATGAATGTAGAAATGGCTCTTTTACAGGGCTGTTGAAGTGTTTACAAATTAAGACATATAAAGCACTTGCTTAGAACAATGCCATATATAGAGTAAGAACTCAGTAAGAGTTAACTACTAAAGGATTTTTAGTGTACAGAATTCAGGAAATACATATACATAGAACAAAAGCAAATAGAATCACTTGAAATCCTACCACCTAGAAATAAGTCAATAACATTTTGAAGTGTGTTCATTTAATCTTATTCTATATGTCTATATTTTTATTTAAAAATGAGATTGTAGTGTATATTCCTAGTTTGTAACTTTGTTCATTTAAAATAATATGCAAATGTTTTGCATAATCTTGTATTATACTACACATTATTTAAGTGACTTCAGTATCACAATAATATGGTAATTTGGTTATCTAATGCTCTAGAGCTAATCATTAAATTTTTATACAGGGCTTTTTTTGTTTGTTTTGTTTTTTGCTATCATAACCAATGCCTCAATTGGTGTAATTGTAATCACTATCATTTCACGTATTTAAGAGTATTTCCTTAGGATATATACAGATTTTCTTTCTAATATTTAGATTTCAGTCATTACTTACAACTCAGACAAGCTTAAATTGATCCAATTTCAAATGTTTGGAGACATATGACTCCTAATCTCCTTATAATACACAGAAAAAAATCCCGAAACCTTTCTTCATTGTTTTCCTCTGAAAACCTTTGTTCTTTATTTGAGCTTCTCTAAAACAAGTGTAATACTCAAGATGCTGGTTAATGGTGCCATGCAGAGGGAGATTCTGCTTATACTTAATTATACAACATAATCTTTCCTTTATAAGTGTGATGCAATAGCACTGATTCATATCAAATTAAGCATTATTGTATATAATAATTGTGCTTGATATTTTCATGCTAGATACGCATAAAAGAAAACTAATACATCTGTTGCCCTAATAACATAAAATATAATTGCATTTCACAGTCCAACTTCCTGAATACTCTAAAGTAACACTTTCACATCCTCTTAAAAGATGAACTGAATTTACTTCACTTCACTCAATATGACATTTTTGGAAAATAGTCACTAAAAGTTTCTTAAATGTTTTTAAATAGAAGTGGTATTTGTGCAGCCTGCAATCCCAGCACTTTTGGAAGCCGAGGTGGGTGGATCACGAGGTCAGGAGATTGAGACCATCCTGGCTAACACGGTGAAACCCCGTCTCTACTAAAAATACAAAAAGTTAGCCGGCCGTGGTGGCAGGCGCCTATAGTTGGAGGTACTAGGGAGGCTGAGGCAGGAGAATGGCATGAACCCGGGAGGCGGAGCTTGCAGTGAGCCAAGATCACGCCACTGCACTCCAGCCTGGGTGATAGAGCGAGACTCCGTCTCAAAAAAAAAGAAGTGATATTTTCTCTTGTTCGTTAGAGGGGTATAACAATTTTCATTAACATTGAATATTTTAATATTTTAAATGCTATATTTTCACCTTAGTTTCCTATTATTGTATGTTCTTTGTGGGTTTCACCATTTATGAATATAAAACAATCATGTGCTTTGCATTCACATAGCCCATCCTTTTATTTTTAAATTCTGGCATTTGATATAGAGATATAGCTTGTGTATGACAGAGTAAGCTTTATTTGGTTATTTTTGATTCTGAGAATCTTTTCCTTTAATAGAAAAGTTTAACCTTATTTTTAATTTACATATTTGGACTTGCATTCAAATGCTGTATTAGCTCGCAGCCCACCCCTACAATGTATATAGTATTTCTTTCTTTTGTTGTTTTTGCTGAAATTTTAAGTTTTTCTCCTGATTAATGTCATACACTATATTTTAATTCTGTAAGTACTTAATATTAAATTTTAAACATAATTGAATTGTTTTTTATAATTGTCAATAAGTATCAGAGTCAATAAATAGAGTCAGGCTCCATTGAGTCCCTTCATTTAAGCAGATAAAATTAGCATGCCTTTATTCCCTGCCTGACAATACCTTCTGTTATTTTGTTAGAATATGCCTGTGTTTGAAATGTGTTCTACTTTTTATTTTTTGGCACTAGGAATCCTTTTTCAAAGAATGATTTTAAATATTTTTATTAAGCTTCATAGGTATGTTGAAGACATAATACCATTTGCTTAAGTTTGTAACACTTTTATTTTTCATTTATTTTCAGTTTGTATGTTACATATTCCTTCTATTTAAGAAATTATGTAAATGGAGAGAGTTTTTGTTTGAGTAATTATTTGACGTGTTTTTGTAGAGATTATATTCTTATTCTTTAGCAGTCACTGTATTCCAAATTTATTTTGTGGTTCCTGGGAAGAAAGACAGTTATTTTGAGGAAAAATATAAAACTCCATGTCCAGTTCTAAATTCACATAGTCCAGTTCTAAATTCACATAGTCCAGTTCTAAATTCATGGCAATCCGTTGGAAATAAATGACTGATTCTTAGGTAAAAGTTCCAAAGTGTAAGTGGGATTTGAAGGTGAATAGCTAAAAATGATACCTGGGGCAGCCATCCCTCCCTCCACTTTATGGTTTTGAATTTCACAACTGAAAAGTGCTGTTTTTTTGAAAATCTGTACTTCTTACTGAATATTTCTGTTATGAAAACATACGATGAACTAATGTTTTATTAGTTGTACATTTTGAGAAGTTAAACATAGGTGAACAAATAATAGTCATTAAAAAATAGAAAGTATGATGTGATTGTTTTCCTATGATTTTAAGACAATGATGCTACATAACTATTTCCCTGTAAAGACTTCATACTGTAATTTGAATAAATGCAAACATTATCATTGTTGAACAAAATAAACAAATATTGTTTCTTCTTTATATTCATACCAATCTCAGTACTTCACTTCTAATACCAGATGTGTGGGGTTTTCCCACCCCAAGTAATTCTCCAGTTCTCTGAGGACACCAACTAGGTGTTCTGCAACTTAATTCTGACACGATCTACCTGGATGTAGCATCACATCCTGGGGGTTATGGGCTCAGTCCCACAAGACTTCCCCCGAGTCAGATGCCAAACACAAGTCCAGGCTGTCTCTTGTGTCTCTGAACAACTATCTATAAATCAGATGTTGCAAGAGCACCCTCCTTAGGTTCAATCATTTGCTGGAATGGCTCAGAGAACTCAGGAAAACAGTTTATTTATTAGATTCCCAGTTTTTTTTAAATAAAGGAATGCAACATAGGAACAACCAATTGGAGGAGATGCATAGAGCAAGGTATGGGGAAAAAAGACACGGAGCTTCCATGTCCTGTCTTGGTTGTGCCACCATCCCAGTGTCACGTGATCCTTGAGGTGTCACTTCACCAGCCGGAAACCTCTGTGTTCAACAACGCCTTCTGCCTGAGTATTGCCCATGCCACCTGGGCTCATTCTGCCCACTCGGCCCAGCAGGCTGTTCTCGGCTCGCACCACCAGTCTGGATCCCATACCTGCCCAGGGCAAGCCAGTTGCAGAGTGGCAAGAGGTGTGTGAGTGAGTGAGTGTGGGGTCCACCCATTGCACACAGCCAGGGATGCTTGCTGCTGCAGCAGGGTGGGCAGCTCCAGGCACTGGTACAGGTCCCGGCTCCATGTGAGGCTGCAGCTGGATCAGATGTACCACATGCGGCATCTGCTGTATGCACCCACACGTGGATGAGGGGAATGTGATGGTGCCCGGAAGCTTGGAAATGTCAGGAGCCACAGAGCCCCAAAGAGGATGTGACAGCCCTGGATCAGGTAACCCCTAGGTCTGGCCTCCCTGAAGGGCCACAGCTCTCCTCTCCTTCATGTCTCCCACAACCTGGCGAGCAGTAGGAGGATTCTGTTTCAGCCCTATTTTTGTTACTGCTCTTTCATTCCCACCATTTGGTGGGTCCTGAGTTCTTGTCCCATGTCCAGGAAGAATGAGGTACGCAGGCTACTGGAGGGAGAGCAAGGTAGAAAGGAGCTTCACTGTGTGACAGAACAGTACTCGAGAGACCCATAGTGGTTAGCAGCTTTCCACAGGCAGGTCGTCCTAATGAGTGTCCAGCTCTCAGCAGAAAGGAGACCTGGAGTGGGTAGCTTCTTTCTGTAGGCAGGTCGTCCCAACTAGTGGTGAAGACCCAAATTGGGTAGCTCCTTTCCACAGCTGGTTGTCCTGATGTCTCTGAGTCTGGCTGAGTCCAGAGTTTGTATGGGCTTCAGAAGGGAGTAAGTGTGTGCTGATTGGTCTATAGGTGGCTGTGGGCAGGTCCAGAAAAAGCACTGTAAGTTCTAACTCCAGGGACTCCACCTGGAACTGACAGTCCAGCCCTCATGCTTCAGGAAGTCCCTGGCTTGAAGGTGGGGCTTCACTGGGGACCCGCCCCTTTCCATGCTTGAGGCTGTCTGCGTATTGCTGCCATTGATCAGGTAATCTACAGTGCCCAGGCTATTTGTGCCAAGAGTGCCTGCAGGCCCATGCTGAGCACCCCTCAGCACCCCCTGCTTTCCACTGTTGTTCATCGGTACCCAAAGTCCAGAGGGGCACAAGGTGAGAGACAGCTGGCCTGTCAGCACTGCTGCAAATGTGTGCACACCCAGCCAGGTTGCGACAGCACCTGGGCTCAGGCACAACTTTGCTCCAAAATCAGAGCAGGTGCCTGGGTGGGGAGAGACCAGGTAGTGGGAGCAGGCACTTCTGAGACTGCAGGGGCAGTGGGGGGTTTCCCAGGCCCCTGAGAAGGCAGGGTTGCCCAGGTCTGGAGCCACAGCTGGGTGGCTGCAGCCGCACCCAAGAGGGCAAGGCTCCCACCCTGCCAACTCAGAAGTGTGTGGGGCTCCCACCTGTACCTGGCTCCTGCTGGCCCTATGGAGGGTGTAGCGCTGGCCATGCTTCCTCCAGCCATACCTCCCCAGCTGCAGCTGGTGTCTTCACAGCAGCCACTCCAGATAGACCACCGCTGTTATCACCAGCACCTCCACATGTTCACTGACCCAAAGCTCTGTGAGCCCCTTTCTTTTGTTTTTATAAGGGTTACATTATGTAGGCATGATTGATCAAATTATTGGTCATTTTTAACTCAAACTTCAGCCCCTCTCCCTTCTCCTAGGATAGGGGATGGGGCTAAAAGTTCCAACTCTGTAATCACACGGTTGATTGACTGGCAACCAGCCCCCATTCTGAAGCTGTACAGGAGCCTCCAGGCATCAGTCATCTCATCAGCATACAAAAAGACACTTACGACTTCTGAGATTACAAAGCTTATAGGAGCTGTGTGCCAGAAAACAGGGATGAAAACCAAAATATGTATTTTTTATTATATTGCAGTATCACCATGGTTTGGCAAGATTCTCTGTGATCTGAAACCTGTCTCCTATTTTTCCTTCTACCATTATGTACCTTATTATCATATTTTAGGCATACTGACTCTCTTTTAGGGTCTTTGCAGTTCCTTTCCCTTTGTTAAGATCTTGAAAATGTCTTCCCTGACCATTCTGTTTGTAATAGATCTTTATTTCCCTATCACTTTATTCTCCTTTCTTTCCCTGTAGTGTTTAACACTATCTGATAAACTCTGATAGTATCTGAGGTTATCACATAGTGTTAAATGTAAACATTTGAAGTATGTATATTTTTTCATATTTTAAAAAGATATTTTAAGTATATATTTGTATCATCTCTCCCCTATTCATTAAAATGTAAGCTTATGAGGGCAGATGCCTAGAATATTTAGAATAAATATTTAGAATAAACTCTAAAAGTATTGTAAATTTTTTTCTAGGAAATTCATACAGATCAAATTCATACAAATGCTGTACATATGAAAATAATTATGGAGTGTTTAGAGTATTGCTTACTAAATTAATGAACATTTGACTTCTTATGGAAAGAAACATGAGTATCCTTTAGGTATTCCATCAAACAAGGTCAGTCTGATTGAATGCTATAAATAAGTGTTAAAGAAAACCAAGTTCACATTTCTAACTTGTCTAGGAAAATAAAATTTCTCACACAGTCAATATTGTAATGTCCACTGGGGATTGTTCAGAAGGCTCCATAGATGATGGCTTTGGGCCAGACAATCAGATTATGCTAAGGGAAGTTAAGATAAAATCCTGTTGCCTATACTGAAGAGAAACATATTATTTGCTATGAGGTAAAATAGCCTCTTCTACTAAATCTGAATGTTCTAGTGAGTTGAAGTGTTATTTATATTCAAAAGAACATATAGATAGGTGTAGGGGTGAGTTATTGCTATAGTGAGAAGCTGTAAAGCAATATTTTGTTGATTATGGTAAAAATTGGTTAAATGCATTGGGTAACTTTTCCAATTTTAAGCTCAATTAATAAGAAGGGAAATTGAGACCCTGAGTAGGTTTTCTGAGATAGGCGTCTGTATAAATTGAGACTTAAGAGAAGTCAGGATGATGAAGGAAGGCTAAAAGATTGGATTGTTCAGGCTTGAGACTAGAAGAGTGGGGAGTTAATAACAGTCTTTAAGGATGAAGGGTTCTTATAAGAGAAAGAAGACTAGCTGTTTTCCATCTCCAGTGAGTACAGAACAAGAAGATGGGATTTAACAAATATTTATTGAACATCTCCACCAAGTGCAGAACAAGAGGATGGGAAGTATAAGTGCTTTAGATGAGAACTAAAAAATGTACTAAGATGAAGATTTTAAATCCTTGAGAGGTTATGAATTTTGTTTTTTAGAGATCTTTTAAACAATATAGATTTTCTCTTCATAACTTTATAAATAGGCACTAGTGTCAATTCACCTTAACAAACGTTTATTGCATTCTTAAAGCCCCTTCCAGTTTAATGATTTCAGCAATGTGTCAGTGAATAGAGGGCTGATAACTTTGTAGAACTAGTCAACATTTAAGCTGTTTAAAATAATAATCGTGATGTTAGTTATAATAATTAATGAAATCAGTAGAAGAGTAAAAGGTATTAATAGTTGCATTTAGTAGAATCATTATGCAACATAAGTTCCTGTATGAATTGTAGAAAGCATTGAAATATTTGGATTACTCAATTGTATTAAAATGTCTTCTGATAGAAATAAATATATATTAGTGAGAGAGAAAATCAACTTGAATGCCACCTAGTATGATCTTCCTTTGAAAGACCATTTGAAAATTAAGCTCTAGAATATTTTCCTCTCTGCAATTAACATATGCACTGACAATTTAATTTTATTATACTTGTTATTCTATTGATGATTGTAGCCAATATTTAATTATTCTAACAAGGATAACAATATAGCTATTCAGTTCAAGTTGAAATATTTAATATGTTTGATAAAAATGTTACTTTATATATCGCCAAAGTTGATTAAAAATAAAATTAAAATATGCTTAACATCTTTCCCTGTGTAGCAAGTCAGTTTTTAAGAATTTTATCAACAAGGGACTACATATCAAATTTTCCAGTGAAATTCCACTAATAGTAAAAAAAGAAGCCTCTGACTACTAGAGAAGATCCAGGCCCTTAGCCCACAAAAGGCAATATCTATGAAGTCTTTATTTAATTTTAATAATAATGCAAATTTTTATTCTACATATAATATATTTTTTATTTATTCCTTGAACTTCTAGAATGGGTCAGACTCTGTTTAAGCCCTTCAGATACAGTAGTGAATGAAATACAGGAAAATTTCTTGTCTCCTAGAGATTGCATTCTATTTTAATAAAATTAATAATAAAAACAAACAAAAAATAAGCATAATGTTGAGTATGTTAGATTCCTATAAGATTTGCTCATTTTGACATTAAAATGATATATGAATTTTCCATATCTGGGAACAAACATTTTTTTTTTCCCCTGCTACTCCCTTTAGGTAAATTGGTGGGATACTGTTTCTATGATCCTGTCAGGTTCAGGAAACTGGTTTAAATTAAATACTTATGTCAGATATTCATTTCAGCAATGAGGCGATTATCATTCTTGAGCTGTCATAGCATTGAAGATTGCATACAGTCATGTGGGGAGAGATGCCATCAGTTTCCTTTTTCACTGCTTGTAAAATACATCAACATAATCACTAGTAAGAGATACTCAGAATTAAGTCAAAGAAGCAGTACAGTGCAATATTTCCAGGCTGTGTTGATAGAAATTTTGATAAGTATATTTTTTGATGACAAGTTAAGCCACTTGTGGATTATGATGAGATGAAAGGGTCACTAATCTTTTGGTCAATCTTCTCTTGTCTCTGTGATAATCTCATAAAAGGATCAGTTCAGGGAATAATGATGAGTGATAATGCCATTAATTTTAAAACTGATACTGTAATTTTCATCACATGTAAATTATCTGAGCCTTGCAATCTACATAATCAACTCTCTTCATTCAATTTTCAAATTTCATTTTCATTGCAGCATTTTGGTCATGTACCATAAATATACTGTTTCTTTACATTTTTTAAAAAATGAATCATGCCCAAAGTTGTAAGAATACTTTAATGGGCCAAATGTGCAAATGTCTGTGTTAGGGTGAACAATTAACTTAAGTTGTTTTACTTGTAGTTTTTAACCTCTGATACAGCATCATTTTTTCTTCATGGAGAAAAATTCTTACACCTACACTTTCTTCCAGTGAAGGTCAGAAGAGCAAACTGTCCACATTCATGCCCATTTGATTAAAATGGACTAAAAGTTATAATTTTGGAAACTTCGTATGTATATAATTCAACTGTTTTATCACTGAAATAAACCTATTGAGAAAAAATAAACTCTTGGAGACAAAGTATAATTTGAGAGTGAGGCTGTTGTTCCTTGAATTTGGAAAGTGGCCAGGCCTAGATGCAGTGAAATCCCCTCATGCTTCTGCCTTTCATGGATTTCACATCATTTGTGCACATAACTCCATTCATTTTTCCAATTAATGTCATATTTTTTAATAATTAAAAAGAAATAAGACAAAAAACTTACCCTACTGATGTTTTCTTCACATATTTTAATTTTAAATATTTGGGAAATGAAGACATCATAAAAAATAATGGGATGAAATGGTGAATGTGGCAAAGAATAAGGAATATTGTTGATATTCATCCTTTAATCCCAGAAAAATACAGTATCTAGTTAACCTCCATTTTCAACCAGTTATTCAGAAATTATTTCTATGTATTACATTTTATGGTTTAGACTTAGATGAATAACAACCCCATTTTCCGCTTGGATGCTTCACTTTGGCCCAAAGCAGATTCAACCAAAATATTACAGCACTGGGCTTAAAAAATTACTCCTATTTCGTTGATTAAGGGAGAGGGTGTTCTGGGTTTTTTTTTGTCGTGCATTTAAAAAAACACTTTATAATTTTCAATACTTTATTGTTGTCTCCTGATTTATATTTTGATGCTATACATTTTCCTCTAAAAATCCACTATAGCTTTATCTCAAACATTATGTCATTTTTTGGTTATTCTTAATATCCTTTAAAGAGAAACAACAAACTATTGTGTGGCCAAAGTTACTCTACACAAGTGAAGGGAAAATTATTGAGAATATATTTATGACATAAATGACAAAAATGGCAAAGGATATGAATAGGCAATATCTAAAAATAAAATGTAAATAGCCGATAAACACATGAAAAGATGCTCCACCTCATTAGTATCCAGGGAATTATAAAATGCTTTTCAGTCTCCAACTGGCATATGTAGGAGATTAATAATGTCTAGCACTGGCAAAGTTTCAGGCAACTAAGCTCTTTCATACATTGCTAGTGGATTGTGAATTACTACAAACTTGTGGTGAATTGTCTAGTAATGTATATCAAAATGGTTAAAAAAAGATCCTGTCATTTTCACCATAATTTATCCCCTAGTAAGAGAAGTCACCATCACACATGTACAAGGATATATTATAGCATTATTCCTAACAGCAAAATTCTAGGGAAATAAAACTATGATTCCATCATTAAGAAAATTGTTAAGTAAAATATGTAATATTGAGAAGTTTTTGGAATTTTATAGTCATATTTATTGACCTGGTGGTAGATCCACCTGTTTGTGGTACACACACACACACACACAAAGAATTGCTGACTGATGTTTTTAAGTAAGTAGACCCCACTGAGAAACAAGAAGTACACACACATACCCCACACAAAAAGCTGCAACATAAAACGTGTTGTGTGAGCATGGAAAACTATAGAAAGGTAGTAATCTAGCTCACTGGAGTAGAATTAGATGTTAGGTTGGAGACAGAAAATTATTGTTACATAACTTTGTATTCAGTTCTTATAAAAGGGCATATATTACTTTTGTAATTGAATATATTAAGATTTGAAGTTAAAAAATTAAACCATTTACAATATGCGTAATTTTCAACATGCTTTATATATTGGGGAGTATACTGTGAAAGGAAGGAAGGTTAATAGTATGTTTGTTACTAAAACGTTTTTTAAAGGAAGTGGTTTTGGAAAGAAGTGGATGTATTTTGTAGGAGAAAGTTTTGTTTGCTGGTTGGTTTAACCAAGGTGTAAGGAAGTCTGATTTAAGGCTATAAACTTATTTTTCAGAAAATTGATTCATGAGGATCTGCGGAAATCACGGATTCTAGTTCCTATAGTCCCTGTTGTTCTAGCATTGGCCCTGTTCATTTGATGTGATTGAAAAGTTTATGTTAACTTCAGTAGTAATACTCAAGTTCTTTTATTTTTTTATTTATTTTTTTTTTTGAGACGGAGTCTCGCTCTGTCGCCCAGGCCGGACTGCGGACTGCAGTGGCGCAATCTCGGCTCACTGCAAGCTCCGCCTCCCGGGTTCACGCCATTCTCCTGCCTCAGCCTCCCAAGTACCTGGGACTACAGGCGCCCGCCACCGCGCCCGGCTAATTTTTTGTATTTTTAGTAGAGACGGGGTTTCACCTTGTTAGCCAGGATGGTCTCGATCTCCTGACCTCATGATCCACCCGCCTCGGCCTCCCAAAGTGCTGGGATTACAGGCGTGAGCCACCGCGCCCGGCCAAGTTCTTTTATTTTTAAGTTACATGACTGTTTCTACTCCGAGGAAACACACAATTGGAAAGAACACAATATTGAGTAACTTGAAAAATCTGACTCTGTTGATTACAGTTGATGAGCAAAATTTTAAAACCTTTTTCCAAAATAGTTTCCGTGAACCTAATGTTCTAGGAAAATATATTCTGTTTTTCACTTGTCTTTGAATACCCACAACTCTGAGCCACATACCGTTGCTATTATATCTGGATTTATATGGTTTATATAATAAACCTGAGTTTGATATGCTACAGCATTAAAGTATTTAGAGAACTGGATTTTTTTATCTTTGTGAATTCTGAAATGCTTGATAGTATTAGAAACATACTAAACAAAATGCTTAGCTAATTTATTATAAAGACTGCTGTCTGAGACTTGTTTTTAACATGATTACTGAGCTTGCATAAAAATTATATTTCTGGTCTAATCTGTTTAACCAGAGAAAATAAAAGCATACTTATAATTTTTGATATTTGGATGAAAGTCAAAAAATTCTTTTTTATTTTGTATCTTCTAAAATGAGGGTCAAAATTTTATATACTTAATAAGAAATATAGAAAATTGGATAGTATCAGATGATAAGCAACTTGATATGTATTTCAGACATCTGTGTTTCAAGTGTCTGTGCTGTTGGAATAAAAAATAGTGGGTGCCTTAGAATTCTATTCAGATCCCTGCTTCTATTTGCCTACTATCTGCTATGTTAGATTTTTACCTAATTAATATTTTTAAAAAGTCATTATCACATTCAAGCATTTGGTTTTTCAGGATGGAGAGTTTATGAAAACAGAGTTTATCTTTTCCATATTGATCTATTTATTGCTAATACTTACAATTTTAGAATTGATAATCACTTATTATTCTGGGAAATATGAATTATTTATTCGGTTCCAAACTTTTGAAATAACTGTCTGGTGTTTTAGAAACCAGAAACAGAAATTATAATAGGAGTTTAGACTATAATATATTGCTGCAAGGATAATTATTAAGGGAAAACACAGCTGACATTTTCTGATTTATGCACACAATCAGAGATGGAGTCCAAGGACTGTGACATAATTATCTTCATGCTAACAATTTTTGTAAATCTCTTGACAGAATTTTAGCTAATTTTAAAATGCCTTCTGAAGATTAGCACTTAAAATTGTTGGGGAAAATAGCACAATTTATTAGCAAGGGTATAATTGTAAACCTTCTAAATACTCATTGTGAATATCATTTAGACAGTAACTCCTGCTTTAGCAGCTGGTACATAAGACACCCGTTTATGGAGTCTTGAAACAACAGAGAGTGGAATCTAATTAAAGAGGATTACATGCCAAAGAAAAATTATTAAAAACAGACTAATAGACAATTGTTATGAATTTAGAAGTCTCTGCCAAATTCTCTTTTTGATACAAATTCATGTAAGTAACTGTCAAGTAAAAGCCTTTATTCCTCCAAAACCAGAAGGATATTGGAAGGCTTTATCTTTTGTGACTTAAAAATGATTGCTTCTCTGAATTTTAACTTAACACAAAAACTTAAATGGTTCTATTAATCTTTCCTCATGTATTAAAATGCACACATGTGCTTTTAAAGATAAATGATCATGAATACTATTTTAGGTTTTTTATTTGATATCTATCTAGTACCAACCATTCCATAACTGTGTACAGTATATGGAAATCTTAGGCATATTTTTTCTTTGTAAACAAAAATCAGTTTATCAATTTAGGCACTATTTATTGAGACTTATGTTAAATTGGCTTGCATATTTTTCTTTGTAATGTACATTTAAAATTCATGATACACCAAAGATTGTTAATTTTTAGAGCCCTAATCTAGTAAATTCCTTGTTTCTGTTTGAACTGACCCACTCCATTGTGATCTCAAGGTTTTTTTTTCCAATCAGAGAATTGAGGTAGCTTAAGGTAATACATATTCATATGTTAATTGTTTTTTAAACAACGTATTTTTAAAATAAGTGATCCTTCTAAGTATGTTCTAGAGAAAAGACTGTTTACATCTGTGAGTTTACCTGGTGTCTAACTTTAATCTTACACACACTGGGTGGTGTTATTACAGTACATCATGCACTGCATTACACAGCCATACCATCTAAATAGACTTTTCTATATTTTAACTAGATTAAGCATACATTAAAACTTGATTTCCAAAGACTAAGAATAACGTGTTTTCTGTGTTACTAATAAATGCATGAACAAAATCACTGGATTGAGTAAATGAGACATTTAACATTCTTAAGTGAGTGATAGTCCTATAAACATAGATGAAAAAATTAACCATCCAAAATTGAGACAGAGGAACACCACTGATGTTCAAGTAGTAACAGTGGATTTATTTGACTTTGCCACCCGCACCCCATCCCTGATACCAAAGTTTTCCTCATTTGCTTAGACACCACTTAGTCTAGCAGGGATTGCCAGATGCTTCAGCAAAAACTCCATCAAGGACAAGGGATTGTTTTAAGTTTAAAGCCTCTAGATTACATCAAATTTTTTATCCTTATAGGGATAATATCCTAGAGAGCAGTTGTGTAGCTGTGGTTTCCCTGTGGTGGTAATTAATTTAGTGGAGATGGGTCAGATTGTTCAGAGCTTAAAGGTGAGCAGGCTTCCCTGGTTGAAATAGTAGATTTTCATTTTTAAATTGCTCTTGGAGAGCCTTCCCTCTTGTCAAGATTAAGTGAGTAAGTAAATTATAATGGCTTCCAAAATAGTAAATATCAATATTTGTATAATAGTTTGTGGTTGGCAGTACATGGGACATAGAACTCCACAATATATATTGAAATAATGATACTGTGTTTCATTTGATTATCATGTAAACCATATGAGACTCAATCAAAATATAACCATACATTATGCAAACAAACGCATTGTAATTTTAAATATGAAATTATGATTAAAAAGCAAATACTTTATCCTGAACTTTGTTGACCTCTCATAGATATAGGAATGAATTATCAGCAGGTAGGATACTGTAGCTAAACTTTTAATTTATCTCAAAAAAGTACTAAAATATTACTTAATTCTTACTGTGTATGAGAGATGAAATCTTAAAATATTTCAAATAAAATTAACATACTTTCAGACTATGAAGGCAGAAATGAGATTCATTCTATCTTTTAAAAATATGTAATAATGTTTGAACAATGTATATATTTTCACATACATGTTTTTATTTACTTTAATCTTTACAATAACACTTTGAGTGGATAATATTACTTTCATCATCTTCATTGATACCTTCATTTTATGAAGGACTATTTGCAGATTGAGATGTTAAGCATTTTTGTAAGAACACATAAGCTGTTTAGTTGTAGAGATGAAACTCAAAAACAAATTTTCTCTCTGCATAGCTCCTACCTCTCCTACTGCATTATATTGTATTTCACTGTGACTCATATAAGATTCTCCTAGACAGGGCCTGATTGTAAGCTGGCCACAATTAGTGAAATGACATTAGCTAAATATGATTACCTCTTAATGTTCCCTGAAAGGATTAGACTAGTTAAGACACACCAAAGGGAAAAGCAATTATCTATTGAAATATGAATCTCTTGATTAGAACTGGAAATCATATATTGACAGTAGAATGTTCATCTAGAATTAAAAAAATATGAATATAGTAATTATTTCTTACTTGTACTTATAAAGAACTTCAGCAGGGCTAGTTTTGAGACTTCTTGTTGAGTGCAAAAATTAAGATACAACATTTTCCAGAAAGAGTAAGTTCACCTAATTGACTCATTTTTTTTTTTTTAGAGGAACCTAGACCTTAGGAAATTCTAACTACATGAGAAATGCATGTACTTGTATTACCTTTTCCCAATTTACTTTATGTCCTAAAGAAAAGCTTTGTAGTAACCAACATTGAACTGCCTTAGAATTGTAGCAGTACATGTTGGAGTGTGCCATTTTATTTAAATATTCCTCATATTTTAAAATATGAAATTTATCATTGCCTTCATAAGAGTGGTGGTTTCCCTTGTGATAATTCTCTGAGGTTCCTTCAAAATTTAGTATCCTGCAGGTTTTCAACCAGCTGAGATTTGTAATTATTGCTGATATATCACTAATACATGGCAATGGATGTGAGGCCTATTTACCTTATAACAGTTACCCTATTGAATTGGCTTTTTTTTTTCAAAATAAGGAGTTAAAAAAAAGGTTTTAAACCTTGGTGTCTCAATGATTAGCATACTATCTAGCACCCATTATGTTCTAAATAAATATTGAATGAATGAATGAATGACTGGTTTTCATTTCTAGCTTGGCAACAGGATTGACTTTTGTGTCTTTTTTTAAATTAGAAATTTGATGTTTGAACTTAAGATGCTTTATTGTCAAACAGCAATAGAAATTTGCCAACTTTTGGACCCCTTGTTTCACAAGGTTCTTGGACTACTGATTATATTTGTAACTTCCGTTTCTAAGCTGTCTAGGTCCATTGTGAAATCATCCTCCCTGATACTAAAATTTGTTGCACATAGACGTTGGGCCATAGATGGGCTTCAGGAGCTGTATTGGCCCACTGAAATTGTATATAGCATAGCATATTGTGTACTTGTGCATATGTACTTTTGTGAAAATGTAATTTTTTAAGGAAAAGGATCATGGTTTTCATTATACTCTCATAGGAGTCTTATGACCAAAAAGTTTAAAAAAATCCATAAAGACTTTCTTTTACTTTATTATTCATAAAAATCACCTGGTTAAACATGAAAAATGCACATTTTTTTCTATTTCACCATATAAAATCTGATCCATTAGGATTGAGTTGGGGTTCATGGATACTCTTCTTCTGTTTATTCTTTCCTCTTTTTCCACCTTTATTGAAAACGTCGTTGCTGAATGTACTAATGGATTTACATATATTACCTCATTTAATCTTGTTGATAGCTCTAGAAGGTAAGTATATTTCACGATGAGGAAACTGAGTTAATTAACTTGCCTAAGGACTTAGCCTGTAGACAGTAATGGTAAGGTCTGAGGCTAGAGCCAATTTTATTACCTTAGCCTTCCCCCTTTTTTTCTCTTAATCTGGAAAATTGTAAATCATTTCAAAGACAGGTTTGGAAGTAACAAACTCATAGTCATCTCTTGTTCCAAGAGAATTATTTCCTTTCTCTCCTCTGTATTCTTACTACATGTGAGCAAGTTGAAGTCTTGTCTTATTTACCTTCATATCCCTGTGCATAGTATTATTCCTGACATGTAATAGATTTTCAAGATTTTTTTTTCTGCACTGAAATTTAATTCATTAACTCGAGCCTTTGTTACTTAGTAATTCTGAGACTTAAACTCCAGTAGCTATGCCATTAACTCTTTGTGACTTTTCATTTGTTAAAATTGGTTTCCTAATTTATTCAATTTAGGTTTGTATATAAATTTTAGATCTGATTTAGTTTTAGTTATCATAATTATAACATAAAAATTCAGTCCCATGGAAATAAAGTCCTGTGGAATTATCAGTGATTTGTTTTATTTAATAATGTAATTTGCTAGCTGTTCTTTTTTTTTTTTTTTTCTTTGCCTCTTTCCACCTCCATCCAGAATCAGTAGGTGTTTGGTTGAATTTTGTGATTTTTTTTGGTATAATTTGAGCAAAGATAACTCAGTGAATTTTATTTAAAATCCTCAGCGTTCTGAAATCTCCTTGTATATTATTTTCTTTCATGTGACTGTTGGTGTTCTACTTGTTTCATTATACTTTTATAGAATCCTTAACACAGATGAGATATAAAACACTATGAAATCTATCACAGTTGAAACTCTAGACCTTCCCTCAACCCATGGGGATTCATTTGGCAGGAGGCCACCAAAACCAGTTCTTTTTGATGCTTAGTTTCCAGTTTCTACTTCAATTGCTGCCAAAATCTGAACACTTGGGAATTTAATTGCTCATTATATTTGTCACGGTGGTGTCACAGACCCAAATAAAGACTGTTGCATGCAAAATATTTATGGGTATTAATTTGGCCTAAATGTGTATATTGGATTCCATATTTTTCTACATTATAAAGTATAGCACTTCCAGACAGATGTAGACAGAATCCTGCAAGAGCTTCTGCTACATTTGACTCTGCTAGTAAACTATTTTCCATCCAGCTCAGTATTTAAATTTGATGACACCTAGAGGAAGGCCTATTCAGAACTTTATTATATTCACTTATGCAGTTTACTCTTTAGAAGCGGACTCGCGAGGAGTTTGAGTCTGGCTCTGAGGCTAGACTGCTTGGGTTCAAATCCCTGCTTTATCCCTTGCTAGCTGTATAACCCTGGGCAAGCTTTATCTTAATCTCCCCTGTGGTTGTTTCCTCATTTGTAAAATAGGAATACATATGGTTGTCATGCAGATTAAATGGTTAGACTTCCTAGAAAAAGTACCTAACCCAGAGTCACTACTCAATGTTAACTGGTTTACTATAATTAATACACACACACACACACACACACACACACACACACACACACACAATACATTATATATTAAAGCTATAATGTGTACCATGGTTGCTGATACAAATTGTTCCGAATTTTCAGTTTTCTACCAATTAATTAGAGCTAACCTGTGCCTGTTATATTACATGGCATGTCTGGTCGGCATTAAATTTAGTACCTTTGTGACCTTCCATTTTTCCTGTGTATTCCCACTTTCTTGCTCCACATTGTCTAGGCTAGCAGGCCTGCGTTTTGTTCCAGTATTTTATTACTAATCACTGATTATTTTTGTTCTTCTGCTTGCTGTTCTCAGGAGTAGTTTGTTCATTCATTCTCTCTGTCCCCTTTTCTCTTTTTATCTGTTGCCTTTTCCTTTCTTCTGCTGTGATGGTTGTAGGTTTCTCATGCCATTATATTGGTCAAAGGAAATTAGGAGGCACTTGGAGGGTGGAAATCACAAGCCACTACCATGGATAATTTTTTTGAATTTTTATGAACTTTCCTATCCTGTAAAGTAAGTCCCCTATGTGATACTTACCACTGAAATCGTATTCTGGGACAGTCCTATACTAACTTACAGAATCCCCAAGAATGAATAACTTGTTGATTACAAATAATTTACAGTTTTTCTCAGATCCATGTTCATATAAAGTGGGCTGAGAACAGATTTTGATTGGAGGCCGCTGGCTCAATTTTACCTGCAGTTGTCTTTAATGTTAGAGAAGTGTTATTGGTGGTAAACGTGACAGTGAATCTGTTTGCCCTTTACTCAGTGGATATTTAATGCTTACTTTTATTTATGAGAAGTTTGAGCAGATAAAGATGTTAGTTGCTTGAAATACTTATTCTATATGGCAAGAGCCTAATATTGTCTGAAATATAATTCAAATCATGTGTCTGTTACTTAGTGCTTCTACATATGGTTCTTGAAGCATAAAAAATAGATTTGATTTCAATTTCTGTATACAGAAGTATTTTTAGTCAAGGTAATAGTTAACTGTTTAAATGCTACAGTGCTTACTTATTTCCTTTGTTGTTCTGTTGGGTATAATAAACTTCATGCAGACACAAAGTGTAAAACATGGAGCATTTGTTCTTCTGTTAGTTAGCCTAATACTCATTTTGGGTTTCCCATTCCACATCAAGGCAGAATATGCCATTTTAACCACTTCCTGATAAAATTATTATTAAGGTTGCCGCTTCTACTCATTATAGTGAAGGTACTCTGAAACACGGTATTTCAGCTAAATCAGAAATTTGGCTGTCTTCAATTCCTGGCATCACTGAGCGCTCAGTGTGGCTACTCAGTGTGGCTACTACAGTCTCTCAGTGTCCACGTGTCCACTTTCTCTCTCTCTCTTTTTTTTTTTTTTTGAGATGGAGTCTCACTCTGTCCCCGGCTGGAGTGCCGTGGCGCGAACTCAGCTCACTGCAGCCTCCACCTCCCAGGTTCAAGGAATTCTCCTGCCTCAGCCTCCTGAGTAGCTGGGACTACAGGTGCACCCACCATGCCCAGCTAATTTTTGTATTTTTAGTAGAGACAGAGTTCACCATGTTGGCCAGGATGGTCTCCATCTCTTGACCTCATGATCCGCCCACCTCGGCCTCCCAAAGTGCTGGGATTACAGGCATGAGCCACTCTGCCCAGGCTTCTGTCTCTTATTTTAATCCAAGAATGTGTTTATCTCCTGTCTCTGTGGCTAGAAAAACTAGATAGTCAAGTAATCTTCCAACCCTGCTGTTTATGCTAGGAATGGACCTTAAAAAATTTATGTCCAATAATTTTGTTATTTCTTTAATTCTTTTATGAACTTGTTCCTCTACAGTGGTGGAGGCCCAAGTAAAGTTAAAAATTGCAGTAGGATACACACATATGTTTATTGAGGCACTATTCACAATGGCAAAGACTTGGAACCAGCCCAAATGTCCATCAATGATAAACTGGATTAAGAAAATGTGGCCCATATACACCATGGAATACTTTGCAGCCATAAAAAAGGATGAATTCATGTCCTTTGAAGGGACATGGATAAAGCTGGAAACCATCATTCTCAGCAAACTATCACAAGGAGAGAAAACCGAACACAGCATGTTCTCACTCATAGGTGAGAATTGACCAATGAGAACACATGGACACAGGGTGGGGAACATCCCACACTGGAGCCTGTCTGGGGGTGGGGGGCTGAGGGAGGGATGGCATTAGGAGAAATACCTAATGTAAATGACGAGCTGACGGGTGCAGCAAGCCAACATGGCACATATATACCTATGTAACAAAACTGCACGTTCCTGTACCCTAGAACTTAAAGTATAATTAAAAAAAAAAGAAATAAAAAAAAGATTGCAGTAGGATTGGCAAAGAGGAGGAAGCTGATGAGGAATTTCAGGGCCAAAAAGAAACAAACAAAAAATTATGTGTATTTTTTCTTAATGGTCTCAATCAACAACATTTATAACTTTGAGAAAGTTTTTAAATTTCTTAAACAGCACACAAAAACACTGTACTTAAATTAGAAAACTAACAAATTTGATCTCAGCTAAGCAGTTCTCTTTATTGAAAGACACTTCTAAAAATGTGGGAAGATAAGACAGAAGAGGATACTTTTAATGTATATACCCAAAATGGACTTTTTGAAAAATATATAATTTTAATTATTGTAGATTCATTTTGGTAATTTCAAAGATTTTAATTATAACAACATATAACTGTGTGTGTTTGTTAAAAGGATCTTTGCCTTAATTTGACTTAGTTTTAAAAAATATCAAGGTTAAAAATAGTGGTTTATATACCAATATATTTCAAATCAATTCATTCTTATACATTGGACATTATTAATATAATTTCTGTAATTTTGTAAAATTCAGGATACTTATTCAAGAATAGAAAGAACATATTAATACTAAAATTTTGTCATTTAGTTTTTCTTTCTGTAAAAATAAGTAATACACTAAATCTAGTTATTTTATCAACTAAATACTAGTAAATTCCATAAGAAATCTAGGGTGCCAAAAGATTCATATATATATGTATATAAATTGAAAATTTCTACAATTTATGCCCTCAAAACCTATTCGGGTTCTCTCAGATTAAGTGAGTTTTAAGTACGTATAATTATATTTAGAATTGTAGTAAAAATTTTTTAAAGTACTTTTAGAAAATTCAGTCTAGTATTGCTATTTTACCAAAAAGTAGAAACACTTATGAAATTTAAACTGCTTATGTCATATTTACTCAATCTTAAAATTCTTCTAAGAACCTGATCTAATCTAATTTTCACCTAATTTTAAGATTTTAACTTTAGTTTCAAGTATATAAATATATATGTGCAGTTGTAAATATTACACATAAAATTGTTATTTAAAGATCTGATTATAAAATTTTGATTCAAAAATTTTGAAACTTTTATTATTATATCTGTGCTCTATCCCTTCATCTTAGTCAATGCTAGCTTATTTAGAACTTGGTATTTATTGTATACTGTTTATGGTGATCAAAAACTTAATGGTTTTCTCTTTTGAGTTTAAATTGGATTTTCTATACTTAAGATTATTTTAGAGAACTAATTTTTATTCCTCCAAACTTAAGAAGTTTTCCTACTTTTATAAATTCATTTCTTCTGTTTATCCACTTTGAAAAATTGATAACGAAACTCCACTTTGAAAAATTGATAATGAGACTTCTGTGACAGCTGTATCATAAAATGTTTTTATTTTGTTACTGTTGGATTTAACTGTCAATTTTAATGAATGCTACCCAATTAAAGTGGTATGCATATTTTTCATGAGTCCATGATCAATATAATCAATTACATTTTTGCATAACTGCATAGATACAATTTTTCTCAGGATCTTAGAGAATTAATGCAATTTTTAAATATGTTGCAGAATTGTGAGAAGCTGGAGAATAATTTTGATGACATCAAGCACACGACTCTTGGTGAGCGAGGAGCTCTCCGAGAAGCAATGAGGTAAGTCTGGGTCACCATAGCAACAGTCACAGATGTGGTAAAGAAAAAGTCATTCTTCATTATTTGGGGAACAAATGAGTTCATTGCCACCATTCAGCTCTGTTCTCTAAGGTATTAATTTGTCAGTGGAGAGACTTCCCTTGAGGCTGTACTTTGGTTTTGAAGCTGCATAAATGTTAAGCCTCAGTGCACAGTAAAAAATGTAAATGTTTAATTTGTTACTTAAAATGCTTAAGGGGTGTCTTGTTTTATACTTATACTAAACTGTGTGATTGAATGAAAATATTGTTCATCTAAATTCTGCCTGTATATAAAGAAATAAACATTGTACAATGGTGCTTTAATTGAGTAGTATTTCCTCCTAATTAATATTTAATTTAAAGAGAGGTACTTACATTTTCATCTTCTATAACATTTTATAGGATTATATTATATTATAGTATTTTTAGTGATTTACATTTTTACACTATTACAAAGCATATAATTAACTTCCTTTCAACTATAGTGGTCTATAATGAGCCTGACTTTTTTTCTTTTTTCATTTCTTAACATCAGTAATTCTGAATATTTATATGAAATTGCCCCAAATTTGATGCCTTTTAAATAACTTTTAGTGAAGCATTTTTCAAATCTATTTGATCAGAATCAAGAAAGGCTTTTTATTAGACATTGAAAATTTGTGGGAAATAAAACTCATCATCCACAGAGTGAGAAAACAACAAATGTTAGTAGTCTTAAAAGTTCTGAGCTTGAATATTTGAGTAGCATAATTTCCAATATCTTTGTAAAGAAAGTGTATTTATATTTATTTAGCCTATAAAATTAAAATATGTTTTTAAAATACGCCTTCTTCTATCTTAATGCTCATTTTTCAAGGATGTTAAGGCTAAAGAGATTAAAATGAGAGAAAGGATAAACCTAAGAGCTTCCTAGAAAGGTAGTTTAGATACAATTTTGTTATTGCTAGCACACAGTTACCATATACTTTAGTTTAGAAGCTGCTCTCATTTAGTAACCTTCCTTTTACCATGCAAGCAGCAGGAGAAAGTAATTAAATTTAATAGAAGCTGCCCTCATTTTGAAGCCACTTCTATTTAAAACCACAGGGGGAGGTAATTAAATTTAATGGAAACAGTAGCTTCTACACAAAGATACATGGTACTTCTGTATAGATGATTATGATGTCACAAAAAGAGGAATAATATATTACTAGTATGAGAAATTACCAGCTGGAGCAAGTGAGCCTATTTTATTGTTAATGTCTTTACTAATAAAAAAAAGAGGGAAAAATAAAACTGAGTACACAATAGAGAATTTGTATCTATATAAAATGCAATCAGATATTCTCAGAAAGTTTAAGTTATTGAAAATTTTAGCAAATTAAAAATAAGTTGTAAAATATTTGTTTTGGAAAAAGCTAATGCAGAAATTATGAATGAATTTCTAATTTTCACCATACATAGTGGTTTATCCTAAAATTACCACTGCTATAAATTTAACATTTTTTGTAAATGCTTATTATGATAAGTTTAAATACAGTAAACATGCATGCCAATATTTACTTGGAAAACTGCAGTTATTCTCTATATTTTTATATCTATTTATTTTGAAGTAAATACATAGACAAACAGGAAGACAAAGAGGGTGGCAACTCTTATGCTTTGAATAAAAGAACTGAAGACCAAAAGACAGAAAGAACTGAAAAGAGGCAATGTGAATGAAAAATGATGTGAATGAGGAAAATACAAGGAACAAGGAAAGGATATGTAATCAGTGTAGGAAATTTGTCCTCAAGAAAAAAACAAATTGAATTATAAGAATTAACTTCAAATGAAGAGATGATTAAATTCTGCCAAATTTCGTTATACATAACATTTTAGAACATACCAGGATGTCCTGTTTTTTAAAAAACTAGAGATGAACTGATGATAAAAACAAGTATTACCTGCCTGGAATAACTTGCCAACCACCCATTCTATGAGACAAAGCAGTAGTCTGGATAATTTAAGTGAGAATTTAATTTTATGGCATGAAATGTACTTGTTTGCTTAAGTTATACATTTTACTTACACACACACACAGACACACATTATTGGTAATGTCTGGATTCATTAAACACAGTGGAATAATTTAGTAATTAATAGCATACAACAATTTAGTATATGGTGGGTCAGGTGCTTTTTAAAATGTGTTCGGAATATGCTTGAGGTGAAGACCCAGAGACTGAGTATTTCAGTCTTTTCCCTGGCCCAGAATATTTCATGGTAGCTTCTCTGTTAGTCCATTGGCCTGGCATAGCTTGGCTATGGGACCATCCGTTTTTCTTTCTTTCTTTTTTTTTTATTATACTTTAAGTTCTAGGGTACATGTGCACAACGTGCAGGTTAGTTACATATGTATACATGCGCCATGTTGGTGTGCTGCACCCATTAACTCGTCATTCACATTAGGTATATCTCCTAATGCTATCCCTCCCCCCCTCCCCCCACCCCATGACAGGCCCTGGTGTGTGATGTTCCCCTTCCTGTGTCCAAGTGTTCTCATTGTTCAATTCCCACCTGTGGGTGAGAACATGGAGCATCCCTTTTTCTTATTAGCTTGATCTCTTTAGCAGCCCCTAAGTGGCTCCAGGTCCCCACAGTGGTGTTCTTGTCCTGAGTGTGTCTAGCCAGGAGTAACTGGAACAGAGTTGGACCCACATCTGAAGATTGTCCTATTGTGGCTGCAGTGTTGGGGGGCCTTTCACCATCTTGGGTACCTCCTTATTTATTTAGGTTTTACTATTTCTATGAGCTTAGAACAGAAAAGAGAGGATTCTTAGCCACCTCATCCAGTCTCTCTTTCTGGCCAGTCTTTGCTGTGCAGTCTTGAATCTGGTTTCTTGTCAGTATCCGAGTTTACAAATCACTTTAGATCCCTCCCATGCTTCCTCCTGATCCCAGTCTTGAGGATGCCCTGAGCCTGTAGCCCTGGTGTGTAAAAAGGACGAGGGGTTACAACCTTCTCTGGAATATGCTAGCTAAATAAAACGTTAAATAAATACATTAATTGATGTAGAGAGAGAGAAAAAAAGAGGATTAGTGAAGATTTGGGTTTTCAGGTGACTGTGAGATAGCTGAGGTTAACTCGTGTAAATGTGCAATAGGCAGAGGGAAAATACAATGCAACAACTCAAGGAAAAGACTGAGAGTTGATGTGCGCATTTGAGACTTGTTAGTATTTTGATACTTGTTGTAGCCAAGGGAAGGCATATGATTTCCAAGAATAGTGCATTGGGATAAGAAAGAAGGAGAGTCCAGCCAGATGTCTACGAAAATACAGGGCTTAGGAAAATACGTGCCAGAAAAAACATATTTTGGGATTTAAAATTCTGAATAACCTTCTCTAACAGAGTAAGACTAGACTGAAATATAATGTGCCTAAGAAGAAAAGGACAGGGGAATGGAATTCCTGGCCGTTTTTCTGTGGCTCTTAGAGACATCTAGACCAATGCTGCCCAGACCTTTCTGTGATGAGAGAAATGTTCTCCATCTGTGCCATTTAGTGTGAGAGCCCTCAGCCACATATGGCCACTGAGTACCTGAAATGCGATGAGTGTAACTGAAGAACCGAATGTTTAATTTTACTTAATTTTTATTAATTTAAATTTAAATACTTATATGTGGTTAGTGGCTGTGGTTTGTTCTGTGCTGCCCTAAAGGGAAGTTTTTGTGTTGCTAATATGACACTTGACTGCCTCTCACTTAACAGAGTTCTCAACAATGGAGAGGCCAGAGTGAAGCTAAACCATGTTCACACACATCACACATAGATACACTTACTTTCTTAGAAAACTAATAGTAAAAGGTAGATCCATAACCTGGTAATAGATGTAAAACCAAAACTAAAAAGTATAATTTGATATAGAGGAGACAAGGTAGCTCTTATTTTATAAAGACATAATTTATACCTAGAAAGCCCAACAGAATTAACAACAAAACCTCCCTAAGAATTTGACATCTTTTAATGTGATTGTATTCAAAATGAAGATGGAAATTCTTAAGTTCTTCTGCGTGTTATTTAAAACAAATAGTGTCTGTAATTGATAATAGATACTATAAAGATCTGATGAAGTTATTATATGATGAAGTACCCCAAGTAGTTCAGGACATGTTCAATCACCCAGTAAATGGTATAAAAGGTTTTTTTTGTTTGTTTGTTTACTTGTTTGTTTTTGCTGTTTGGACAAAAAAAAAAAAAAAAAAAAAAAGACTTTGTAGTCTCACTTCACATGGCCCAAAGGAAATTTCATGCATTTTTAAAGAGCTAAGGGAAATAAATGAAACAGTCAAAGTCCAGTGGAATATAGAAGTGACTTTTGAGATTGAGATGGGGGAAGAGATGATACGCTAACAAGTAGGTGAAGAAATCACTAAGCTTTGATTCCAATAATAAAAAAAAAAGCTTCCGTCATTTGCAAGAAAATGGATCAACCTAGAAAATGTTAATGTTAAGTGAAATAAGCTAATCACAGAAGGGCAAACACTGCATGATCTCACTTTTATGTGGAATTTAAAGACGTTCATCTCATAGAAGTAGAGAGTAGAATAGTGGTTACCAGAAGCTTGGGAGAGTAGTGTGGAGTGGAAATGGGGAGAGGTTGGTGTTCTATAGCACAGTAAGGTGACTATAGTCAACAGTAATATATTGTATACTTTAAAATAACGTGAGAAAATTTGGAGTGTTGTCACAGGAGATGGAGACTATCCTGGCTAACACGGTGAAACCCCGTCTCTACTAAATATGCAAAAAATTAGCCGGGTATGGTGGCGGGGGCCTGTAGTCCCAGCTATTTTGGAGGCTGAGGCAGGAGAATGGCATGAACCGGGGAGGTGGAGCTTGAAGTCAGCAGAGATCACGCCACTGCCCTTCAGCCTGGGTGACAGAGTGAGACTCCGTCTCAAAAAAAACAAAAAACAAAAAACAAAACAAACAAACAAAAAAAGACAAGTGTTTGAGGTAATAGATATGCTAATTACCTTGATTTGATCATTACACAATCTAATATGTATTGAAACATCACACTGTATCCAATAAATATGTGCAACTATTATGTGCCAATTAAAAACAAACTTATTTTAAAAAACTTATGCAAATGGGGACAATCACAAAATTAAAAGACATCAATGTACTATATTGCCATATGTATGACAGATTTTAAAAATTGGGAACTCAGTAGATAATTGGCAAACTATGATTAAGTAACCCTTGGAAATATTCAACTCTAATGGCAAACAAAAAGTGTAAATTTCACAAAAAATACACCAATCTCTTGCTTATTGCTGCTAATGCAGTTTGGTGGGAAGTTTTTGAGTGCTAGAGATGGAATAGCGAGACAGCCATTCTCACAGATGGCTAGAGATGGAATGGTGAGACAGCCATTCTCACATTCTCAGAGGATTGAAAATTACTGCTGCATTTAAGGAAAGGATTGTGTCACTAAGTATTAAGAGACTTAAAACAAACATACTTTTTTTTGTATTAATTTACCTTCTAGGAATATATTATGCAGAAGCCATAGAAATTATGCATAATATGAATGTGATACTCAAATTATGGAATATAACCCTGAACAAATTTTACAGGAACTAATTGTCTACCATTAAGACAATAGACAAGGCAATTATATGTATATAACATAAATATATATAAATGTATATATTACATATAAATATATATTATTTATATATTCATATTTAGAATTTTACAATATTTATAAATTTATAAAGTATATAAAATCTGTGTATATATACAGATATATAATATATTTATATTTACAGATATATACACAGATTTACATATATTTAAAATAAATCTGTGTGTGTGTATATATATATAGAGAGAGAGAGAGAAACAAAATTGCTTGTAGAATATTATCTCAACTGAATATAAAAAATGCAGAGAAAAAATAGGAATGAAATGTGGCTATTACATCTGGCTGGTTGGCGTAAAGATAATTTTTTGAGGCGTATGCTTTTCCATTCTATATTTTCTGTAATGGGAATATATTATGAATAATTAGAAAAACAGTGAAGGAAAAATGGAGAAAACTAAAAATATGAAATAAATACTGGAATCAATAGTAAGAATCAGATTTGAGACTCCAACTGTAATTTTAGGTAAATTAATTATTTTACTCTTACTTTTTTGTAAAATGGGATTTAAAATCTCCTAGGATTTATATGAGGAACTAGGATATAGAGGAGAGAATGCTTTGTAATTTATGAAAATTAATAAAAATAAGATATAAAATATAATGTTTGTATACATTTTTCCTTTTAATGTTGTATGTGCTTACAAGAATTACATGTGTAATGTATAAATAATGGAATTCAATGGAGAAGTTCACTGCAGTCTTAGCATATAGAATACTAGAAGCTGTATATCTTGTCCAACTTCTACATAGTCTATTGTAGTGCCATGGGTGTGGAAATCTTATACAGCATTTCTGAAAATGATAATCAAAGAAAAAGCATTTTAAGGACAGGAAAAAAGTGCATCATCTCTAGGTCAAATCTCTGGTTTATAGTATGATAATGAATTTAGAGGTAAAATTCTCAACTTCTTTTCATCATATTCTTTCTTTATCTTGGTTGATTCAACTCTGTAATCATGCCAAAGGGATTTGATTTCTTTACTATCATATTCTGTACCTATTTTAGCCCCTGTGATAAATCCTGAACAGTAAAGGGAAGGATGGGGCCACTTTTAACATTGTGTTGTATTTTTTTTTTTTTTTTTTTGAGGTGGAGTTTCAGTCTTGTTGTCCAGGCTGGAGTGCATTGTTGCGGTCTCGGCTCACTGCAACTTCCGCCTCCCAGGTTGAAGAGATTCTCCTGCCTCAGCCTCCCAAGTAGCTGGGATTACAGGCATGTGCCACCATGCCTGGCTAATTTGTGTATTTTTATTAGAGATGGGGCTTCACCATGTTGGTAAGGCTGCTCTCGAACTCCTGACCTCAGGTGATCTGCCCTCCTCGGCCTCCAATGTGTTGTCTTTTTGTCCCTTTTCAGTCTCACAGGCAGTAGAGGGCTATGGGTAATAGATATATGCAATTGGAAGGTACTTGAATTGAATAACTTGAGAAAAGGTGACGTCAGATTCTGAAAAAGAAGAGGTACATATAGAATATACTCATTAATAAAAAAAATAAAAATACTATTGGGAGTTTTTTACAGTGTATTTCTTAATACACATAAAATATAGATTGTTAATAGATTTATGAGTATATCTCTATGGCAAGAATACAAATTATTTTTGGAGTGCCAACATTGCCATTAGGCATTGTTTTATTTGCAGAGCGAAGTCTATTCAGTGAGATCTGTTATATTTACATTAGTACTATAAAGATGAACTACCAGTACAGAATGTCTCTGAAATGTATTCTTTTTCGCTTGGCTTTATCACGTGTTAAGAATTTTGTCACTAGATGGTGATGTTGAGTTGCACAGTTTATCTGTGCTGGCTTTTTTACTGGTGTGTGTATACTATTTGTAGGTGCATCATAAACAGCCATTTATACAGAGTTAAATATAAAAGTATAGCCATGTAAACTTGGAAAGTAGCTTTTAAGAGGTCTAACATTTCTAAATATTATTTGAGTCAAAAGGTTAAAATTGCTTTAATGTCATTGTTTCTTTACCTTCAACTCAAGGACTTTTAGAGGTGGAAGCAATATAAATAGCAATCTAACTTTTTATTGAAAGGCTGAGGTCCGAAAAGAGATACCAAGACATTTAAAAGAGGTAGTTTTTCAGCTTTTCAGGTATGTCCCGTCTGTGTGTATTAGCCTAATGTATGTCTTTAATTTCACTCCTCTGTTAGTATTCAGTAGTACTGGTGTTGACTACCATCTGACCTAAGGGTTGTGTTACTACTGGAACCTAGGTATTATTTTAGCTGTTTATGATTTGGGTTATGTTAATATTGCATCTGTTGCTAAATATAATGGTTGAATTACACTGATACTTTAACTGATACTTCTACATGAACCATGACTCCGAGGAAGCTGTGATTAGTAAACCATGAACCGAGTAATTTTGTTCCTCTGAATAAGATTTAAAGATAATAATATGGCCATTATTCTACTTTATCTTATTCTTAGAGATTTGTGTGTGTGCATGTGTATGCATATTTCTATATGTGGTATGTATTATATAGATATTACATGTGTGTATATGTATGGATATATTTCTCTATAAAATCTCCTCTTTGCAGTCAAGGAAAACTTGCACTGTGACAGCATTTGGAGTTTGGACTTCCCTTGCCTTTCAGGTGTATTCATTAGGATTACAAAGATTTAAGGAAATTTTATGGAATTCTTTTAAAATAGTTAAAAATGGAAGAGTGGAAGGACAAGGCATGCTAAGTATTTGAGATTAGCAAATTGATTAAGTAGTTTACAAAGTAAATATAAAGCTATGAGGGAAAAATCAAAGTGGCATTGAAGAAGAATATAAAATAAATAAAATGAGAAAGTATTAACAAAATACTTCCAGTGAAATTAGCAGGTTGTTTAATAGTATGGAAAGTAAATAATTTTTTAAACATTCTGAAAATGTTATGTAATGATGGAAGTAGTAATACATGATTTAACGTTTGTAACTTTTTTTTAATTTTCAAAGTGTTGAAAAACAAATTCCTTTATAATCAGAAATGCCCATGTATAAGGGTATATTTTAACTACTTGAAAAGTTTGAGCAGTGAGATTGGATTCAGAAGCAATGTTTCAACTCTTTTCTATTTTAATCATTTCTAAAATTCTATCTTAATTATGTTTTTCCAAGTTTTCTATCACTAAATAGATCAGCAGGAACCTCCTGAAAGCCCTACTCCCCAAATCAGCAGAGAAGAGTATTCTCTTGTCTTCTATGCACAGAGAACATGTTATCTTTATCATTTCTATTACAGAAAAACACATATTTCACCATGTCCAGAGCAGGTTCTTTGATTTGGTTTATGCCACCTAACACATGAGGAAGTCAATCAGGATGAGTACTTTCAGATTTTTTTGAAATCAAAAGACAAAAGTGCATGATTACTTTACATAATCATGCACCTGCCCTAATAAATATCATTGAAATACAGGTCAGAAAATATATGTAATTAGTCTTATGTAATTTTTGTAATGTATGTGATTAATTTCGTGTACCTTGAGTAATATGAATGTATGTATATGTCTTTATACACCTATATACACAGGCACACACATGGATACACACATTTGGTAATTTATATAATTAGTTTCATGTACATTTTGTAATATGAATGTGTGTATATGTCTTTATACACATATATACACATGCACACACACGGATACACACATTTGGTATTATCTGTTTGCCATGTAAATTAGGAATATTACTTCCATTCATTCACTTTAGGAGTGAGTGAAAGCAAGATTTGACACTCAGTTTCCAATCTCACTGCTCAAATGGCCCAAATATAATTTAATTGGGGAAATAGAAGAAAACAATTATATTAGCTGTTACCAGTGTTTAGTAAAATCAACCATATGGTCGGCAACAATGCTTCTGGATTATTTATGGATTTGTTATTAACTGTCATTTATAAATACAGAATTCTTTCAATTTAGAATCTTTTCCTTCACTTTAAACTTGAATTAGAATTCAAAGGTGAGAAATATTGATTACATAATTATCAAGTACAAATCTGGTGAAACAGTAGAAAAAATGAAATCAGTTAATAGGCTAACACAATTAATTGTTATTAATTATTTATTTATGAAATACATTATAATACTCATTAATCTAAGCATTGGTTTGTTCCACCTGGTGCCTAGTAGGTACTAGGTGACATTTGTTCAAACATAGTATTTGCAGAAAATATCAAATTAATATTGCAAGTGATAGTTTGATATTTTTGGAAAGATAAAACCAGAAAAGAAATATGTACCATTGATATACAGAATGTATCTGTTTGAAACAACAGCATTGGCAACAGCAACATGAGTAAGAAGCTCTGAGCCAAGCAAGGTCAGGAAAAAACTGCATTTTCCCCTTAGTATCAAAAGATTGTATATTAAGGACTAGGAAAGAAGGGATGCAGCTTTTGTTTTGCTACCAAAGAAAAGTGCAGAGCTAAGTCGTTACTCTAGAATGCTTATCATTTTAGATACAGACTTTGAATGAGCAGCTAATAGCTAAAATTATTTAGGAGATAAAAATTGGTACTGTGAGGATTAGCTTTAATTTTAAGTATCCATAATTGAAGTGCCACATTATGATTTTAATGTTATGATAATCTTGTTAACAAGCTGTTGTGTATATACTATCATATTTTAATGTAGTTGCAAAGCTTAAGTAAACCTTAAAGTAAATTGCTTTTTGAATCAGGCTTTTACAAGTGGAAAATTAGTGGTTTACATGTTTTGAATAAGTATTTTGTAATTATATTTGTCATTTTCTACAACTAAAGAAGACTAATAGAATAGATTTACAGATAATATTGTTTATAAGCACGTTGGCATTTTTTATTACTCGTTCTAATTATTTGGTATATATGTCACAATATACTATAATAAAATAGCTGGCCCTATGTTTTTTTGTAAGTCATCTCTTCTGGAAGATAGACATTGACATTTAGTTATAATATTTCTCATTTCTCATATATCAGCTTGTTCCATTTAGAAGATAATTAATACAATTTCTTATCCAGCATTTCTACAGGTTATTATGATGTGTACTAAATACCTTCCATTGAAGGTATTTGTGTTTATTTTATTTTGGGGAAAAAAGTCTCCCATTCTGACAAGTTGTTTTTAAAAAATGTGTTGCCTCTTTTGAAAATCGAGTAGAAGTAAGGAAACATTTTATTGTAAAAGGCCAGATAGCATGTATTTTTAGCTTTCTGGGCTACATAATTTCTGTCACAACTATTCAATTGTGCTGATGTTGTACAAAGGCATCTGTAGACCATATGTGAATGCATAGGTGTGGCTGTGTTGATGTGGCTGTGTTCCAATAAAATTTTATTTATAAAGACAGGCAGCCATCTGGATTTAGCCCTTGTGTTGTAGTTTGCAGACCCCTGGTTGAGAGCAAACATGACTTAAGTCCATTAGAAGAAATTTCAAATAATGTTTGGAGAAATATATTAAGAATTTGTGATTTTCTCTGATAGATTAATACAAATACTATGAAGTCCTTCCAATTTTATCAATGAACATGACTATATAACATTACTGAGGTGCCCTATCTACTAATTTCTAGGCTGTTCTTTGAAATTGAATAAGTCACATTTCCTGGATTACTCTTTCAAGTAATTAGTGTGATTAGGAATTAAACAGACAATCTAGCTTGTGAAATCACCAATATGCAACAAACATGAGACATAGGTACTAGTGCCACTGAATTAACTAGCATTGATTATTCATGTTTATGTTTTATAGTTAAAATGTGGAATAACCACCAATGAATCATTTACATTATGAAACAGTATAATGTTGCTCTTAGTTGGACAATTAGCTTTGTATAGTATGGTACTTATAAAAGGACAACATTGTGTTAGTTTATTTATGATTCTTTTAAGTAGATGAATCATGGTATCTATACTAAGGCATATCTATGATATCTGCTACCGATTGAAAAAATATTGATTGTGGTCTATTATTTTAATGCCTTTGTAAGTTTTATACCCATGGAATTATCTAAAGAATTACTTTTATTAAAAATTTAGTCAATGCATATTTAATAAATTAGTGAATCTTGAATACTTTTCTTGTAGTCTACAAAGAGGGTTTTTTGTTTTTGTATTTTCTTTTTTTTTTCTCTTTTTTTGAGTGAAAGGAGATGGTATATAGGATATTCTAAGCTCCATTTAAAAAATGTGTTTGGCACCTGTAGTCCCAGCTACTCAGGAGGCTAAGGTGTGAGTACCACTTGAGTCACAAGGAGTATGAGGCTATAGTGTACAGTGTCCACACCTGTGAATAGCCATTGCACTCTAGCCTAGGCAATGTAGTGAGAATCCATCTCCTAAAAAAAAAAAAATTAAAAATTAAAAATGTAAATGTTCTTGGTGTTTTATTGATGTGCAAGATGTTATTTGGTGACAGCTGTTGTGATATGTGCAGATATGCAGTGAACTGGGAATAAACCCTAATTTCAATGGCTTCATATGGTGGCTGGAAAGGCCTTGCTCCTGTCAAAGGCCAACACCTTCACTTGTGATCTGGATCCCATTTCCTCTAGTCTTTTCAAAAGTTTCCCTTGTGTAATTACTCTCTCTCTCCTGAAACGTTAATTTTTGCTTTTACATGGTTATTTACATCTTCATACTTGCATATTGTGCATCTTAAAGACAAACAAATAAATGAAACCTGTCTACATTTTCCTCTCCAGGTGCCACTCCATTTTGCTCCTCACCCTCAAAGCCTAATGAAAGAGTTGTCAATAAAGGTTTTTCATTTTCTAATCTCCTGGTCTCACCTTAATCCACTCCACCTGGACATCTCTTGCTGTCTGTTCAGTGAGAGTGCTCTGTGTTGCCAAATCTGTAATTTGTACTTGACTGGTCTGCAGCATTTGCTTCAATTGACTATCCTTTCTTGAAACATTTTTCCTCCTAGGCTTAAGTTACTTTACATCATTTTATTCTTCCCCTGCTTCATTGGCCACTCCTTTTAACTCTCCTTGGCAGCTATGTCCTCCTCTTTTCAATGTCTAAATATTGACATATTATAGGACATAAAATTGGAATGCCTTGTTTCTACTATTTTCTCCTCTGTTCCTAGGTAGTTATCATTTCTTTCCTTAGATAACCATCTATTTGATGATAACTGCCATACTTTCATCTCTACTTTTGATGTCTCCCCTAAAAAAACTTCAGCTTTACACTTCAATGAGACACTTGACTTAGCCACTTCAGTATGTAAATAACAACCCAAATTTAACATATCCAAAGGTGATATCTGGATCTGGACTTCTTTTCTTTTCTCTTCTCTTCTCTTTTCTCTTCTCTTCTCTTTTCTTTCTTCTCTTTTCTTTCTTTCTTTCTCCCTCTTTCTCTCTCTCTCCTTCCTTCCTTCCTCCTTTCCTTTTCCTTTTCCCTTTCCCTTTTCCTTTCCTTTCTCTCTTTGTCTTTCTTTCTTTCTCTCCTTTCTTTCTTTCTTTCTTTCTTTCCTCTCTCTTTCTTTTTTTTTTTTTTTTTTGAGACAGGGTCTCACTCTGTCGCGTAGGCTGTAGTGCAGTGGCACGATCTCAGCTCACTGCATCCTCCCCATCCCAGATTCAAGCAATTCTCATGCCTCAGCCTACTGAGTAGCTGGGACTACAGGCATGTACCACCACACCTGGATAGTTTTTGTATTTTTAGTGGATACGGGGTTTCACCATGTTGGCCAGGCTGGAGATTCCTGGATTTCTCACCACAACCCTCCACTGAACCAATTCATCCACAAGTCTTTCTATCTGAGTAAATGGCAGTAGCATCATCTTTAGTTATTTGAACTACAAATCTGGAATTCGTGGAAAAAATTTTCTCTCTCACATGCGCATCTAATCAGTAAGAAAGTTGTATAAAAATTCCTGTTAAAGCTATATCCTTGGAATCTGTCCAGTTTTGTTTCTCCCCTGCTACCCTCCTTACCTCTCATCTGAACTACTAATTTCCCTTTTTACATTCTTTCCTTAAAAATCCATTTTCCACAGATCACCAGGATGAACCAAATTGTGACCTTTCTCTCCAAAGGCTTGCTATTTTACTTAGAATAAATGACAAATTCCTTACTCCTAACTTGTCTTGCAAAAACCTTTGTGATCTTCCTCTGACTCATTAACCATATGTCTAACCTCTTTCAGCCTTGCTCACAAAGCTTCTGACCAACCGTCTTTCCATCCCTAAAACTTTCCAGGCTTGGACCTGATGCTTACCTGGGCTCCTTCTTACATGGGCTCTTCCATGCCTTGCTGCTTCTTGCTATTCAGCTCTCAGCTTCAGTGTCATCTTTTCCAAAAGAGATCAATAAAGGTTAGGTGAATAAAAATTGAATGAAAGAGGTAAAGTAATTTGGGCATATGGCACAAAATTGAAGGAGCCAGAATTTGAACCCAGACTCATTCCTCTTGCAGAACTCATTACCTCTCAGAAAATTTTAGGGGTGTGTGTGTGTGTGTGTGTGTGTGTGTGTGTGTGTGTGTCTGTGTGTTTCCTATCTAGGCCATGGGATAAAAGTACTTTGTCAGTACACTTTATGCACATATTAGAGAAAGCTTCATTAAAGGAATACAGGAATAAAATAATAGATATCATGAAATTATATACAGATATTTAAAGATCAGTCTTCCTAATGTTTCCCAAGGGGTCTAGGAAATTTAGTTTAATTTAGTATGTTTTCTAACTTCAGGCTTATAGCTCTGTCCCACTTTAAGGGACATTATTTTGGCTGGGGAATAGAAGTAATAGTAGTAATTTTATTTAGAGATCTTCCATAACATCAATTTTTAGTGGAAATGGGTGTTTGTCATTGGACCACAGAGGTAATACTCTTAGTTGATATCTGTGCTATGTTTACAAACCAATTATCTTGCTAGCATCTTTCTCTATCTTTCAGGAGAGTTTAGAGTAATTCTTTTTTTTCTTTTAGATGGGGAAAGAAAAATGATTTACAATAAGGTTAAATTACTTACTGGCATTATATTTGTCATTGTCATATTTTTTCTTCATATTTCATTTCTTCATCCTCTTAGATGATGTTTATAATTTCATATTCTGGGAGGGAATATTGCTTGAGACATTTCTCACCCAGAGGTAAGAATTGGGTTGAAATTTAAACAGCTTGGATGAAAAAGCTGTTTGGGGAATCAGATTTTTTTTCTTTTTAGTAGTGAAAAAATGATAAGAATTTTCTTCCTGTGAATGAAAATAATTACTAGTTTTGACACATAATTAAAGGTAGATGATTGCATATGAGGAAGCTATATTAAATAATTTAAATACATTGGGTAGCCAGTTCGAGCCAGTCACTACCATTAACTGCAGTCTGAAAGTTGTTCCTTGTATGGGGCATTCCACCAAAATGAAAGTCTATTGTTCTTTGGCATTAATACAAGACTTGTCCTGCATTTCATATTTACTCGGGATTATAATCTGTTCATCTGAAATTTTTTGAGAATTGATTGTTCTTTCAGTACTTCCACCAAAGTACCTGTCTGTTTTTAAAGAGCATGATAAATATTTTTGTCACACATATTTCCATAGATGACATAGTTATTGCAGAAGGGTTTCTTGACTATATCAATACTAACGTATACTCTTTGAAACCTATAATTAATATGAGCAAACTAATAATTTCTAGACATACCTGAATCATTGTATGCCTGTGATTATGATTTTTCTGCTTGTTTATAAAAACAAATACATTTTAAATATGATGATGCCCAGAAATAGAGTATTTTTTAAAATGCCAAATAATTTAGGACCATGAATACCTCTCCATAAGCCAAGTTTTATATTTTGTATCCTCATAAATATATAGCATAGTAGATAAATTTGACTTGACTAAATCTAGATTATTGTGTTACTGTTAGGGTACTCAGTCTTAAAAATGTACTTTGGAAAAAAGTCCTTAGTGTTTGAAGACATACATAAATATTATACACACACATTCCTTGCACCATGATTCAGATTGAATATTTTTGAATGGCTTATCACATTTCAGGTTTATCTCTAATTATACAGAAAGTGATTGTAGTTACTAAAAACAATATGAGGCAAATCTTTTTCTGTTCTTGATCATTAAATTCAGTTAATTTATGAGGCCTGTCAAATACCAGGCACAAGGCTGGGTGCTAAGGTATAAGAATGAACAGCCCTCAATTCCTGCTTTCAAAGCTTAGTGCCTAGGGGTAGATTTACTGTCAAAAGAGGTGGTTTTTTGAAAGTATTTAGATGGAAGCCAGTGATGTGCATAAAATGTTTTAAGTCATCAGCATGCATTTATTAATTCTAAAATCATGAGGGAAGATTAAAGCAAAACCAGTGGGGAAGAAGCAGTGGGTAAAGGAAAATCTGAAAATAGTCACAGCTATATAATAACTGATGAGGAAAGAAAGAAGTTATCACCAGAAAGAGATGACTGTTGTATTGTTTTCTAAAATTTCCACTTATAGTGATTTTCTAATCTTAATGATACCTTCAAATGTGTATGTATCACTTTTTTATAGTTTTAAATTAATTTATTTAATGACCTCAGACTCTTTATCTGTGATTGATAATTAAAGGGTATTAGGCTTTATAAGAACTATTTATAGCTAAGAGTTACAGTGCACTATCATATACACTTTGAATTTCAGCCTACAATTTGGAGATTATAATAGGGGAAAAGTTATGTATGTTTGCAACATGATTATGTATTTTAATATAGTTTTAAATTTTAGTATGTGTATTAAGATGGAATTAAGAATACTGATTGATTGTAAAACTGAAGTTTCGAAACAAAGTTATTTTTTATGTGCAAGGGGCTGAGATCTAATCTATGACATTTTAGAGGTTTTCTTTAAGAAAGAGGGGTTATTACATTGAAATATTTATTGTTTTGAGCAATGTTTGTATTTGTGAATACTACTAGCATTTATATCTAAGGGATGACTCTAGTTTAAGAATTATAGTGTAAGGCCATTGAAGGCACAGTGGCATTGAACATTTGTGGAGATACTCTTACACCTGGTTTAGTCTTTCAAATATTTATTGAGTTCTTACATATACAAAGTACAAGTAGAAACTGGAGATACAGTTATGAGCAAATTTTCATGAGCTTTATCCTCATGAAAATTGGATAACGGGCAGGCAGGTGGCACTGATCAAATAACCACACAAATGTATATAAAATTGTAACTAAGATAATTCTACAAAGAGGAAGAAGTGTTGCTAAGAGTGTAAATTATAGGAAGATTTGACAGGGGAGTCTTCAACAAATTATAGGAAGATTTGACAGGGGAGTCTTCAACAAAGAGTTAATCAAGCTGAAGTCTGAAAGAAGGGTAAGTGGATATAGGCTAAGAAAATAGGCCAGTGTATAAATGAGAGTTTTCTGATGTAAAGTATTTGTGGGCATGGGGTAGATGAAAGTAACTGAAGACCAATATGAAAAACGCAGAGGGTACGGAGTTACATTGTGGGAGATGAGGTTGAAGCTATAGGTAGGGGCCAACCTTGGGAAACCCCATTGAGAAATTTTGTCTTTATACTAGGAGTATTTCGTATTACTAAATACTCTCTATACTAGGAGTATTTCGTATACTAGGTAAGTATGTAAAATAATTAAGCTTTTGAGATATATCACCATAATTGTAGAATTTTTAAAAATATCACTCTGGCTGAAATAAAAAGGTTCAGAAGGATCTAAAATGAATACAGAGAGTCTGCATGGGAGCCTGTCATACTGGTTTTGGTAAGAGATGGATATGAGAGCTCTAATATGGATATTAGAGCTCAAGTAATGTGCAGGGATTGGAGAGATGTTTAGGATGTAAAATGTGAAGGATGGGAGAAGAGAATTAACAGTCAGGTCTCTGGTGTAACTGGATGGATAGGGAACTGTATTGGTGAGAGTGTACATTAGTAGAATGTTTCTTTGCAGGTTTATTTGACAATATCAAATTTAAATATTCACTCCCTTTAATGTGTAATTAAAGGGAAAATAGGATGATATGCTATATAATTATTTAACACATGATGCTGTTTTCTCTTCACATCTGTTGTATTAAGCGAGATGGGTAAGTGCCCTTTTTATTTCCCGTTGATGCTTCTTTTTTTTTTTTTTTTTTTTGAGATGGAGTCTCACTCTGTTGCCCAGGCTGGAGTGCAGTGGCATGATCTCGGCTCACTGCAAGCTCTGCCTCCTGGGTTCACACCATTCTCCTGCCTCAGCCTCCCAAGTAGCTGGGACTACAGGCGCCCGCCACCACACCCGGCTAATTTTTTTGTATTTTTAGTAGAGACGGGGTTTCACCATGTTAGCCAGGATGGTCTTGATCTCCTGACCTCGTGATCCACCCGCGTCGGCCTCCCAAAGTGCTGTGATTACAGGCATGAGCCACCACGCCCGGCCGGTGCTTGTTTATTTTACCTTTCTCTTCTGGAAATCTATAAAATGTGATTCCCATTATATCATATTGCCTGTTACCCATCCTTCCTGTAGACACCTATGGATCCTTTGGTCACACTCCTCATTCTTTATAAAGTTTGTCTCTGGGCTCGCTTTGTCCAACTTTTGTCCTGATTCTTTGTTAATTCAATAACCTACATAGATGAGGCGTTCAGTAGCTGGCCTCTATTCCTTCAATTCTTCTCCAGTATTTTTGGTTCTCCACCTTAACCCAGTCACCTACTCTCACAGTTACCTCAGACACTTAATTCTGTGATATTGTGTATACTACATGGTACCTCAGCTATCCTGCATCTCCCTGTGACCACTGATTTGTCTTGTAGTTCAACAGAAGTTAGCTTACTCCCAAATTTTAGGTAGTCCTTGACTCTTCTAGTCTTTTTTAAACCATCCCTCGTATTCTACACTCAGTCAATCGGAAACTATTGTTGACTCTCCTTTAAAAATATATCCAAAATATTAAAAGACTGACAGCCTCTAAGACTACCACTTCAGTCCAAGCCACCGTAATTGCTGGCTATTGTAACAGCTGACATCTTGGGCTGGAGGTGTGGTGAGGGTGGTTAACAGAATCCCAATACAAACTTCAGATCAATTAAATGAGAATCACAGGCATGCATGAATCACGTGTCTGTGTGTGTATGTGTATGTGTTGGAGAGGTAGCAGTTAGCATCAGTGTTTTTGAAGCATCCCATTGCAGATAATTTCAGAATGCAGTCATGGTTGAAGATTACTCTTGTAACTGGTATCCATAAAGACTGTTCTTCACACAGGAGCTTGAGTGATCTTTTAATTTGGTCAAATCATATTTCTCTTCTGTTCAAAACCCACTAGTGATTTCAAACTGCACTTAAAGTCAAAATTCTGACAATGCCCTATGTGATCCTGATCCCCTCTACTGCCTCCATGACTTTATATTTTAGAACTCAATTTATCTCTCATATTTAGCCATACTGGTCTAAACATTGAGAAATTAACACTTCAAAATAACCATAGGTCAGAAAATAAATAATGGGAAATTAAAAAAATATTTTGAACTGAACAATGAAATTAAACATGAAAACTTTTCAAATGCAGTGAAAGAGTCACTTAAAGTTTATGGCCTCTTTGGAAGACAGTTTGGCAGTGTTTTTACAAAATAAAATTACTCCATATATTTATTATATTTTTTAAAGATTATGGATATATAAATAAATATTTTAAATAATAAAAAGATATAAACCCCAATTTAAGACCTGGTAAGATTGGGAACAAGGCAAGGATGTTCGTTCTGACCAGTGCTTTTTGGCATCATACTGGCAGCACTAGCTAATGTGATGAGAAAGAAAAGAAAATAAAGGTGTACAGTTTGGGAAGAAATAAATGAAACTACATTTGTCCACAGATGACATGATTGTCCATGTAGGAAATCCTAAAAATTGACCAAAAAATTTCCTAGAACTAATCAACAATTATTAGTTCCTTACTAATAGGCAAGGTTGCCAGATACAAGATTAATATACAAAAGTTAATTGTTTTCATATATGTCAGCAATGCACAATAAGAATTTGAAATTTAAAAGATAATATCATTTAAATTAGCACCAAAAAAGGAAATATTTAATAAATCTCATAACATAGGTACAAAATCTATATGAGGAAATCTATAAAAATATGGTGAAAGAAATTGAAGAGAAACAAAATAAATGGAAACATCTTTTGTGTTTCTGGACAGGAATACTCACAATTCTCAAGATGTTGGTTCTTTCCAAATTGTTCCACAGATTCAGTGTAATTACAATCAAAATATCAGGAGGTTATATCTTGCTTATGGACAAAATGATTCCAAACCTTATATAGAAAAGCAGAAGACTCAGAATAACTAACATATATTGAAGGAGAACAAAGTCTGAGAATTGACAGTACCCAAATTTAAGACTTACTGTAAAGCTGCAGTAGTCAAGGCAATGTGGTGTTATTGAAAGGATAGACACGATCAATGAGCTGGAATACAGAGCCCAGAAATAGGCCTACATAATCAACTTGTCTTTGACAAAGGTGCAAAGGCATTTCAATCGATAAATGATACTGGAACCACTGGACATACACATGCTAAAAAAAAATCTAGACACACTGGACACAGATCTAACACCTTTCACAAACATTAACTCAAAATGAAGTGTAGAACTAAATAGAAAACACATGCCTACTATATTCTGAGAAGATAACATAGAAAATATAGATGTTATTGGATTTGGTGATAACATTTTAGATACAAATCCAAAGGCATGATCCATGAAATAAACAATTGATAAGTTAGACTTTATTACAATTAAATACTTCTGCTCTGCAAAAGACACTGTCAAGGAAATGAAAAGATAAGCTACAGACTGGTTAAAAATTTTATGAAAGAAACATAACAGATAAATAAATGACATAAAAATATAAAAAGAAGCACTAAAATCCAACAATAAGAAAATAACCTGATTTTAAAATGGGCAAGAGATCTGAACATACACCTCATCAAGAAAGATATACAGATGGCAAATAACCATGTGAAAATATGTCATTAGGGAATTGCAAATTAAAACAACAGATACCACTACACAATTAGGATGGCCAAAATCCAGAACACTGACACAACCAAATGTTGATGAGAATGTGGAGCAAAAGGGACTGTCATTCATTTTTGCTGGGAATGCAAAATTAGTAAAGCCACTTTGGAAGGCAGTTTGGCACTTTCTTACACAATTAAACATACTCTTACTATCCAGTCCAGCAATTGCATTTTTGGCATTTACCCAAAGTAATTGAAAACTTATGTCCACACAAAAACCTGCACACGGATGTTTACTGCAGTTTTATTCATAATTGTTAGACTTTGAACTAACCAATATGTTCTTTAGAAGATGAAAGCCTAAATAAATTGTGGTACATCCAGACAAAGGAATATTATTTAGAGTTAAAAATAAATGAGCTATCAGGTCAGAGAAGACATGGAGTACAGTTAAATGCTTATTACTAAATGAAAGAAATCAATCTGAAATGATTACACACTGTATTATTCCAAATGTATGACATCCTGGAAAAGGCAAAACTAAAAGACAGTGAAAATATGAGGGGTTGCCAGGGGTTTAAGATGAAGAGATGAATAGGTGAGGCACAGAGGATTTTTAGGAGAGTGAGAATACTTCGTATGATACTATCATGATAGATCCATATTATTATACATTTGTCAAAGGCCTTAGGATATACAACACTAAAATTGATTTCTAATGTAAACTATGAACTTTGTGTGATAATGATGTGTCAATGTTAGTTCATCATTGTAATAAGTGTAGTACTCTGATTCAGAATGTTGATGGTGAGGGAGTTTTTGCTTGTGTGGGGGTAGCAGAAATATGGGAACTCTGCATTCCTTTGAATTTTGCTGTGAACCTAAAATATTCTAAAAAAGGAAGTATGTACAATTTTTAAAAATAGTCAAAATATTTGAGTAAAAAATGTCCCAAAAGATGATATACACACATCCAGTAGAAACCTGAGAGTGTGCTCAACATCATTAGTCATCAGGAAAACACAAATTAAAACGACAGTAACATACTATTTTATACCCACTTGTATGATGAATATTAAGAACACTGGCAAAACCCAAATTTTGGTGAAGATGTGAAACAACTGCATTTTCTTCTAGATTTTACTGTTATTGACTTCTAATTTTCTTCCATTATGGCAAGAAAATAAAATGTGTAAGATTATATTTTGAAACTTGATTTTTGTCCCTGCATGTGGTCTATTCTTGGTGAATGTTTTGTGTGAACTTGACAAAAATGTTTATTCTGCAATTGTTGGATTTAGTGTTCTATAAATATCAGTTAGATTGAGGCAATAGGTAGATTTATCTAGCTCTTCAGTATCATTACTGTCATTTATTTATGATTCTGATAGAGGGTTGCTAAAATCTCCAACTATGATTTGAATTTGGTCAGTTTTTTTCTTTCAGGTCTGACAGTTTACATTTTATGCTTCTCCTGAACCCTCATTCATTTTGTTTATTTCTGTATTTTGGAAGCTTCTAGCCTCTCTTTTTTAGCCTCCCACAAACCTCTTGAATTCAGTATGTGTCCAGTGGGGAAACAGATGTGTTTGTTCTCTTAATTTTCCAATTATAACACCCCTCCGCCTGTGCCGGTGATCATTAAACGTTTTGCTGATTTCTCCTTAGCCCATTTTAAGAAAGTTCTCCTCTCTTAGGAACTTTTGTTTGTCTACTTCTCCTTGCTTTCTCAGATCTCTTATGCCTCTAAAAAATATGGTGTTGTGGTTTATCCAGCTTTTTCTAGATTTTAGCAGAGAGAACATTCACTGGCCTCCTGTGACTTACTACATTATGCCTAGAAGGTGAAATTCCTTTCTGTGTCTACCTCAGCACATTGTTTTGGTAATCAAAGTCATGGATTGATTGAATATAAGCAACTACATATCATTATGTTTAAAGGAAGACAAAACTGTGCTTTTTAAAATAATTTACTTTCTGTTTTGTTTATTTCAAGCAAAATATTTAACCCACTGTCTTTTTTCCCCTATATTTTCTTTAAAATCTGGACACGTAAGAAAGTTTCGTGCCTGGTCCTGTTCTCACTCTATGTTCATGTTCTATTCTTTGGCTCTTATCCACTGTGTGTATCAGTGTCTCTCAAGTCTGTGTTCTCTGCCCTAGTCACCCTCTTGAATCTCAAACTTACAGTTTTAAATGTTTGTTTGACATTTGATTGTTCTTCAAAAACTTCAGACTCAACATTTCAATCCCCAAATTCATTTGCTTTGCCTTTTAGTTGGTCTCCTACATTCCCAGGGTTCTGCATCTGGCTCTGTCAGTGGGACTGACTGTAATTTTTAGTAAGCCTCTGAATCTCTGTGATCCTTACTTTTCAATTTATATTTCATTTAAACGAATCAAAATGTAGCTAGATTGCTTGTTTTAACAAAATATTTTATCAAGTGCAAAATTAGTATTTATCTTTTTTATAAAACCATAATAGAATTGCAGCTACCTCATATGTAAATGAAATAATTTATTACTTTGGTAAGAATTAGTTATTAATTGGTCTAGTTAAATAATAATTAAGGATAACTTTGTCCTGTCAACTCAGTTCAATGCTCAAAAGAATAGGTTTACAAATCCTAAGAGATGAAGTTAAATTAGTTTTAATTGAGCTTTTTATGTGACCACTTAAACACTTACCTATCCTGAAGTGTCTGTTTTTACAGCTAGAATATGCAACCTGTTATCTTCTAATTTCTTTAATTCCCTCTTTTCTCTGGAGAGAGTTCTGTATCATTGAGTATGCTATACTTGGGTGAACACAATCAAATGACTTTGACTTTGGTGTAGGAAGATAAATATCAATGACATACTGTAGGGATAGATAAACTCAAAATACACTGTAGAATTTGTCTAATTAATGTTTTATGAAATAAATGTTTTCATTTATTTTTCTTAATGAAATTGTATAGCATCTTAACATCTTGAGACTTCACAAATAGTTTTAGGACTTTATATTATGGGAAGTAATTTGCATGATTATGTTTAATTCCTTTCAATTGTTTCACTACTCACAAGCGTGTCTATTTCTGAGAAAATTCTATATGTGTCTTTATGTAAAGTAAAATCTTTTAGTATTCTTGTAGTTTGATCCTTAGTAAGTGGTGATAATACATAAAGAACAGGCATTATTTATATAAATTTCTAAATTGAATATTATATCCCACTACATAGGCTCTTGTTTTTCCCTCAGAGATATTCATAACAAATGAGAATAAGGGTCAAGAAAAATAACGTTTAATATAACAACAAATTTTGTTTTTTTAATAGACTGTGATGAGACTTTTCATTATTCACTAGAAATGAAATTTCATTGCTATTTAGCACAATTGTTCATAAAACTACTTCGATTTAAAACCATTTAAATGAATTGCACTGCTTCAGTGACAAAATATTTTCAAAGTTATTTTCACTTTAAAAATGGTCTTGATATTTTAAGTCCAGGTACATATGAGGTGGAGTTGCCAAGTATTTTCTGAATTAACACTTTAAATTCATCAATAAAGATATCAGCACTTTTCATAAAAGTTATTTGCTTTGGTAAAACTAACCATGTAACGCATGGTAATATATAAGCATAATGAAATATAACCCTAAGTCATAGTTTACAGGAGTGAATTTCAAGACTGCTTTATATACAAGGAAATTTTAACTTTTCAGCCATATTTCATTTAATAATCAGAAGGGGAACTTTGTAGTCTTTTAATAATGAAATATATGCTGTTAATCTTTTTCTTAAAAAATTGGAGAAGTCACATTTTTCAAAATATTTCTCATCTCTCTGTTTTTTGTGTAGTCCCATTTCATAGATACTTGGATAGAAGTATGTGTGTCCATATTTTCATTCTCTGAATATACATTCAATCATGTAATTAAGAGCAATCACCATTATCAGTAATTTTAAAACACCTTTTTGATTAATGTCTCAATTTTTTTCTGTCATACTATTTTTACCCATGACAAATGATAATTCAGGAATATATGTAAAGGAAGAGCATGAAACAAGATTATTATAGTAACTTAGTGATATATTATAAAGAAGAGTATTTCCTGTAGGGTAGTCCAATTACAAAATAGTAAAACAGGAACAAAACACAATAAAGTGTTTTTCCTATTTGTTTCAGTAAGTTTAGCACAGCAGGAGTCGTGGCATTCCTCCTGACTGGTGCGTCAAATCGGCAGTTTGAAATGTAACTGCAAATGGGAATTATTTTAAAGACACCATATATAAGCTAATAACCTTAGCCATATAAATGAGATAATTATACAGTATTTAATATATTTAGTTTCTTTTCATTGTAATAATTTCATACCTTCAGTTTGAGAGAATATGTTCATTTTGAAAGATTAATAAACTTTTATGTTGAAGGCATGTAAGAAGTAAACTTTGAATCATTTAAACTTTGCCTGTATCAGTTTTTTGCTGGTATCTGTTTCTTGCCAGTTCAGTTTAGTTTGAGGAAAAGATGTTGTGAATTAAACGAACAGCAAACATCACAAAAAAATTGACATAGGATCCAATAGAACTTTTGAAAAATAGTCTGAAATTACTTCAGGACAACATCTTGGACTATAGCATAGGAGAAAAAGGATTGATTTTGTGGATTTGTGGAAATTTGACACTTTTAATGGCAAGAGATCTAGGTTTTAGAAAGTTCAACCAAGGCAAGAAGGATAAGTGGGAGAACTGGGACTTCTATACTAAGGGAGGATAAGATCTCAAAAGTCAGGTGTCTCTTGACAGTGAATCTTGAAAAGATATAGTTGGGAGTCTTGGTAAAATAAATATCTGAGGGATAGATCTGAGGCCCCAAAAGGAAAATTGTGCTTTGAGTAGTACAAGCTGCTTCTGACTCTGTGGTTCCTTATATATTTCTTATTGTGTAAGTCCAAAGTTCCTACTGCAGAAGAGGTGACCCTAAAACAGTGTGAGAATGTGCTGAGTGATTGCTGGTAGTATGGAGCATTATACAGTCTGCAAATGTGGAGACTGTAAAATGAGTTCAGACAGGAACTTTTAGTCTTGCCCTCTGACATTTTGGCAGTTCTTATTCAGGCAGAAGAAAGATTTGTCTTAATTAAGGCTTATGTTCATATGTTCATAATTAAATAGTTTTAAAAACCTGAAAGAATTTGCTAGAGCCAACTGTCAGAATTGTGCTGTATCCAACTACAAATTTATCTGGAAGGCATTTCACTGCCAAGCTTTTTGAATATGTAGTCTGAACAGCGTGACTCTACGTCTTTACCTCCCAGTCATACCTCAACCCACTACAATCTGGCTTCTTTGCATCATTTTTTCTGTTAGACATAGTGCCCTTTACAAAGTAAAAGCTCAATTGATATACTGATGAATTTTAATTTTAATTTCTTATTTATATTTTATATCCTACTTCTAAAATATTAAAAGGAGATATGTTAAGTTTGTATGAAAATTAGACACTACTAGTCAAATAATAAAATAAATAATCTTTATCACATTTTAAATTAAACAATTGAGACAAGAACTACAGAAATTGGAAAAAAACATGCTAAGCAGTGAATAGTTACTGCACATGGTTGAAATTTCAATAAGGGAGAGGAGGCAAACCATAAAACAGTTTCACAGAATACAGGAAAAAAGAAACACGAGAGAGAAAAATAATGGGCCTTTCCATTTGCTGATCCCTCTGCCCTCAGATATTTGCATGCCCCCAGATACTTCCTCTCATCCTTCAGTTCTTTCCTCAAATGTTACCTTCTCAGGTTCGCCTTTTTTGGCTACCATATAAAATTGGAATTCAACTTATAGCATTAACACTTCTTATCCATTTTTCTAATTTATTTTTCTTCTGAGAACTTACAACTATCTAATATACTATATATCTTACATTTTAAAAATCTTTAATGCATCTCTCTCAGTAAAATATAAGCTCGTGGCAGGGCCATAATTAGTGACATAAGCTGTATCCATTTGAGGAGTAGGAACAGAAGCTAAATTGGTGTTTTGGTCAGTTTTGGCTGCTATAGCAAAATGCCATCAATGGATCGCTTAAACAACGAACATTTGCTTCTCACAGTTCTAAAGGTTAGGAGTTTCAGATCAAGGAGCCAGTAGAGGTTCTTGGTGAAGGCCCTCTTTCTGACTTTCAGAGTATTGTCTTCTTGCTGTGTCCTCATATGGTGGAACGAGATTAACTAGCTTTCTGTCCTCTTTTTAGAAGGACACTAATCCTATTCATGTTGGCTCCACCATCATGACCTCATTACCCACCAAAGGCTTCCCACTGGGATTAGGGCTTCAACATGTGAATTTTGGTAGGCACAGACATTCAGTCCATAACAATTGGAATAGGTTGTAGAATGAATGGATGGATGAATGCAAAGAAAGGAAATGGAGATTGTCACTATAGATGACAAACTTTTTCCTACTTTTTGGCTGTGCAGAGGAGGAAGGAGATGTAAGACTCAGGGAGAAATGTTATCAGATTGGAACAATCAAAAATAATTAAATGGTATTAAGGAGGCTCCAAGAAACAACAGAAGAGATGAAAGTTAAAAGCATTTGACTCTACAGAAGGTGGAAGGAGATGGAATCTAGTTACACTTGTGGGGATTCCTGTTTACTGGGAGGAGGGTCAGAAACAGCATCATGATAACAGACAGAAAAAAAGACAGTGGCAGTTACAAATAGGTCCACAGAGATGGTGGCAGCACTATTTGGGAGTGCCACTTGAAAACTTTGTTTTGTCACAGAAGTAGAAAGAAAGGTTATCTGGTGAGGAAGAAGGAATGGAATAGGACTGGCTTGGAAATTGGAAGAGAAAGAGGAAAGTTTTAATGAGTTATTCTGGGGAATGGGAGAGTGGGAGTTTGACCAAAGAAGTTAAGTTCCATTGCTGTGCAGTGTTGAGAGCTCGATCTGTGACAGAGGTTAGACCATGAGGCTAGTTTTCTGCATAGGTTTTCACCGTGGACATGGATATTTTCATCTAGACTTAGGATATTCTAAGAAAGGCATGATGGAAGAACTGCAAGGGGGCTCTTTATAAAGAGTTATTTGAAGTGATGAAAAATAGAATTTGAACAGTAAAAACTTGAAGTAAATAGATAAGAAAAAATAAGAGAAGTCAATAATAATAATAGCTATAATTTGTTGCTCACCTACTATGTGCAAACAACTTTTCTAAATATTTTACATATATTTACTCAATTCTTGTGACACTCCTATGAAGTAGGTATTATTACTTAAATTTAAACTACCATTATTACTCTAATTTTACAGTTAATATGAAGACATCTACCTTTATACAAAAAATAAATGGCAAATATGGAATTTGAATGTTTCTATAGTCTAGTTCTTGTGCCTTCGCTAAAGGACTTTGCTACACAGAGATCCTGAGGAGCATAAATATCACTACTAATGGGGGAATTGAACAAGTGAAATGGGAGGTTTGGAGATGTGCATTGGAAGAGATGATGATTGAATTAGAAAATTCAGAAAGAACACACTTTAAGGTAACAACAAGGTTCTGTTCTAGGCAACGTGAACTTTCTTTCCCCCTGCTACCCTCCAGTGGAACAATTCAATGCTGCAGGTATAAAATACTTTACCTGCATTTATTGAAGATTATCTTTTTCATGTATCATTTTTGAGACAAAAAAAAGTTTTGATAAGACATTGAGATCTTAGTAATTTTGTTATGGATTTTTAAGAAAATGGATTAAAGTATTCTCAGTGAAAGCTCCATGGGAGAGCATCTTGAGGTAACAGTCTCAAGAAATGGGTCAGACTGGGATAAAGACCAAATCACAGAGTAGCAACATATGTTTATTTCAGGTTATGATAGATCACATAATTTGTACTTCACCTTTATTATTTCAGATAACTAGCATGGAGTTTCAGAAGGTGATTTTTTTTTCAGGATGAAAGCTTATTCATGCGGGTATATCTTTGGCTCTAGAAATTACTGTCATATACTCAGTAACCTTTTTGAAAACTTGCTGATTGATCATACAAATCAGGGTCATCATTTGTGTTTCTCAAGAAATACTGAAGCCACTCCAATAAATAAACTTCATGGTAACTTGTTGTTTTTACTTGATGTAATGTGACTGGCTAACCATTGTATAATGTCTCTGTGCTTCCATTTTGCATTCTATAGGGCTAGAGGAGGTGTACCACTGTGGAACAGTGTACAGGCTTCCAGGCTCACCTTGATATAGGAACAAGCTTGGCCTAAAGAAGTCAGTGTGGATGAAGTTTGGTGGAGGGAGATGAATTACAAGACTATACAGGACTCGTTTCCTTGCCATAGAAAGGAATATGAATTTTAATTTAATGATAAGAAGCAAGTAGAGACGTAATGTCTACCCCTTTTTATAGGTATAAAATGGAGATTCAGAAAGGTTCCATAATTTGAAGATGGGAGTCTCATAAGTGGCAAGGCTGGACTTTATACTCCTGTCTGCCTGTTACAATGCCTATTCTTTTTTCAATACCACCTTTATTATCTGGTACATAGATACTTAACAAATGTTTCTGAACATATATGTGCTCTGTGATACAGCAGATGAAACTTTAAATAACTGAAGTGAATACATTTAAAAATACTTTAGATGCATTTATTAAAAGATAACAATAACAACAAGCTTTATTTTGATCATTTAATTTTTCAATAATGTGTTAAATACTTTGTATGGATTATCTTATTTATTCTTAATAACAATCCTGTGAGGTAGGTACTATTATTATGCCCATATTGTACGTACATGGACAAATATCTTCACCTCAATACTGTGAGGTAGGTACTATTAGTATACTCATTTTATAATAACAAATATTGAATATTTAACAAATATTGCAAATCTATACTTAAAATGGGTAGAATAATAGTACCTGCCTCACAGGATTGAGGTGAAGATATTTGCCCATGGTCATACACTGAGTAAGTGATAAATTCATAATAGCAGAAACTATTTCACTATTTGCTTGATTGTCACAGGGAATTCTTTGAAACCATGTTTATATTTGTGGTTATTCTGTGTATGACTAGATGGTTATAAAAGTTTAAAAATTAATTTCATAGTTCACATTTTTAATTTTCTATAACAATTCAGAGAGACTATCCAGACATATGAATTAGGAGAATAATTCTGAAGAAATAGATGACACAGCAAAGGACTCTACATATAGGTTAGGACCATATTCTTGTTGGGAAGATGGCCAAAAAAGAATTTTGAGGATATTTTTTCAATTATTTAACAAATATTGAAAATCTATTATGTTCCACTTGGAAAAGAAAGAATTGGTGGGTAGGAGCCAACTAAGATCCAATAAACTTTTGTCTGTGACTTAACTCTTCTGAAGTTGTCAGAACGTTATGTTCCCCAGAGTTAGTTGTTTTGGTTGACAGAAATCTATGATATGCCAAATAAAGACTTTCTAGTTACTATTAACTTTGCCTTGCATGTAGAAAGAAAATATTACTCATCAGAACTTATCATAAATCTTAGGATGCAGTCATATCCCTACATATATTTTGATTATTTCAAAATCAAATATATACTTTAAAAAAGGCTTACTATGTTTTGAAGGGTTCATATTTTTTTTCTGAAAAATGGCAAAATAGTGCTGGCCTCATGATGCTTGGTTTAGTACAGGAACATACATACTAATATAAACAGTATGCCCAGCCAATTCATTATCATCCTGGAACTATATTCAGCCTGGCTACTATCATGAAAGATGAGTAGAAGCAGTGAGCTGGCAAAGCTGGCCTCTGCCTCTGGTTGTTAAGCTGTTGGCAGCTCAGGATGCATGACCTTTCAAATATACGCTTCTAATTCAGGACTTCTTATGATGTCATGTAGTTATGTTCTTCCCTTTTAGTGTATTCTCTCTTCAAAATTCTGTGCTGAAAAAAGGAAAAAAAAGAAATGTAAGCTACTATCCTTTTGGCCAAATGTTGAACTTTTCCTTCTGTAACTTTGTAGGTAGGAGACAGCAGAGTAACTGATCTTCCTACTGAAATGAATTTCCTTGAGCAAAATTATTTCAAAAAATATGTCTGGTATCTTTGTTTATACCTCAGGGTTGCCGAGCTGTCAGCTGCATGCCTGCTTTTCATTGAAGCATATGTATATTTGTGTATATATGTGTTTGTATGGCTTCCAATAGCATAGTAATAATTTCAGGGGAGGAAATAGAAAAGAAAGCAAGATAAATGTATTACATTTTTGTATTTCCTCCTTGCATTTTTTTAAAGATAAGACTCTGTTGTAAAATATAAACTGGCAATTTGATCATTACTTGTTATTCATTTGAACTAGTTCAGTCAACAGATAATGGACAGTGAACAGAGAGACCTCTTTTGGTAAGCCATGTAGTTTTTCCAGGGGTGATTGTTATGCTATGTGTATTTAGATAGAAGCTTTTCCCTGTGTAATCAGCTTGCTGCTGCCCATTTTACTGCCAAACATTCCTTCTCTATGGTAGCATAATACTGTTACCAAGGGAACAGCTTATGGCCGACACATACAGTAGTGCCACAAATTAATTTCACAGTTATCAGGATATAAGGTGATAACAGTAACGTGAGCTACTGTGAAATTACCATTGTTCCCACAGAGTTAGTGTAATTATTACTTTTGTGGTAACTAAGCAAATAATTCACATCACTACTCCTGGATGTTTGTTCTCTCTTCTCTGTCTCACCCTCCTTCTTTGTCTTTCCCTTTCCTTCCTATATTTTCCTCTTTTGTTGATTCAGACTCTCTCCCTGAGTCTCTTTTCACAATTACCAATTAATGTAGAGTATTTTTTATATTGGCATTAAGAAAGAGTTTTATTGAAGTGGGGTGAAGGCATCTCATATATGTAACTCATGGGCATAATTAGGATGTTCACTTCTATCAAAGATATAAAGGACTAAAACAGTGTATTGAGAGGATACATTCAATTTGTGATCAATGTAGACTCAGAGATTCCAGTTTTATTTTCATAGAATGTTAACTTCATGTGTTGAATAGAAGGATCAGTTTAATGTGATTAAAAGCAGTGGAGAAAAATTAACTTCCCTAATTAGCTGTGTTGCTTAGGACAAGGAAAACAACTTAGCTTTTTAGTACTTACATCTATAAAATTGGGATAATAATAATGCCTACCTAACAGAATTGGTATGTGGATTAAAAGAGATATGTGTGAAAGTGAATTTTAAACTGTACAATAAAAGTTTTAAGCTATTATGATCATTGTCATATAAATGGGGATACATCTGTAAAATGGGGTTAAGTATATTCACCTAACAGAATTGGTATGTGGATGAAAAGAGATATGTGTACAAATGAATTTTCAGCTGTACAATACAAGTTTTAAGCTATTACCATCATTGTTATATTTTAATGGAGGCATCTTTTGATGATAGCCTACCCTCATTATCAGAAAATTTATAAGGATAATTCAAAATAACAGCAGTAACACAGGGAAGAACACTTTTTATTGCATTTTATTATAATAAAAAGAGTGTTTCATTATACCTAGGGCACAACAAAATGAGATGTTATCATTATAAAATAACAGTAATTTTAATAATGAAATTTTCCAGAGAATGAGTCATATTTTTTATTGTTTTTATTGAGTATATGTATATGTTAATTAAAATTTCAGCATTGAAATATAAAATAATATAGGAGTGTGTATAGTATGTCCATTATTTTTTAAAAAGCTACAATGGTGAGTACATGTGAAATATGAGTTGTTCACTATGTCAAAAAGTGAAGTTGCTAAGACAAAGGTAAAATTATAGAAATGAGTTTATGTAGGAATGTTTGTTTTTAATTGCGTCAATGTGCATTATGATCTTTAGTCTCCATTCTATGTTATTTTGCTTTTAAAACGTATTTTATGTATTCTGTTAGCAAGATCAGCATATAGCTAACAGTTAGTATCAGTTACTAAATGTTGAGTAGTTAATTATGTATTTATTTATCATTCTAACACTATAAATTATACACTTTTAGCAGTTAGAAAATTGATACATGATAGAATAAAATAATTTGATGAAATTTGTAGCTAGGCATATTTGTTGAATGAATGAATTAAATATGGTGAATATGTAGTAAACTGCCTCCCATTGCTAAATGTCTTTTTAGAGAGGGTAGGAAATTAAAAATAATTATTTTCTCATGTAAATTTTTCTGCCACCCATTTTGAAGTTACCCAACACTGGTAACTTTACATAAAGAAGTATGACTTTAACTGGACTCTGTGCTCATCCCATTAGTTAAGACTGCTTTCTCACATTATTATTATTTTGGAAATAAGTAAAATTATTTTTATTTCCTACTCTTATTTGTTCTCTACAAAGAAAATCTAATGTGATCTACAAAAAGATACTAGAACAAACAAGATTAGGTATATTGCAAGATTGATATACAAAAATCAAATATATTCTAATCACTAACAACAAACAATTAAAAATTAAAACTTAAAGCAATACCATTTAAGATAGCATAAAAATTATACAGTACTAGGGATAAATCTGACTTGTGAAAGATGTGAAAGATATGTGTACTAAAAATCTATGTACCCTGCCCTGAAATAAGTGAAGCATGGCTTCCCACTTTTTAAGTGTGAAATAAGCGTGGTGACTTTTTTCCGAAAAGTATAATATGTAAAGAGTTGGAAAAGAGTAACTTTACAGAAGAGAAGCCTGAAAAATACTAACTAGCCAGGCAATCAAGATTGATATCAATGGTAGTAAGTCATGTTGATAATATGTACCCTTAGGTGAATGGAATCCAGGTCAAACAAGCTTTTTAAAATAGAGATTTAAAAACAAAACGGAAGTAATATATGTTAACTGTAAACATCTATGATCAGTCTTTAACGTTTTTAATTTGCTTTTCTATAATGGTGAATGATGCTGAATATCTTTTCATGTGTTTTATGCCATCTGTATGTCTTATTTGGTAATGTGTCTGTTTAGGACATTTGTTTATTTTTTTTGGTCGGCTTGTTTCTGTTATTATTTATTTTTGAGAGTTTAAACAATATTATGGATTCAAGTTCTTATCAGATATGTGCCTTGAAAATATTTCCTCCTAGTATGTGGGTTGTCTTTTCATTCTCTTAAGAATGTCTTTTGGCCTTGCCTGGTGGCTTATGCCTGTAATCCCAAAATTTGGGAAGGCTGAGGTTGATGGATTGCTTGAGCCCAGGAGTTTGAGGCTAGTCTGGGTAACATGGTGAAACTCTATCCTTACTAAATATACAAAAATTAGCTGGGCATAGTGGCGCATGCCTGTAGTCCCAGCTACTTGGGAGGCTGAGGAAGGAAGATCACCTGAGCCCAGGAAGTTGAGGCTGCAGTGAGCCATGATTGCACCACAGCACTCTAGCTTGGGCGACTGGAGTGACACCCTGTCTCAAACAAACAAACAAACAAACCAAACAAACAAACAAACACAACAACCAGGTGTTTTAAAGAACAGAAATTGTTATTTTTGATGAAGTTAAATTTATCAATTTCTTGTGCTATGATGTGTATTTTGGTGTCATATCTAAAAAAATCTTTGTCTACCCTAGGGTTGCAAATATTTTCTGCCATGTTTTCCTCTAGAAGTTGTGTAGTTTTGTGTTTTACATTTGGCTCTAGGTTACATTTCACGTTAAATTTTATATATGGTATGAGTTATGGTCAAAGTTTTTTTTCGTTTTGTTTTGTTTTTGTTTTTTTCATATGGGCATCCAATTGTTTTAACACCATTGTGGAAAAGACTCATTTCTCCACGGAATTGACTTTGCACTTTTATGAAAACCAGTTGTCAGTATATTTGTGGGTCTCTTTCTGGACTTTGTATTCTGTGGCATTGATCTTTTTTTCTATATTAACACTGGTATCATATTGTCTTCACAGTTAGTCTTGAAATCAGTTAGTTATAGTTCTCAAAGTTAGTTTTCCTTTTTATAAGTTGTTTGGCTATTCTAGGTCACCTGAAATTCCATATGAATTTTAGAATAAGTTTGTCTATTTTTACTAAAAGCATCTGCTAGGATTTTGATTGGGGCTGTGTTGACTTGATATATCAATTTGAGGTGAATCACCATCTTAACAAAATTGAGTCTTCTGACCCATGAACATAGTATAACTTTCCATTTTGTAAGGACTTTAAATTTTTTTCTCAGCATGGTAGTTTTTTAAAACATATTTTAAAACTTAGGAATAGTTTTAGGGTTACAGAAAAATAGCAGAGACAGTACACTATATAGAGATTTCCCACCTACACCAAGTCAGTTTCCTTTATCTTTAACATCTTATATAAATGTGCTTTGTCAAATTAATGAACCAGTATTGATACATTATTATTAACTGAAGTGCATACTTTATTCGTATTTCCTCAGTTTTTACATAATGTTCTTTTTCTGATTTAGAATTCCATCCAGGATACCAAATTATATTTACGTGTTATGTCTTCTGAGGCTTCTCTTGGCTGTGGCAGTTTGTCCAACTTACCCTGTTTTTGATGACCTTGACAGTTTTGAGGAGTATTGGTCAAGTATTTTGTAGAATGTGCCTTACTTAGAATTCGTCTGATGTTTTCCTCATGATTAGAGTGGGATTACTGGTTTTGGGAGGACAAGAACTAAGATGAAGTGTCATTCTCTTATTTTCATGAAATTTTATGGGCGTTTTGATGTGATTGAGGCTTAGTTTCATCATCTGTAAAGTGGAGATAATGATAATGGCATGCAGTAAACACTAAGTGAGAAAACTATGTGTGTAAAGTATTTAGCATTAAGAAGATCTGATGCAGACTAAAGAGCTCAGTAGCGGCCAGGCGCGGTGGCTCACGCCTGTAATCCCAGCAGTTTGGGAGGCTGAGGTGGACAGATCACCTGAGGTCAATAGTTCAAGATCGGCCTGACCAACATGGTGAAACCCCGTCTCTACTAAAAAATATAAAAATTAGCTGGGTGTGTTGGCTGCCTGGAAGCAGAGAGAATTGCTTGAACCTGGGGGGTGGAGGTTGCAGTGAGCCAAGCTTGCACCACTGCACTCCAGCCTGGGCAGCAGAGCAAGACTCTGTCTCAAAAAAAAAAAATAAAATAAAAAAATAAAAGCTCAGTAGCAGTATTTTTCTCTTTGGGAGATGGGCAAGGCCATATGACTAGTTTGGCGTCAGGAGTATCTATGATTAAGGTCTTCTTACTGCACTGTCCTTCCTTGTGTCTAATGGGCATACCAAAAATAGTTGTTAATGGAAATATCTTCACTCGGTACTGCATTATGACTATGCATAATAGAGTTAGCAGGTGAAAGGTTCTCTTAGAACAATTAAGAAGTATGAATCCATTCCATCAGCTAAAGCATTTAAAAATATAGTTTTTTTTTGTAATTGGTTTCTCAAACTCAAAATATTATGAGCACTCTGCTTCGCAGAGCAATAGGATATTGACAATATTTGGGTTTTTTTCTTTTTTACCCATTACTAACTTCCTTTCTATATTTCTACTTCTTTGTCTTTTCCTACAATGTAACATAAAAAAGATCCATTACAATATTGGTGCAGCTAAATATTTGAGTGCACAAATTTTAGTGATCAGAATAGCTTTAGACAGGTGTATAAAATGCTTGTTTTTTCTCTGTCCTCAGTGTGGGAAACTGAATAGGATAAATTAGGTTAGTCAATACACTAGCATTTAATTATTCTTTTTCTCAAAAGAAAGAAGTTTTTAAAGTAGTAAAAAGAACTGTATCTGAGGCCAGCTGATTCACAACCAGACCATCACATTTAGTTACTAGACTTAAGCATGGCTTCTCTGGAGACATTCTGTGTTACCAAAAATGCAAATTACTCCTTCAAAAAATTTACACATGGTACAAATTTAGCACACCTGTAGTATGAATCTACATTAGACCACAAAACTTGTTCCAATACTCTAATGCTACAGTTGCAAAAGCACATCATTATGGTTTCCAAATTAAGCAGAGGTTTCAGTGGTTTTAATTTTGTGAAGATGTTTTCCTTCCTGAATCATATTGTGAGTCTAGTAGTTCTTAACTGGGGGACTGGGTGTTCCTGTCTTTTGGAGGACATTTGGAAATGTATGGACATTTGGAAATGATTGTCACAATGATTTTTAGGTTCTCTGACATTTGATAGGAAGGGGTCGGAAATACAATACATCCCACAATGTTGTGGAAAGCATTTAATAAAAGGGAAGCATTAAATATTTCTTAAAAATGTGAATCATGCCACTTGAGAACTGTGGGTAATCCTGATGTCTTATGAGAAAAATCTGTGTTTATGTACATTATGTATTAAACTGTTATTTAGACATAACTTTGGATGAACCAACTGCCTTTTTTCTTACTGAATATGTAAAAATTAATAAAGAAGCTATAAGCTCAACAGAATAACTTATCTATTCATAAAATGTCTTTCAATAGTTTAATAGATAACTGGAAATTTATTTTTGATAGCAGCTTATACTAAAGCAAATAAGGACGTGAAAATTGTAGATAATCTTTAATCATGCTTACAAATTTGATTAAAATCATCTGTTGATTTTTTTTCCTAATTGAATCTTTTGAACTCAACAGAATGTCTTTCTAGTAATTCTACTTTTTCCAATATGTGACCTAACATGAGCCTAGTCTTTTGAAGAATTCTAAAGATGAGTGAAAAAGAGATGTGAAGAGAGTAAGAAATAATATCCAAATGGTGAGAACACAGAAAATAACCACACTGTTTTTACTTTTTCAACATATGGTATTATCCACATTTTGCAGAAAAATAGAATGTATTCAAGCACGTTTTCTGAGACAAATGTCAGAAAAGTAAGAGAACCATATAAATCACATTGTTGCAGACTATTCTGTGCCCTCCATGAAAACATTGTATTTTTGTTTGAAATGTGTAAATTCTGTAGAAAATCAGTTCTCTCTAGGGTCGTCTGGTGTAGAATCCTTCTGGGCTTTGTATCATCCTTTTCAATATGTTTAAGAAATAACTATTAGAGACTAAAATATTAGTATCATTCCTCTCTTTCTTATGCAAGAAAAGTGACCTCTTTTAGCAGCAACTTTTCTGTGTAAAAAGCACGTGATCTTGAAGTCAGCTGGGTCCATGAAGAGTATTCGTTTTGAACCTAGGCCAACTTTAAGACAGAATTGATCATTTTTCTCCAATACCAGAAAGAGTTTGCTCTTAGAAAATGGTAAGCAGTGTGGGGATTCCAGATGATTTCTTGAGGGAGGTAGATGAAAAGTTTACAACGTAGGTCCCAGGTTTCTGTTAATGTGGCTCCTCATTAGACTTGTTCCTTCCCCAAAGCTGCCCCACCTCCCACAAATACCTCAAGTGATGCTTTGCGGTTTTTCTCTGTTCTTTAACTTGATATTTCTCCCTTGCAATCTTGAAGGGCTTCGTTTTTTGTTTTTCAAAACCATCAATCTCTAAGTCTATCAAAGACTTAAAGCAGTATATAAATTAATCATATTGTGTTAAAGCTGCATGCTAATAACTAGCTGAGATCAGCTGTACTCAGAGGTTGAGCATTTTGATTTGAGGAAGGGAGCTGAGTGATTTGTGGACACGGAGTCTTTCAGGAGGTATATCTAAGAAGACATATTTATTTTATTCTTAATTTTGTTATTCAAATACTGCTTTTGAGAAAATTATGAAGTAGCAAAGGAACTTAGGCCAGCATGAGGTCATATGGGCTTGGAAGGAAGTGTGGGAGGTGAGAAAAAAAGCACAGAAAAAACAAGGCTATTTAAAATTTTCCTTATCATCTACAATAAATAATATGACTTATTTTCTGAGGGTGAAAGCCTAAAATTCATTTTCATAAACTATTTCCCAGAATTTAAACTACTAGAATTCACCATGCAGGGTTTTGTATCTTACTGATCAATAGTAAACATGCAAATAATAGCTTGTGATTCAATTTTGCAAAAGAAAGAAATGCTGTTAAATGATTGATGCTCCCAGTATAGTCAGAAGCCATATCATTAAACTGTGTCTCATATAAAGCATTTCTGAGGGAGGGTCAGCTCATGTGATTAGTTATATTTGCTTCTGAAATATGTAATATATGGATAGTGCTTTCAAATTTTAATACTGGGTAATTAGTAGATTAATTTTATACTCAAATTAGGGCTGTTATGTGGACATTAGCCAGATTCTGGGTCACTATGAATTTATTATTGAATGAAGGTACTAATGTGTACCCCAGTGCAGGTTATTTCTTGGGTTAAGGTTTTATTCAGCCACAGGTGTTTGCATTAAACAGCTTGTTCCCAGCACTTTGGGAAGCCTAGGTGGGCGGTAGATCGCATGAGCTCACCAGTTTGAGACCAGCCTGGGTAACGTGGTGAAACCCCATCTCTACAAAAAATACAAAAATTAGCCGGGCATGGTGGTGCATGCCTGTAGTCCTAGCTACTCAGGAGGCTTAGGTAGGACGATGACTTGAACCTGGGAGGCGGAGGTTGCAGTGAGCCGAGATGGTGCCTGGGCCATAGAGCCAGAGTTTGCTTGGAAACAAACAACAACAACAACAACAACAATAAGAAAAATAATACAGCTTGTATTTTTGCCTTTGCAATATTATTCAATCCTGGATGAGAATTCAGGGGAATTGCCTTTCTGTCCTTTATTAGCTGATTAGCCTTGGGAAAATCAGGTTGGATTCTATAGGCCTATGTACTCCTTGATCACTTTTTTCTCACTTCATGTTAGTTATCAATTGCTACATAATCAACCATTCCAAACCTCAATGGCCTAATGCAATAACAACTTATAATTTTTTGCAATTGTGTCAATTGGCTGGACTCAGTGGGTAGTTCGTTGGTCTTGCTTGAGCTCATTCAAACTATTTCAGTGATGTGGGAGCGCCGCTGATGCTGGCAGGACCAAGATGGTCTCTCATGTAGTTGACAGTTGGTACTGATCGTCAGCTAAGGTATCTGGCATCTTTCTTCTCTCTCATATGGCTTCTCCTCCTTTGGTAGGCTAAACTAATATCTTACAGCCTAGAGGTCTGGATTCTAAAGGAGCAAAAGTGGAAGTTACCAAGCTTCTTTAAAACCAGGTTCAAAACTGGTGCAGCATCACTTCTGCCATCATTTTATAGGTCATTGGAACTCACAAAGTAGTCCAGATTCAAGGGAAGGGAATGAAGGTCCCAAGTCTCTGTTAATGTGCCTCCTCTGTAGCTTTGTTTCTTCCCCAAAGCTGCCCCACGTCCTGCACATACCTCATGGATTGCTGTTGCAGCTCTCTATATATCTTCATGGGATAAATATCACGGACATACAGGGATGGGAGGGTTTATTGGCACCATCTTTGAAGTAAAGCTGCCACTTATTACAAATAAAGTAGTTTTCACATTGTGTTGCAATGGCAATTTAACCTGTCTACCTCTCTACTACCGTGTGATTTTTCTAGAGGAAGCTTTATTACTAAATCTTGTCTCTTATATGTATGCAGCAGGTGACCAATAAAGGTCAATGGTAGAGTGATCTTTATGTTGAAGTTGTTGATTATGGTAATATCAATGTTTATATATGCTTATATTTTAGCACTTACATGTAAATATCTTCACCTCTTTTCAGAAAAGAGGATTTTGAGTTTAACTTAGTTTTCAAAAGTGCTCTATTATTGTTATAGCCTTGTTCGACGGAACTTCTGTTTGTTCAGAATTTCCCTTAAGATTTAGCTTTTTTTTTCTTTTTTATGAACAAATGGAGGACATCATAAAAATTGCAGAAGGATCATTATTTTAAATGGTGTGCCTTAGACTTGCAGTCTTTGCCAAGAATTATTCTTTAAAGTGTTTGCTACTTCTCTGCCTAACGGTAAGTTGAATCTTGTAAATAGACCTCTTTCTTCTTCTTCACGTATTACAGACTAGCAGGGGAACTTTGCCATGGATGACTGCCATTATTCTAAATGCAGGCTAGAAATGCAGGTTGACAATTTAAGCCAGCAGTTGTGATATAGCATCTTGAAACTTCTTTATTTCCAAAGTGTTTTCATTATGATCTATTTCACTGTTTAGGATAAAAGTCTCACTTATTTCATTTTACTTTAGATGTTGATGCAATTGTGGCTTATTAAGTTATGCTTTCAAATATTTTCACTGCCAATATCAAGTATCCTACTGGGAAATCTGTGAAACAAGATGAGAGGCTTTATTTTCTTTCTGAATTTAGGTATTATTTGTGTGCATATATAACTTGAAAATTGTAGTAGTATTTTCTGTAATTGACCAAATGTTCAATTTTTTTCATTACTATTGTATGGAAAATAGGAGAATGCATGAATATTTTAAGGACTGTTCTTAGTTCACAGTGACCTGTGGTTTTTTTTCCTCAAAGCCAGAGAAATAAAGCATAAAATATGAAGCAATGGCTAACTAGTCTAGAAGTTAGGAACTTCCATGCAAAAGGAGAACAATTTACACAGTTTTCTCCCTCACTAGTTATGTAATAATTAGCTTTTTATTTCCACCCAAATTCTTTCAGGTATATACTATATTTTAACAAGCTTTCCCTTTGCAAATTTTTGCTATTTTTAGGTCAAACAAAATAAGTAATAACTCCTTGTTGCCAAGATAACATAAGTTAACTCATTGCCTTCAGAATGTGTAATTTAATATTGGCCTTCAGAAATCACACTCTTCAGCCTAAAAATAGTGCTGCTCTTTAGGTGTAAACTTCAGGTGTCTATTCTGTTTTATTCAGAGACAAGCTAATAAAATGACTTATACAAATGTCTCCTCAGGTAGGGCCCTCATCTTGTGTGTGAGCACATTTCCAGGATGAGAAGGATAAATATTGAATGGATGGTCCTTTGGTATAAAATAAGATAATCTTTGATAGATGGTGGTTTTAGATGAGAACATTACAATAATTCAGAGTGGACTAAGCACATTTTATCTTTGTGCTTTAAAAAAAATCATTTGTAAGGAAGATGTCTTTTGCGTAAAAGTGAAGGCCAATTACACGTCACAAATGTCCACATTTTTACATATCACACTTGTTTTCATCTGTACGTTAAAAGAATCCATGAATTTCATCAGAAATATAAATTTTCTAGGGCACCAATCATCAAGTTTGTTAGAATTGGTAAAGTGTTGGTTAATAATAAACATGTAAAAGAGAAAGGAATGCTTTTCTAAAAGTTGCCCTTGTTCTTTTTAGAGTAATGTGATTTAATTGCCATTCATCTTCTGATTGTCTTAAATTGCGTATTTTGGGAGAGAAGTTGAATCCCTTTTCTTTCTTTTTTTTTTTTTTAATTTGGCTGAGGCATATCGTTGACCCAAGATTTAAAGGCCAAATTGGGAAGATATCATTGCAGTCAAGAGTCAGTGGCCCGGCCGGACGTGGTGGCTCAAGCCTGTAATCCCAGCACTTTGGGAGGCCGAGGCAGGCGGATCATGAGGTCAGGAGATCGAGACCGTCCTGGCTAACACAGTGAAACCCCATCTCTACTACAAAATACAAAAAATTAGCTGGGCGTGGTGGCCAGCACCTGTAGTCCCAGCTACTAGGGAGGCTGAGGCAGGAGAATGGCATGAACCCGGGAGGTGGAGTTTGCAGTGAGCGGAGAATGTGCCACTGCACTCCAGCCTGGGTGACAGAGCGAGACTCCGTCTAAAAAAAAAAAAAAAAAAAAAAAAAAAAAAGAGTCAGTGGCCCAAAAGAAAAAAAGATAATCTCTCTTGTGGCCAGCATAAAGATCTATTAATAAACACAGGGTGTGTGATGTGCTTGAAACTCACTGCATATTTAGGTTCTATTCATGTTTGGAGAACTGCTATAAAAACATACGGCATTGAAGACTGTTGATGGATGAGTGTCATTGCCTGTTGAAAGCTTCAAATCACAAATATGTGTGTAAGTAATTATTTTCTTCCATTTGTGAAATACCACTTTAAATATATATTCAAATTGAATAATATGCATAACATAAAACAGTGATCCAAACTGATTTGTATGACAGTATGAAGAACACACAGATAGAAGAAATCTGTGTGGTGCATGTTGTATCTCAGGGAGATAGATTTTTACCTTTCTCATATTCAGTAAAGTACTTTTATATGTTATACATTATGAAAATAACAAATGAAATATGCATAATTATTAAACGTTCAATGGACTTTGTGGTGTTTGAAGCTTATACAAAATGCAAGTATATTTTGCTATGCTGCTATGTTTTTCTCTTTCTACAAATAAAAGTTTGTATTAGCTATATTCTCATTTAATGATTTTACTAAACAACAGGATGTGAATAATTTTCATTAGACAGCAAAGATTAATAAATTTATTTGTGTTTATTAAAATCAGAACACCATGAAATTATAAAAAATTATATTTTACAAATAGCTTATTGTCTTTCTTGCTTTTAAGCACATTATATCCTCACACAAAAGTAACCAGGGCAGGAATTGTTTTCCTAGCATCTGTTTGTCATTAAAATTCTTCTGGACATAAAATTTTATGTATTGGCTACCTTTGTTAGTGTCTATTTAACTGTATAAAAAATGGAGGCCTTAAGAAGTTGATATAGATGACAGTCCAAATCACAGTCTCATGACAATGTCACATTGGATAACTCAGGTTAATCTGGTAATATGCATCCCTCACATGTTTTTCACAGTAGTTAGAAGAGACTGTCTGAAAAGGAAATAGGAGAGAGGTAGGTAGATTTGAACACAGATCATTTATGAGAGAGAGTGCTTCCATAGTGCCTGTGTGGAGTAATAGGAAATATAAACTGGATTTCTTTTCTTGGTAAAGTAATCGCCTATTTTGTTAAATGAGAACCACCCAGAACATTTTGTACTACACTTCTTCAGAAAGATAGTTTAGTCTTATAAAACTACATATATTTACATTTGTTTAAAACACTTAGAGACTTAAGTGTGTTCTCTTGTTCTTTATGTCCTCTTCATCTAGAGATCTACTTCATATATCCCCTAGAGCTTCTTGCCAGGGAAGCTTGGTTACTAAGTAGATACCTACACTCTCAACTGTTGGTATAAAGCGCTGAGAAATTGGTTTTATTTACACTGTAAGAGTAATTTTTTTTTTTAAAAAAAGGAAAAGCATGGCTTATATCTAAGGAAACACTGTTGTTTGGAGAGGTAATGAATGGCAATTAGCAGGAATCGTCATGTCTCCCATTTTGCTTTTTAGTATTCCTCCTATGTTGAACGCTGACAGTCTCTTTGGAATAGAAAATCAAATGAAGTCAAGTATTGCATATTAGATGGCTGATAATGTGATTCATATCTCTTATAACCTATTACTTCTATTACTAACAGCAAAAAGAAAGTGAGAGGATAATACTGCCAGTGTAGTTTCCTCCCTGCTTATTAAGCCAAGATATGTGTACTGCCTGTACTCTGAACTTGCCTCTGCTGAGGTAGCATCTATTGTCATGGGAACCATTATTTTATTGGAAGCATGAGAGATTTCAGGGAAAAGCTGATGCTTTCTGTTACCATGATATTGGGTTAGACTTGGGATTTAGAATAAATTACTGACCATAAGAAAGGTGTAGCCTTTCTCTGAATGAGTTGTCTTCCGAATCTGCAACTTTTTTTGTCTTTTCCAGTTTCATGACCTCTGGTAAATGATGCCTCCTTACTTTGATTAAAAATAAAATAACAAGGCTGGGTGTGGTGGCTCACACCTTGTAATCTCAGCACTTTGGGAGGCCAAGACAGGTGGGTCACCTGAAGTCAGAAGTTCAAGACCAGCTTGGCCAACATGGTGAAACCCCATCTCTAAAACACAATAATTAGCTGGGTGTGGTGGTGGATGCCTGTAATCCCAGCTACTCAGAAGGCTGAGGTGAGAGAATCACTTGAATCCAGGAGGTGGAGGTTGCAGTGAGCCGAGATCACACCACTATACTCCATCATGAGTGACAGCAAGACTCTGTCTCAAAAAAATAAATAAGTAAATAAATAAATAAAAAATAAAATAAAATAACAAAGCTGTATTCTTTCCTTATTTGGAAACATCTCCCTGGGAAAGCAGTCCCTACTTGCCAAACCCGATAAAGCACATCTGATTTTCTGTGGTGTAAGTCATCTTGTATAAAAGTATTACTTTAAGTAGGATGATCAATACCTATTCCTGTACAACTAGGGCATGGAGTTCTTTTTCATTTTGGAGGAGGCCAGTTATTTATAGTCATGATCATTCGAATAATAGTTTTTTCAAAAATCCATTTTTTATCCTTTTCTGTTCAACAGCGTTGGCTCTGTAAGAAATAGAAAGGGGACATTTGAGAGATGAGTAACACAGGGATTATAACAGCTAGCATTTGGTGCTTCTCTCCAACACACTCCTACCCCATGCTTTCAGAATTCTCCAGTGCCCACCACAGTATTGCACATTCCCCTAGGACTGTGCCTTCACTATGTCGGCTCACATGGCTCACATTAGGGTGAACCATGGTATCACCCTGATGATACCACCACCTGATATCCAGAGAATACTTTCTCAGTCCTGACTCCTACAGACAAAAGTAACAAAGGAGTTTGACCATTTATTCTGTCAAAGGTATCAAAGGAAAATAATTTACTCTTTATAAATGATTTAAGACATTTGATTAATACTATTAAAGATAGAAGGGATTGTCATATAAAGTAGCACTGAATTTGTGGTCAATTTCTGAGTTGTTTTTCATTCACTGGTCTTGCCTTTATACTACTTTTACTTTCTGTGCTTTTACTGAACGTTTTAAATCTAAACAGGGAAATGAATAAAATTAGAATACAGTTTAGTAAAATGGGAAGTAAAGTGAGTATACATGGCAGTGCCCCCAGCAAATGTATAATTCTTAGTCCTCTACCTGCAGATAGGGAAGAGCTCACTGTGATGGGGTCCCATGATCCAGGAAAGGCAACTGCAAGGGATGTGGACTTCTGTAGAACATGCTCAAAGCAAAGCTGCAGTGACTGCTGTCTGTTGTGCTGCAAAGACAGCTGTCTGGGGCCACAGAAGAAAATGGGATAGTGGGTTTGAAAGAAAGGCAAATCTGTAGAGAAATGAAGATAACAGAGGTGGTTTAGGCTGGTAGCTCTGCGCCGTGATTTATGTAATGTGAAGTGAACCAGGCAGTATGGACAAAGCATCCTCCACAGACCTTTGTTTGCAGTGGTTTAATCATGTATCTATTAGTGTGAGAGGATGAGGAAGAGAGAGAACAGAAAAAGGTGTCTGAGTTTACTTCCTCAACAACTTAAAATTTATCTTTCTGTCCCTACATGGTTACCTTGTACTAATACCTTCCAGTGTTGCACTTTTCGGTCTAAGAGATTTACCAAAGAATAAAGGATTGGAATGAGACACAGGCCTGACGCTAAAGTGAATCAGTCAGAACCACCATATCCTGTTTCTGTGTGATCTTAAGCAGCTTTCTCAACCTTTGCTAAGACTCAGTCTTCTCCTCTGTGGACATGCATGGTGTGGTTATTGAGCTAAGCTGTATCTAAATTTATAAGCATTTGAAATATTATTTAGTGCTGATTAACCACATTAAAATGCATTATTGGTATAGAAAAAATGTGAGTTGACTTGTTAAAATCATTTGTATAATTTTTAGGGTTTCTTTAGAAGATAGGTAAATAATGTCTATCATTTAAAGCTGCTAAGAAATTATTTGTACCACAGTTTTGGAAGGTGTGTTCATGGATACTCTCAGGAACTCAGTGATCTTTATCACATCATTAGGATCACATATACATTTAGGATGTGATTCAGGTTGATATAAATCATTTTGTTTCAGAACTTGCAGGGCATTTTTTCTACCCTAAACAAGACTCTAGTTGTTAAAGAAGGGTTTAATGATGTTGAAAGGATGTCTTTATGTAACTAAACATGCATGGAACATGTTATACAGTAGGTGCTCAATGGATGCATATATGTAGACATACAAGAATGGATGAGCAAATCAAAACATTCCCTGGGGCATCTCAGAAATGGTAATGCTTACACTCTAAATATGAGATAACTACATATGTCTAATTTTATCAAACAAATGGTGGTCTTAAAATCATAGGTAATTTTTGTACCAAAAGTATAAAGCAAATTTATTAGTTTTTACTTTTGTATACATTTACAATGAATATTTCCTCAAAATGTTTAAACATTTATAGTAATCACATACAGTGGATGGAAATAGAACTCTATAATGAAGATACAGGTGGAGGTTTAGCCAACCATAGCAGTGTAGCTAAGACTGCTGTATCATGAGTAATACAGCTTGTTTTCTTGGTTTTCTGTGGCTGTGTGCTCCAAGCAGATTGCCCCATTAACTGTCGTGAGAGTTGCAGTTGTAGTCATTCTGGACATTATGAAGCTTCTAGAATAATGCCTGTTAGTTATTTGTTCTGCTGTTATGTTAAAGATACGTTCATATTTTCATTGTCTTTACCTTGCTGTATTCTCTTAAAAATATGATATTGTCTTTATCTGAAATAGTATCAAGCATCTTTAGTTTTCTTTAAATGTCAGTGAAATTACTCTGCAAATTGAGCGACCAAATTTTTAGTGGTGAACACCCAGAGATCCATGCAATACAGTTTATAGTAATTCTTCATTTGCAATTTGACAAGTTGCATGTTTCCATCTGGCTTCTTTTCAGTTAAAAGAAGGGACAGAATGAGGTTTTGTAGAGTACTACTTGCTTGGTAGAACTTAGAATATACCTCCTTCTGAGTTGACAGCTGTTGCAGTATGTTCAAGAAGTATCCATGATTTCTTCCCTGTGGCGTCACCAGGTGCTGTAGTGCCTGGAGGAGTTAAACGTGGCACTAGCTTTTACAGATGTCATCATTGTTATCCACATGTAAGAACTCTCTTGATTAAAACTTTGGGCAAACAGCAAATCAGTAATTAAACTAAGCATTATGTTATTGTGCATGACTTTTTAAAAAATTTATTGTTCTTTTGTCCATGAAGTTTAAACAAGTTTTAGTGAATTTTCAGTGTTCATGACATATGGAAAAGTTTACTGAATTGTCAACTTTTTTCTCAAAACAACAATGTCGAAGTCTTAATCATAGCCTTTATTTGTTCATCAGTTTCTAATTTTTCCCCATTTATGATTTAACTGCAACTGAGCATTTTACTGAAATGTTTTTGTTAGTAATTCTGCTTAATTCGAAAAGAACACAAAGGTGATTACAAAAGTACAGTACAATAAGTTAATACTCTTTTTCCTCAATTCCAAGACATCACTGATTTAAAAATTGCTTTTGTGGGAGAACACAACTGCATTAAATGTAATTATAAAACATAACTTGATTTTAGAAGCTTCACTGAAATCAAACAATGTAGAAATTAAGTTATGTAAGTAGCCATTATATATTAGGCACCCAATAAATATTAGATATCTCTAAAGGTATTTTTTGTCACAACTTATGAATAGACAATCTATAATTTATCCTAGAGATGAAGTAACTGATCATGGCCCTACAGCTAGTAAAAGTTAGAGTTGGTTCTAGTTGTTCAACTTCTAAATTCTTATCTTTCCATAGAAACAAGTTGTTACATAAAGTAAATGGTACTACCAGGCCAAAGTGAAAATAAGGCCAAAAAAAAAGATGCAACCAGGAGTGATAATACTGTACAAAATGCACGCCATGATTTCTTATATACTTGATAAAGATAAAAAATAAATTATTCTGTAAGTACTTTAGCAACTAATGCAAAAAGGGAAACAGAGAACCCATTACAAACATGAATCACTGGATCCATAGAGAAGAATAAATCAGTTCCTGTATAAAAACTTCATGTTTCATGGTGCAATGGAAATTTCTACTGTGGATACTCAAAAAGAGGGTTATATGTAGACAGGTACTTTATTTTGTAGTAGTAGTAATTTTGTAGTACTGTTTTATTTTGTCTTCTTGTAAATTTCACACACTAGTGTATTTATGTTTACAGTCTTTTTTCAATTTTAGTCTTTATTTTCCCTGTACTTTCTTCAAATCTAAGCTATTGCAGCTTGTAAGTCTTTGTGTGTGTGTGTATGTGTGTGTGTGTGTTTGCAAAATTATAGAGACAATAAGGGCAAATACTTGAATATAACTTCTTAAACTGTTATTGGAAAAATAGATTCTAAATTTTAGGTTACTTGCCAGCATGTAATCAGTTATATGCCTGATTCTTGGATTTAAAAATCCTTGTGAAACCATGTCAAAATTATTATTTTGTTCCAAATCTAAAAATACCCTTTTAAATGTAGTGTTTTTCTCTCAGGTTGCTTTCAATAGAGCTAATAACTTAAAAATCTCAAATAAATTCCAGATAATTTCTAGACATTATGGCTATATTCCTGGTGAAGGTTTATTTTTATAACAGAATATTCTGAAAATTAAGATATAAAAAGAATTGTCATAAGGTGGCAGTATGTTTCAATGCTAACCATCAGTATAGAAAGAGAGCTTGTTGAACCAAGTGGTTCCTTAGCTAGTTTGAGCTCTGTATGAAAATTCCCTGTAGATTTTTTTTGAGGAAAATTGAGCAGCTATTTCTTAGGTAATATGTGTGAAATTATCAAAGATACTACTCTTTTGATTTTCAGTATTACTTACTGCTGCATAAAATAAAACCTTTTCCTTCACCCTAGCTATGCCTATATATATTGATACAGCAATGAAAATAAATGCCTTTTGTTATGGTCATTGATACATTTAAGTAGTAAGTGAGTTTACATGTTTTAAGATATAACATTTTAGGTTATAGTCCTGTTGAATATTGTGTAATAGTTATAACTTTGACTTTGGTAGCATTGAATGCAGAAGTATTTTGGCAGGATTTAATAAATAGCATTAGTCTATGGAGAAGTAATAGAATTTAAGCTTTTTAATGAAATAGAGTAAGTTTAATTTCTTACCTTCTCACTCATTAGCTTTGCAAACTTGAGCTAGTTACTTGGGCTCTGGATTTTTTTTCTTGTTAATAATTTAGAGATAATATAATGTTTACCACACAAGACTGTTGAAGAATTTAATGAGATGATGTTTATGGGTATGCTTTCTAAATTTTGAGATGTTTTCTAATTATTATTATAACCAAATAATATATTAACTCTTCCTTCCCTCCCTTCCTCCCTCCCTCCCTCCCTCTCTCTCTCTCTCTCTCTCTCTCTCTCTCTTTCTTTCTTTCTTTCTTTTTTTTTTTTTTTTTTGACAGGGTCTTACTCTGTTGCCCAGATTGGAGTTCAGTGGCGGAGCCTTGACTCACTGCAATCTCCGTCTCATGGGTTCAAGCTGTCCTGGTGCCTCAGCTTCCCTAGTAGCTGGGACTACAGACGTGTGCTACCATGCCTGGCTAATTTTTGTATTTTTAGTAGAGATGGGGTTGCACCATGTTGGCCAGGCTGGTCTCAAACTCCTGACCTCAGGTGATCTGCCTGCCTAGGCCTCCCAAAGTGCTTGATTACAGGTGTGAGCCACTACACCTGGCTCCTATTTCTATTTTCTGATGTAATCTTAAGAGAAAAACTTGAGGGTTGTCGCATTTATTTGCCACATGACAGGTTAGTACATAATGGCTACTTCACCACACAGTCAAGCTAGAACAAAAAACCAAAAAGCATGTCTTGTTCATCATCAACCATATATCAACATTAAAGCATTTTTAAATTTCCTACCAATATTATGTGCATGGAGGAGGTTACTAGGACCCAGAGGACATGATATCTGTCCTTAAATACCTTTCTGTTTGGCTGAAAAAATAAAACTAGATAAGAAATGGGAAGACCTGTGTTCTAGGGTTAGCTGGCTTTGAAATCTTGAATAGGTGTCAAAAGTTCTGTGGTTCCAGTCTCTCATTTGTACATTGAACTTGATCATCTGTAAGGTCCCTTCTGGCACTTTTATCCACAGAATATTTTGTGTTATGAATTTGCTAATAAGTAAGCAACATACAGTAGATTTTCAAAGGGAAGAGAAATTAGTGTGGCCTTGAGTATTTGCAGTCTCTTTGGCCTTATTTGCAAGAAACAGCTTTGTAGTTGCTCATAAGTGAATGGATAGTCATTTTCATGACTAAATAATCTTGTCTCTATGGTAAGTGAAAAAATATACATACATAACATTTAAAAGCCTGGAGTATATTAATTTTTTAAAAGTTTTAATGTTATAAATGATCTGGGTGAAAAAGCGAAACATTTAAAATTTTTACAACTAGGTGTTAGGTAGTAAATAATGAATACTCAGAGAAGAAAAGACATACAGATAAATAATTGTTGCAGTTATTAGTAGTTCCATCATGGTAAATGATATCCACACTTCCTATAGTATTTTTAGATAATTTCACTTAGAGTATATAACTTTTGTCGAAAAGTTTGAATACTACTTTAATTAAAACTCACGTTTGTAGCTTTGCGCCTTTATGTATTCTCAAATACCCTAGAAAATGTCTAAACTTGTAATAACAGTAACAACTAATTTTGACAATTAATAAAGTCCTAAAGAAAAATACACTAAGTATACATCAAAAAGAATTTCCATAAGAAAACTTTAAGCAGGTTTCCTATTTTTGTTGTGCTCCAAATTGTTGTGCTCCAAAACGTAGACTGCCTAAGACCAAGGAAGGAAAATGCTTCAATACTCTGCCTCTGCCTGGAGAATTTACACTTGTGTTAATGAGGAAGCTGAGTATCAGTTTCTCTGTCTTTTTTAGATTGTCTGTGCAAAACAGAGGACTTTTTCCTGGGTCTCCACTACTTCTTCTTCTACATGCAGGCAGATGTTGAAAAGCATAGAAAAACTAGAGAGAACGTCTTGGGAAAATAATCCAATCATAAGACCTTTTTAAGAGGATCACCTCAAAAAATAAAGACTTGCAGGTTGTATGATACAGATGAACCCTGGTAGCAGTGCCTGCAACTACTACGCACTATATTCTAACATCCTGGAGCATACTGAAAAATATTAACCTTTGTGATAACTTCAGAGATATGGACACACCTTGGCGTAATTTTAGGACTTCAGCACAGTTCATGAAAGCATGACTTCTTTGAAAAAGGAGCAAAATATAGACTGAGATAAAACAAAGGAAAGAGGTAAGACAGAATTAAGAATCTAAAAACATTAAATAAACTCCACTTTGCAGGCATTCATGAGTAGAATTATAGCTAAAGAAAAATACAATCAGTGGTGAAAAAAGAAATTTGATCAGCTCTTGATAAAGCAGATGAAAATGATAAAGCTTAAAATTATGTGAGACACTCTGTTGTACTATCAAATGCTAGATCTTATTCATTCTATGTTTTTGTAACCATTAACCATCCCCACCTTTCCCCACCTGCTTTCCCTCCCAACCTTATCAAACATCACATGTAGCCTATACATATATACACCTAATATGCACCCACCGTAAGTAAAAATGAAAAAATTAACAGAAAATGAAACACATCATAGAAAATTATTTTTAAAATTCTAAATGTAAATTAAGATACAGTAATGTGAGACAAACTCAGTAATATTCAGGATAAATGATGACCCAATGTGGGATTTCTTGAATTCACTAAAAAACTATTTGCATTCTAGCTATGGTATCATTCAATTTTCTGGAAATACAGCAATAAACAAAGCAAACATTGCACCTGCTCTCACAAAGATGACATCCTGAGGAGGAAGACAGATTATAAACATTAGGACACAAGAATATATATAATATGTTGGGAGATGATAACATGTTGAGTAAAAACAGAGCAGAGTTAAGAATCGAGAGTAGGGAGGCAGAAATAGGTATACCCCAAAGAGAAAGTTAAATAAGTATAACCAATAATCAGAGATGTCATAGAAGAGTTTTTTCTTTACCTGAATGTATAACTCCAAATGATTTATTTTCCTAGTTTACTATTATCTAGTCAAGTTATTATACTACAGCAATTAAGAAAAGTCCTGCCAATAAATATGTAGGCAAAAGGGACAGATAGGTTACCAAGAGCAGGGGGGGAAATTTAGGTGGCTTCACCTATTCACTTCCATATATCAGAAGATAATAGAAAAATTTTGTCTGCAGAATTTTAAAAGAAATTATGTTGTGGGCTAACAGTTTCACGTAGAGGCAAGATAGTTAATGTATGTTGGTATATAAATATATTCTTAGACATTCAGGGGTTCAGAAAATATACCATTTATCTAACCTATTAGGAAAAAAACCTGGAAAATATTTTACACTTGAATGGAAAACAATTTAGAAATTGAGAGTACAAGTGAATATAAAAGACAAATATTTTTAAAATAGTAGATAATAATATGAGTCTGGCAATATAATGATGATAATCTACATATAAACCCCAGACACTGTCACAAACCTGGCATTCATAGAGCTTCTTTCTTTTTTTTGTCCCTACTCCAGTTTGGCATGCAGTGAGGTGACCTTTGAGGATGCTATTTCTAGCAAATCATTGATGATGATTTGGACATTCAAAAGGTTTTTCCCTTGTATGTTTTCAAAGATGTTCTTTAAAATGTTCAAAATCGTCAAACCGTTTCCCACAGTACTGATATACATGAATTTTTTTTCCTAGTTCTTTCCCAGTTACCAACTACTTCAGGGTAGTTCAATTTAGGTGCTGTTTCCGTGTGCTCTCCAGAAGATACTTTTTATTGCGTATTTCACACTTGAAACTCTCAGTAGAATGTGATTTCATGTGTTCCTTAAAATGGCAAAGCAATTTAAAGGTGGCTGTTGGGCATGGCCTTTGCATGCTGTGGACATGCCCAGGCACCCGAGATGGGAGGGGAAAGAGTAAGGGTAGATACCCAGAGCCATACTTGCCTGTGGCTTTTTAGGTAGAGGCTGAGTCGGTGTACCTCTACAGGTGGTCTGATTTGCACCTTTGGCAGCTGAGTGAAATGCTCATTTTACCTAGTAACATTGCCACAGCCTCTAGCAAAACTCTTAATATCATAAAGGAAGAGATAAGAGCCTTTCAAACAGTGAGAGAGAGACAAGAGACGAAGTCTGGGGTGTTTAACCAGCCTGGTTAGGGTGGTTAAAACTCCATGAGGGCAAACAGATCCTTTTACTCACAGGAAAGAGAGAGAGGTGGCAGTGTTTTGGAAGAGTGGCAGATCCTACAGTTTTGCATTCATACTCTCCTTCCAGGATCCTGGATGAGCCCCAGGTAAAACAGGAAACGTTCTCTTATCCCCCTCACAGGGCATGCAACGGTGGTGTGGCTTGCTTCTTCATTGTCCCAAAGCTCAAACCCCTAGGGGGAGCATGCATATGGGCAGGTAGTGGGGAATGTGGACCCCACGGCAGCATCTAGGGTTGGGTGTTTACGGCTCCCAAAGCTCCAGTGAACGTGTGTTACAGTGTGCTTTCAGCTTAGGTGTCCACAGGCAGCTTGTGTTAATCAGCCCAATTAGACCTTCTGCCTTATCACAAGGACAGAGGGGCTTCTTTCTGTATCCTGGGTTCTTGCCTTAGTGTACTGAAAAAATCAGATCACATGTGGGCTTGGAAGATGGGTGCAAAGTTTTTTATTGAGTGGTGGAAGTAACTGTCAGCAGATGGATGGGGAGCTAGAAGGGGGATGGAGTAGGAAGGTGGTCTTCCCCTGGAGTTGGGCAGCTCAGTGGCTGGGCTCTTCTCCAACCACCCTCAGCCAAATTCCATGTAATCCGCTTCGTTCTGCCATCTATGGCCGTGTCGTTCTGCCATCGATGGCAAACACAGTGTCTGTCAGTGTGTTTTTCTGCTGGTGTGTTCCACTCAATGTCCAGCTGCCTGTGTCTGTGTGCCTCCTCGTGTCTCGGGGTTTTTATAGGCACAGGATGGGGGGAGCATGGTGGGTCAGAGTGGTCTTGGAAAATGGAACATTCGGACGTGAAAATAGGAGTGCTGTTCTCACTTAGGTCCGTGGGCCACAGGCCCGAGGGTAGAACCCTCACCGGGGACAATGCCCTTCTCTGCCAGCACTTCCCTGCCCTTCTCCTGTATCATTAGTAAATATGAATTAAACTTATTTACTAATATCCTAATATGTCTTGTGGAAATAAGCTCAGAGGAAATATATATTCATGATTAAGAGTGTTGGAATTAAATTTCCTGGATTCAAATTTTACTTGAACCACTTTCTGGCTCAGTTGTCTCATTTGTGCAGTCATTTGATAAATAGCATTAGCCTCCCAGGATTGATGTAAGAATACATAAGTTACCCTATTGAAAATTAGCGGGGTATAGGCATTGTAAGAACTCAGTGTTTATTTCAGAGCCATTGTTAGAGATAGAATAAAACTCACACTTCTTCCATAGGGCTCTGAAAAAGTTAGTTCAAAACAAATTTTAAATTTCTTAGCTAGCTAATTATTTAGATTCCTGATTTTCTACTCTCCAAGTGAATCTCCTGCAGAGGCCATGAAAAATCATAGAGGCCATGGAAAATCATCTGTATAGAGCTCTATCAGAGACCATCCATCCTCTTCAGAAATCTGGCCTCTCAGCTTTTCAACTTTATTAGAAGAAATATTTCTATTCTTTGTAAGTTTACTTTTAAGGTATGCCTTCAATCAAACTAGTTTACCTCCTTCAGCACCTTGTTCCCTCATGTATATGTTTGTATGTTGTTGTTGTTATGCTAGATTCTCCATTCTCCTCTACTTACCAGTTTCCTCCATTTGTAAGCATGTATGAGATTCTTCTATACTGAATATGCTTTGGCTCAATTTTCCTGTTCTCCCTAGTTATCATTCTACTTAAATTCTTTCTTTCACAAGTCAGCCTATTTTGAACAAATCTGCACACACAAACAATGCATCTGTTTCCTCATCAAATGCTTACTTCCAACCTGTGAAATTACACTTCTGCCTTCAATGTGATCTATTGAAATTATACTTTTATAGATGACTGTGGAGTTCTCCAAATTCAAGTGGCTTCTCTACAGTTTTCTGTGGAGAGAAGATAGGATGAGAGGTGGAATACTGCTGTTGTTAACTGAACAGGCTGGATAGCTAACTTTTCCTTTAATAAAAGAAAGAAAGAAGTACAATTTCTGAGTTCTTTAAGGTCAAACATGGATTTGACTCATCCCCTGCTGTATCCTCATGACCTTGTGCAGTGCCTAAGACTATGGAGGACACTCAAGAAGTAGTTATTGAATACAGAGGATGCTGAGTGGCAAAATTGAGAGTCTTGTCTTATTTTCTCCATTTTCCTTGTATTCCCTGATGAGAATGAGGAAGTCAGAGAGTAGTTTAAAGAGATAAAAAAATTTAAGACAACATCATTGGGCAGAAAAAGTGAGAGGACTTTGATAAATAAAGATTTATCTTTTATTTTTGTATAATATGATAAAGAATACAAGAAAGAATATTAATACCTTTTACTTATTTTTCTACTTACTAAATTTTATAGCCTTTTCCTTTTATTAAGAAATGGAAATAAGTTGAGCATAAGAAAAGACCATGTAGCAGATAATATTTTATAATATATTTTGTAAGATAAAACAAAAGGTGCTTTAAATTATTAGACTATGTAATCAAGCACACAAGTTATTCATTTTGAAACAGCAATGGCTTTTTTCCTTATCCATTAAATATGAATGTTTTCGTAATTATTTAGAAAATCTGTGGGGCTAACGTACTGTCTATCATATTGACAGATGAAGTCAGAAACATTCTTAATCCCCAAATATGGGTTATATAATTAGTTTTAAAGAAGATTAATGCATTCATCTAGCTGTTTTGAATCAGATGTAAGGGAATATGGTATCATATACAATTATTATTCAGAATCATACCATGATTTAATTTTCTTTCTTTAGAATGTGTGCTTTTAAATAAGATATACTGCTTTACAGTAAAAATATGCTTTTTTGTTAATTTCATCTCCTTCATTTATTTGAAATAAATCTGTATGCATGTCTTTTTGTGCACATATATGCATGTCTCTATAGGATATATTACTAGAGATCAATTTCTGGTTAAAAAGGCAGAAGTATTTTTTACTAGAAATGTGAAATAGCTCATTGAAGTTGATGCAGCCGCTAACAGCATATTAAAGTACTTATTTCTCATTTACTTTCCAAAATTAATATTTTTCTTTTTTCTTTGTAATTGAGACAAAGTCTCGTTCTGTCACCTAGACTGGAGTGCGGCTCACTGCAACCTCCACTACCCCCTGGCGCATGCCACCACAACTGGCTAATTTTTTTTTGTATTTTTAGTAGAGGCGGGGTTTCACCATGTTGGCCAGGCTGACCTCGAACTCCTGAGCTCAGGTGATCCACCCGCCTCAGCTCCACAAAGTACTGGGATTACAGGCATAAGCCACTGCATCCAGCCTATTTTTCTTTTTAATGTTAGCAAATTTCATGCTAGAAAACGTACATTTTGATTTAATTTCCTTAATAACTAGATTACACATTTTTTCATATGTTAGATAAACATTTGAATTTTTTCACAATGACTAGTTTATAATACTTATGATATTATTGTCTGTTTTAGCTACATATGCACAAACACATCCTGTGTATATGTGTGCACATATCATTTTAAGATTATAATAAGATATATTAAGGAACTAGTAAATGTTAAAAAATAAAATATTTGAAAGAGACGTGTGCAGCAAATAAATTGTTACAATGAAATTTTTTATTTGCAAGAGGATTATGAAGTTTCCCAATTTAATGAAATAAAAGTAATTGTTATATTATCTAGTCAGCCTGTATGGAATCTATATCAAAAAACACTTACGCAAACTTAGTATGTTTTCTAGCTACTCAAAACAGTTTGAAAACAGTTTGTTCTCATGTACAGTGTTAGTCACTACAGTTATTAATATCTTTACATTCCAAACAGTTTTTCTCCTTTACATGCAGAGCATTCACTATTCAAAATTTTTTTTTCCCTTTTCTTATTTGGAAAATCTTGGTACTCATAGAAAAGAAAATATGGAAAGTTTTTTTAAAAGGCTTTGAGTTTTGTTATTGAATTAATTTATTGAAAAACATTGGGCATTTCTTTGTTTACATTACCTAAATCATAACATCTTATTTGTTTCTAACAGCTAAAATCAGTATGTGCTGTCATATATCATACCCCTGTAAAGTGGCCAAATTTGTGTTTTAATTAAATAAGACTTTTATGAATTAATTGTTGCGATGGTAAAGTCATACTGATAATAATCTTTACACCAAACAACTAGGACATGCGAGCTTCAAACTTAGGCAGGTTGCAGTTTAGTTGTGGATGCACAGCATGAACATATTAATGAGCACTGGCCCTTTGCATTTGCAGTTCCTTCTGCCAAAATGCCCTTCCTCTCAGATCTTTCATTGAATGGCTTTTTAATATCATTCAGGCTTAGTGTAAATACTGGCTTCCTATGCAAAAGCCTCACTACCTAATCTAAAGGATCTCTTCTTCTATAAATCAGTCTCCAAGTTTTTTGTTTATTTCACAGCACAATCACAGGTGAAATCATCTTGATTATTCATTTGTTCACTGATTTGTTCCCATGTCCTCACCACCTTATATTCCCACCCTAAATGGTACTTCCGAAGTGGAAAGATAACTTCTTTTAAATGTTTCCTATAATTTTCTATTTTATTTCTTTGGACAGTGATTTTTAAAATAATTTATGGAGATAATGTTTGCAAATTTTTAAGCTGTTTTCACAGGTAGAATAAGCAGCTAATATGTTCAAGTTTGATAGTACATGTATTTATATTTTAACAGAAATATTTCTAAATCAACTTCACATTTCACTTTGAAATATTTTCCACCAAATATTTTGAGGGCTAGTTCTGAGATCTTGTCCTACTCTTTGAAAATGTTTAGAGTGAAACGAAACTGTTTTTCTAATCTAAAAAACAGAGTGTTTTAACCACCACAAATCATCTTATAATTATTTAAAATGAAATCATATAATGGCAAATGTTTTCCAGCATGATATGTTAAATGGTGTTACACAACTCAAATACATGATAGAGATTATTCTCTGGTTGAAAAATGTTAAAAATAGTGTTTTTTCAAGGTAAAGAAGAAGCCTGTTACCACCTTGTTGACTATTACTTTTCCATTGCCTTAGAAAAAAATGTATAATTGTATCCAGTTCTTGTATTCTTTGGGAATGAAAATCATTATGCCAAAGAATACTTTATTCCTTCCAAAATGTCCTTTTCTTTCCTGTGGAATACTGCTACTTAATGGAAATCTAGGCAAACCCAGCAATTTCTAAATAGTTTGTAAAGAATCTGGGATATTCTGTCAATAGAAAGATGAATAGCTATAGAAAGTCCTCTTATAAGTTATATCTTAGTAAATGCCTTTCTTTTTGTAATCTCATATGGAAAACCAAATGAAATTTTCACTTTTAAATTTAATACTCGAGTTTTTTATGTGTTTTTTTCTTTATTTTGTGGAGATTTTTTGATTATATCGTGGTTAATATTATAAATATAATTTTATTTCCCATTTATTTTATTGCCAAAATATGACAAATATTTATTGTATCTTAAAATTGTGTTTTGTAAAATTTGTTTTGCTATATTTAAGAGCTCTCTCATTTAGCCTTTTCATTTAACCTGGTAGACTAATGTGGGTTTTTTCTTATTTGGAAAAGATGCATTTTGAAATAATATTTTTGGGTTTAGAAGCCCTACATGCATGAAAATCAGTTTTTAGCCACAGCAAAAAATGTGGAGCATTTATGCATCTTGTAGCAGAAATTTAGCTTTTATAATTGAATTATTCCAATTTTCACATCACAATAACTGTTCACCTATCTAAATTACAAAGAAAATGACTAAGCTTGGAATGTGAAAGAATACTTAAAGTTCTTACATTATCATCACAGATCTTAATGTATCTTCTAAAATGACAATAAAAGAGAAGAGTGAATTTCTTTTTCTGTCAATCAGTGATTTGTGTGAAATTCTTGCCTATATAATGATGTTGGGCAATGCTTGCAAAAAAGTGTATTTAGAATCAATTCACGTTGAAATAAACTCTGGCAAGGGCACATTCAGGACACGAGTTCGTTTTTCCTGGGTCCCATGTCTATGGCCTCATTATAAGGAAATTTTTTAATTTTTTTGTTTAATACACACAAAGATATACATACAGACATACAGCAACTTTCAGAAACCTGTATATTATATGGCTCCAAGTATTTAAAAAAATCAAGAATTATTTGGGCTGCTTGCTCAAGATATTTCATAATTAGGAAGAGATACATGTACATATTTATGAGAATACTACTCAGATTCCCAAAACTTTCGAGGACCTGATTGCTGTCTCTCTGGGTTATGTCCTTCTTTACTTGAGCATTGTAAACTTATTCATGGAAACATTTAAGTAAAAATCAGATACTCTTCTATTGCAGTAGTGGATTTTCTATTAACTTTGACAAATCTCATCATTTCCTTGGTATGTTGGCAGGAAAAACACAGTCAAGTTGAAAGAACCTAAAATGATTATCTAGTTTTGGCTCTATTTAAAGAGAGGATTGCTGAAATTAATTCTAGATATTTAAAACATTTGGATGTTAGTTAATCTGCAGTTGATATTTGCAGGGGATCATTGCATGTGTTAACTGCTGCAAAAAAAAAAAAAAAAAAAAGCCAGCCCCAAACTCAGTGGCTTCAAATAATAAACATGTATTATTACTTGAGTATACTTATGCATCCTGTCAGGGCTGAATTGTGTAGGTTGTTCTGCTTATCTTGACTGAACTCTTTCACACATTTGGGATTTGCTGCCTGTAGAGTAGTCTGGTAGATTTGGCTCCATCACGTGGACTCTTCTCCCTGTCGTCTCTCATCCTCCGTCAGACAAATTAGGAGTCGCTCACATAGGAATGGCAGGGTTCCAGAGAGGAAACAGAACATGCAGAGTTTCTTGAGGCTGAGGTTCAGAATGAGCATACCATTATTTCTGCCACATTCTCTTGGTCAAAGCAGTTTGTCTCAGTTTAAATTCACAGAGTAGGGAAAAAGCCTACCCTTTGATAAGAAGAGCTGCAAAGTCCCATTGCAAAGGTTATGAATACAGGGAAGGGTAAAAAAATGGACTCATTTTGTCTCAAGTCTATCAAAGACTACCATCCCTGGTCTCAGTTATACATGTCTCTCCTAAAGGAAAAAATATGCCCAATCCAAACCCAGAAATTGAATCCAGTTCTAACATCATGTTAATTCCAGGGTCTCCTATACTACATGAAGTTCTGATGTGGCTTCTCAGATGTAACTCCAAAAAGGGGAAAAACAGGAGCTACCTAGCAATCACCGATCAGTAGTAATTCTGAAATCATGCTAGAAAAATGTTACCAAGTCCCTCATCTACAGAATAGGAAATGTTTCTTAAATCCTGCCTTTGCTCCTTGGGAGTAACTTCCCTGTTTATTTTTTCACATGGTACCCTTTTGCTCTACCCTCTATGATGACCTTCGTAGTCTATCACTTTCCTGGGCCACTTCTGAAGAAATGTTCTATTTGGCACCTGATTAGTTTTCTTAGACTTATTCTTTCCTATAGAAAGTTGCAGACAATTTAGTTGATGGCTATTTTACCTATGAAACTTACTGTAAAACTTTGTGTGTTTTCTTTAAGTCTGGTTATACTCTACTCTCTGCTGCAAAATCCATACTACAATTATTTTCAAGAATGCTTCTTTGTACACACTTAACTACTGCTATTTAGGGATTTGACATTTGTGGGACCACTCTTTAAGATTTCTAGAAGCACCCTTCCCCTTTCCTTTCCCCTGTTGGGCACCACTTAATTCTTTCAGAGGTGTTAACAAAGGGTTTTACGGCCACAGCCTTAATTTGATCATAGTCTTTAAGCCTCATTTTACATGATCTTTTGCCAAATGGGAAGACTATAAGGAAAAACAATTTTATTTTCCAACTCAGCAATCCTTGGCCTCTCTATATTCCCTCTAAAATCTGCTTGCAAATGGGTGAGTGCTGTTTTGATTCTCTCCTTATCAATATACCTTATCACATGCAATAAAACCAACTGACATTCTGAATATAATATCTAAAAACTTATCTTACCATACTTCATAAATCCATTAGGTATATTATCTTACTTTAAATTTACCACAGGCAACAGTTATTTATTTATTTTTTTTGAGACTGAGTTTCTCTCTTGTTGCCTAGGCTGGAGTGCAATGGCGCAATCTCGGCTCACCATAACCTCCATCTCCTGGGTTCAAGCAATTCTCCTGCCTCAGTCTCCTGAGTAGCTGGGATTACAGGCATGTGTCACCACGCATGGCTAATTTTTTGTGTTTTTTTAGTAGAGTTTCTCCATGTTGGTCAGGCTGGTCTTGAACTCCTGACCTCAGGTGATCTGCCTGCCCTGGCCTCCTGAAGTGCTGCGATTATAGGCGTGAGCCACCGCACCTGGCCACAACAGTTTTACATTTGCTGCTGCATAACACAGGTCACCATTCTTCCAGCACACATGATCATTTCATTATTCAGCCTTTGATAATAGTTCACTTATCGTCTTTTTAGCTTTTGCATCAATTATCAGCCTTTGCTTACTACCTGATCCTAGAGCCAGTGCCACATATTTTAGGTTTGTGTTACATATTATTGTACTTGTAGACACAGTCTTTCATCAACTAGCTGTTGTTGTAGATCAAACCACTCCCAACCCAGTGGCCTAGAACAACGTGCATGTATTACTGCTCACAAGTCTAAGGGTGAGGTGGACAGTCCTGCAGGTCTACACTGGGCTCAACTGATCTCAGCCAATTTTCTGATGACTTGCCAGTGCCTCCTAAGGAGTAAGGCTGTCAAACTATTCTGTTCATTTCCTAAACCCACCTGGGAGGTGTGAGCTGTTAAGTAAAAATGGAATATGGAATTCCTGGGGTAGATTCTCTGTGTTGACTGTCCTAGCTGCTGTCTTACATAGCTGGTTCTGTGTCCTGTGAGCTTATACCTGAATAGCTCCAGTGATCTGCCTCAGAGTAATGGCTGATGGGCACAGTGCTCTAGTAGCCTCTCTATATAGCCTTAGACCAAAGAAATATATTAAACACAAATTTCTGAAAATACTTTGTTGATAAATGGATTAGATATCCAAGCAATGAAACATAAAATAGAAAAGCATTTCCTTCCCCAAAACTCTATAAACAACTCCCACAATGAGTTTATGACAATGCTTGAAACTAAAAGTAAAACTCAAGAGTGAAGGCGTTGTATAGAATTAAAATCTGTGACTGAAAAAGGTCAAGGCATTTATATTTTTAAGCTTTAGAAAGAGTTGGTCCTCTTAATGTTTAGGAAATGGGCAATACCATTATGAAATAAATATTTAAAGAAGATTGGCCTGGTAGTAATAGGTAGATTCAAATGGAAGAAATACATACAAATATGTCAAACATATGAGAATATTAGTTCACGTAGAACTTAATCAAAGTATACTTAAACTATAACATCTCATTGATTTATTCCTTAATTCATTCAACAAATATTCATTGAATGTATAAATTGTTGGGCACTGTTCACAGGATGAGAGATATAATATAAATTAAAATTAACATCGCTTTCAAATAATTTTCAGTCTACAGGGAGAAGTACGTAATAAATCTCTAAAACAAATATGGTACGTAAAATATGGTGAAGCTATTTATAAATCAGCATTTCAGATCATAATAAAGTATTGTTAAAGTTTATTCTTAGGAAAAAGATATTTTCCCTAGAGTTTAAAAATTCTTTAAAGTGTAAGTTAATTATAAATAGAACTAGTTTACTTCTTTTCACATAAAATATGGGAACTGAAAATTGGACAATTAACTTTGTGTAAAGTGATAAAGTTAAAAGTTTATTTTTTTGCTTAGAACTGAAAGACAAATGCTAAAAAGTATTCATTATTATTAACTTGAACATGTAGTGCAGATGTAATGTCACCTTTGTACTAAACCAGAATAGATAGTTAAAATCTAAATACAGATCTCCTTTTAAGTGTTTTGGAATTATACAAGAATTTCTGAGTAGGGAATGGGAAAATATTAAAAATCTCTGTGTTGGGAAGACAGTCATTTTACCTTATACTATATTTTAATTTCCTAGTGCTAGAATTTTATGGATCTAACTATGCATTTATAATTTGTTTCCTTCTTTATTCTCCAATTTTCTCTTTTCTTGTTTTTCTCTCTTTACTTTATGTAATCTTCCCTCCTTTTTTCACTTTTTGTTTTATATTTACCCCTTCATCGGTTTTATTTCCTATTCAGTTTGCTTTGACCCTTGTTTCCTCTTTATCAACTTTGTCTTTCCTCCCGTCTCATGCCATCCTTCTCACCACAAAAGGTTCTGTCAGCAGTGTTATTATTTTTTGAATACAGTGATGACATCCTACTTTTATGTTCATTCTGAATTAATAAAATATGTAGTAACTGTTAGTGCAAACAATTGTGACCTGACTGGAAGAAAACGAAAATCCTTGAGGATGTTTTCACACACAATAAATGCATACTAATTAAGCTAGTATGAAGCTTTACATTCAGAGAAAAATAAGATTCATAATAAATGTTTGGATGAATATTGAGAATTTTGATGCCTTTTTTATTTTAAAATATTCTTTTCAAATACCCTAACATAAATCAAAAATAATCAAATTAATAAATCACAATAATTTAAAAGATGCATTACCTTTTTATATGGTGCATTTTACCCCTATGCAAGAACTATTTTAATCAATAGGCAAGATTATTCAGGTGAGTTCAACAAATTTGAATTCCTACTGTGTATGACAAACTAGACTAGGAAACAAGAGTATGTTGTTGGATATAATAGTTAAAATCCTTTCATTTTCCTTTCTTGATGGAGGAGTTCAGAGAAGGGATAGGTCAGCCTTGATGGACACAATGAAGGTAGATTGGGTGTGCTTTTGCCAGAAGAAGAAAACTAAAGGGAATGAGAGAAACAGAAAAAAGAGGAAGAGAAGGTAACAATAATTTAAGAAGTTTGTATTGTGCAATTAAAAAAAAACATTGGTTGCATGTATAGGCACTGAGTGGAAGATAAATTAGACTTTATCTACAATAATTTGTTAATCTAACATTTATTAATCCCCTCCTATTAACTGGGCACTGTGCTAGAAATATAATGATACAGAAAGGAATACAATATGGGCCCTGCTCTGAAATGATTTTACAATTTAGTAGGGGGAGATAGATGTGTCCATAAATTAGTTTAATCAAATATATAAACAGAAAAGTAAGGCACAATGGAGGTGTTGGTCTTTTCTTTCTCAGTCAAGAATATTAGGAAATACCTTTCATGCTGGGTGTTAATGAGGATAGCAAAATATTTATTGGACATTTACTACTTTACAAACACTTTGCTAGACTCTGTAGAGACTTAATCTCCTTTGTTCCTCATAATAACTCTAGGAAGAAGGAGCTTTTTATGCCACTTAATACAGATTAAGAAAGTGAGGCTCACAGCAGTTGTGACGACGCATATTTAATATGTAGAATAATCAGGATTTGAATCTAAGTCCATTTTACTTTTAAGAGACTGCTATTTCTACTACCCTATTTCGGGAGTGTGAGCTTGATTTGACAGTTCTTTGAAAATGTTATGGCTGCTATGCTTAAAACAAATTGGAGGTGTACATCTTTTTGGGAAAAAAAGACAATTATATTCTAGTCAAGAAATACTGAAGTTCTCTGCTAAGTAGATTGGAAAGAAAGGATGAAGACAGGAATAAATGTGGAGAGAGAATCTAAGGTTAAGAAGGAGAGGATTTAGAGAATGACTAATCAAGTTTTAACAAAATCTAAGCAGTTTTAAAATATAAAGGTTGACTTAATGGAGTTACAGAGAAAAGCAGGGGGAAATAATTGGTCTCTTTCCATTCCTTCTATCAGCTATTTGTTCATGACTTTATCATTCCTTGGCAGGACTATGACAATAACCTGCTACTCATTCCTTATACTGACACCAGAATTGAGTTTCTACAGCATCCTCTGAATAATAACCTTAATGGCTCTCCTTTATCTGTACAATAATATCTAAAATTCTTATCCTCGGATATAAAGGTGTTAATCTTGTCACTCTGTGGTACATTTTATATGAGTTCTCCAGTAACATATTCCAATTCACTAAATTTTTCTCTGACTATGTCCTCTCTGGAATGTACCTCATCTTTTACTTTTTCATTTCAATCACAGATTTTTCTTTTTTTAACTTTTATTTTAGATTCAAGAGTCCATGTGCAGGTTTGTTGTTTAGGTAAATTGTGTGAAACTGGGGTTTGGTGTACAGATTATTTTGTCACCCAAGTAGTAAGGATAGTACATGATAGGTAGTTTTTTGATCCTCACCCTCCTCCCACTGTCCACCCTCAAGTGGGCCCTAGTGTCCTTGTGTTCCTTCCTTGTGCTCATATATACTCAGTGTTGAACTCACACTTATAAGTGATAGCATGTAGTATTTGATTTTCTTTTCCTGTGTGTGTTTGCCTAGGATAATGGCCTTCAGCTCCATCCATATTTCTGCAAAAGACATGCTTTCATTCTTTTTCATGGCTGCATAGTATTCCATGGTGTGTATATATAACACTGTTTAAAAAATCCAGTGTAGTGTTGGTGGTTAGGCTGATTAAACGTCTCTGCTATTGTGAATAGTGCTGCAGTGAACATATGCATAGTTGTGTCTTTATGGTAGAATGATTTATGTACCTAGTAATAAGATTGCTTGATTGAACAGTAGTTTGGTTTTCAGTTACGGAATTGCCACACTGCTTTCCACAATGATTGGAACAATTTACACTCCCAGCAACAGTGTGTAAGAATTCCCTTTTCTCAGCAACCTTGCCAGCATCTGTTACTTTTTGGCTTTTTAGTAATAGCTGTAATGTCAGGATTTTCTATCTTTAGAATTTCTGCTTGGCTTATTTTAGTACCCTCCATTTCTCTTTAATTTCTGCTCATTTTGTTTCATATATTCTCGTTTTGTCATTAAGGGATAGTAGTACCTCCTTTCTTTTCTTTTCTTATGAGAATTTTAAACAGTAATTTTAAAGACGTTTTCAGATTGCTCCTTTTTCACTTTGTAATAAATTTGTTTCTTGTAATTGGCAGTCTTCTTTGGTATTAGTTTTTCCTTGTATCATTTTAGAAATTTTGTGAATTTGTGCATCTACGGTGATTGTTGTGTTTATTTGTTTTTATCTTGATGAACTAACAACTCTGTGATTGCCTCAACATGGACTTTAAGCCACCTGATGTAGAACCATGTCTTAAACTGGTGGCTCTGGGAGTAGTCCCATTGATAATTGTGTTGATGTTTTATCTATGGAAACCACACGAGGGGTGGCTGGACCTACACCTTAGATTCAAGCTACATCTGTGTTGGATTCCTCCTTTCTCTTTGGCATACGGTTTTATATTATCCTAATTAGCACGACTTTCAGTGTTGTTCTAACCCCTTGCATGGGAAGATCAGTCCTATCCACCTGGCCCACGATTTGAAGCAAGGAGCTTAACTACAGTCCCCCACCTGAGGCAGGGGACGTTTGGTCTCAATTACACTAGCAGAGTTGATTCTAGGCTATCTCTGCTTGCTTCAGAACCTGGAGCACTTCAGACCTGTAGTTTCAGTTATGCTTGCTACCCTGTGTCTTTGTTTCTTCTCTGATCCCTGAAGTATCTCAGTTGTTCTTTAGGTGCCCTCTGTACTTTGACATTATAGTCGTCCACCAAGGTTCTATGATCCCCAGTGATACTGAAATCAGCTGATGTTCAAGTCCCTGATATAAAATGGTTTAATAGTTGGGTGTAACTTACACACATCCTTCCACATCCTCCTGTATACTTTAAATCATCTCTAGATTACTCATATACCTAAAAAATGTAAATACAAATATAAATAGCTATACTGTATCTTAAAATTCATGTTATTTTTATTGTTGTATTGCTATTTTTTATTTTTTGAAATTTATTTTTGAATATTTTGCTTTACAGTTTGTTGGATCTGCAGATGTGAAACCCACTGATACGGGAGGATCAACTGTATATATGTGGGGTGTGTTTGTGTATGTGTGAGAGAGAGATTCAAATATGGCTGTATATTTGGAATGAAGATGGGCTTCCAATAAAAGTTTTACAACAAAATTCTTAGAGGACTAGTAAAACTGAGTTCCAATACAGACTAGAATTTCATTCCAGCTACCCTCTCTCAGGTATCTGTTATCCTAACTCTTCCGAGGAACAGAGATTTTCCCTGAGTGCTTTACGTACTTCTATATTCTATGCCTCTGCCCATTCTGCTTCTTCCACCAAAACACCTCCTTCCGTTCTCTGTTGAAGACATCGTTCTTTAAGATTCATCCCAAAAGCCACTTTCTATGGGACATTTATCTTGTTTCTTCCCATTCCTTTCTGCGTGTTTTTAGAGTCTTTTGCGCATGCTTTTAGTTTATCACGTCCCATATATCCATAAATGGATATTTAAGTATTTGCTGTCCAATAATATGGTTATTGTGTAAGTTATGGATCACATTCTGATCATCTTTGAAACTCTGGTGCATAGTATAGTGTTTGTCCCATTGTAAGTATCTAGGAAATGTTCAATAAATAAATATGTAATTATTAAGTGAATTAAATCAGAATCATGCCTTTAGTAACAGTATATCAATTTAGGACAACAAAAAATACATAAAAGATTGTAGAAGGTGGCAATACAATGTAATATTTATTTGTTTTACAAATATTCATCTAAAACAAAGCACAGCTGAAAAAATACCAGTACTGAATGGTTTCTACACAATAATAAACAAAAATTTGCTTGTCTTCTAAGAGAAATATTTCAATGTTACTTTGGATAAGTGCTGTTTTCCACTGTTATGTGTAACTTGATGGCTAGCAGGAAAAAGAAATATCAAAGATGGTTGTGAGGTCAGAAGCAGCCATATGGATAAATTTGTTGGATTGCCTAAGAGTCGGTGAGCATAATATTAAAAGCTAAATGGGCAGTAAAGACTCAAAAGCCAAGGTTTTAGCAATTTTAAGAAGCATTAACCAGAAACATGAAGGGAAGTAGGACAAGAGGAATAAGAAATCTGACCTAATGATTAGTCAACAAATGCCTTGGGCTCTTAGAACTTTAAGATATTTAGTGAAATATTTCTGAACACCAATGCAGCAAAGCTTTGTTTTGGTAGGATGCAGTAACGCTGGTATACAGACTGGGCAGCAAGTAAGCAAAACACAAGCCAAAAAATTTAGTCCCACAGAAGTACACTGCAGGTAAGTTGTTGGTGGAATGGGCATGAACACCAGCAAACCATGTATAAGTGAATAAATAACTGTGTCTTGAATAGCTGCTTGCCCCAACACTTTGTGTACTTTATTGGATTCTCATGATTCTAAGGTAAATATTGTCTCATTTCCCAAATGGAGAATGTTAGAAAGATTAAGTGGCTTAGCCAAGCCCTGCAGCCTCCAAGTAGCAGGGACAGGATATAAACTCTTATTTTCTGGCTCCAGACCAGATCTTTTGGTTATTCTGTCTTATACTTTCTAGAAAGAAGCTTGATGTTTCCTGTGCAGGAGGCTAAAATGACATGATAGGGATAGAAATAAATGGGAAATTGCTGACTGTAGTGAAGGTCAGTGCCTGATTCTCAAAATTGAACTTAAATAACTCTCTTAAGGACTTATTCCAAAATTTTACTAGTCGGACTGCCAAGAACTACAGGGTGGAGAAGCTGGAAACATTCTATATCCTAATCACTTAATGTAGCCAAATATTTTGGACCAGATTAGAGTTGTCAAATATTTTATCATTTTTACTGCTGTGGATTGGATTTCATTCAAGTTATTCACATTCTTTTTAAAATAAGGGTTTCACTGCTAATGAAATTTTAGGAGAGGCCTCAACTATGTTCTTATTGAAAGATTAATGTCTCTCATGTAAAGAAACATTCAGAGTTTAAAATTTTGGTGATTATCAATTTCCCCTAAAATGAAACTGTTTTTTTTTTTTTTGCTCTCATAATCTGATAACACTTTTGACATATGTGAAGAGGATATGGGGTAATGGCCCTTGTGTGTTGGAAGGCACTTTAAAGACCACCTAATCATACACCCATTGCTCATAGCTAAAAATGAGGTTTCACTTAGCAGAGGTTAAGTAGTTTGTTAAAGGTTATATAATTTGTTGATAACAGAATGGCAGCCAGATTGCATTATTTGTCCAGTGTTTTTTCAATGCAGAGGGACAATTATGGGTTAGATTTTCTTATTTGTCTTCCCTCAAGAGTTTATTTATAGGTATCTTTGATTGCCCTATGACTGAAGTATTTTGTGATGGGAGATGTCTATGAATGAGATAATCAAAAAGGGGCAGGCGCTCCATTTCTCAGGCAGTGCGTATTATGAGAATTCAGTAGTGCAGACAAAAGAAATGGTTAGCGCCAAGCTGCCTTATTGGGTATTCATTTGGTAACACTATGTAGAAAATAATGATCATTTTTTTCCTAAAGAGATTGTACCATCTACATCCCCTTGGATCCACAGTGGAACTTCCTACATATTGTGAATACTTGTCTTGGAAGCTGATGTATGTAAGATGTGTGTTTTTCTAGTTACTTGCATCATAAATACTTTATATTCTGTATTTAATACTGAATTATAGCTGTCTACATTATTTTTAAGTATATGAAAAGGGGAAAGTCTTAACAAGGCAAAAATATTCCTATTTATAGTAATGGGAGGTAAATTACCTTCTAACAATTTCAGTTTTTTCAAGATAGGAACGCATATCCTCAAAAGCCAAACAATGGCATCGTTATCTTTGTTAGTATTATTATTTATTTATTCAAAAAGCATTTGTTGAACACCTGGTGTGGCTGCTGCTGAAAATGCAAGACTAACCTGGCATTTTCCTTGCCCTCATCAGCCTCCCTGGACTCACCTCCTGCTTCAGTCACCAGGGCCTTCTTTCAGAGCCTCCAAATGCTGGGCCTCCTGCATCTGATGGTATTTGCACATCTCTTCTGCCTCTTCCACTGTCTCCTCACCCTGGCTAACTCCTGCTTCTTTTTGACTTAGCAGGAAGACGTTCCTGATCCCCTGATCTCACTGTGCTGTGCTATCATGATTTAAGCTTAGTCTACAATGCAATGTTTGTTTGTTCACTTGTTTAATTCTGAGTTACAGAAAGAATCTGTCTCTGTATTACTTGCCATCATTTTCCCTTGACCCTGGACCTAACAGGTACTCAAACAATATTCGTTGAATGAATGAATGTCCTCTTGAGACCTATCAGGATATTTGGGGATACAGTTAGCTTACAAATTAATTATATTATAGTTTGAAAAATATGGGGATATGAATAAGAAAAAAATAACATTTAGGAGGAGTGGGGGGTAGTTGAGGAAAGCTTCTCAACGGAGATGACACCTAATGCTGTGTCTTGAAGGATGCCCAGGAACCTGCCAGATAGGGAGTGGGAATGAGCAGCACGCATTTCTATTGAGGGAAAAGCAAAAGTAAAGGCAGGAAAATTGAAAGAATATAGCATATTTAACTGAAAATACTGCTTTTGTATTAGCATTACTAAAGTCAATACTGTACTGTCATCTTATATATAGAACTTTAACAACACCTCTTCAATATGAAAGGATTTATGCACCCATGATGCTGGGAGAACAGATTAATATCTTCCTAGCTTGCAAAGCAATTTCCTCTCTGTGGGGTTGTTCTGAAAAGTTCACCTTAAAAAAATACCAAGTAGGGAGCAGGTGAGAAATTTCACAGCTTAATGAAAAGGTGGCACATAAGAAAAATTTCTGTAATATTATTTTAAAATAAGTTTCTCTTCTTCTTTCTGTTTAATTAAAGCAGAAATTTTAGTGTTGTCTCATCATATGGAAGGCATTCATGTTTTGGAAAAATATCCATTTTAGATGTGAGGAATAAACGAGGCAAAAATCAAACTTCCATCAGAGATCTTCCCTTGACAAAGGGAGACTCATTGGCCTCCCTGCCTGCTCCCACCACCCTGCGCTATAAGATAATGATTGCCAAGTCATTGTGTAATGTAACTCATCGTGCAAATGGGGTATCTATGGAGATCAGTTTATGTTTGGCTTTGTGGTATGGCTGCTGCTTTCATTATAATCCTAATAGATGCACGTAATATTTACAATTTTATTATGATCTCTTTGGTTACACAGTTTATTTTTATTCAACATACTACTTCCCTTCTGTGTTCCCCCTTGGTTGGCTTGGGAGATTGAGACATTTTTCATCATGTTTTCTAGTTAACATTTATTGAGCAGCTACTATAAATATGATGTTGGTGCTTGTCATAATTACCTCATTTATTTTCACAGTAACTGATGTGGTAGTCCCTGTTTTACAGTTTTCACCATAGCTCTATACTTCCAAGTGGCTATTAAAAAACAGTGCTCATTTCCCACATTGTATTCTGCATTGTTCCTAGATTATAATACAAATGATTTACATTATTGAGCACTCATTAATGGCAGGAACTGTTCCAAATGTTCCACATATATTATTTATTTAATCCTCCCTATAATGGTATGATGTCTAGACTATAATTAGCAATTTAGATGAGGAAACTGGGACACAAAGGATTTAAATAACTTTCTCAAGATCACAAAGCTAATAATAGAGCTGGATTTAAATCCAGAATCCATTAAACCATACTGCCTTTTATGATATTGTGTTGTGGTGGGTATCAAATGTATGGAGTGTGGATAAAAGAAGAGAGATCAGTTGAAAGAAGGGATGATTTGTTTACAGTGGGGGTGAATTAAATGTGGTTGGGCAGAGAGCTCTGTGAAGCAGACTCATTGTGCACAGTTACCAGCTTGTCTGGGTCTGGTGAGACAAAACATGCTTACATGCAACAAGTTGCATGAAGCAGGTTTATTACTTACAGATAGATAGTAGGGAAAACAGGAGCCTAAGACCCATTGTGGGCCAGTCTTCCAAGGTTTAGGAGAGTTGCCCAGGCATGGATGGTATCACTAATGGGGGCATCCCACTGGCATCACAGCTGGGGGATTCAGGGAAGCAGCCTGCCCTGGATTTTATACCCCAGGGTCATAGGACATATTGGGCTAAAGTGTTGAAGGAATCTCTGTTTCTAGGGGAGACTAGAGCAGAGCTTGATCTGTTCTACCTTGTCCCTTCTTAGCTCAAGATGCTGCATTTACAGCACATGCTATAGTTGTTCTTGAGACCTACAAGCAGGAAAGAGGGGAGAACCGGGTTGGTGCAAGGCCATCCATAGAATTGTCCTGCAACCTCTATGCTACTTTCAGTAGGATAGTAACAAGTGCTTTCAATTCCTCACATTCTGTGTCTTCTTAAAGCCATGTGTTACTTGGCCTGTCCACAAGACTCTCTCTCCCTCTTATTCGTCCCGAAGAAACAAATAAATACCTCATTCATTTAATCAACAAATGAACATTGAACCGTCATTGTGTCCTTAGCATGATGCTAGGCTTTGAAGATAGAGGAATGAACAAATGAATGTACCTCTGAACTAGGGTTTTAATTGAAGAAAAAGATAAACACCCTGTATCTCTTATCTTTCTATTACCCCACCTGTACATAATCTGAGGATGGGCATTTATTTATCTGACTCCACCACTGTGAAGATTCTTGAGGGCTGAACCTATAACTTATTCATCCTGCTATCTCCAGCACTTAGCAAAATCTCAGAAAATAGTTAAGTGCTCTATAGACATTTGTTGATTGAAGGAAAGAAGAAAACAAAGAATGAAGGAACAACGCAAATAACATGTTAAGATTCCGCAGAACACAAACACATTTAAGTACTATTACCTTGACTCAAATTTTTCATTCAGCTTTCTTAAATTAATGGAGCATGCCACGTACTGTGACAGCATTGTCAGTGCTCTTATGCATTTCATTAGGAGCATAGTGGAGGGAATTTTCCATTTTTACAAAACTATATATTATTTGCCCTTAGCTTTTTTATTTTCCTGTTTTTCTAGTTTAAATCATATTAAGCTGTAGACAGCTAATTTTATTGATGTTATTTAAGATATTATTTCTGAATATTGTGTCCTTTAGCTTCTAGGCTAATTTTCTCAAAAAATCTTCTCTTAATGAATAGGTCATCTTCATATTAGTTCACTTTCTAAGCAGTGCCATTGCCCGAAAACGTGGTCTACCTTATGATATGAATTAAACTGAGAAGATTAAACATTTATATTCTTATCTGTTTTTCACCCATATTCATTAATTTCCTGAAATTTCCACATATTCTTTATGTGCAACATCAGCATTGATTCTTAGGCATTAAATGCCTAAGAACAAAAGTCATGTCTTAAGCCATTTCATACAAAAGCTTGCATGAGGTTATAGTGGTCCCACACAATAGTTTTAATGGGGACAATTTTGTTCTGAGCTACTTTTATGTCATTTTATATAATATTCCAGATACTGGATAGGGACATAATTAGTTTAGAGTCAAAGTTATATAAGTTAGATATGTATTTTTATTTTATCCATTATATATTTTTATTGTATCTATTATGCCTCATATTTCTGATAGTTATAAATGTTGTTTCTAATTGCTTTTATTTTGTCTAGTATTTCTACTGGAAAGATTGGTCTTACTGATTTCTATAGGTAATTTACATACGAGAAAATGCTTTGTAAATAATTACATGATCTGCAAGTATTATTGCTGAGTTCCTAGTAAATAAATGAGGAATTTTTGTTTGCTTGTTTCTAAATTCAGTCATATATAAAATATATAGTAATGACTATGTTATGCTTGGTTTTAATGTGTTATTTCAGGAAACTTTCTCAAGTTCTCTGGGATTACTGGCTATCATTATGAGAACTATTGCAGAAATGAAATGATGATCCCCACAGGCTGGTCTGTAGAGCAAGTCAAACCTGGATAAGAGTCCTGAATCTGCCTTTCACAAACTGTGAGACAAGCCTTGATGTCACCATACTCTGTTCTGAGGAAATGGCAGAGATAACCAGAATTATAGATTTTTAGGAGATCTTTATTAACTTCTTGATGATTATCAGGATCATACAAATAGGCAGTAACATATTTCAAACCTAAATCAGAGGAGCAAATTTTGTGCCTTAATATCTTTTTCTTTAGAATGAGAATAACAACAGTATCTATCTCATTGGGTTTTTATAAACATAGGAGTTAATATTTATATCTACCTCATTGAGTGATTATGAAAATTAAATGAGTTAACATTTATAAAACACACAGAACAGTGCTAGCATATAGTAACCCCTTGCATAAATACCTACTAAATAAATTAAATATAATGTTTAAATTATAAAGATTTGTTATTTACATAAATTTGAAGAACATTTATTAAAAAATAATTTTTACCAAACATTAACTGTACAAAAACTGGATTATTGCCAAAATTCTGGCTTTTTCATCTGAATTCAAATTAATCTATTTCCAAGTAGACTAACCTCAAAGACAGAGGAACCCAACCATTTTCTCACTGGAGGAGGAAATAGAAGATAGACTAGAAAAGTGAATCAGCTGTTACTGTCCAATGTGATAATTGCTTTGATAAGGGAACCCACGGGGTGCTATTAGAGAGATCAGAATGGCTCCAAGCATGATAGCCAGGGGGTTTCACAGGAGACATCTGAGCTGAGTTCGGATGAAGACTTGAAGTGTGGCTCTTCAGGAAAGGGAAGAGCATGTGGAATGCACAGTTTGAAAATGACCTACACATGGAACTATGAGCAGAGTTCTAGCATCAGGCAGGTGTTGCAGCTGTAGCTGTGGAAATGCAATAGAAGCCGAGGCTCAGAGATAATATTGTACCAAGATTCTCCCCTTAAGGAGAATGTCGTGATCAGACAGGGATTTTAAAAAGATCACCAGGATTGCATTAAAACTTTAGAAAAAAATTCGTGCTGAATAAATTATCCTTTCACTTGGCGTAATCAACATAGATTTAGCTAAGTAAAATGAATGAATATTTAAATTTAAATTGAATTTAAATTTAATGTATGTGTGTATGTGTGTGTGTGTGTGTGTGTGTGTGTGTGTGTGAAGTAGGTTTACTTTTTATTTTTGTAAAAGGGAGAATGACACCATTTTTATGGAATAAAACTACCAAATAAACTTGTATGGATGTCACACATGAAACTCAACAGTTCTAAGAGGAAGACAATTCATATATGGACATTGCTTTCCAAATGTGCTATTTCATCCTCTATAATAATGGCAATCACTGTTGCACTTTTAAAGAAAAAAACTACACACACAAAAAAATCTTTTTTTAGGCCAGGCACAGTGGCTCACAGCTGTAATCCCAGCACTTTGGGAGGCTGAGGTGGGCGGACTGCCTGAGGTGAGGAGTTCGACACCAGCCCGGCCAACGTGGTGAAAGTCTCTAATAAAAATACAAAAATTAGCTGGATGTGGTGGCACAGGCCTGTGATCTCAGCTACTCGGGAGGCTGAGGCATGAGAATCGCTTGAATCCAGGAGGCAGAGGTCACAGTGAGCTGAGATGGCACCACTGCACTCCAGTCAGGGCGACAGAAACTCCATCTCAAAAAAAAAAAATCGTTTTTAGAGACAGCGTTCTGTCACTGAGGCTGGAATGCAGTGGTATGATCATAGCTCACTGCAGCCTTGACCTTCTGGGCTCAAGCAATCTTCCTACCTCAGCCTACAGCTGTGACTAAAGTAGAGACCATCATACATGGCTAATTTCTTTCATTTTTGTTGTTTTTTGGTAGAGACAAGGTCTTTCTATGTTGCCCAGGCTGATATGGAACCCAGGCCTGAAGTAATTCTCCCAAAGCATTGAGGTTACAGGCGTGAGCCACTGTCCCCTGCCATATATATATATATATATATATATATATATATATACACACACACACACACACACACACACACACACGTATACATATATATATACACGTATATATGTATATATACACACATATATGTATATATATGTGTGTGTTTATATATATGTATATATGTATAGATATATGTGTGTGTATATATGTATATATGTGTATATATATGTGTGTGTATATATATATATTTTGAAAGCCCTCTCCATGAAGTATGTGTCCAGTATATTAAGTCATCCTCTTCTAAGTAGGTTCCAGTAACTCCTCCCTTTTGCCAGCACAGAACTTAGAACACAGAACCTTTTAATAATTTTGAGTTGAATTATTTCTGTTGTTCAATTATACCTACACAGCTAATATGTGGAGACATTTATTTACTTCAAGATTCTATTATTGATGAATACTGTCTTTTAATTTTAAGGCCAAACTTTTTTTCACTATTGTTTCAGCTTAATGAATGAGTGCCTCCAGCACTTGCATTGTCACTCAGTATTCTTTTCATCCACCTCAGCCCTTTTTTATGGTAGCTTTATGAGCCACCAAATACTCAGAAATATGGTCATCCTTTGGTATATGCTAGAGAGTTGCCAGGACCCTTGCATATACCAAAATTTGCACATACTCAAGTCCCTCAGTTGGCCCTCCATATAGACAAATTTTGTATCCTACAAATACTACACTTTCAATCCTTGTTTGGTTGAAAACAAAAGCCCATGTATACTTGAGCCCAGCAGTTCAAACCTGTGTAAATTGAATATCCATTATGGTCACTCTATGAAAACTCTTAAGTGAATTCTTTGTAAGGCTTTGGAGGGATTTTGAGAAAGGAATTTCATATATGGGAGTATCATTGGTTTGCTTTTGCCTGGTCAATTCATATGACCAGTGCAAAAAGTAAAAATTACTTAGGATAATGTGATTTTAGTCAACATCTATGTCTTGTTTTTAATAACGTAAGTTATACTTACTTATTGCAAAAAACGCAAACAATATAGCATTGTGAAAAGTAAAATCTATCCCAAATCTTAGTCCACATGCCCTAAGATGGGTTTACATATTTGTCTACATACTGTTTTTTTCATAACAAACATATTCCGTACATCTAGGAATTGTATAGGAACAAATAACCTATTTTATTTATGGATTTAACAATTTGAGTTCCTTTTTCACCTCTTTTTTAAAAATTTTTATTTTTATCTTAAGTTCTAGGGTACATGCACTCTAAATCTATATGTCAGATTACTATTACTAATATATTATTTCTGAAATTGCCCACAAATATGTCATAAAATATAGAGCTTTCTCTGTTTTGAAGTTTGCTGAGAGGTTTACTTCTAGGGCATCTATGAAAAATATATATTAGTTTTTTAAAGTTTTCTAAAGGAGCTTCATTGAAATTAAGATAAACATACAACAGGTGTTTCAAAAATTAAGAAGATAATTTGCATAGCATGTGAATATGCAACACAAAATAATTCCTTTTTTTTTCTATGAAGCCTGGAATAATTATTTGATATAAATCAAAGAGTTTATGATGCTAGTGGGGAAATGGTCCAGGTGAAATAAGATTACAGTGCAATAGAAAAGCTATAATAAAAACTGTTAGTACTGTCATCAAGGTCTGTGAAGGATCAAAAGTGTATTGAGCATCATGTAACAGCTGTCTAGAATATGAAGGAAACCATAGTTGTGGTGAGCAGGGAACAATATCTTGGTTTGCAAAAAAAAATTACATATGGCTTGTTATTGTTAAATTAAAAATGGTAACTATAAAATGATTGGACTGTAAAAAATACTCTGAACCTTGGGCTTCAGAATATGGCTACGTGTTAACTAAATGCATAACTATTCTCTATTATGGATATATGTGGTTGCATTTATGTAAACTTATTTAAATTAATGTGGTATATAAGATATAGGTATTTCTCTGTTAAAGCTGTTAACTGAACTCTTTAAAATTCTCTATTAAAACTCTTAACTGAATTCTTTGTAAAGCTTTGGAAGGATTTTGAGAAAGGAAATTCATATATGGGAGTATCGTTGGTTTGCTTTTGCCTAGTCAATTCATATGACCAGTGCAAAATGTAAAAATGGTTGGACTGAACACTTAAAGCATATGTATATGTTTGTCAGATATCTACTATCCTTATTGTGCATAAATAATTGTAAAACATTACTCTTTGACTCTTCACTAATTCCTTCCACATTAAAGAAGAGAAAGCAATGTATAACTTTCAGAACTTACAGAAAGATAGACCATATTTGTACATGGATAGCCTATTTTGTCACGGAAATTTGCTGCCTTACCCTGGAACATGAGAAATATTTTGTTGCCATCTCATTAGATAACAATTGAGAAAGGGAAGGGAGATAGGCTGTACAGAATAGCTAGAGATAATGTGTGGAGCAGGAATAAAGGAAAGCGTCTTTTGTCACATATATTCTCATACTTACCAGTTGCATCCTTCAGATACTTTTCAAACATATGCAACCATAATAAGGATCAATTACATTTTTAGCTAGAATGTAGCCATTTTCAAAAGTAGAAGCTTCACAGTACATTGTGTTGTCCAACCTGTCATTTTTAATTTAATTATTTTAGAAGAATATTTTTTACATCATACCATTACCATGGGGAAACAACCAAAAGCCTCAAGAAGAAAGGATTCCATATACAGTACACTGTAAATAATATTGGACCACTGATGAGATTGACATGTATTTTTGTTGTTTGATTTCCTGAAGTACAGTGACTGAGAAATGTTTCTTAAACGCGTATGAGCACTTATATATGTGCCCGCTAATAGGATACGCACTGAGAACCAAAGATGAATTATAGTCTTTTGTTTTATTTATTAATTTGAGATGGAGTATTGCTCTGTCGCCCAGGCTGGAGTGCAGTGGCATAATCTCAGCTCATTGCAACCTCCGCCTCCCAGGTTCAAGTGATTCTCCTGCCTCAGCCTCCCGAGTAGCTGGGATTACAGGTGCGTGCCACCACGCCTGGCTAATTTTTTTGAATTTTTAGTAGAGATGGGGTTTCACCGTGTTAGCCAGGGTGGTCTCTATCTCCTGACCACGTGATCCGCCCGCCGTGGCCTCCCACAGTGCTAGGATTACAGGTGTGAGTCACCGTGCCTGGCCAAATTATACTCTTTGTCCTGGATGAACCCATAATCTATCTTCATTCTATCTATCTATTATACTAATCTCTACATGGTCAAAACCTACCTGTTCCTCAACTTTCAGCATAAGTTTCTCTATCTAAGAAGGCGTCTCTGGTTCTCCTGAGAGGAAAATAACTTTTCCTTCTTCTGAAATCCCGTATGGAGAAAATGAACCCTTAAAGCATATGTATATGTTTGTCAGATGTCTACTATGTTTAATGTACATAAATAATTATAAAACATTATACATTGACTCTTCACTAATTCCTTCCACATTAAAGAAGAGAAAGCAATATATAAGTTTCAGAATATATTGAAGATTGTAGAGAATACCTGTTAAGTTACTAAAGAAATGCATATAAGGGTATAATCTTTAAAAATTATCGCAACAATTTGATGTACAAGTTATCCCCATTTGCAAATGAGAAAAGTCATGTCAGAGAGTTTAAGTCCTTTGCCTAATGTGTTAAAACCAGTAAAGTGAAGTCAAAAATTAAATATGGGCAATCAAGCACCAGCACTTGTACTCTTAACCTCAATGCTACGCTTTCTGAGTTAATACACTTAAAGGCCTTGGATGAGCAAGCACATTTGAGCACTTAATATTAGTATACACGAAAGTCTGGGTCCATGCATATATGCTATGTACATACATAGCTACATACATATATGCTATGTATTATCTGACTGACTTATGCTAAATATAGACATTCTATAAAGCATCCTGTCCTAGGTACATGGCTTATCACTATTTTCCTCATTACTACAAGACAGAGGAAACTCTGATCTTCTTGAATCTTGCCATCTTCCTCAATCCCTTTAAGTACATACTCTCAATCCCCACCATCTTTAAGGTGAATAAAGAATGGCTTCCTAGGAGAGTGTCGCCAACAAGCCCGTCCCTCCAGGACATAAAGCAGAGCTTTTATCTATGGTATTCTCTGGTTTTCTTGATTAAAGTGTACCTCACTTGTAGCTGCAGGTGACAGGGATCAAATTATATCAGCTATTTTAGTGCCAACATATCTACTGGGCAGGAAAACATTTAATGAATGCTTTTACGTATTTTTTTCTGGTATTCATTGTCTTTACTGTTACTGTTTCTGTATTATTGATATATAAAAACTGGTGAATAGCTAATATTTAATTACTTCTAATAGTTGTAATTAATAACTTATTTTTTGTTCAGTTTTAAGAATTCAGTTTATAAACCATGATCTTATGCTCCATAAATAAATTTCTAACAGAGAGTAGTCAGAATTGGGACACTTTTCCTTCATGCTGCAACCTACAGTAATTTCATTCAATCCCATAATTTTCAGCATAATTATCAGTACATTCGTTTAGCAACAAAAAAAAAACACACACCACTAACAACAACAAAAAAAATCCAAAAAACAAAAAACATTTTCTTTTGGCCTTTTGGTCATTGTTGTTTAGTGTTACTATTTAAATCTTTTCATTTTTATATCGTTTATATTTCCAATAAGTGAGAGCCCCAGTAGATTCAGAAATTATTAAGTACTGACGCTACTTTCTTCATATGGGCTCTGTTCTCTTTTCATTCCTGGTTATAACTGTCTGTACCTGTATTCATGATGTGTGTATTTTCTTCCAATGACTCCTTTGCAGTTATTAATGTATACAATTTCCATCACGTCTTTCGTATTCCACCACTGTATACCAAAAGCCTATTTTTTAATCTTTTTCTTCTTTATCCAGATATCTTCCAGGGTAAGAAAGCGAAACAAATACGTTTAAGAGCAACAGTCTTTAATAGTCATAAGTATATTTTTCGTGTATAGTAAAATAGGACAAGCTTTGTTTAAAATTTTATAAAAGGTGATATGTACTAAGTTTTTATGAAGATATTTTATTTGCTTGTGAGACAGCACAAAGTACTTGATTGGGGTTGTGGTTTCTTATGCTATTGAGGATTTTGTAGCATATTTAATTTTTAATAAGAATATGCTAATAAAAGTATGTTTCCAGCACAAACAGCTAAATCACAGTTGCTTAAAATTGTAATAAAACTAGCTTCCTAATAATAGCATATGAATTAGAAGAAAATAAATGTTACAGACTAGAATAGGCAATGGATTGAGTTAGAAAAGCTTGCCATAAACTCTGAGGAAGATTTAGGACAAGTCACTTTCCTTCTCTGAGTCATAGTGCCTCAATGACTACTAAGGTTGGGTAAGCCTTCAAAACTATGTGATACTGTAAAACTCCAACCTTTTCATCTGGACTTGAGAAGCCTCTTGAGGAGACAGTCAAGACTACCTTTCACTTTTTTTTTCCTAAACTAAAATTGGACTCCAGGAGAGATAATACTGTAGTCTTTTTCTAGCTGTGACTTCTTAACTGCTTTTTTCTCAGTCTTCAAATTACTCTGGCAAGGAGGCACTGATGTCATCAAGAGATGGGGTCACTAGAACACCACCTTTTAAAATTCTAACCTGTTTTTGTACGTAGATGGGATAGTCCTGGGTGTAAGATACTAAATGTGTTTTAGTTATTTCCTCCACTGCCTTGGCCACTGGTCTTTTATGCTTACGGGAGATGACTGGAGCCTCATCTATGAGGTGGAGATAGAGGTAGTCTTATAAATTTTTAGGAATCTGTTATGGATGAAGATAAATAATGTGTATGGAATTTAATGTAAGTCCCTTCATTTAATTCAAAATATGCAAAAAGTATAAACTATACATTTTAAAGCTATTATATGGTAAAACCAATAATCCCCTGACATAGACGTCAGAAAATACTTACAGGAAAGTTCTCAACTGTGTTTTATTCCCAGCTTCCTGGTTATTATCATCCAACAAATAATTTTGAGCATCAGTTGTGTGAATTGTGTTCTGTTCTAAATTTGCTTCTCTTGAATTGTTTTGAAGCACCCATGTGCAAAAGGAAATTTCTAGTAGATAAATAGCTATTTAAAATTATGTTTGGCATTAACTTGTAAATACAAATAAATATCAAAAGCCTCAAAACATGAACATCACAGGTGTGGTTAAAAGGCAAATGGTGCACAGCATTAAAAATTCAGTTATTTTCATTGATGTTATCATAGCTGCCAGCTCAGTATAATAGAGGCTGAGCCAAGATGCATATTTAAGAATATTCAAAGTTAGTTCCAGATAGCCCTAAGCTATTAAGAACCTGTGGTGTAATCAGAAAAGCAGAGTCAGAAGTACATAGGAAGGGCTGTTAATGGATTATTAAGAGAAGCACAGAGGTATAAATAGGCAGATAATTATTGGAAGCTGAGGATGGCTTTTGACTGTTTTGACTGCTTAATGGATCAGAACATGGAGTTAGTCCTATCATGTTTTAAAGATACCAGCCATCTTTCTTGTCTCCTTTATTATGATAGGGTCTGGAAGCAAAGGATAAAAGTTGTGGAACTCATACATGTATGACACTTCCAACTTTGATTTCTTTATTCACATTTCTTTTCAACCTGATAGTTGATTCTGCTCAGTTTTCAGTAGACATGTTGCACCACTGAGGAAGATATTAAATTATGTATTTTCCTACACTGGTGCTTATAGGGTAGGGAAACAAGGTTTTGAATCCATCTGATACATGTAAATTAGGTAGACTTTCCAAATGATGATGTAGAACATTAAATATCTAAGGAAATGCAATGTTAATATTAGGAAAATATTTTAATTTTTAATGTGAATACTTTCTTGCTTAATGCCATTATATATAGATTAACGTATATTTACATAGCCTGATGAAACCATGCTGACTCAATTAAACCAAACTCTAGCAAAGCTAAGACAATGCAATGTGAGTTTTAAGGGTTTCAGATAGCTTTGTGTGTATGTGTTTTTTTATTATTATTTTTTATCTGAGAAAGAAATTAATTCAGCCATTTAAACTCATTGACTAGAAAATTCTTTAACAAGCATAGGTTACAATTCCAAATGCTGTGGATGGTTACCAATAAAAGAAGCAGGCATCTGTTCTCAGATGTGTGAAGAATGAAATGCCGCTTGTTTCATTACTCACTATAATATTTTTGGTGTCATACTATGGAGTCAAACTGTCTAGCCTCACGGATATTTGGGAAGAGGAATCATGTTTCTCTTTCTCTAGAGAAATATCATGGATAAATATATCTTTAATAGTTTTTGGCCTTTAAGTAACAGTACTTAAGTTTTCATACATTTTTATGTTCATGTCAAATTATAAAAAATTAACATTGATTAAGTATTCTATATTTTGCTCTTCGACAAATTCATTGTTATGCTTTGTATTAAATATGAAAATTTAAAAAGTGTATGCCTAGTGAAAACTCTAAGTTGTTTTCTTGTAGTTTAAAAAAATCAAATATACTTCTTTATGTATAACAACTATTTGGGGGAAAATGTATGACATAATTGTTTCTCTGAATTAATTTTTGCTGCTTATGCATTTAAAAATAAACTGCACTATAACAGAGTAACTTTGAAAGGTAAAAGGGGAATTAAATGACTAAAGATGAAAACAAGTGTAATTTAAATGTTACTTTTAAGGAGAAATTTATGTGGAACTGTGGTTTACGATAATTGTTGACATATTCCCCTAAGTACTGTGTCTGTGATTTTTCATGGTATCAATCATTTAAAGCAATTTAGGTAATAACATTCTGACATGCATTTCTGCTATTTTATTTACACCATTTGCCTATATCATTGTAATGCAGTACCTTTCTGATTTGGTGCAGTAAATGCACTCTGTAATATCTATTATGGCATGGTCAAAGGATAATTTATTGTCAAATAGAAAAATAGGTCAACACTAATGTCACTTGATGATCAACCCCCACCGCTCAAAGTTTAATAAAACATCTCACCAGTATGCATTCCAGTGCAGTGGTTGATATTTTATTAGGACTACCTGGCTATAGCAGTAGTGTAATTACTGAGCTGTCAGAGTGATAAGTGGGATTAATGGCAGCCTGATGCACTTTAGTCTGCAGAGCGCTTAGAGAATTGCAAGATGGTATTATTATCAGAGTCTGCCCATTCTGGCATATTCATGACACCAAAGGAAAAAGGAATGCTACAATTCAGGTTTGCGTGGCCCTGCCTCATTAACATCTGACATTTTCAACAGCTGTTATTTGTGAACTAGCTCAATAATAAAAGGAGAATTATTTGGTAAAGAGGCTTAATAACCACAACTAAAAATCCTTACATTGTCAATACTGTTAAGTGAATCTGTTTATGTTGAATATAAGATTTCTCTGGAAGAACAGAAAAATACACTGCACATTAATTTGGTTCCCTTATATCTGCTGACATTATAACTTTATTTTTTAATTGTGTTATTATTCAAGTTGGGTGTTAGAAAAAAGAAAAGCAGAAAACTTGTGACTTCATAGAGATAACCAGAATCCATATGATGTGCCATATATGTGTGTGTGTGCGCTTACTTTTGTGTGATGGCAGATATTTTTACAACTGTTTAAAAGACTTTTTTTCAACAATAAGGTGACATTTAAGTTGGCATATTATTTACTTTTTAGCTATTTTGTATTGCGACATAAAAGAAAATCCTTTCAAACCACTATTAATGCTCAGTATATTTATCCACATGACAGTTACACATATAAATATCACCTCATTTTAACATCAAGGACCAAATAGGCCATACATTATGGAGCTTTTTGTATTGTTTGCAATGTATGCTGCAGATTATACTTCGAAGAAATTATTTTTGAACTCAACAATAGTGTTTCGGGGAAAAAACGTTAAGTATGAGCAGACAGGAATTCAACTAAATGATAGATGTGAATCTAACAATGGCATTTAGAGAAATGATAGGGAAGAGGTTTAATGACTACATTTCAGAGAGGACAATTGATTATGAAAAGCCTTTGGTACTCATTGTGTAAAATTTAATTTAGAGAGAAGGCTAAGGGCACAAACCAGAGAAAAGAGATCAGATTTAAAAACAAGATATTAATTAGGCACTGAGAAATTGGTTCAGACAATGAAGAGGGCTCTCTTACTCACAAAAGAATGACAAGGAGACTGGTATTGTTTTCATGAAGGAAATGAACCAAGGTCTTTACACATGGAAGTGTATAGAAAATGAACTAGCTAGTCACCTTTGTCACTGAGCAATGTAGGATTCATGCTCAGTGAAATTCTTGGAGAATGCTGTTTTTCTGACACATGTGGCAGTAGTATATTTTCTTTAGTTGTCTGTCTCCACATTCATTTCTTTCTACTCCCACTCTCACTTTATGCTAGACCAAATTCATTAGTTCACCTACCTTGTCACGTTCTTTTCTTTCCAGGCACTGGTGCATACTCTTTCTATTCTTGGGTAATTATCCTGAGTGACCCTGCACTCAGAATCCCACTGTCATTTGCTTTCCTAATGTCCACTCGTTCTTCAAGCTTCTATTTCAATATTATTCCTCCCAAGAAGCCTGTCCTGACAACCTCCCTCCAGGACTACTGTCTTTCATCTGTGCTCCCTTAGCATGCTATATTTCACCCAGATTCTCATTGACCACATTGACCAGTGTGTGGCTTTTTCTGTGTCTGTACTTCATTCAAACTGCATGTTCTATGATGGCAGGACCATGGTGATCTTTTTCCAACACTTTTATATTCTCATATCCCAGGGTCTGCTATGTAATGGAGGATTATTAAATATGTATTAAATAAATGAATAAATGAAGAAAAACACACATAAGTTAATGTGCAAATAAAGGATGAGTCTGGCCATTGGTTTTAGTTGTCCTGAATGAATAATTATAGAATGTTGTTCTAACAATGTGCTTCCAACTATGAACACTAGAATCACTTCAGAGGCCCTTTTCAAAATGCGGATTCCCAGGTCAGTAACTTGGACTCAGTAGGGGCTCCTCTGTGAAGTCTGTGCCATTTATCAAGCTTCCCAGGTGGTTCTTAGGTGCAACAAAGTTTGAATACATCTCTGGCCAGTCCCCCGGAGAGGAGAGTCAGATGAGATTAATATGCAGGAAGTTTATATGCAGGTTAACATCTGTAGAAGAGTGAAGGAAGTGGGACTGAGCAAATAGTCACAATAAATGCTTCAATGGCTCCTTGCAGACTAGTTCCCCAAATATGGGAATGGGCAGAGAGCCTCCAACCCCGCTCACTGACCTTGAATTGTATGTGTGCTGCTACTGGAAAGGAGGCTGACCTTGTTGGAGCCCATTCTCTTCAGCAGCAGAGGGAAGGCAGCTGTGGGAATAAAGCTTTGGTCCTGAAGGGTATGGATCTGGGCTATGCTTTGAGGCATCTGTTACAGAACTCAATTGTCCTGTGAATGGGATGGAGGCTGAAAGACTTCAGACAATTGGAAAGAGAGAGAGAGGTAGAGAGGGAAGCTGGGAGGAAGGAAGAGTGGAAGAAAGGATATTTCAAGTGGTAAAATAAGACTTTACCTTTAATCTTTGCATTTGTTTAATAATTTTGGTCTAAAAGAATTACAAACCTTATCATAAAAAACTGCATGCAAGTATTGTCAGCATAGTGAAGGATGAAACAAAACTGATAGAGTGAGGGAATGGTATGTCCTAAATAAGTATGATTCTCTTAAAATCAAGAAGGAACTCTGAGAGGAGGGACAGTTACTAGCCAGCATGATTCTCATTTATGCATCCCAAGAGGAGTGCCAAAGATGAAACACAGAAACTTTGTATTTATTGCTTAAAAATGTTTTGTACCTAAAAATGATACGATTTTATTTATACTTACTAGACACGGACTCTGAATGAGTATAAGGTAGAAAATAGATTATCTCACTTATCTTGTAGTTTCTTAACATAGTTATTTTATTTCCTAGATGCCTGAAATGTGCAGATGCCCCGTGTCAGAAGAGCTGTCCAACTAATCTTGATATTAAATCATTCATCACAAGTATTGCAAACAAGGTAAATTCAGATTTAACTCTGCAAATGAAAATAACAGTATTTGATCTTGTTCTCTATTATCTGTGGGTACAGAATACAGCTTGTCTTAGCAAATCCAGTTAAACCATTAAATATGACTTCTATAGGCATTTAAAAATGTGGCACATTTATTAATTAAGCACTTCCAAGTTGTGATTTATCATGAAAATCCAGGTTCATTGTTTTTTGTTTTGAAAATTAGTTTGTGTTAAAATGAATGATTTTTAAAATTCAAGACACTGAAAAGATTGATTTTAGTTTATGCTTGCTAAATACTAATAGACAAGAACTGTCATTGATCATCAAAACACATTTATGATTTGTGAAATATCTATGAAAGTGTGCTTTGATAGTAAGTCTAGCACATAGATATATCAAGGTAATAGACTTTTTTAACTAAAATTCAGTTAATATGTTTAAGACTTGAAATAATTCATAATGACTCATAGAGTTGTAGCAAAAAAAATACACAACTAAAATTAGAAGAAAAGGCTTATATGGGCATGAGTAGAACAAAAGGAATTTTGATCTTTATTTTTTTTTAAAAATCAATGTAAGTCTAAGCCCAGTTTTCATTCACTAAGTGAATGGTTGATTGATTGAATAATTGATAGTACCTATTGTTTTTGTGAAGAGAGCATTGAGAGCTCGCCCAAGTGTCTAATCCTTTAAGGATGAGCAAAGGCTGAACAATGTCTCCCATAAAGATACAGAGAATCCTTTCACAAGGTTTAACACTAATTTTCTAAAATGCTGTAAAGATACCTTAACTCCTCGTTCTTCAACAACCAGGTGCCTTTTTACGTATAAAGTTTATTTCTTAATATTTCAAGTACTTAGATAATTTAGGAGAAAAATGATAAATACTTTTATATAAATTTAGGGTCTTGAAAGAATTTAAAAATTATTCCTGCATGGTCAGATTTAAATCTGCATTGTCAGATTTATTAGGATTTGAAGTCTGGTTTGAATTTTTAGATAAACCGCTTATTGTGAAACTGGGGGTAATTACCTCCTTACTTTCACTTATGAAGGAAAGGTAGCATCTATCTTACAGAGTTGTAGTATAAACTGAATAATATTTTTATGTGAAAATGTCTAATATAGTGATTACTCAACAATTTTTTATGTGGAATTATTAGTTTCCCTATTCATTCAATATGGTAAATACTATAGAAGTGATTGCTGTTTTTGAAGTAAACTGCTATTTATAAAATCACATTTTTTAATAAAGATCTCATCAGAAAAGGAGAATCCAAAGATTGAAGTCTAAAGTATTTTCGCTAAAAATATATCTAAGTTAACACTCTTCATATCAAGCATGAGGAAATATGAGAATTATGACGGACTATCTTACAAGATCCATGCTACCCCAATTTTTTCATAGATATTTCAGAATCAGTAGTTATTTTATGAGTACACACTTCATTTATTCAAGGTCTACACAAATGTATAGAAAAAAAGACAAAAAGGATTCTTAGGTTTACAAAATGTCTAAGCAAGATCACAGTCATCTCTATTTTTGGAAATCCACTTTCTGTTTCATTAATTTGTTCATATTCTTTACCTAATGGAACGTTGTGCTTAGATATCTATTTAAAAGATTTTTATATGAATATGAGAGATTTGAAGATGATTAATTGAGAAGATAATATGTTGTCAAACCTCAAAAAAAAAAAAAACTCTCCTAATTTTTTGTTGAAGGATCACTGTAGCAATCATAAAAGGTCAAAGACTGTTGTTCTTTAAAGCCTGCAGCTTTTTAGATATTTACCAGCTGTGTACAATGTAGGCTGTCCCACATTGCTTTGCCAGTGGACCTCAACGCAGGAGGGGTGTTCTTTCCAGGTTGAGAGGGTAATTGAATCGCCAGACTCAATGAGCCTTGCGCCTCTTTGAGAAAAGGATGTCACTTGTTTTGTATTGTGTTAGGCTTCTGTGATTCAGTGGAGTTTAGGCCAATACTTCCATTCTTTATTTTCTTACAAACTGGATTACAGCTCTAGTTTTGAAAGGTACACTCAATTCTATTGTCCCCCCTCAGTCAGTTTTTCTCTGTTTGGTTTGTGCAGGCTGTTGTTTGCAATTGTATCTCTCAATTGGAAGTACACATTTCAGATTCATCAAACAGTGAATCCTGGGTTATATTTCTTGATAGGTTTTCTTTTAAAAAACACTACTTTATATGAGAATGCATGAGATCAGTCTATAAATATAGTGAAATAAATGGCTGTTTTAAACAGTGTTCCTTGATTTCGTGATCCTGTATTTAAAACAATAGAGATATATTCTCCTTAAAACTTTTAAAGTGTAAGCCATCGATTTTTCCATGATTTTGCATGTGTTTATAAAATCTGTGTAATCAGATTAGTGTGGCTTTTGTGTATAGATAAATAAATGTATACTATGTGTTACAGAAAAGCTGACTAAATTACACGATGTAAAAGAAAAGTTTTTCTTTGTGATAGATCCTTATTAAAAGTAACTGGAAGTTAAAGAAACAACAAAATCGAAGCAGCAGAAATTATTGATAATAATGTTTGCATTTATAAGAAAGTTACATTGATACGTGTTTGTGTGTATGCATGTATGTGTGTGTGTATATATATATGGTTGAGAGGGATATATATTGTACATATATTGTACACACACACACAAACACACACACATATTACAGCTGTTACAAAGCAGAAAAGCAGAAATGTAACCAATAGATTTGGTGCTTTCTGCTTTCCAGTTTGCCTTTCAGTTTCAATGGCTGAATGGTTTATACTCTTATCAAACAAAATATTGATCATTTCCAGAATAACTTTCTAAAGCTTTGCTCAAATTCTGACTTCCTTGCTCAGTAACTGTAGTTACTCCCCAGTGCCTAGAAACTAATGTCCAAATACATAATCTATTATGTAAGTTGATTGGGGTTTCTCCCACTATTATATTAAAGAAGTAAGTGGAAGAAAAAATGTTGGAAAGTCCGTAATTTATAACCCAGTAATTTTTTAAAATGTGAAGATTTAGATATATGCAACAAAAAGTAGTGATAAGATTTCAGGTTTCCCTTGGTACAGGAGGTCATTTCCTTCATCTTTATTGTTGGATAATAAGTATTTACCCCTCTATCCATTTAAAGAGTATTGACTTATCTATCTGCCATAAGACAGTGCTCAAGAGAACAAAGCTTTAAAACAAAACAAAACAAAACCTCTATCTCCTTTGACCAGCATGTCTCCAAAGTTATAGAATTACAGTTAGGAGGAATATTTTAGAAAATGTCCGTAATAGACAACTATATAGAAACGGAAAGTAGATAAGTGATTTCCTGGGACTCGGTTTGGAGAGTTGGGCAAAAATAGGTGAGGAGTATTTTATAAAAGTGGGTAATGACTACTAGTGGTGATGGAGTATCTTTTTTGAGTGATTCAAAAATCAGTGTTCTAAATTAATTGGTGTACATATGCTATGTAGATTATATCTTAATAAAGCCCTACACACACACACACACACACACACACACACACACACAAATGCACACACACACACCCCCACCTCTATCTCTGTTATATTCCTAGAGGGTACACAAGCCATAATCCTGCAGAGTTGCTGAGTTGAGTATGCCATGTGATTTAAATAAGTAATTCTGAACTCGTGCCAGTTTTCATTACAGATGACCTGCCAATTTTGGCCTATGTATTATGGGTTGGTTTGTGTCATTTAGAATATCAATGTGAGTGGGTTTTGTGTCATAGAATGAGGTTTAATTCTAATTACCTCTTTCCACGTTACAAGACGTTCTGTGGATATTAATTCTCTCTTTTAAAATTTGATGAGAGTATTATAATTGCTTTATTTAGTCAATATTGGATTAGCTTTATTCATATTTTTGTCAATTTTTTCAGTGTTGCAATTTCCATGTGGAAGCCGTTCTACTTGGAATAAATAAAATTTTATTCAGAAAGGGTTTTTTTTTTGTTGCCAGACTATCTTAATTTTTGTTTCTGAACTATTTTTATTTCCATTTTTTTTACTTTTGAAAAGTTTTTTCACTAATTATAGAATTCAGGGTTGGCAATGATTATTATTATTTTTCCACTTCATAGAACTTACCATTTTGGGGCCTTTTATCATACAATGCTACTATTGAAAAATGAATGGAAGTCTAATTATTGTTCATTTGAGGTTAATATGCCTTTGGGGTGCTGTTTTAAAGATCTTTTAGTTTTTGATGTTAAACAATTTTACCATGATTTATCTAAGTCCATATTTCTTTTTATTTGTCCTACTTATTTTTCTTTGCAATTATTGAAACTGGATTGATTTCTTTCATCATGTTGGGAAATATCTCACTGTCTCTCTTTCTTTATGAAGCTCTTATTAGATACATGTTAAATCTTTTTACTTTGTTCTCAATGACTCTTAGGTTTCATACATTTGTCTTTTTATTTACAGTGTGGGGGTTTTATTATAGATAATTTCCTTCAATTCTGTTTTGAAGTTTACTAATAATTTCTTCACCAGTTTCAAATATGCTGTTAAAATGGTCCATTGAGTTTTGAGCTACAATTATATCTTTCATTTCTAAGAGTTTTTTGTGCTTTTTTTCTAATCTGCCAGCTTTTTATTAATCTTTTCAAGACTTTTATTGTTTTATTTATTTATTTATTTATTTATTTATTTATTTATTTATTTATGACAGAGTCTTGCTCTGTCGCCCAGGCTGAAGTGCAGTGGCGCAATCTCTGCGCACTGCAAGCTCCGCCTCCCGGGTTCACGCCATTCTCCTGCCTCAGCCTCCAGAGTACCTGGGACTACAGGCACCCGCCACCACGCCCGGCTAATTTTTTTTTTTTTTTTTTGTATTTTTATTAGAGGCAGGGTTTCACTGTGTTAGCTAGGATGCTTTCCAACTCCTGACCTCGTGATCTGCCTGCTTTGGCCTCCCAAAGTGCTGGGATTACAGGCGTGAGCCACCGCACCTGGCCGCCTTTTATTTCTTAAAACTTAAAATATTCGTTTTCATATTCTGTCAATTTTACTATTAAAAGTCTCTGCGAGTCTGATGATACTGTCTGTGCTATCTGTTGCCTCCACTGAGTGCTTTGTGTTCCCTTGTATGTTCATTGAATTTTTATTATTATTTTTTTACTCTGTCATTTGTGTTGATGCCTTATTGGAGGAAATTCTCTGAGAACTGTGAAGCATGCATGTTTCTTTACAAGGGATTTATATTTGCTTCCCTCAGGCAGTGGCTTTACCGCCAGTCCTCTGGGACCACCTTAAACTAAATTCCTCACTTAATGTTTTTTTTCGAGTCACCAAGATTGTGTGAATCAGACCAAAAATACAAATATAAATTTAATTTGCTAAGGACATTATTTTCCCTCTTTTTCTTGTGTACCCAAGTTTAAGACTGAAAAGTTTCTGTGCAGTTCCAGGTGGGACCTAGGTGGGGTTAATTTTAATTTCTCTTTCTGGTGATGTGGACTTACACAATCCTAGTTTTATGATTGAGTCTTATGTTAGACTCAGACTTTAGGTGGGCCTTGAGCTTTTTTTTCTAAAACCTATATGCTTGGAGACCCTTAAAACAGAAGCCTTTGTTTACATGGTTTGGCAAATGCCTTTAAGATGATTCCCACTGATTTCTCTGGTCTACTTACTGCCTTGTTATTTTCAGTCCTTGGACATGCCTATTCATGACTTAAAAGCTATTTTCCTATAATTTTAATTTCTAATTAGAAGAGTCATGGCAGATAATTAGTTTTCAATATGCCCTGGAAAAGTGCGGTAGATATTTAACAATGAGTGGATAGTCTAAACTGATAAAAAACCCAGAGATTTTGTAGGAAAATATAGGAGTAGTAATTGGGGAGATATATGGAAGAAAGAAACTTTAAAAAATGAAGACAAAAAAGATTTATTATATCAGATACTGATACTACAAAGCTACTGTAATCAAAACAATGTAGTATTGGTGCTGGAATATACATTTCTCAAACAGATGAGAGTCTATAAATAGAACCAAGTAAATATGAGTGTGTAATATATAATAAGGAGGACATTTCAATTCAGTGGAAAATTAATTACTTCTTCAATAAGTAGATCTGGAATAATTTTGACTTTACTTTTAGAATCTTTCATAGGTTATCTCCTAGAATTCTTTTCAGGTGGACTAACCTAGATATTAAAAGTACATATTTAAGGATAAGTTTAATTACAAGCAGCTATAAAATATGGGAGAGGACATTTTACTACCTGCATTTTAAAAATATATTTTAAAATAAAAACTAACCACACTTGAAACCAAGTGAAAAATTATTTGCCATGCATGTTTCAGTCCAAGTGTTAACATCTTTGTTACTCAAAGAGCTCCTGAAAATTTATATGAGAAGGATAACTCAGTGCAGGCATAGGCAAAAATTTTACTATTATAGAAGTCATATAAGTGACTATTAATCATATTAAAATTAGCCTGCTTGCATATTAGTCAGTAAGATGTAAATGAAAAAATGAGATACCAGTTTTCTCTCATCAAATTGTTGAAGTTGAAAAGTAAACCCCTGTGTTACTCAGCAGGAAGGAAAGAACTTTGATATGATGGATATATATTTGAGAATTAAAAATATATGTACTGTTTCACCAGCATGCTTTATTAATTTGTTCTACCTAGAGAAATAAAGTAATTACAATGTAAAGGGACACATATACAAATATATTATTTAAAGCAATTATAGCATTGTTTGAAGTAATAAAAACGGGTGAATACTTTAGTATCAGCTCAATCTATTAGGCTATATTTATATTATGGAAGGTTAAGAAGCAATTCTTAAAATTGCATTTTATATTTATTGGTCTAAAAGGATATTTGTAGTAAGTGAAAGAGGACAAATTGCATAGTAATGTGAATAGTATGACACTACTTTTAGAAAAAAATTTAATCTGTATATAAACAAAAAAGGGGAGGATGTAATTTAGTTTCTTCATTTGATTGAGGTTAGTGTAGGGTGAAGTTAGGTTTCTAACATTTTCCTTATAAATCTCTAAATGACTTTGCTTCTTATAATGAACATACGTTTTATAATAAAAACAATATATTAAAATTCAGTAGTAAAATTAAATAAAGTAAAGCTGAGAGGTTTCACAATAGCACATGACAGACCCTATTCTAAGTTTTCATTGTGGTATAAGGAGTGAGAAAAATACCAAGATTTTCCTCCCAGATTGCTAAAATAGTTCCAAATATGTTTTTTGAATAATTACTCTAGTATACTAATGCCACCTTTATTGCCTATTTGATTCCATATTTATTTAGATCTATTTTCAAATCTTCTTTGTCCTACCTATCTATATGTAACAGGACCAAGCTGTTTTAATTTCTTTGCTGTGTAGTATATTTTGTTATTAACTAAAAGCATCTCCTTGACATTACAGTTATTTTCAAAGTATCCTAGCTTTTTTCTGCGTGTAAAACTAGCTTTGTAAACTGAAAGAGTTCTACAGAATAAATATTGAGCACCATGTTCAGACTATAATAAAATATTAATTTCTAATTATTAATGTAAATGTATGCCCACCTTGACTCATTCATTTATTACTAATGTTACTGTAGTTAATGTAACTATTAACTAAATTTTCCAGAATCCAGACTTTAATTTTAATAAATAGCTTCCTAGTCTTGAATCTGGCAAATTGTGGAATACTAAATTTACTAGAGTTAAAGACAAAGGACTGGGGTATTATTGTTAAAATATCACATCTTAATTGAATGTATGGTGTGAAAAGGATAGATGGATATAACATTATCTATTGAGTCATTAATGCTTATATAAGATGTATCTTGCTTCTGTTTTGATATATATATAACTTCACAAGGTTACATTTTTACTTTTTTTTTTTTTTTTTTGAGATGGAGTCTTGCTCTGTTGCCAGACTGGAGTGCAGTGGCACAATCTCGGCTCACTGAAACCTCCTCCTCCCGGGTTCAAGCCATTCTCCTGCCTCAGCCTCCTGAGTAGCTGAGACTACAGGCGTGTGCCACCATGCCCGGCTAATTTTTTGTATTTTAGTAAAGACGAGGTTTCACCGTGTTAGCTAGGATGGTCTCCATCTCCTGACCTCATGATCCACCTGCCTCGGCCTCCCAAAGTGCTGGGATTACAGCTCCCGGCTCATTTTTACTTTTAATCACAGCTGATACAATGTGTAATAGTCACTGATTTTATTCACTTTTGCTTTAATAGAGGAAGTTCAGATTTGAAAAGCCTGTAAGCTCAAAGCAAATGTTAGTCAATTATAAGTTATAAAATGTAAACAACTATAAGTCCAAGAGTCATGTTAGTATAAATGAGAAAGGATTTTTATTATACATCTTAAGCCAGTTTTATATGAAACGAGTAACATCATATTGTTTGTGGTTGTGTATAGTATAGACAAATTTAAACATATGCTTTTGTAAATATTTGATAAAATTTAAATTATTTTTAAAAAACACTAATGATATAAAAACTAAATATATATAAATTAAATTGGAATCACAACTATTTTCTTTTACAATATTAAGACAAGAAAAATCTGTATAAGAAACACATAGGATACTATTTTGGGTATTTTTTAATATTAATAAGTAAAAGTCAATGTAACAGAATATAGACCAAAAGAAAATGTAATTGAACTAGGCATCTCATTGTATAGAAAAGAAATTTGAAACCCAGCAAAGCTAATGACACAGCTGCTTGATAGTATAATTGAATTTTCTAGATTTCTTGTTCAGTGTGCCTTTGTATTACACTATACTATCGATATTAACAAAGTATGCAGATTATGAAATATTATTAAAATATAAAAGGCTGGAACATTTGCTATCATGACCAAATTTTGTAAGTGCTATTAACGTCTTGAATGTTGAGTAAAAAGTATAATGTAATAGACTTCATGTTAAAGAAACTTGAGTTTAGTTTTTTTGAAAACTACTTTGAAAAATTAAAATTTTTAAAGTAAATTATTAGAATCGATACTAATTATATTTTGAAGCTATTAATGGGTTTAAATTATGTACTTAGAATGGAGGCTTTTTTGAAAAACCCTTTTATTTCCACTGTAGAATATAATAACACACTGTACTATGCATCACAACAGTCTGTCAATTAAGGAATTGCTCATATTCTCGTCAATAAAGAGCAAACTCGCACAAAATAGTCTGACTTTTTTGTATAGAACAAATGGTGTGATATTACAGTCTAGATTTAATGGCATAAATAATCATGTGTCTTTTGGCATGGCATAAATAATCATTAAAGAAAAAGTTTTCAGCATTTTATATGTAAGTTATATATGTTTGAATATATATATATTTCACATTAATATGAGATTCTTTGATTAATAATCTTCACCTTTCAATAATTTCTCAAACTTAAAGATTCTCATTTGCTTGCAAGCTGTGTAATATTCATAAATGAAATTGTAGAATTCTTTCAATACCCAATGCTTTTTTTTTCAACTCTAATGATGACTAGCTTTGACATCTTTGTTTTTGTATTTGTATTAGTGTTTCGATGTAGAAAAGTATCCTCTTTGAAGCAAATTGTAGAAACTCTACTACACACTAAATAAAATAGTATTTCATCTTTTTCTTTCTCTCTTCAAATTTAATAACTTACTGGAAATGAAAAACTTAAGCCTCTAAATTTCTTATAAAATTTATTGCATTTATAATTATTTTCCCTGGATAAAGTGGGGCTTTTATAATTTTAAAATATATATTCATGTTATTTAATTGATAATTCAAAAACTATAAAGCACTTTCTTATTTTTGCCTTTTATAGAGATTTTCATTTTCAATATTAAAGGATAAGTAGGCCAGGTGCAGAGACTAACGTGTGTAATCCCCTCAATTTGGGAGGCCGAGGCGGCTGGATTACTTGTAGTCAGGAGTTCAAGACCAGCCTGGCCAACATGGAAAAATCCTGTCTCTACTAAAAAAATGCAAAAATTAGCCGGGCGTGATGGTGCATGCCTATAGTCCCAGCTACTTGTGAGACTGAGGCAGCAGAATTGCTTAAACCTGGGAGGTGGAGGTTGCAGTGAGCCAAGATATCGCCACTGCACTCCAGCCTGGGTGACAGAGCCAGACTCTGTCTAAAAAGAAGACGATAAGTAGTAATCAGTAGTTCAGTTTCTAGTATTATATATGTAGTTGCCTATATGCTTACAGCCAAAAGGGGTTGATTAGACATGATCTCTGACATTAATAAAAGAAAAAATAAGACACGTCATAAAAATATAAGACTACCGCAAATATATATTAACAAACACAATCATCAAAAGGCTGTTGTACAAAGTGCTTTCTGGCATTATGCTTCCAATTGGAAAAAAGCTGAAGTATTGATAAAGGTCTTTAAAAGAAATGTTACCTGAAAAGAATGGGTTTTGATACAGATGAAAGTTTTATTTCATTTAGCTAGAACAATATAGAGGCAACAATATTGATTCTTCATTCATATCTAGTGCTTACCAAAAGCGCTCTCACATATTTGATGAATAATGAATTGAATACATGTGCACACATAGACTAAGTTATTTTGACTAACTCATGGGGAAGATTGTAAGTTCTCAAGTTCATTAAATAGAGCAGGGAGGATAGGATGCAGAAAATAGGAGTAATAGAAGTGACTTAAAATTTATATAGGTTCTATATAAAAAATTTACCACCATTCATATGCCCCCATGTCATTGATATTTTATGGTTTGGTAGATTAGTGATTTTCTGTACATACATTTTGCTTCTTTCTTTCTGTATTTCTTATTCTACTTCCTAACATGGAATATTTATTTAATATTTATTTAGTAAATATTAAAATCTTAAACTCACAGTATTAACATTTAACAAAATCTTTTTAGTGACAAAAAGCCTAAAGGGGTAGAGTGGGAACCTAAGTTCACTGAATCTATTGTATAGTACATAATGGAATAGGCATCTTATCCATGCACAGTTAAAAAATGCATAATATAAATATGCCTGACGAAGAAGGAATTTTGATCTTCATGTCTCAAGTGATGAAACCGAGGCTGAGAGATATGACATTTCCCCAGTCATATTGCTTGTGCATAGTATAAGCAGAATTCAAATTCAGTTGATGACTTCAAAGCTCGTGTACGTGTGTGTATGTGTGCACGTGCTTGTATGTGCCTGTGTTTTTGTTCCAGTTAAATATCTCAGGATCAATAAAAACGTTATCTTCTACAAGAATGATTATTAATTTCCTTACATGTATAGGCTTAAACGAGGCTCACTGAACCAAATGTGTAGTTCTAAAAATGAATCATATTGTATAAAGCTGATCTAAAATGTGGTATATCTAAGATATGAAAAGAGAATTTTTCAGAATAAAGCTAGTCAAACCTATTCTTCTATCTCCATTTTTTTTTTCTGAGAGTATGAGTACGATGAGGGCAGGAATTTTCATGTGTTCTGTTCACAATATATCTACATTCTTCTTTGCCAAATATCTGAGGACCCACAGGTTGTTCATTGAGGGATGGTGACAGCTTGACAAAAAGAGTGTTCTGTGTGCATGTACTTTCTGTGTGTGGTGCTAGAGACATTTTCTATTCAATTAATGTACATCAGTACATTCACCATTACAGCTTGAGCCAGAAATAAAAGTAATGTTAATTCACCCTTCTCACACATGCAAACTTCTTGAAGTTTAGCCCAAGTGTTTTTTTAAATGCAGCAGATTGGAGTTTATCTTGGAAGGGTGCTTCCATCTGTGAAAACTGTCATTGGAAGAAGGAAGAACACTTTAAAATAAATCCACCAGCTGTATTGATAATCTTGTAGTGATATGAAGACTTGAATATGATAGGACTATTTGTTAAATTAGTTATACCATATGACAGGGTAGCGGCTTGTGAGTTTTCCATTTCTTGATAATGACTTTGGAAATCATTAAATTGTGGAGGAATGACACTAATGCAGTTTCATGCTGTAATTTTAAATAAAAAGCAAAGTATAGAAATTAAATTATTTTAAAATTAACTCACCTAAGTGGCACATGTCGTGCCTATAGACATGCTTTAAATACCCCAAGGACTAATAGAAAATTCAACACCTGCAAATTGTGGGTAAATTAGTGGGCCAAAGAACATTCAATGCCTAATGTGTTGATTTGAAAACAGCAAACATTTCAAATATTATTTTTGTCTTTAGATTTTTGTTAGGAGAAGGATTGAAAGTCTTAATGTTTTGTACATAAAATATCTCTATGCACAAAAAAATCAGATATGTATTTTGTATCCCTCCTGACATAGCTCTGTACATTTTTTCCTCACATGATGGAACACTGAAATGTTTGTGACTGATTGAATAACATGAACCAGTTGAAGTAGTGTGTATTTTCTAGAAGGAGACTGCTGGGGTGTCTATAAAGTACCCTTCTAAATTTAAATTTTCTAGCCTTTACTTTTAAAAAGAATGAAGAGCTCACAGAACAGAAATCAAACCTCTTATGTAGAAGGAGGACTCAAGAAATCTTCCCACTTGCTATGAGAGAATAAATTGATACTGATCTTGACATTATCTGTGGGAAGAATTGAGGAGGTGTTCCCCTCCTAATAGGTTTCTGAGTGTCTTTGGCTCTGAGTACTAAGATCCCTAAACAATGGAGTTATCTACCATTTCTTCAAAGTTATTTGTAATAGATAGATTGCAAAGGTGACTTGTGAATCATTGCTTAATATTGGTTCAACCCATTTTCAAAATCATGCTTCTTTATTCTGTGAAACATGCCTATGCTTTCCTCTTTCTAGGCATCATTGTGTAACCTCTCTTGGGCTCCCTACCTTTCCCCTTCCTTTCTGAGAATTTCCACATCATCTATTCAATATTTTTCTTAGTTAGTTTCTTAATACTGGAACCCTTCTATTAAAAAGCTTTAATTAAATAGTAATCCCTCAGCTTGCCAGTCAGAATCCTCCATAATTTGGTTCATGCATATTTTTCAAATATATCTTCTAATAATCTTTCCCAAGTGAATGAATTACCTCAGCCAAATTGCCAAGTCATTACACCAAACCCTATTGTGAACTTTCTTGAATATTTACTCATATCAATCAAGAATGATGTGGCTATGATTCTCTCTTATCTTAGACAAGTCACAGCCAGAATCATTTTGACTGTTACCCATTTAATGCTGTTTCTGGACACCTTAACCTGAAATGACTTCTTACTCTGATGCTAAAGCATCTTGATATCAGGAAGCATATACTTGTTTTTTTCAAAAAAATAAACATACACATAATGCTTTATATTTAGAAGACATTCAATAAATCCTTACTAACTTAAAACAATTTTTAACCTCCTACAAATTTTATTTTAGTGAAAGGGTTTTACTTAGAGTCATGAGAGTGTTAAGAATTATTAGACAATTTCATGGCAGTAGTAGATCAGACACTCATAGTTTGACAGCTATAGAAAAATCATGAGCCATAAGTATAACTTTAAATATTTTATTTGTTGCAATTTTTCAAACGTGTCTCTTTTTCTTCTTGTGATATCATTTTATGTGCAATCTTGAAGCTAATTTGGGGCCCATGAAACAATCAATATTCTTGTGGAAAGATACTTAAGTGTTTAATTGGATTATGTTTTTTTTTTCTGTGCTTCCTTACCCCAAGTATCCTTAAAAGTGGTCTACCAATTGCAGATCACATTTTTTTGCATGATACTGTTTTTATATTACAAGGACACTTCTAATTATACAATGGGAATTTTGAGTCATGGAGTCAGTCAAATATTTGTTAATGAATCACATCAAGTGTTTCTGTGATGTCATATAAGAGGAGGAAAGAATACTGACAGTGACTTTGAGATTATTTCTAACAATGATGACCTGCTCAGTTGCTTTTACTAAGTGAAGAGATCAGTGGGCTTCAGCAGGAACTAAATATGTTTGCTTAGGAATAGACTGATTAATTCTGAGTTAGTAATTGCTCATTTTCATTATTATTAAGTAAAATTATCCAAAACCAGAAAGTCAGGTCAAGGAGATGACTGTGTCTTTTTATTATCATACTAAGGTATTCTTTAAATACAAGGGAACAACTAAGTACTATTTAGTTTTCTAGGAGAAAGAACCATTGGCTCACTTCTGTATTTATTCTTAAAAATTCAACCTATGAATGTACATGTTAACTAGTAGCTTTGTGTCAAGTAGAGATGCAATTTCTATTCAGAAGAAAAATGATTCCAAAAGTTATGTTTTATTGCCCTACAGGTCATTGCCTAGTTTTGTATATAATCTAGCTATTTTATGCAATTATTCCTTTATTAAATTGAGTATATAATTCCCACTCCTTTAAATGCATGCTTTAAAACATAACAGCTTTTATGAGATGTATTCACTTCCCATGTATTTGTTCATGTAAGTGAAGTTGACAATTCACTGATGTCTAGTACATTTGCAGTTTCAACCATCACCACAGTCAATTTGAGAACAATTTTATCACCGCTAAAAAAAACCTCCATACTTATTAGCAGTTATTGTCCATTCCCTCTCAGACCCCCAGATCTATGATTTACTTTTAGTTCATTTTTTTGTTTGGTGTGAGATAGGGTCAAACTTCATTCTTTTGCATGTGAATATTCAGATATTCCAGCATCATTCATTGAAATGAATATTCTTTCCAATTGAATTGCCTTAGAAACCTTTTTCAAAAATTAATTGAACATAAATGTGAAGGCTTTTATCTGGACTCATATTTATATCACATTGATCTACATGCTTATCCTCATGTCAGTACCATACTATCTTGATTATGTTAGCTTTGCAGTAATTTTTGAAATCAGGAAGTGTTAGTCCTCTAGCTTCATTCTTATTTTTCATTTTAGCTATTCTGGATCCTCTGGATTTTCCTATGAATTTTAGGATCAGCTTGTCAATTTTTGCAAACTCAGCTGGGATTTTAGTAGAGATTGTATTGAAATTTTAGATAAATTTGGATAGTATCACCATCCCAATAATTAGTCTTTTGGCCCATGATCATGGGATGTATTTTCATTTATTTAGGTATTATTTAGTTCCTTTCAACAGTTTTCTATAGTTTTCAGAGTATAAATTTGAACTTTTTACAGTTTTTAATACATATAGTTCTGAATAATTTATTTTGTTTGTTGCTGTTGTAAATGGAATTACTGTCTTGATTTTATTTTTCGTTTGTTCATTACTAACATATTGAAATACAATTAATTTGCATTTTAATCTTGTATCCTGTAAGTTTGCTGTACTTTTATTACTTCTCATAGTATTTTAGTGGATTAGTTAGGGTTTGTATATACAAGATCATTTTACATGGAAATAGAAATAATTTTTCCCTTTCCAATCTGGATAACTTTCTCTCTCTCTCTCTCTCTCTCTCTCTCTCTCTTTCCTTCCCTCCCTCCCTCTCTCCCTCTCTCTCTCTTCTTCTCTATCTCTATCCCTCCCCACTCTGTCACTTCCTCCTTCCTTTTATGCCTAATTATCTAGCAAGAATTTCAAGTGCTATGGTGAATAGAAGTTGTAAAAGTTAGTGTGATGGCTGATTTTATGTGTCCGATTGATTGAACCTTTGTGTGCTCAAGTATTTGGTTAAATTTTATCTTGGATGTTTCTGTGAGAGTGTTTTTGAATTAGATTGGCATTTAAATCAGTAAGGTTAGTAAAGCAGATAGCCCTCCCAAGTGTAGGTGAGCCTCATCTAATCAGTTAAAGGACTGAATAAAACAAAATGCTAGCTCTACCCTGAAAAACACATAATTCTTCCTGTCTGACTACCTTTGAAATGAAACATTGGCTTTCTCCCCTACTCTTGGACTAGAACTAAAACTAAAACTTAACTGGTTCTCAGGCCTTCCAACTGAGACTTGAACTAAAACATTGGCTCTTCTGTGTCTCCAGCTGGCAGACTCAAATTGCAGATCTTGGAAATTTGCAGGTTCTTAATTGTGTACCAGTTTCCTATAATAAATCTCATACACACACACACACACACACACACACACACACACACACACACACACACACACACACACCCCCCCCCCCCCCCACATACATCCTATTCTTTCTGTGTCTCTGGAGAACTTTTGACTCCTTGACTAATGCAGTGAACATTCTTTTCTTGATATTGGAGGAAGGCATTCAGTTTTCACCATAAAGTGAGATGTTAACTGTGGGTTTTTGTAGAGGCCTTTTATTAAGGTGTTGAAGTTTCTTTCTATTTGCAGTTTGTTGATAGCTTTTGTCATGAGGGATGTTGAATTTGTCAAGTGCCTTTTCTGCATCTTTTAATATGATTGTGTGATTTTTTGTCTTTTATTCTACTGATATGGTATATTTTGATATAAACCAACCTTGCATTCCTGAGATAAATCCTTCTTGTATGTTCTAGAAGTATTTGTCAGAAATTAGCATAAATTGTTATTATATGTTTTATACAATTCACCGATTAAGCCATGGCAGCCTCAAATGCCCTTGACTCAGATTTTACTATCTTTATTCTGTATTTGTTAATGAGGTAAATATAATCTTTCACACATTTTTCTTCTCTGTGTGTAAGATATTTCTGTGTTGACTTTTGGATATTATACTTTGACAGCTTAATGATTTATTATTAACCTCTTTTAGAGACACTACCGAAGACTCTGACAAACACAGTGGTAAATCTGATCCAATTTGGGGGAATAAACAGATCCTAATCTCTTGATTAAAAGAAACAGACTTTTAACTTATTAAGCTTTTCATTGAACTGATGGAAAGACCACAACTAAAAGAACTATGTAATAAAAACTACTTAATATAAAGTGTAATGAATCGAATGGACTAGCTATATGTCCTCCAGCTTATATTGAAAAGAACTTTTGTGTGTGTGTGTATGCATGTGTGTGTGTGTGTTTACATCAACATATGGACCATAGCTGAATAAGATCACTGTAACTAGATTCTGTAATCTATTGAGCCATGAACAGTATGCTTTAGTATGAATCCTGTCTCTGCCACTTATCTGCTTTATGATCCTTTGCTAATTATTTACCCTTTATATTTCAGTTTTATTGCTTGTGAGTTTAATTTCATACCACATTCTTACTGCATATTCAGAAAATATATGTAGAAGAACCATTCTTACATGGCAGACATAACTTTCATTGCTGAAGGGACACTGAACAAGACAAATACTGTTAAACCACCACGAATGCTGTGAAAGCCGTGCATTAGCTTTTATTTTAAAATGTTCATTTACTTCTAAAATATCAGTTTGATTCTTTTTAAACAGATTCCAGTATTCTGGTGCTATTATTAATTGTTTCTTTTTTTGTCTTTTCTTTTCCTGAATTTTCGTCAAGGTTATTTTTAAAAGTCTTTTATTCTGACTTAAATTTCTTGATTACCTAGGAGTTTGCTTATTTTATTTATTGTTTTCTTATTATTATCAGGCGTTTGGTCCTGTCTCTTCTTGCATCTAGGAATTTTTGATCGAGCAATGGACATCCTATATAGTGAGAGATGATAACAGTAAATAAAATAATTGGTGCTAAGAGTAAATAAAAGTCTTTTAAAGTGCTGGGGATATATTAAAGAGTCAATAAATAGTAAATGTCATTGTTCCTTTTTGTTATCATCAGTATTCTGTAATCACTAGGAATCTGTACTTATGTCTGAGGCTTTTCATGGAAGCAACGTCTGTGCTTTCAAAGACCTTCAAAATTATTACAAATAAAAGCCAAAGGAAAAATAAATGCAATATGTTTATATTGTTAAGTGCATTCTATCAGCTCTATTCTTAAAATGTATTTTAGAGCAGTTTTAGATTTATGGAAAAATTGTGACAGTAGTACAGAGAGTTTCCATATGCACTCATAATTACCCCTATTATTAACACCCTACATTAGTATGGTACATTTGTTGCAGTTAATGAAATAATATTGATATATGATTATTAGCTAAAGTCCCTAGTTTATTCAGATTTTCTTAATTTTTACTTTTTTTTCTGTTCCAGTATATCATAAAAATCACCACAATACATTTATTTGTCATGTGTCCTTAGGCTTCTCTTGTCTGTTAAAATTTGCCAGACTTTTCTTGTTTTTGATGTACTTGATTGTTTTCAGGAGTACTGGTCAGATGCAATTCTTCCTTTTGATTAGAGGAAAACATTCTCCCAAATATTCAGCTTATTATTCATTCTTTTTTCAGAAAATAATATGTTCCAAAAATAATGAAAGCTCTGGCTGCTTTTAATTTAGTTAAATGGAGGATAACCTGAGTATAACCATTTTTTGTTGTTTTAAAGTTTAGGTTTTGAGTTTGTTCAAACAATGCCATCTAATTTTCATTTGTTAAAAAGTGAAATGAATAATTTTTGACAAGATATAGTTAGATGACTTGTAAATGAAAACCATTTACAGAACATTTATTATATTTTAAACTTCAGTTTTCCAAAATTGATTAGTTATTCATTTATCAACATACTGTGCATTGAATATTCCTATGTGTCAAATACTCTGCTAAGTTTTAATTGATGGTTCCTGATAGTAGTATTGAAACCTATGCATCTTATACACATCATTATCTTCAATCTGATTACCTAGTAGAAGAAATAATGTTTGTCGTAATTTGGCTGTTTAAAGTATATTTTTAAGTAGTAAAATTTTATTTTGTATTAATTTTGCAGAACTATTATGGAGCTGCTAAGATGATATTTTCTGACAACCCACTTGGTCTGACTTGTGGAATGGTATGTCCAACCTCTGATCTTTGTGTAGGTGGATGCAATTTATATGCCACTGAAGAGGGACCCATTAATATTGGTGGATTGCAGCAATTTGCTACTGAGGTATGTATGATATACACGTGACATCCCCCCACTACCATCACCATGCACAAATATCTTAAAATAACTTTAATCCTTGGTGCTCTGTTGATACCCAACATTTTTAGTGTGACACACAGCTCAAGTATGTTTTGTACAACAAACTTTATTTTTATTCAGCAGCTTAGCTACAAAAAGGAAGTGTATAAAACCATATGTCAAATTAGTTGCAATCCCAGCAGGTTATTAAAATACTTTGACTGAAATTATATAAATTAGATGATCCGAAAATAGAACTTATTCATTAACTTTATGTGGAAGTATGGCAAGGAGACCCTCTTATGAAAAGACTATCTTCTGTAACAGATTATTTTCCCTGAAGCTCTCCTTAATCTTTAAAGCTTGAAATACAGCATATTTCATTGTATTCTTTGAGTAATAATGTTAGAGAATTTTCAAAAACCCTGAAACTAAGTAATGTTATTTAACCACATTAATAATGTCATTAGATTTTGTGAACTTATAGATTGGAAGCAGGTCTTTTATTTGGGTAAAAAATGTATAAGGAAATAAAATGAGAGCACTTTTTTTTCTGTTTATCCCATAGACTTTGATCCTGGCTTTCTCTTTAATGAATCATTTGTAAAGACTTTGATTCTTCAGACACTCTTGGGCTCTCTGACGTCTCCTATTTGGAGTCAACAAGCAGGTTAATTCCCATGTATCATTTAAATGATCAGCTTATATGAAGGGTATAGTAAGATTTTATAATCTTTGGAGACTAGTTGGCTAGAAGGTCAAATTAAGTGCCCGTCAACCTAGATTTTTAGTTAATGACTTACTGATCTGGTTTTGTCAGCATAAACACAATGTGTTCTTTCATTTTGGGACCCTTCCCATAATATTCCTCAAGCTTAAGTCTCACTTTGCTCTTAGTAATAAATCAGGGTTATTCCCTTCCTGCTTTCTGACAGGTTAATTCTAAAGAAGAGCTCCTGGGAATAAGAAAATAAAAACAATTCGAGGTTGTGGATTGTTGCAATAAATTCTGGGATTTAATTTCTTTTCTTACCAAATTCAAAATTGCATTAGGCTTACCTGACCACTACGAAGTATGATCTTTACTACCTGTGAAAATCCTTAGTTGATGGAGAAGATTCACTTGAATTCCTCCTCACTTTTCTTTGGGGACCCATTGCCTCTTCATTAAACCAGGGCAAGCTTTCACAGATGCAGTAAGTGAAAGGTCACATAGTATGTATATCAACTAACACAGCATTTTAAAACAAAATGAATTAAAATGATATCATTAGTAATTGATCTGGTCATGAGAGGTGTGTGTGTTTGTGTGTGTGTGTGTGTGTGTGTGAGAGAGAGAGAGAGAAAGAGAGAGAGAGACAGGGAAATACATTATTCCTCTGGAAACTCTCACATGGTTTTAATTCTTTTCTCTGGGAACACTGTCCCTCTGGGAACTCTTACTTGGTTCTACCACTCATTCCCAGAGCAGAGTCTATTTAAGACAGAGACATGTGCCTTCAGAACAGAATTTATTAGAAACTTACTAAAATTTGAGAGTGGTCACACTTAGGTCTTGCCATAAGTATCACCTAATGAAGAGTTATGCATAGATTAGGACTGCAGTAGATGCATTTTAAGTGAATCAAGGAATTTAGAATAGGAATGTATCTGCTTATTTCATTCCAATTATAGTTTGTATAATTGTAATTTCAATATCAAATTATAAATTAAAAATGTCCTCGTGGGAACTACTGAGAAAAGCTTTTTGTCCTTTTTTTTGGGTTGGCCGATTAGGGTGCCTGATTTTAGAAAGTCCTGTATTCCCTAGGTCAGTGTGTGGTTTACTTAAATTTACCCAACTGTCAAAGTTATTAGGAAGTTAAAAAAACAACAAAACGAGTAACTCCGTTTTCACTGATATTCACGGAAAAAAGTACAAAATGCGAAATGTTATTCTTTCAAACTACTATTGACATGAGTATTTAAGTTGAAGTGTAATATGATGCAAATAATTTTATATTTTGATTGTTTGATAAAACAATGATTGTTTTTTGACCTTTAAAGAAATACAAATCTATTTTTTCAACCAAATTAAGCAAAGGTTAGGAAAGCAGATTACAATAGTATGGTATTTTTCAAAATTGTTTTTCCTGTGACTTATAAGTGATTTTTAAAATACCAACTCAGTAGTCTGCCATTATTGGTTAGGTACATACCTTATTCTTCTCCAGTTTAACATGAGCATGTGATTTGGAGGGACCATAGTGGAAAAGGAATAAATCACATGATGCATAGCCTTATGTAGAATCAGGAGGCCAGCTGCTTTTTTTTTTTTTTTTTTTTTTTTGGCAGGGTTGGGGGTGGATCTTGTGTTGTCATTCCTATTCAGCCTTTTGCTGTTTCCACATTTGCAGTGTGAAAAAGCCACCTTCCTTCACACACTGGTGTGTTCATGTAGTAAACAGGCTACCGGGGTGATTGTGACTCACTCTAGGAGGCACTTTTTTTCCCTAGTAATATTTTAATCCTATCATGACATTGTTTCAATAAAATAACTGGGAAATAATAGTTTAGTATAGATTTTATCAGTCACATGATGGTTTTTGAATTTCTCTGCACAAATATAACCCTTGAAAATTTTATTTTGAAAATATTTGTGTATTTATTGGAATTTTGAAAGAATTATATATTATTTACATTTAATAGACCACCTAGACTCTCATTGCCTCTGAAATTTAATTAATGAATTGTTGGAAAAGCAGAAGGAAATGAGAATGCATCTTTCTACCCATTGCCTAAAGTTTGAAAAAAAACGATTTTACATAGAAAATTAGCTGCATGTCAAATCAGTTCTCTTCTACTGATTAAAAAATTATGGAGGCAATTTAGAAATATTAAAATTAAAAAATCCCAGTCTTCCAGGATTTGTGTGTCAAAATGAATGAGAGCTGGAAAATTTATACTTAAAATTACCACCTCAATTCTGAATTTTCAGGAATATACTGGATTATGATATTGACATCTAAATATAAAATTTATTTCACAAAAACATTTTATAAGATTTTTCTGATATCTGTGAAATATACCATCTTATGATATATACCTCTTAGCACTTTACTTATATTTAGATTTTATACTTTTATTGTACTAATACCCAGAATCTACAAGAAACTCAAACAAATCAGCGAGAAAAAAAAAATCCCATCAAAAAGTAGGCTAAGGACACAAATAGACAATTCTCAAAATAAGATATACAAATGGCCACCAAAAATGTGAAAAAATACTCAACATCACCAGTCATCAGGGAAATGCAAATTAAAACCAGAATGCACTACCACCTTACTCCTGCAAGAACGATCATAATTTAAAAATCAAAAAATAATAGATGTTGGCATGGATGTGTTGAAAAGGGAATACTTTCACATTGCTGGTGGGAAGTAAACTAGTACAACCACTATGGAAAACAGTGTGGAAATTTCTTAAAGCACTAAAAGTTGATCTAACGTTGGATCCAGCAATCCTACTACTGCGTATCTACCCAGAGGAAAAGAAGTCATTATATGAAAAAGATACTTGATCACACATGTTTATAGCAACACAATTCACAATTGCAAAAATGTGAAACCAGCCCAAATACACATCAGTCAATGGTTGGATAATGAAAATGTGATACAAACACACACACACACACATGCACACACACACCATGGAATACTACTCAGCCATAAAAAGGAGCAAAATAATGGCATTCGCTGCAATGTAGATGGAGTTGGAGACCATTTTTCTAAATGAAGTAACTCAGGAATGGAAGCCAAACATCATATGTTCTCACTCATAAGTGGGAGCTGACTTGTGAGGACACAAAAGCATAAGAATGATACAATAGACTTTGTGGACTTAGGGGGAAGAGAAATGGTGGGTGGGAGGATGAGGGATGAGACAACCCATTGGGTACAGTGTACACTACTTGGGTGATGGGTGCACCAAAGTCTCAGAAATCACTACTAAAGAACTTACCAGTGTAACAAAAAGTCACCTGTTCCCCAAAAACTATTGAAATATTTAAAAATGTAAGAAATTTCTGTGGTTTTAAGCCAAAAAAGAGAATGGAACTGACAAGCAATTGTAGATGAAATCAGGTGACTCATTCAGAAAAGAGGTATCTGTAGATTTTCCTTTTTTATGTTTTTAAACATTTTTTTTATTTTACTTTTTGTCTCTCAGCAGGTTTCTAAACTATCACCTCTCATTTGACTTTACTCAATCCTTGTCGTATCAGCATATACTATTTGCAGTAATGCAATAAATACTTTGAAATATACAATAAATAATTAACTACAGTTACACTATTGTGCTACTGAACAGTAGATCTTATTCCATGTAAGTGTATTTTCATACCCATTAACTATCTGGAATTGAATTGGATTTTTCATTAACACAAATAAATGACAAATGCTTGAAGTGTTGGATATCTCAAGTTACCCTGACTTGATCATTACACATTGTATGCATCTATCAAAACATCACATGTACACCATACACATTTGACACTAATATGTATTAATAATAATTAAAAATAAAAAATAAAAAATTGAATTTTTTCATGTAATTGATAAAATGTATTTTGTTTTATTTGCTTTAGATTGAACATATATTATAGATAAAATGCTAAAGGCCATGATATTCCCTTCCCAAGTCAAGCACTCTGATTCATTGATGAATATGGTCTATGTTTTATGTTTCCTAAGAAATAATTGTACAAAGAATGTGGAATTCTCAAATGAATGTTGAAGTTTAGAAACTTTCTCATCTGTTTATTGACCATTCATCTTCCTCATCTTTTTTTAAAAAGTTTATTCTTTGTACATTGTGTCATATGTGTGGTGATGGAGGGATCTAGGGATATAACACACCCACCCTGGATTCTCTACAGAAAGCCAGTTAACTCAATTCCATTTATTGTGTAGTTTGTTGTTTCCACACTGATTTGTAATAACTCTGATTTTATACAGTAAGATCATATGTATGAATTTGTCTGCTTTTGTTTTTTTGGCAGGGTTTGGAGCTCTATTTTTTTTACATTGGTCTATTTATGCATCCATTCACTGACACAAAATGTATTAATTGCTACAGTTTTATATTTTTATATATGATGGGGTGTTTTATTCTTGATTTACCATTTTCAGAATTTTGTTAACTATTCTTATGCCTTAATAACATGATGATGGGATATTTCTTAAGGGTTAAAGAAAGAATATACTATATATTCCAAGGGACTGTAAACATTTATTTCTATATTTTATCAAGGGTAGACACAGTTTGAGTTAAATTAGTCTGGTAAATATACACTAATACAATTAAAAATGTCAAGTGTTATGAGACTACATTAGAGAACATTTAACAATTATTTAAATTACATCAACATTTATGTTTTGCTTAAAAACGATAATAAACAGTTTTGAAGAATTGGGAATGGAGAAGGAACTTGTTCACTCAAATTAGTATATGATTGTTTTAATAGAGCAAATATTACTTCTACCATATCTTCACCTTGGTTATGGCAGTCACTGAAATTCTTAAACTTTTGTATTCTACAACTCTATTTTAGGAGAACATAGACATATGTATTCTAATGAACAATAGAGTATTGCAGGTGTGCTCTGAAATAATGTATTTCTGTGATAAATTTCATCTATCAAATAGAAGAGTGGAGACAGAAATATTAAGTGCAAGCCCCGTATTAAAAACAGTCATCAAAAAGATGAGTATTTGTGCATAAACTGAAAAGTGAGGTTGGAAATACTCTAGCTGTGTATTATGTTGATTGCTTTATAAGTAAGATGATCAAATGACCGAGATAGGTTAGATAATGATCAGGACATTATTAATAATCAGTCCAGTACAGCAGGAGTAAACTAACACCACCCCAGGCAAACTGGCTTATGTGAATACCCAGTGTAGTAAGAGCCCACTAGGTAAGGATTCAGTTAATCAAACTAACATTGATTGGGCATTGATCAGCACTGTGTGTTGTTGTAGACTGCTTCTTTACTACAAGTCCTAGGGAACATTGTAGTTTCTCAGGAAATAAAGCCAACAATTGAAATAATGTAGTAAATGTAATGAGACATATAGGTTTACATTGGCATCCTTGGACTTATTGTCCAATCTTCATTAATTTTTGTCACATGGTTTTGGAGGTGATTAGACCTTAGTGCAAAGAAAAGTATCAGGCAAGGAGAAAATGCAGTTATATTGTACTTTGCATAGTGCTTCAGTGCATTTTTGTAATATCTCACTCAAAAATGCTGATAAACAACGCTTGAGGGCATGCAAACCAGGTAATTTTTTTCCCATTTTGGACATAAGGAAACTAAGAATCAAAGTGATTACAAAATCACAGCTAATGTTAAATAAACTCCCAGTGTCCTGCACAATGTTGAGTACTTTATTTAGAGCTTGATTAATCCTCAGAATAACTCTCCAAATAATGTTATTATTTCCATTTTACATATGAGTAACAGGAAACTCCAGGAAATTAATTAACTTCCACAACCTCACATGTAGTGAGAGGCAAATCTGGAATACAAAGCTAGTGGTTTAATTTTCATTATTTCACAAACTCTTACTTGCCCCAGGTAATGTTACTAGTCAAAGACAGAGGCGCTCAATGTAAACCCTGGTTTTCTGGCTGTAAGGCCACAGCAGTATCTGTTGCATCTTCTAGGCTAGCCAAATATACTTGGTCACCATACCTCACAAGTCCTTGTTTTTCTGTTAGATATGAAGCTACTACATTGAAATAGGTTGGGTAAGACCAACACATACGGCTTAGTTGTTTTTTTTTTTTTTTTTTTGTCTTTTCTTTTTTAACTTCTGTAGCCAGGAATGAATCTTAAGTTTTATGGGGCTTCAGATAACAAAATGTTGGGTTCCTTCTTTAGAAATTACATTACAGCACTACTGAAAAATTTAAATACAAGGCCTTAGAAGGGGTCTATATGGGCCAGGCGTGGTGGGTCATGCCTTTAATCCTAGCATTTTGGGAGGCCGAGGCAGGCGGATCACAAGGTCAAATCAAGACCATCTTGGCCAACATGGTAAAACCCCATCTCTACTAAAAATAAAAAAAATTAGCCAGCTGTGGTGGTGTGCACCTTTAGTCCCAGCTACTCAAGAGGCTGAGGCAGGAGAATCACTTGAACCTGGAGGCAGAGGTTGCAATGAGCCGAGATTGCGCCACTACACACCAGCCTGGCGACAGAGCGAGACTCCATCTCAAAAAATAAATAAATAAAAAGGGGGGGTCTATGTGACGAGGAGCCTTGAAGCGTTAAGTGTTTATCTGCAGTTTTATTTTATTTTGGAATGCCTAAGTATGATTTTGTGAAAGCTGGTATACAAATAAATTTAGGAATAAACCTAGCACATTTATGATACAGTTTGACAAACTGATCAATAAAATCTATCAGTTCATTTTGTAATCTATAACTAAGATAAATTATCATGATAATGAAAAATTACTAATATATATAGCTAATAACTTTTTGCAGGTCATTTATAAATAGGATATAGATTAAACTATATTTGTTAGATTAATGATATATCACACTTGCCCTATTATCCCAAAGTTTTATCACTTTAAATGGGATTTCTCTATACTACTTCTATTTAAAATAGTACTATTCAATTATTTGTGAATGTCTTTAACCAATACCCAACCCTCAAACACAAAGGTGAATTATTTCTGAGAGAAGTAAGATATAGATGAAAAATATGCATTAAGCACTAATAAGATAAATATTTTTTACCCTGGTAAAATGTGTCTGTCTGGAATGCAAATACAAGTAACATCTTTGAAGATTTGATTTGTGTCTCTCCTTTTACTCTTAATGCAGTGATTAATAGAAAAGAATAATGTCTTGATAGAATTCACTAAATATCTGACATTCTTCTCCAAAAATCTTTAGAAATCTATTAAAATATTCCTTACTGGCACAATGATTTATAATAGAACTGTGGGGCCAGATGAATTGCTAGATGATTTTTATTACAATATTTTAGTTTGTTTTAAAACTGTATCTTAATATCTAGGACTTAAAAATAAGCTACCGTGATTTGGGGGCAATAACTTTGAAATTTAACGAAATCGCATGGTTAAAATTATTTGCGGTTACTTTTTTCTACATTAGTTTTTAAAAATAAATGTAAATTTATACTATTTCGTTGCCAATTTACAGTTTTAAAGGATTCGTTGGTTTAAGCTTCAACAACTTAAAAATGTATATACTTTCATAAAAATATTTGATGACTCATAATATAGGGTAGTATAAAGCAATATTATTGTATCAACATGAATCACTTGTAAAAGGCATGATGCTGTAAGTTAACATTTAAGCCACCCATTTATCTTCAAATAATGATGATAAGTAAAATTTAATGAAAGTAGAAAAAAAATTAAGAGGTGAACTGAAAAAGAAATATAAATACCTTTTGGGCCAGAAATGGTATAAAAACATGGGGACTAGGTTATTCTCTGCTAACTTCTGCTGGGGAGTGGTCTAAGATAAACTTAAGTGCCAAAAACATCTTGCATGGTAGAGGACTGGACTCAGCTCCACCTCATAGAAAGTTTAATAAAAAATAGGTGCAACTGCTGTACAGAGCTGAGGCTTATAGAAAGCTGCAGAAAAAAGTAGAGAAAGCTGTACAGCAGGTATTGTGGGCATGTGTCTATGGTACAGTGATTTGGTTCTGTGATGCCTCTAATCACCTTGGACTGGAGCCCTGGACTTTAAGAAACTTGGTTCTGCAGTGGGAGAGAGGGATAGGAGTATTGTTGATTGAAGGCCACACACACCTGATACAAAGCCATAGGGGGAGTGCCCCGAAAGAGAATAAAATTCACTCAACGTAAATGAGAAACAAAAAGGTAGAAACTATGTTAGGAAAGATAATCTATTAGTGATAATTTAAAGACTTACCTGATGGTACCTGACTTTATCCTAATGAAACACAAATAATATTATAATCAGGCCTTTAAAATTAATATGTATAAAATAATATCCTAAAAGGAGATAAAATAAAAAAATCAACGGTGAGTTTAATATAAAAAATAGTTGACTGTAAATTTACACTATAATGACAATCTCAATAGAAAAGGTCAGTTTTGGGCTGGATAGAGGCATAAATTGCAGAACTAAAGAAATAAAAAGTAAAAATATGATCTGAGTATTCAACCAGAGCACAATAAAGAGATACGAATAAATGAAAAGTTTAATAGAGAAGTTCAGAAGCTTCTAAGACTCCAATACACATGTAAGGGGAGCTCCTAAAGTAGAGAGACAGAGATTGGCACAGGAGGAGCCTTAAAGCAGTTATGGTGGAAAATTTTCCAGAAGAAAGGAAAGATGAAAGGTCTTCACCTAGACACAGGGTTGTGGTAATATTGTGCAATACTAAGGATAATGAGAATCAGAACTTCAAGATAAAGGGAAAACAAATTACTGGAAAACCAAATGACAATTACTCTGACCTTAGATTTCTCATCTGCATCTACTAAGAGTTATTCTTTAGAAGGAAGGAAACAAATGTGGAAAGAAAGATAAAAGAAACAATGTGTAAAAATATGGTTGTGAATATAATTAAATATTGATCCCAGAGTAATTATAACTTATTTTGAGTTTTAAAAATAAAGATGTAAAAAAAAGTTTTATAATATTGACAAGGACGTGTTTTGGAAGATAAAAATAATAATAAAAAACTCTTAAAAGATGTAATATTCATAAACATTTATACACATGACAACATAAATTTACTCAAAATTTGTAAGGTTTATTTGTATAAAGTTTATTGGATTGATTTAAGAAATCTATACTTTTCTGAGCCTAACATAGAACGAATGCATCATTTTCATGCACTTGCAGAACATTTATCAAAACTGACCATGTACTAAAAAACAGTGACTTATAGTCCCTGACTTACAATGATTCAACTTAGGATTTTTTGACTTTAAAATGGTGTAAAAGTGATGCACATTTAGTAGAAAACTTACTTCAAATACTCATTCACCTACTTTATTTTTAACTTTCAGTACTGTATGCGATAAATTACATGAAATATTCAGTACTTTATCTTATAACAGGCTTTGTGGTAGATTATTTTGCCTATCTGTGGGCTAATGTAAGTGTCCTGAGCATATGATTTTGGATAAGTTTCTTATAACTAAACTATAAACACTTAACGTTTTCATCTATATTTGGTCAGTTTTAACCACTCTATTCAATTGGTTTATCAAATATCCAATATAACCTTTGTTTAGTCATAATAACACAGACTATAATCTTATGAGTCAGTTCCTTTGTATAGAAAATGAACAATCATACCTAAAGTCGAAGATTTTTAGGATTGGAGATATAAATATTAAGTTCCCCAGAGAGTGCCTTGTAAGGAAAAGGCATTCATCACAAGAAGTTATCACCATTGACTCTAATCTTCACAATAAATTGCTGAAGTAATCATTACTCTTTTAATTTTCAGTGTTGGTATTTAAAAAGGTGAAGTACTGTCTAATATATATATGTTTTTTTTATTGTTGTTTTTAAGGTTTGGCTTAGGTGTCAATTTCTCTTTCAGGTGGGTTTACCTTCTCAAATACTCTGAGAGCAACGTTTGTGAAAATTAACCCTGTTCCAGACAGGCTACATAGTAATATAGTTTATTAAAAATATTTAGGACATGTGAGTGCTCTATTATCCAGGGAGCTAGTTACTGGAGAGTCTATGTTTTTTTTCATACTGGTGTCTAGGACATAGGAGGTACCTAAACAATACCTACCAAATTGAAAAGGAAATTGAATGAAAGAATATTCTGATTTCAGCTAACACAGTATTTTTAACCTGCCAGTTGTTTCTCTCAATGTCTATTTTAATAATATGAAAATTATGGAAAAAAATCTTTGAGAATTACTAATACAGTAATAATTTTGATAAATAAAAATTTGACATTACATGAAGTTTTTATCATTTTTAATACATTTGAAACACAGTACTCACTTTTGGTGTTCCTGGTCTAATTGTTATGAAGAAAACTATTTGTCAAGAAGCCCAAGTATATTTCTTTTCAAAGAATGAATGCAGTGATTAGTATGTACTCAGTATTTCCTTTGACTTGTCTTACAAAAGGAAACAAACAACAAAGAAAATTACATAGAAGCATCTCCTAGAAGGTATGTAATTTCAGGAAACTTACTTTTGGATGCACAAATAGCAATTTCTTCATTCAGGCATTCAAAAGGTAACGAGACATTCATCCCACTAATTAAGTAACTCAAGAAACTGAAACGAGCAAAAGAAAAACTGATGTATTATTTTTATTAAGATTTATCTTAGACCTACACTGATGAAATAACATTCCTTTAGAAATTACCAGAAATTATTTTTATTTGATAATGAAATCAAGGTAAACACTTGCAAGAGTATAATCCTCTTGTGAGGTATGTAGAATACAATCATACTGTTACAATTCATCCTTCAACTAGTAGAGATGTTCTAAAATTTCCAAGAGTATTTTACTTCTCATGACTTCCCTATGGTATATATTTGCTATTGTTTGGTTAATTAGAACAAACAGAGTAATTGAGGAATAATTACAGCTATCAAACATTTATGTTTATTTTCATTATATACTCTTAGCAAGAAGGGTTAAAACAAGCAAGAGTTACCCTCAAATTTGAATTGGTAAATATACTTTTATTTACAATGCTTTGTCTTTTTTCATTTATAGAACACTATATAATGATTAGAAAATTATACTATTTCTGTCTCCAGAAGGTGAGGAGACTTGGGGGAAAATCCTGTGGCTCCTCTCTGCATTGCAATCTTTCCATTTTAAATATCAATATAATCTCTCCCTTTCTTCAAAGTAATGTGAAAATTATGGAGAAAATGCTGGTAAAGTCAATTTGGAGTGGTGAAATACATGCACTTTCTAGATGAATGAAAGATGAGAAATCACAGGATGAATACACAAGAAAATTAATATTAAAAATGTTCCTCAAGAATGTACTATGTACCCACAATATTAAAAAATTTAAAAAGTAAAATTAAAAAAATATATACCATGTACTTACAAAGTAAAAATATTAAAAAGTAAAATTTAAAAAAGGATATTCACTTGCAGATAATTCTTCATTATCACTAAGGTAGAACTGTTTTCCTTGGTGACTTTTACTACTTTGTTTAAGCATATCACTGAAGGCCAGGAATTTTGAAATTCATCAAAATCTTGTTGAGTGCCTATTAAAATAATCTTAAAATAGTCCAAGTGATACAATATTTGTAGGGAAGGGAACACCTTAAAAAGAATACAAATGCAATTTATAAGACAAGAAAAGGAAAGGAAATGTATACAGAGAAGGAAGAAATAAAACTGTCTTTGTTAGCAGGTGGCAGAATTGTCTATGTAGAAAATTCCAAAGAATCAACAGAAAAACTCCTGGAACTAATACACAATTTTGGCAAAAAAGGATATAAGATTAATAAACAAAAGTCAGCCACTTTCCTTTACAATAGCAATAAATGATTAGAATTTGAAATTAAAAGTATACCATTTACATTTGCATCCTTAAAAACGAAATACTTAGATATAAATCTAATGAAATAGGTATAATATGTATATGAGAAAAACTATGAAACTGTGATGAAATAAATAAAAAAAGCTAAATAAATAGAGACATATTCCGGGTTTCCAAATAGAAGACTTAGTATTTTCAAGATGTCAGGTCTTCCCAATTAGATCTATAGATTCAGTACAATCCCAAATCAAAATCTCAGGAAACTATTTTATAGATATTGACAAACTGATTCTAAAGTTTATATAGAGAGGCAAAAGATTAACCAACATAATATAGAACAACAAAGTTGGAGGACTCGGACTACCTGATTTTAAGACTTACTGTAAAGCTGCAGTAATCAAGACAGTGTGATATTGTTAAAATAATAGACAATAGATCACTGGAACAGAATAGAGAGCCCAGAAATAGACACACGTAAATATAGCCAACTTATCTTTGACAAAAGAGCAAAGGCAATATAATGGAGAAGGGATAGTCCTTTCAACGAATGATATTTATACCACCCTACTTCCATATGTAAAAAAGTGAATCTAGAAACAAACCTTACACCCATTAAAAATTAATTAAAGATGGATCATAAACCTCAATGTAAAATACAAAACTACAGAACTCTTTGAAGATAACATGGGAGACCATGTAGATGACCTTCGGTTAGACAATGACTTTTTAGGTACAAAATCAAAGGCAAGATTTATAAAATAAATTATTGATAAGATAGACTTCATCAAATATAAAAAATTCTGAGCTGGGTGTGGTGGCATGTACCTGTAGTCCTGGCTACTCAGAAGGCTGAGGGAGGTTTGCTTGAATGCAGGAGTTTGAGACCAGCCTGGGGAGCATAGTGAGACTCTCATCTCAAAACAAACACAGAAACAAAATTAAAACTTCTACTCTGCAGGAAACTGTCTTGAAAGAAAATGAAAAGACAAGCCACAGGCTGGGAGAAAATATTTGCAAAAGACATACTTCATAAAGAACTGTTATGCAAAATGTCCAAAAGTCTCTTACAACCCAACAATATGAAAACAACCCATTTAAAAAATGATACAAAGACCTTAGCAGATATCTCACCAAGAAAGATATACAGATGGAAAATAAGCATCTGAATAGATGCCTCATATGTATCATCAGGGAAATGCAACATGAAACAACAACGGGATACCACTATACTATTAGAATGCTTAGTCTGCTCAGTTTGCTACAACAAAATACCATAAACTGGATGGCTTATAAACAACAAAAATTATTTCTCTTGGTTCTGGATGCTGGGAATTCCCATGGATGAAATTGGAAATCATCATTCTCAGTAAACTATCGCAAGAACAAAAAACCAAACACCGCATATTCTCACTCATAGGTGGGAATTGAACAATGAGATCACATGGACACAGGAAGGGGAATATCACACTCTGGGGACTGTTGTGGGGTGGGGGGAGGGGGGAGGGATAGCACTGGGAGATATACCTAATGCTAGATGACGAGTTAGTGGGTGCAGCGCACCAGCACGGCACATGTATACGTATGTAACTGACCTGCACAATGTGCACATGTACCCTAAAACTTAAAGTATAATAAAAAAAATATATGCTCATAAGCTGCTTTCTGGTCATAGGTAAAGGCTTTTTACTGTGCCTGTCTTACATGTGACAGGGGCAAGGTATTTCTCCTGGGGTTGTTTTTAAGGGAACTAATCTAATTGAGGAGGGCTCCTCATGACCTAATCACCTCCTAAGTCATGACCTAATGACTTTTTAAAAACCCCACCTTTCTAACATTTGTGGTTAGTTTTCAACATACGAATTGAATGAAATGGGGGCGTAGACACAAACATTCAGAGGAGACCAAACAGCCAAAATGCAGAACACTGATATCACCAAATGCTGACAGGATTAGGAGAAATAGGAACTTTATTCTTCCCTGGTGGAAATGCAAAATGGTACAGCCAATTTGGAAGACAGTTTGACAGTATCTTGCAAAATTAAACATACTCTTATCATATGATCTGGCAATTTACCCCAAAGAGTTGAAAACTTACGTTAACATGCAAACCTGCACATGGATATTTATAGCAGCTTTATTCATAATCACCAAAATTTTTGAGATATCCTTCAGTAAGTGGATGCATAAATAAACTATGGTACATACAGATATTGCAATATTATTCAGGATTAAAAAGAGAGGAGCTATCAAGCCATGGAGAGACACAGAGAAAACTTAAATATATGTTACTAAATGAAAGAAGCCAATCTGAAAAGGCTGTATATTGTATGATTTCAACTGTATGGCATTCTAGAAAAGGCAAAACTATGGAGGCACTAAAAAGACCAGTGATTGCTGGGGAGAAGGTGAGAGAGGGATGCATATGGAGATTAAGAAGATTTTTAGGACAGTGAAAGAAACTATTGTGTATGATGCTGTAGTCCTATGATGCTATTTTCATAATAAATTTGTGCAAACCCATTGAAGGTGCACCAGTTGTAATAAATGTACTCAAATGTACCACTATGGAGAGGATGTTGATAATAGGGAGGCAGTTCTCTTAATGCACCAACTACCTTAGTTCTCGGGTGGCAGGATAGCATGGTGGGAAACCAGATGATGTAGTTCAGTGTTTTTTAAATGCTTCATGAACAATTCTTGGTTTGTAAAGTTAATTTATTAATTATAATAACCAGCTATTTTTGTTAGTAGAGTGGCTAGAATATATCAAAATCTATTTTATCAGAATGTATGAATTTAATATATTAAAATATAACATATTCTAAGTGGGTTAGGAATGACAAATTCATATAATTTTTTCAGTTATACATTTCTTATTGAAAAATTAGAGAAATATAGTGAATTTTTTAGCGATTACTGTGAAAATGTAATCGTTAAAAAACAAATTTACAAGAAAAAAAACCCATCAAAAAGTGGGCGAAGGATATGAACAGACACTTCTCAAAAGAAGACATTTATGCGGCCAAAAAACACATGAAAAAATGCTCATCATCACTGGCCATCAGAGAAATGCAAATCAAAACCACAATGAGATACCATCTCACACCAGTTAGAATGGCGATCATTAAAAAGTCAGGAAACAACAGGTGCTGGAGAAGATGTGGACAAATAGGAACACTTTTACACTGTTGGTGGGACTGTAAACTAGTTCAACCATTGTGGAAGTCGGTGTGGCGATTCCTCAGGGATCTAGAACTGGAAATACCATTTGACCCAGCCATCCCATTACTGGGTATATACCCAAAGGATTATAAATCATGCTGCTATAAAGACACATGCACACGTATGTTTATTGCGGCACTATTCACAATAGCAAAGACTTGGAACCAACCCAAATGTCCAACAATGATAGACTGGATTAAGAAAATGTGGCACATATACACCATGGAATACTATGCAGCCATAAAAAATGATGAGTTCATGTCCTTTGTAGGGACATGGATGAAGCTGAAAACCATCATTTTCAGCAAACTATCGCAAGGACAAAAAAACCAAACACTGCATGTTCTCACTCATAGGTGGGAATTGAACAATGAGAACACATGGACACAGGAAGGGGAACACCACACACCGGGGACTGTTGTTGGTTGGGGGGAGCGGGGAGGGATAGCATTAGGAGATATACCTAATGCTAGATGACGAGTTAATGGGTGCAGCACACCAACATGGCACATGTATACATATGTAACAAACCTGCACGTTGTGCACATGTACCTTAAAACTTAAAGTATAATTTAAAAAAAAAAAGAGTTCAGGCTTTGGAGTCAAGTAGCCTTAAGATAAAATCTTTTGTATGTGAACCTGACCACAGGTTTCTTACCTAGGAAATGGATCTGATAATTGTACCTCCATAAAGGAGGGTTGAAGACTAAATGATAGAGATTTAACATAAAGCCTGGCACATAGGATATATTTCAATAAATATTGGCCACCTTATTATTGTGGGGAAATACATATTAAGTATACTTTTCATTCATCTTTAAATACTTCAGTCACTCTCTTCTGATATTAACAAGTTTATTTCATTTATTACATTGTTTCGGCAGTTGACCCTTCAACTTAAAAATTAAATCATAGAATATTAGTCAGTTGATGGACAACTGACATTTGCTTTAACGAAAAAAAGAGGGGTCTTTCTCACCGAAAGAGCCAAATTATTTTATAATATTTTTGTTACATTATGAAACAATAGGGAACTATATTCTAAGAAAAAATCTCTTAGGAATTTGATACTGTAAGTAACTGGACCTAATAATATCTTTTATGTATAATTTGTTTGTAATTTTATGTTGCACTTCTCTGAAGACTGATGTAGTTTAATAAAAGGAATGAAAAATATTATTTTTGAAAAATATTCTTCGTATTTATGGACATTTTAAATTTTGTAATTTGTTTTAACTAACTTTTGTAAACTTTTATTTTTAAATTTAACAAAATTAAGTTAACCCTCTTTTTTTTAACTTACACAATCTATTCATTGGCAGTTTAAAGTGTTACAATATTAGTTATTTTAATTTACATTTTTCATATAATGCCAACTCTAGATTTATAATTGATTTCAATTTTCATAGTTTCATAATATACTTAAATACAAATCACTACCCCCCATTCACCCACAAAATATTTTTGGAGCTATTTATTTGGCTTTTTATCCATTTGCCCTCATTTTGTCATAATCAGGCTACATTCATGGAAGTATATTGTGTATATATGAAATAATCCATTACTTGTATTTCAGTTAAAAAAGAGTTAGTTGCTGATGTTTTAAAGGGATAGAGGGCCACTTATGCCTTCAGATCTCTATTAAGTTGGAAAGTGTAACTTATGTATTTCAGAATTTAGGGTTGATGGTAGAAGAATATTAGTGGCTAAAAAAACATTGAATGAGCCCTCATGTATTGCCGAGGTGCAATAGTGTGCTGAAGCCAGCCAGGACCAGCTCTAGTGCTGATTAAATTTTTAGGAATTTTGTAAACAGGTTGTGAAACACAGTAATTTTGAAAAATTAAAGTATATGAACATGTAGTCATAAAAATCATATTAAAAATAACTATAACAAATACTACAAACTCACTGCCTCTAAATTATTTATTTCCCATTAACTATGCTCATGAGATTATTTATATCTATTGCATTATATGTTTGAAATTTTAATTTTTGCAGTGATGGATGTGTTCGATGTATTATCCACTAGCCACATGTAGTTATTGAGCACTTGAAATATAATTAGTGCTACTGAGGTCTTTGCATTTTTAATTTTATTTAATTTTAATTTTAATTTGAACTTAATCAAATGTGGCTAGTGGATTCCGTCTTGGACACTATGAGTTTAGATACATTCTGTCTCATGGAATTTGAACACTAGGTGAAATGAGAAGTAGATAACATTTGCTATATGGGCAGGCAGTTTCCTAAAGCACTTTCCACATATAATTAGCTCATTAAATCCTCAAAGCATCTCTATGAAATATATTTTATTAATCCCACCTTATTAAGGAGACTGAGGCATAGAAATGTTAAAGGACTTGTTCAATTCTATACATCATGAGAATGATGGAAGTCAAGACTCAACCCCAAGAGTCTCGTTTCAATGCCATACTTCTAAAAATATACCATCTGTTGTGCTGAAATTCACAAAAATGTGGTTCAATTATTTACTTCCTTAAAAATTGCATCAAGGTTAATCCAAACTCCTGTTAAACTCGGGGAAAACCTAGTGCAATAAAAAGTTGTAAAGAAAAAATTCCAGAACAGAGCAGGCAAAGGGATACCAATTGATAGATTAGTGTATTGAGCCAAGCAATGTAATGAGTATGTATTGAACAACTCTTAAGCTGCAGTGCACGGGGTTGAGCAAATCGGGCTAACAATTTACATTCTAGTATGTGCACATATGCTATGTGTACTGAGGAGTGTGCTTGCTTTCATTTCTTCAAACACTTTTTAAGAGTCTTTAACTCTGTGTTGGGTACTTAATAGGGATTCTGTAAACATTTTTTAAAATAATTCAATGTTTGCATCTCATAATTTTTTTAAAAGAAGGCTTAAATTTTTATTCAAAAATATTAAAATATTTTAGGTGAAAATACATACATATTGTGTATTATTTGGTAATTGCTACTTTATTATTTGCATGCCATTAGCTAGAATTTGTTCAGATATGCTAGGCGTTTCAGAACTAACCTATTTCTTGCTTATGAGTGAATGCTGAGCACAAATTATATTCCATTTGGTTATGACACTGTAACTTCATATTATAATGAATGCTGTAGCCTTAGTACATTTAAATCTGCTTCCATTGTAAAAGATGTCAGCAATAAATGATACTTTTAAATACATCATAAATGTCTTCATTTAAGATTTGTTAAAACACAATGTTATTTGTAAATGTTAGCAGATTTTAACATGGGAAAGTTAAATATTTAATTATTAGTTCACAAAGCTAAAATTATTCAACTAAATATGAAAGAAATTAGCATTTATTTAATCCCTAAATAAAATTAGCTATATCTCTGTTCCCTGATCAGAGATCCTTGATCACGTTAAACATATGTTTTAAGTATCTCTTTATGAAAAGTATGTGAAATCTTTCTTTGGGGAAATATAAAAAATATATTTTAACTATATTTTAATTAATGATCTAATAAAATATATATTTATGAAAAGTATGTGAAACCTTTCTTTGGGGAAATATAAAATATATTTTAACTACATTTTAATTAATGATCATATAAAACTACCAGAATTTAGTTCCTTGTTCACATTGCTTAGAAAGGAATAAAAGATAACAGTATATGTTGATTCAAAAACAATATTTAAGAAAATCTGTACTGTTTGGATAGCACAGGGAAGAGCAGGAACACATATTAATAATTTGTAAATTATACAAATTGTAGCTGGGAATAAGAAATTATTTTATTACCAATTTAAACTCATTAGTTAACATATATTCCCCCTTATGTATAAAAACACTGAATATTAAAAGGTGAATTCAAAGATGTTGTCTTCCCTTAAATATTTTATGGTCTAAGAGAGGAAACAGATAAGTAAACCAGTAAAAGTGACAAAGTATTAGAATGAAAATGACAAAATATTATGAGACCATTTATGAGGACCTTTCATCTCATGCTTAGAAATTGACCCTATAATACTTGTTGATAATACCCTCTTCAATTTTTTAAAATAAGATTGTTTGGATGTTCCTTATGTGTTTTGACTTTATTTACAATAGTTTGTGGTATATGTGGGATGAGGTTAAGAAAATGTAAAGTCCTGTCACCTTTATTCCTCATTCTTAAGAAAACTTACATTTATATCTATTGATCTCTGTCTGGGTTTCCAGGAGAGAAAGTTACTGCTTTGACCTATTAAATGCAAGCAACTGTGTGAGCCAATCCATTGGATAGCATAAATAACTTACCTATAATATGGATTTATTCATTGGCCACTTCTATTGGTAGTCAAGTTTTCATGAGAGTAGAATAATGAGATTATAGTGATTTATTTATTTTACTTTTAGTTCTATCAATTTTGCTTTATATATTTAAAATTGTATTTTAAAATCTTGTTGAAAGATTGACCATTTCCTTGCTATGAAATGTTCTTTAAGTTTAGTAATGCATCTTGCCTTAAAGTGTAATATTTCTAATATTGGTATATATATATTTCATATATATATATAATATATATATGTACCAGCTTTCTTTTGGTTAGTGTTTGCTTTGTATAACTTTTTCTAGTCTTTAACTTTACACTTATCTATCTGTGCTCTTATATTTAAGGCATTTATCTTCCATAACTTTTGTCTTTTAATTGGAATTTTAGTCCATTTACATTTAATATAATTTCTCATGTTGACATTTATATTTACCATCTTACCATTTGTTTCTTTGTTTCCTACCCTCTACCACCTATTTATAATAATTTTAATTAATACATTTTAATAATGTGTTTTTAAAATCCCACTCCCTCCTTCCACATTAGCTAGTTATTTTTTTTGCTAAATATGTTTTACTAAATGTACTTAGTAAATTTAATTTTTTATTTTTAACAAATTCCAGCTTTTAATGAAGTTTACATTCTTCTTACATATTTTTGAACATATCAATCATAGTTATTCTAAAATTTATTTTTGATAACCACACTTACGAGATTATGTATGTATCTCTTTCAATTTTTTTAGGTTTATTTTTCTTGCAGGCTTGGACTTTTAAAAATAAAAACCCAGGCATTTTATAAAAAATTTGTAGAAACTGTGGTTGACTTATTATTCACAGAAAGTGCATTCTATCGTTTGGTACATAGATAACAGTGAGGACTGATCACTGTCATTTAAATCCAGGGCTGAGTTGACTCAAGGCTAGGTTGGCTATTTACCCCTCATTTGCCCTACTTGTAGAGTGTAGCCCTCCAGAAGCTTCAGCCGTACACTGAGGTGTGTACTAGGGCTCTTTCTTATTTAGTCACTCCAGTTTTTGTTTTTCCTGGACCATAGGGTTTTCTGTTTAGATCTTTAGGTTTTTGTCATATGCACTTTAAGAATTAATCTCACTCTTCTGTACTTTATTTTGCTCTAGGTTAATGGCCTCCTACATTTCCAAAACTCTGTGTCTCTCTGGTTTCAAAAGACTGCCAACATCTCTTTTCTGAGCTGTGGTTCTCTTCAAGATGCTTAGCCTTCCTCCCTTTGGTAAGAAGTCGCAAATCCCTCAGGGGAAAAGTGACTTCTGGTCACTTAACTTTGTTCTTACTTTCCTCTGAGATGTTAGCCCTTCCAAGATGCCTGCGTCAGTAGTTCTTGAATGTTTCAACTATTTTTTTAAATCATTATTCTCCCAAAGTTAATCTGTCATAATCAAAAGCAGAATTCAAGAAATTATTTATTAAATGTCTACCGTGTGCCATCGCAATGCTAACTCCTATAATGCAAGGGTAATGTGTTTACATGTGACATGTTTTCTGATTCAGGGAACTAACATTCATTCTACTGACTGACATCATAACACATACCACAGATGGTTATGTTAGAGACATACAGATTATGCTGTAGGAGCTTAGAGGAGAGGCACTTAATGTACCCTCTAGGTGGGAGTAGGGAATGTGCCCCATGAGTGTTTCCTAGAGGAGGCATGACTCTAGAAAGGAAAGACTGAAAGTTAGCCATAACTCCTCATCTACTTGACACAATAAAAGTTGTAAGTATACCATATTAATACTGAAAATGTACTGCTCATTGCTATTTAAAACAAGAATTCGTTTGAAACATTAAAAATATGTTTGAGGATGTAAGCTAGTTTCAAAATTTTAACCATGACAATTGATTTCCCCGTAGGTATTCAAAGCAATGAGTATCCCACAGATCAGAAATCCTTCGCTGCCTCCCCCAGAAAAAATGTCTGAAGCCTATTCTGCAAAGATTGCTCTTTTTGGTGCTGGGCCTGCAAGTATAAGTTGTGCTTCCTTTTTGGCTCGATTGGGGTACTCTGACATCACTATATTTGAAAAACAAGAATATGTTGGTGGTTTAAGGTAATGCCTACATTTATTTCATGTTTATAGTGTCAGAAATGATGGAGCAAAACAATTATGAATATTGTTGGTTCATAATCATATAGGAACTTCAGGCTCACAGATGGTATTTTAAATGTTCTTTTTCCAAATGTTCAAGTTTTGATTACATTATTCACTTTAAAATTTGCAGTTGGCTTGAAGCAATATTTATTTAAAAAATTTTCTCTCTAGTTCTGTGAATTTAAGAGAAATCTCTGCAAATTATTTTTTGATTATAAGAACCAATCATATGAAAAATGATTTTAGCCCTGTGAATATTTCTTTTAATGGAGATATAACTGAAAATCCTGGATATTAGTGATGTGGAAAACCTAGATCCATGGAATATTGGACTATTCATTGTGTTGTCTACATAGATATGTTGTCTTACATATTTTCAGTTTAAAATTTCTTAAGTCTTACTTTTGATTAAAATTTTGTCAGCATGTACTAGAAATGTATTTAAATATACATTTTTAAAATCACATGATCATATTATTCCCATGAAAATTTATACATGGAAATGGGAATATATATTGAAAATAAACAGAACTCTATACGGGACACATATTTCATTATCATAAAGAAATAAAATTTATTACAATTAGGGAATAGATATTGCTTAAAACATTTTATACAAAATAAAGAATTTGGATGGTAACTGAATAATATTACTCAATTGATTTTTATTTTCTCTATGTATATTATCAAAAAAATCATGGATTACAAAATGTATCCATTTGGAATATCTGTTTCTATGCTTAACATTTAAATTTGTTGTGGCTACTGCCCTATGTGTAACAAATAAATTAATCATACCCAATAATCACAGAGGATAAATTTAATCAAATTTGTTACTAAAATTTGTGAAGTTTCTTATGTTTTTTGGCACCAGTGAATATATGTTAATAAATGTATAAATTTCAATATTACTCAAACAACAATATGCTAAGCCCAAGATAATATAAAATTATCAATTATCAATTATTTGTATCATTGATATAAATATGTTGATATATTTATTAACATAAATATTGATGTATAAGCTATCATTAATATAATCTTATTTGACTGAATCATCAAGCAAAAATATCACATTTTAGGAAGACCCTTTAGTGTGGGCATGAAACATAAATAACCTGATTGTTAAGAAATAATTATTCTTCTGTACTGATGTTCCACTACTATGAATTCCAAGAGATTACATGTATTTTATGAATTTATTTTTCTGGAAAGTAAAATGTCCTATATATTATTTCTCTGGAAAGATTTAGAATATCATTTTAATGGTATTTACCACAGCTTTATTAATTAGAAAAAACATAATCTATTAACAATATATGTATAAGCATTGTATGTTGTTTTCAGTTATACACATCAGTGAATATCTGAGTCAATTTTTAAAATATGAACTTAATTGTGTACCCTGGTAAACTAGGAAAAATCTGTTTGCCACTTGATTGCATTTTCACAAAAGGCCTAAAATGGAACCAACCCTATTTGTAACTTACTATGTATTGCCAATTTTGGTAGATTACTGTTGTTAGCCTATCTCTTTTTTAACTCAAATGCAGGATAGGCATTTGTAATTCATATAAATTAGTACTAAACTTGTTTTTTTTAAATTTATTTGCTGAACATTTTTTTAGTGAGACAGAGTTCTCTGGATCCAGACCAAACATGGTGGTTTTTCTTTTAAAGTTGTTAAATTCTTTCTTTTGCCTTTGAATCTTTTCAGTATGTAGAGACAATATGAAATATTTAATCAATCTCCTTTGTACTGTCCCATGGTACAGGCATTCTGTGTCACTGTTACAGGATTATAAAAACTGATGCTGGAATTTAGCCGGAATTATAGCCACAAAACTTTCCTGTTACTTTATTTTCTACTTACGGCTGCCTCTCATTCTCTTGTATCTTGAAAGTGGCTAAAAAAGATTAAATTAGCTTTGTATTTGAAATCAATTGCTTAAAGAGGTAATGTCAAGTTTTATCTTTCCTTCTCCTTTGCATCCAAACAGATTCTTTTATCTCTGGTGAATTAGTATCACAACCACTTTTTAAGAAATCACTGGAGTCAGTGAAAAATATCTAGGATTTAATCTCCATTGCATTGAACACATCAATTATTTTTAATGTTGCAACAAATTTATAAAATAATCAGTAGTTTTGCTTTCCTCTAACAGTGGCTTCTGTTTTTAGGACACGAGTTTAACAGGGTTAAAAGGGCTTGATATTATAACAAAGATAAACAAAATAGTGCTAATAGATTTTCAAGAATGTTTGTACATATATACATTCTGATTTTTCTCTTATAAATTAATATATAAGGATTATGATGTTATTGTTAGGATAGTGAGGCCAATGCTGCCCTTTGCTTTACCTCTTTCAAATTTTATATTGTTTTCATTAGGCCTATTGTTTTTCTTGTTGATTGACAATAAAGAGAAATGAGGTCTAGGTGAACTAGTTATAGCAATAGGAAATATTTTGAGAATGTGTGATGTATTACAAATTTAAGTCTATTATCTCTATAGTAATAAACTGAAGCATACCTCTGTCAGAGTATGAGAATTGTGCTTTAAAAAGAACGGAAAGTTGTTATAGATATATTTCATCACATGAAAGAAACATGAAAATAGAAGAAAGATTTTTTTCATGTTGTCTGACTTTCCACTGACTATACTAAAGGACTTACGATTACAAGAAATTTTTTTTTTTCAAAGCCTTAGATTGTTACAGGAGCACAGATAGAAGAAAAGTTTGTTTTCCTAAGCACAACAAACTTGGAAAATAATCATTCCTATTAAATTCTGTCTTCTGTCCTTTTATCTCCTTTCTCACCATGCAGTCTTCAGAATAATCTCATTTACTCTCATGGTTTCAATTATCACCTACATGCAAATTTCTTAAAAATCCATATCTGCCCTGACCTCTTTCTCTATTCTAAGCAACAGATTTATACATTCAAATCCTAGACATCTCCGTATAAACTTCATATCAATGATCAATGTTGCTTCTCTTCCTGAGTTTACCATCTCAGAGGATGGCATCACCAAAATGGGGATTATCTGGGCTACTCTTTAATATCCTGGCAATTCCACTTTATGAACACTCTAAAAAAATGTCCTCTGATATCCTTTACCTCTCAGTTTCCTTTTTTTTTTCTTTTTTTCTTTTCTTTTTTCTTTCTTTTTTTTTTGAAAGAGTCTGGCTCTGTCACCAAGTCTGGAGTGCAGTGGCGAGATCTTGGCTCACTGCAACCTCCACCTCCGGGATTCAAGTGATTCTTCTGCCTCCGCCTCCCAAGTAGCTGGGACTACAGGCATGCACCACCATGCCTGGCTAATTTTTGTATTTTTAATAAAGATGGGATTTCATCATGTTGGCCAGGCTGGTTTTGAACTCCTGACCTCAAGCGATCTACCCACCTTGGCCTCCCAAAGGGCTGGGATTACAGGCGTGAGCCACTGCGCCCGGCCACCTCTCACTTTCTTTACCACTGCAGTAGCTTCCAAGCAGTTATCTTGGCTTCCTGATTTGTTTTTTCAAATTCATTCTTCCTTTAGTTTCAAATCTGATTCTATCACTCTTCCACTTGAAATCTTTCAACAACTCCTCCTAACCTCAGAGATAAAGGATCTGTCCTGGCATAAAAACCCTTCCACGACCTGATACCTACCTGTATTTTCCCCTTTCTCCTTCCCTCCCTTCCTTCCTTCAGTATATATATATATCGATCACTTAACTATGTGCTGGTCATTATTTCTGGCTCTATTTAGAGCATAAAAGTAAACAAGGCAAAGTGCCTTCTCATGGGCCCTATATTTTAGTCGTGGGGAGACAGACAATAAACGAACAATAAACCAAATATAGAATATGTTAAGTGAGGATAAATGCAAGGAGGAAGTTTTTAAAAAATGATGGATTAGTGGTATACCTAGCATACTAGATACTCAGAATAGATTTTTTTAACATGCTATCCTCTGGTCTATACAATAAGATTGAATAAGAATCACACAATAACCAGTAATAATTATTTTTTAATTTATTCCTGTAAAACAAAAAATGATTAAAACATTATTTTAATGTGAAGGATATAGCTATTTTCAATTTTAAACACAAAAATTCCATGTGATCATACAAAATGACAGAATTGAAGTAATTAATATTGCTTCATGTGCTATCATTTTATCTATTCCAAATCAACTTTTCACATATTGGAATCTGTAGTATCACAAGAGTGGAGGCATATGTCGCCTATGGGGAATTGGAATGAGGAATGCCTGTAGCTGAATCAGCAGTTGCTGATGGCCTCTATTTAACTGTAGTTCTGCAAGTTAACTTTCCTGTAGAACACAATGTTTATTAAAGAGTTGGTAATAAAAATGGGATCATTGAAAGCTTACATATATATTACTAAAACTCAATAGCAACTATGGCTATTGTTTAGAATTTAGACTCACCAGAGAATTTTTTTTATTTTGGCAGAGGACATTGTTTAGGATATTAGTGATATTATTTAGAATTGCTAGCTCATGAAAATAAGACAAAACAGACTCACTTTAGTAAGTTTTATAATGGTTTTTAAATTGTCTAAAAAGAACACACCTTTTTACTTTACTGCCTGCATCTGGGCTTGGTGTGGGGCTGGAAAGGGAATAGTGTGTGATGATGGAGTTTAGGTCCTGAGCAACTCATAAAATGGGGTTGTCTGAGGACCAGTGTTGGGATGCAAGAACCAAAGCTTACTGTTAGGCATGATAAATATGAGTTACCCATTAGACACCCAAGTGAACATAAAAGTCTGGAATTTAAGAAGAAAAATGTGGAAGCCATCATACACTGATGATATTTTAAAGTCCTAAGACATTTCCCCTACCCACTTATCTCATCCCACAATAAGCCTTCCCTCCTTTGAAACACTTGTTCACATTTAGTATTTTACATTTGTCATGTTGTTCTGCTGATGTATGTGTGTATGTGTTTCGTCTATTTGCTGACTTCATCCATTAGTGAATATAAAAACGTCACATTTTTCACAATCAGTAATTTCCACCTACCCCCTACCTACTTGACTGTAACCAAATCTAACATTTCTCAGTATTTCATATTTCTCTGATTTGCTTCAGGAGATGCTGGGAAATGGATTCTCTCACACTTATTCGTTTAACACTGTGCTAAGTGTTGGTGACAATGGTTCCAGAGCAGCATGGGGTTTTAAGCAGAGTTGCTGAACTCCAGCAGCCTGGCTTCCATTTTCTCTGGTGCCTGCATCTGCATTCAAAGTTATACTGCCAAGGGTGGTGGCTGCCCCTTCCTCCTTTCTCAGGTGTCTTCCTGCTAGGTTAGGTGTTCCTTCCTTTATTTTTTTCTGACCAACAGAAAAGTTGTCCCTGCTTTTTATAACATGCCTTTCAGAGTTTTTTTCTTAAGTCAGAACCATTGACTTGCACTCACACCATTTTTTTTCCTTTTATTCCATGTGCTTCTACTTAACATCCCATAAAAATCCAAGAGTAGGCCTGACTCATTGGAAGGTTCTCGGCTTCACAATGTGTCTGGATGTATTTAAGATTCTCATCTTGTTGTAGTTGGTTTATTTGGCTGGAATTCTTTGTTCATAGTCCATTGCTTTTGCTTTCCTGTTCAACCTTTTGAGGATCTGCATCAGTGCCCAGTTTTAGTCCATATTTAATCTCCCTCTCATGCAGCCCCATGTCTATCAAGTCTGTGTGTCTGTTTGTGTCCACATACAGTCCATAGTTGTTAAGAATCTTTCTACTTAGACTTTGAAGGGAAAACCTTCTTGGTGCCCAGAGCATTCTGGCACATTCTTGTTACCTTGAGGTAATGTGGCTGGAGTTCACAAGTTGGCTTAAGAGATTTTTATCCCTGCCCTATGCCTGAATTCATTCTTAAACATCATCTTGTATTCCTAACTAGAGGGAAGCTCCTTTAGTGTACAGCTTTGATTTTATGGTGTTTGATACCTTGCATTTTCTTTTTTGGTTTTTTTTTTTTTTTTTTTTTTTTTTTGAGACGGAGTCTGGCTCTGTCGCCCAGGCTGGAGTGCAGTGGCATGATCTTGGCTCACTGCAAGCTCCACCTCCCGGGTTCACACTATTCTCCTGCCTCAGCCTTCCAAGTAGCTGGGACTACAGGTGCCCGCCACTATGCCTGGCTAATTTTTTTGTATTTTTAGTAGAGACGGGGTTTCACCGTGTTAGCCAGGATGGTCTTGATCTCCTGACCTCGTGATCCGCTGGCCTCGGCCTCCCAAAGTGCTGGAATTACAGGCGTGAGCCACCGCGGATACCTTGCATTTTCTATAGCATTGAGCATGATGTCTTGCTGATTGATATATAAAAATTAATTGCATAATCAAGTTCTTAAGTCATCAAACAATGAAAAGGCTGTACTTTGGGAGATTTTTCAATTGATGATCCAGAAGATTCATCTTCAACAATTATTTATTTTCCAAATTAATCTCTATAATATATAAAATATGATTGCTATTTTATGTATATATACACATTAAAGATATAATGGATATACTTCTCTCATTGTGCGTACCACATTCTAAATGTAATTATCTTTTGTGTATCCTTCCCTGATCAGAAAAAGAACTTATTAACAGTGAGAATTTGGTGAAATTCACCATCAAATCATTGCAGCTTACACTTAGCTGGCACTTCGTAAACACTGTGCCTGGCACTATTCACTTTTAATGAGTAGGTGAATGAATGATTCAGCAAATGAATGAATGAATGGATTGCTGTGTATTCATGGACATACATAGCTTTTTTAATTGTTAACAAAACACTGGAAAGTGTTTTTAGCTTACTTTTAATACTCTATTATACTACTCAAATAATAGTGCCATAGGCCTCATTTTTTTTTTAAATGCAGGCAATAGGCATTAATATACAATAGAATTGTTTTTTAATGACTGAACTTTTGGAATACTCATTGCTTTCACAGAAGACTAAAATGTTCTATAGATCACATGGAACTGATTTTGTAATATTCTAAACAGTATGGTAATACAGTTACACATTTGCATATCAACAAGCTAGAAGTACATTTATAGACTATGTATATGAATGTTAGTGTATATATATATGTGTATACATATATTAAAATCTATATCTCCATCTAGCTTTATTAATAGATTTTAAGATTTTTTATCTTAGGAATTTATAGAATTATTATTAAATAAATCAACCAAATACTTTATTGAACTTAAAAGTATTGAAATTGCTTTTGGCCAGTTTTATATTTATCATTTTCTGTTGCTGTAATTTAGTTATTTTTATATCAGTTTCTACTGTATCTTCACTCCACGTAACATGTTTATATCAATAAGAATGTAGATGTCCTCATGCATATCTTGTGTGATATATAAATATCCTTGGAAGAGATATTTATTTTCTACTAATCCATAAAGACATGTTACCTTTTTTTAAGATTGGTCAAAGATTGGTCATTTTTCTACTGATGCCTGTTTTTCTTTCTCCTTTCTTTTCAGTACTTCTGAAATTCCTCAGTTCCGGCTGCCGTATGATGTAGTGAATTTTGAGATTGAGCTAATGAAGGACCTTGGTGTAAAGGTAAATGAAAAAAACACCTATCTGTGTACTGCTCAAAAAGAAAGGAGTAAGCTCTACACTAAAGATTAACAGCAAATGTCATGCATTTTAGGAAAGAACAATTAAAAGCTACATCAGGCAGAAGCAGAAAGATGCTTCCCCTTGCTTAGGGCATTTGTCTGTCTACTGTCTGAATGCCACTAGCCTGGAAAAGGGCAATCAATAGTTCTCATCTGGCATGCCTGCATGTGATTAATTGTCTGTAAGAAACAAATTCCTAAATTGCTTTAGGGGTTCAGTGCAGCTAATAGAAGGATTTGGTTTCTTTAATCATGTTTTTTCATGCAAGTTGTGTGCACTCTGAAACATTAGTATTTCACAATTTGGAACATAATTTCTTATGGAGATTTATTTTATTTGTTATATTCATCATGTCAGTAGTGTGAATGTGATAATCCTTTCTCAACACAAGCAGTAAATCAGTGGGATAGAAAGCAACAGCTTCGTATTTTTTATTATTTTGTTAAATAAATATTGTGTTATTCTTTTCGAGATGGTTGAAAATTTGACACATCGTTATTTTCAGCATATAGCTTTAAATATTCCTCTTCTTTTCTGTTAAGAGCATTATATTCTAGCTCTTCACTTGAACATATTGCTATTTTTGTTTCAAAAATGTTAATTTTTCATAATAGATATAACACAATAGATTAATAATGTACTGTGATTTACATAATACATGCTGTAAGTATATGCAGAAGATACTTTGAAAAGTGATTAACAAACTACTCATACCTTTTGCATTTACCAGTAAAACTTAAAATGAATCAATAAAAGAGAAAACACTCAAAAAAATATTTTGTGGTTTATATTTATAATTACGTTTTAATTGACAGTGGCCGGGTGATGAAACATTCACACATAATGACTAAACAAGATGTCTGGGAATAAAAACACATAGTATAGATTTGGGCAACTTTATAAAACTTAATGTTCAAAATTACAGTGTTCAAAATAGATAATTTAGAGGTGATTATTTTACAGAAGTACATTCTGAAAAGTTTTTAAATGTCTTTCATTTTGAATACAAGTTCTTCTCTAAATCTCATCAAATATGGAAATGATTATTGAAATTTCCAACTATTAGATTCGGTATTCTGAATTGAAGATGAATGTTCCCAACACAAAGACATGGGAAATGTTTGAGGTGATGAATATCCTAATTATCCTGATTTGATCATTACACTTTCTATGCATGTATCACCCCATAAATATGTAAAATTATTATATATTAATAAAAAATGAAAAAAGAAATTAGGCTTTATTTCTCCATTTATCTTATATAAAATTGCAAAATTGCATTCAGTTTTCACAGGACCAGATATATTGCATAAATTAGAGCATACCCATTACTCTTATTTGAAAACTCATCAAGGTGCAGTAGTAGGCAATATACTGAGTGCCAAGAAATATATCTTAGCTATAGTCATGCCACTTTTTAATTTTGTCAGATATCTTTGGCAAAGTCTATTAATATCTAGAACGTTGTTCAAAATCTGCTCAAATAAAAAGTATGCTACTAATATTTGAACAAAATATAAAAATATTTGTTTACATATGCAAAGAATATCTCAGAAAGATATAAGAATCTGATAGAACAGATTGCCTTTGAGAAGGTGTGGGACAATTTTTTCAACATTTTGTACATTTGAATTTTAAACTGTGAATCTGTTACATTATTGAGGAAAAAAAATGGAACCTAAATTAAAGAGAAAGCTAACAGTACTGTCTTGTCCATCTCTCAAGCTGTTTTAAGATGTGAAGGAAATGATGTTTTCAAATTTGCTTTGTAAACAATAAACTGTATATACAATTCTGAGGAAAGATAGCAGTGAGATTCCTTTTCACTTTGAGGATTTGTATCCTTTGATGAGATACTCTTGCAGCTTTTATGATTTACGAACTTTAGCCATAAGTGGGTACATTTTGACAAAGTGGTCTGTGCTCATTACCTCCTTTTGAAAAGTCATCACGGAGGTTCTTTTTATAATTTGCCTTCTGTTTGTCTCTCTCAACTAATATATATTTTAAAGTCAAAAATAATTTCCTGGCAATGAAATGAACTATTTTTGTGGGTTCATACTGTTTGACTCCCGTGTAGCATATGATGTAAGAGTTCTCTTATATATGTATGTATGTATTTTGACTTTCATGACCTAGCATTATCTTGTTTATTCTTCTACTTTCTCTTTTACTTCCCAAAGAGGTTTATTTCATTTACTCAACAAATAATTGTTCAGAACTTATTTTTGCCAAGTAGTATGCCAGGACTAGAACCATGTAGAGCCATCCTTCTTTTGAACTCCAGTCCTGTATACTTAGTAGTTTAATAAGCGTATTATCATCCAAATAACATAACCTGATTATATCCAGAACCCAGTTCAGTTTCTTTATCTTCACTCCCAACTATCTTTTTTTAGCTGCATTTCCTATTGAATATTTTAATTTCAATTTATCTTATTAGCCAATCAGTCCTTGTTAGTTCTAAGATTAATTTTTTAAAGTCAAATATCATGTTACAAGAGAATAAAGATAATTTTGTTTGTTATTTGTACATTATTCATATTTTTCTTCCACAATTTCAATATCTAGTATGTTAAAAAAAAAAAGAGGTATAATACATGGAATTCTTTTTCTTGTCTCTGAAATGGGATTTTTAATCATATTGAATAAATATTTTTCTAGTCTTACATTAATACATTTTATTAATTTAAAAAGTTAATCAAAAGTGTGTTAAATTTTTCAATTCCCCTTTGTAAATACTTACGTTGAGTTTATATGTTGAATTATACTAATCATTGAATTTCTAAAATTTATCAATTTTGGCATCATGTTTATTTCTGTACATGTAATTCAGATTCAATTGGTTAGTATTTTTAAAATTTTTCTTGTGCATTCATTTATTTATGTAATGGATATTAAAACCAGAAATATCGCAGGGAACAGTCAAATAATGTTGTTACCATTACAAGTTTTAAATGTGCAAAGACTTTTTGTTTTGTTTTGCTTTATTTTTATTTGTTGTTTTGTGAATTTTTGATAATAGAGTTATATTAGCCTTATAAAATTAAACTTCTAAGCATTTTATTATTTTCTCATTGGTAAGAATATTATCTTGAGACATCTTTTTTACTAAATTTGGAAGTTGTCATCTTCTCCAAACCCTCTTATGAAATAGAACTATGACCATTTTTCTTCATATCGTCTATAAGTTTTTTCCACTGATTTTATTCTCGTATCAATTTTGCCAATATATTTCTAGAAAAATTTCTGCTTCATTGAGGTTTTTGAATTTATTAGCAAAAATTTAAGTCTACTATTTCAGTATACAATAAAAATATGTCATCTGTGCCTGTGATTATATTTGCTCTTGCATCTCTAAATTTCCTTTGTGTTTTCCTATCCAGTTAATATTTTCTTTAAAATAAACAGTTATCAAAGTTTTGTTTTCTTATTCATTAATTGCTGACTATATATTTATTAATGCTTTCCCCTGCTATTCTTATTTGTTAGTCTCTTTTTTAAATTTAGTTTTATTTTATTTTATTTTACGTTCCAGGATGCACGTGCAGGATGCGTAGATTTGTTACATAGGTAAACGTGTGACATGGTGGTTTGCTGCACCTATCAACACATCACCTAGGTATTAAGCCTCACATGCATTAGCTAATTATCCTGATTCTCTCCCTGTCCCTGCCCCACTCAACTGGCCCCAGTGTGTGTTGTTCCCCTCCCTGTGTCCATGTATTCTCATTGTTCAGCTTCCACTTGTAAGTGAGATCATGCAGTGTTTGGTTTTCCATTTCTGTGTTAGTTTTCTGAGGATAATGGCTTCCAGCTCTGTCCATGTCCCTGCAAAGGACATGATCTAATTTTTTTAATGGCTGCATAGTAGTCCATGGTGTATATGTACCACATTTTCTTTATCCACTATATTATTGATGGGCATTTTGGTTGATTCCATGTCTTTGCTATTGTGAATAATGCTGCAGTGAACATACACCTGCATGTATCTTTATAACAGAATGATCTATATTCCTTTGGGCATATACCCAAAAATGGGATTGTTGGGTCAAATAGTATTTCTGGTTCTATGTCTTTGAGGAATTGCCACACTGTTTTCCACATGGTTGAACTAATTTATATTCCACTAACAGTGTAAAAGCATTTATATTTCTCCACAGCCTCGCCAGCATCTGTTGTTTCTTGACTTTTTAATAATCACCATTCTGACTGGTGTGAAATGGTATCTCATTGTGGGTTTGATTTGCATTTCTCCAATGATTGAATGATTTTGAGCTTTTTTTCATGTTTGTTTGTTGGCCACATAAATGTCTCATTTTGAGAAATGTCTGTTCATGTCCTTTACGTAAGTTTTTTGTTTGTTTGTTTGTTTGTTTGAGATGGAGGATGGAGTCTAGCTCTGTTACCCAGGCTGGAGTGCAGTGGCACTATCTTGGCTCACTTCAACCTCTACCTCCTGGGTTCAAGCTGTTTTCCTGCCCGAGTGTCCCAAGTAGCTGGGATTATAGGTGGCTGCCACCACACGTGGCTAATTTTTTTATTTGTGTTACAGATGGGATTTTACCATGTTGGCCAGGCTGGTTTTGAACTCCTGATCTCAAGTGACCCGCTTGCCTTAGCCTCCCAAATTGCTGGGATTACAGACATGAGCCACCGTGCCTGGCCTCCTTTGTCCACTTTTTAATGGGGTTGGTTTTTTTCTTGTAAATTTGTTTAAGTTCCTTGTAGATTCTGGACATTAGACCTTTGTCAGATGGATAGATTCCAAAAATTTTCTCCCATTCTGTAGGTTGCCTCTTCACTCTGATGATAGTTTCTTTTGCTGTGCAGAAGCTCTTTTGTTTAATTAAATCTCATCTGTCAATTTTTGCTTTTGTGCAGGTGCTTTTGATGTTTTCATGATGAAATCTTTGCCCGTGCCTATGTCCTGAATGGTATTTCCTAGATTTTCTTCTAGAGTTTTATAGTTTTGGGTTTTATATGTAAGTCTTTTTTTTTTTTTTTTTTTTTTTTTTTTGAGACAGAGTCTCGCTCTGTCGCCCAGGCTGGAGTGCAGTGGCGCGATCTCGGCTCACTGCAAGCTCCGCCTCCCAGGTTCACGCCATTCTCCTGCCTCAGCCTCCCGAGTAGCTGGGACTACAGGCTCCCGCTACCACGCCCGGCTAATTTTTTTGTATTTTTAGTAGAGACGGGGTTTCACCGTGTTAGCCAGGATGGTCTCGATCTCCTGACCTCGTGATCCGCCCGCCTCGGCCTCCCAAAGTGCTGGGATTACAGGCGTGAGCCACCGCGCCCGGCCTATATGTAAGTCTTTAATCCATCTTGAGTTAATTTTTGTATAAGGTGTAAGGAAGGGGTCTAGTTTCAATTTTCTGCATATGGCTAGCCAGCTTTCCCAGCACCATTTATTAAATAGGGAATCCTTTCCCCATTGCTTGTTTTTGTCAGGTTTGTCAAAGACCAGATGGTTGTATTGTGTGGTCTTATTTCTGAGATCTCTGTTCTGTTCCATTGGTCTATGTGTTTATTTTTTTCCAGTACCATGCTGTTTTGGTTACTGCAGCCTTATAGTATAGTTTGAAGTCGGGTAGCATGATGCCTCCAGTTTTGTTCTTTTGGCTTAGGATTGTCTTGGCTATATGGGCTCTTTTTTGGTTCCATATGAATTTTAAAGTAGTTTTTTCTAACTCTGTGAGGAATGTCAATGGTAGTTTAATGGGAATAGCATTGAATGTATAAATTGCTTCGGGCAGGATGCCTATTGTCATATTAATTATTCTTATTCATGAGCATGGAGTATTTTTCCTTTTGTTTGTGCCCTCTCTGATTTCTTTGAGCAGTGATTTGTAGTTCTTCTTGAAGAGGTTTTTCACTTTCCTTGTTAGTTGTATTTCTAGGTATTTTATTCTCTTTGTAGCAGTTGTGAATGGGAGTTCATTCATGATTTGGTTCTCTGCTTATTGTTGGTGTATAGGAATGCTAGTGGTTTTTGCACGCTGACTTTGTATCCTGAGACTTTGCAGAAGTTGCTTATCAACTTAACCTATTGGGCTGATCAATGGGGCTTTCTAGATATGGGATCATGTCATCTGCAAACAGGCAGTTCGACTTCCTCTTTTCCTATTTGAATACTCTTTATTTCTGTCTTTTGCCTGATTGCCCTGGCCAGAGCTTCCAATACTGTGTTGAAATGGAGTGGTGAGAGAGGATATCCTTGTCTTATGCCAGTTTTCAAGGGGAATGCTTCCAGCTTTTGCCCATTTGGTATGATATTGGCTGTGGGTTTATTGTAAATGGCTTTTATTATTTTGAGGTATGTTCATCAATACCTAGTTTATTGAGAATTTTTTAACAGGAAAGGATATTGAATTTTATCAAAGGACTTTTCTGCATCTATTGAGATAATCATGTGTTTTTTTCTTTATTTCTCTTTATGTGATGAGTTACATTTATTAATTTGCATATGTTGAACCAGCCTTGCACCTAGGGATGAAGCCAACTTGATTGTGATGGATAAGCTTTTTATATGCTGCTGAATTTCATTTGCCAGCATTTTATTGAGGATTTTTGCATCAATGTTCATCAGGGATATTGGCCTGAAGTTTTCTCTTTTTGTTGTATCTCTGCCAGGTTTTGGTATCAGGATGATGCTGGCCTGATAAAATGAGTTAGGGAGAAGTCCCTTGTTTTCAATTGTTTGAAATAGTTTCAGAAGAAATGGTACCAGCTTCTATTTGTAATTCTGGTAGAATTCAGCTGTAAATCCATCTGGCCCTGAGCTTTTTTTGGTTGGTAGGCTATTTATTACTGCTTCAATTTCAGAACTTGTTATTGGTCTATTCAGGGATTCAACTTCTTCCTTGTTCAGCCTTGGGAGGGTGTATGTGTCCAGGAATTTATCCATTTCTTCTAGACTTTCTAGTTTATTTGCATAGAAATGTTTATAATATTCTTCGATGCTTGTTTGTATTTCTGTGGGTTCAGTGGTGATATCCCCTTTATCATTTTTTATTGTTTCTATTTGATTCTTCTCTTTTTTCTTCATTAGTCTACCTATTGGTGTGTGTGTATATATATATATATTTTTTTTTCAAAAAACCAGCTCCCGGATTCATTCATTTTTTTGAAGGATTTTTCGTGTCTCTATCTCCTTCAGTTCCGCTCTTGGAGTTATATGGCACTTACTCTCAAATCGATCACATAATTGGAAGTAAAACACTCCTCAGCAAATGCAAAACAACTGAAATAATAACTAACAGTCTCTTAGGCCACAGCACAATCAAATTAGAACTCAAGATTAAGAAACTCACTCAGAACCACGCAATTGGAAATTGAACAACTTGCTCCTGTATGACTCCTGGGTAAACAATGAAATTAAGGCAGAACTCAGGAAGTTCTTTGAAACCAGTGAGAACAAAGAGACAATGTACCAGAATCTCTGGGATGCTGCTAAAGCAGTGTTAAGAGGGAAATTTACAGCGCTAAATGCCACTTCAGAAAGCTAGAAAGGTCTCACATTGACACCCTACCATAACAACTAAAAGAACTAGACAAGCAAGAGAAAAATATCCACAAAGCTAGCAGAAGACAAGAAATAAGCAAGATCAGAGTGGAACTTATTTGTTATTTGCTGTAAAATCTTGAGTTGTAAACTTACTTCATTTTCATTTTATAGATTGAATAATGAAAACATTTAAAGTTATTAGTTTCAGAAAAATCTTTGTCAGCATCCATGTGTTTTCATTATTTTATTATTTTTATTTTTCTTCAGAAAGTAGGTTTTTTTCCCCCGTGTAGACAACAGTTATGTAGGATAGTATTTTCATTTGCTTCTGTATTCTTGTGATATAATTCATTATTTTTTCACTTTATTAGCCATATTTGCATTTTTTAAATTTATCAAGCATACTCTCAATTGATTTTACACCAAAGGATCATTTATAGTGTAATAAAATTGGGTATTCCCTTTAGGAGAAATGGCTTCTTAGCTGATGTTTATTTATACCTTTTTTTGTAATGCAACTCAGAATTTAAATAGAAATACATATTTTTGTTTCATGGTCTTTATATCCTAATTTTTCAAAGTTAAAAGTATAAAATATGAATGAAGATATTGCATTTTTGCATATTTAAAATATGTATATTTGTCATTTCCCAAAGTATTCTGATAGAATTCTAATTGATTACCTTAATTTGTAATTTCTATACATTTCTTCTGCTTCGTAGTTTTAGATGAAATATCTAATAGAGGTATTACCTTTTTCTTAATAACCTCTTATAACATCTTGTTTTCACTATGGTTATTTGAACCAATAATATCTGTGATTATGAGATAGTATTAGAAAATAAATATAAAATCATATTATTTCTCTCCCACAAGGAAACATGTACACTAATAGCTAATAAATAATTTTCATTTCTAAAGATAGCTAAATACTTTCAAAATTTCTTCATTTTATTTTCTATCTTAGAGCATCTGGAAATATTTGGTCTATTTAACCAAATTTTCTATTAGACAACTGTGAAGAGTATGTATGTTTTTATTTGATTTTTAAAAATAATGGGCATCACCTATTTTATTTGAAGATTTATACTCCACAAAAAAGTTGTCAGCCTTTATCCTGCATAATAAATGTTACTATGTATATGAATACATATTATAGTATATAAAGAAAGTTTTCATCAAATCCCTAAGAGACTATTAGATGGAACTTTGGCTCAGGGTATATGACATTCAGAACTGCTGGAATAAAGTAGTGACTATTACACTGAACTTGAAATAGATTGAATTTGTATTCCGAATTTAGGTAGGAAATATCTAATAATATGTTACTAAAGTCATTAGAGGAAGGTAGAATGTATATCTAAGAAAATCAAGATGGAAATATTACATATGTAAAAGTACAAGGAATAAAGAAACAAAAACACCAAACAAAATGCCCGTAATATGATTTTTCTAGCATCATATATATTTAACAAATAACATTGAGATTTCATAGCTTATCAGCCAACATGATGTTCCTGATAGCTGTAGTTGTCTTGCAATTCCAGTTTTAGTTAACACACATTTCATTTCAATTTCCCAAAGCATAATGTAAGCAAAGCTTTACTTTTGTTGTCAAGGAATCTTTCTTCTAATTCTTTCTAAGAATAGATTATTTCTTGCATGGCAAATATTTGGGGCCTCAGGCTTTTAGGAAAGGGAAATTTGAATAGGTTCCCATTCACAAAAAGGAAGGAAGCCTTGTGCCTGTCACTGCTTGGAATGTTCTTGTTATGGCTTTGTCCTCATTTCTACCAGGGATCTGCTGCCCAGTGATGACCATCCTCCATCTTTCCCACAATGTCTGTTCATGGTAAAGTCAAGTCTTGCTGGTCTCCATCCCAGTAGATTCACACCAAGATCAAGATACTCATCTTTGCAGCTTTCCATACATGAAAGGAAAACTCAACTGTTTTCTATCCCCATTTGCACACTATTGTGTATTAGAGTAGAATCAGACTGTATAAATACAGAATGAGCATCTTTCTTATATATTACAAAATCAAAGACATTTTCACTCTGCTGTGGTGGAAGAATTGGGATGTCTTTATTCCTCTTTGATAAATCACAAAAAGCTACTATTAAACTAAACTATTGTGCCTTCTCCCACAAATACCCACCTCAAAAAGGATGGGAGGTCTTCTTGAATCTTCCTGCAGAGGCACTGAATAAAGTAAACCTAAGATTAAGTATTTTGAGAATCACCTCCACCAATTAATTCATTGGCATGGCATTCCAGTGCTCAACTTTGAAAATGGCATACTTACTCAGTTTGCTAATATTCTATTAGAATGTTTGGACCTGGTGTTTTCTTTTATGTCTAACCTTTATTATATATTGGTATGAAGGGTATTTGATTCATAAAACAAACAGCGAAATTATTTTTCTTTTTCAATAAAATATGTATTATTTAAAAGTTAGAATAAATTAAAGTTCTAAAGCCTCACTATTAGATGATTTTAATAGCATCGAATTCTACTAATTCTAATAGTAATACTATTACTTACTATAAAATGCTTTGAATAATACATATTTAATTAATGTTCCAGTTTAATGTTTTTTGATACATTCCAGAGTTCTGAATATTCGTTATTAATCTCACCTTGGTTGTCCCCTTATTATAAACTTTCTGACAGTTACCATATCTGCCAATATAAAAACAGAATTACTATTTTAGGAAGACAAAACATTGCCCTCTATGATCCAGTTCCAGTCATATTCTCCTCTCCAACTTCTTGCTCCATTGCTTGCTTTGCACTTTATATTCTTGAAACACAACCTTTTTAGTAGGTCTTCACGTATAATATGCTGTTCTTTGTCCTTGAGGATGGTGCCAGCTCTGCCCTCTAACCTCAAGAGGCACAAGAGCACAGCAATTATGCATGTTGGCTCTGAAATTAGACTATGTATTTGACTGCAATAAAGGTTATGTAAGCTCTCTTGTCCTTTAGTATCATTATCTGTAAAATGAAAATACTGATAACACTTCATGGGGCTGCTGTGGGGATTAAATGAGTCAGTATATGCAGTACTTAGAAGAGAGCTTTACACTTAGGTGCACTATTCAGTGTAGCTGTAATTACCAGTTCATGGGTATACATTGCTCTTCTTCTATGACTCAGCTTAAGGGCTTTGTTTTTAGGAACATTTTGCCTTCAGAACACAAAGAAACCTACCAGGCATTGTGCTTCCTTCTATATGGCAGGAAATGTGAGATGCAGCTCTATTTGTCTTTTACTTTCAAGGGGACTTACTGGCACATACTTGATAACTGGATCTCTAAACTTCACTCAAGAGGCCAGTCCCTGATTATAGAGTTCATCTTCCACCCACTGGAGTGCAGATATCTTAACAGTTTCCAGCATATTCACCACCTCTTTTTCATGCTGTCTGATCTGCCTGATGTCGTCAAGGTAATGAATCACTGTGACGTTCTGTGGGATGTCCAGATCGCTTCAGATTACATATATTATTACTGAAAAGAGTTGACATATCCCTAAGGCAAAACTGTAAATGAATATTCTTATCTATACTCTGTGACTCTGAACTATTTCTGATCTCCTTCTGTAATTGGAGTGGAAGGAGTATGCATTTGCCAAATCAATGGCCACATGCAGTCTATGTGTGGCCTTATAAAACTTCTCTAGCAATAATACCACATCTGTAACAGAAACTGCAATCAGGACTACTCTTTAGTTAAGCCTGCAGACATTTATAGTCATCCTCCAGAAATTCTCTGGTGTTGGCAGGGGACAGGCTGGTGGATTAAATGGGGATATGACAGGGACCACTAACATCTCTCCCCATCCCATTGCACCCAGGATAGGATATTATCTTTGATTTAGTCTCTTGGCTGGATTTTCAGATATTTTCATGTGGCCTTCCCAACTATGATAGCTTTTATAGCTCTTACTTCACAGACCAGAGACCCAATGTAGGGATTACTTCAATTGACAAATGTAACAATTTCAATTATGCTCTTAGAGACTAGGAGAACGATCACTAACTGAGTTGTGGTTTCAGTGGGCCCACTGTGAACTAGACTTCAGTCAGGCTCCATTTTTTACCTCACCCTGTAAGTACCCACTCTTATGTTTCCAAGTATCAGTATTACTGAAGAACCAGTGCTTAATAGTCCTTGAAATGTCTGATCATTCCCCTTTTTCCAGGGCTTAGTTGCTTGGATAAATGACCATAGTTTCCTTTGGGAAAGGACTAGGGGAATCACAGTACTTACTTGTAGGGATGTTTCAGGGTCTTTCTTCCTAGGGACCCTGACACCTCCCTGGTCAGCAGGTTCCAGAAGTGAAAATTATCTCATGTCTGGGAACTGACCAAGCATTGTGACTTTTACTAGGGGTGACTACCCTCTGCTTCCTGACTTTATTCATTTTCCCTTGACACTGTCCGTTATCAAAATCCTGTCTTTTCCTTTTAAAGGCCCTATTGAAATCCCACTTCTCTGTATTCTCAACCTTCTAAGCTTAGCTAAAATGAATCTCCCCAGCCTCTGAACTCTCATACACATGTGGTGATCATAGCTTGTTTTATGTTACATTTATTTGTGTATATCTTTTGCCCCTACTTGACTGTACATTGATGCTGGAAATGTGTCTTATTTATCGTCTTATTATTTAAATGCCCCACATCGTGCTTTGAACATATTATGCAAGCTATGGAAGTTTACTGATGGTTTTAATGACACTGGCTTTTCTTCTGCATTTAGCCCTTAATAGAACATGTTCCTGTTCTATTTATATACTATTTTGTGTATGTAAACCTATATACTAAAAGACAAAAATGTTGTCACATTTTATATGGAATCTCATAGAATTTTTGGCTGACTTTTCATTCTTTTTGATGTTAAATATTAAGATTTTAATTAATCATATGCCAAATTTTCTTATGCAAAATATTGTTTCTTATAGATAATTTGCGGTAAAAGCCTTTCAGTGAATGAAATGACTCTTAGCACTTTGAAAGAAAAAGGCTACAAAGCTGCTTTCATTGGAATAGGTGAGTAGTTTACTCTTAAATATATTTATTTATAATGTATTTTTTTATTTCCTAGCAATATCCAGAAGAATGACTGCCTTCAGACATTTTCGTGATGAAAGTTATATTTGTTCAGGGAATAACAGATAGAAATGATTGGCCAAGTAACTAAATTTCTATTTTATAAGTAGGAGTGCTGTTTCACCTTAATTATGGAGAGATTTCGGCAAGATGTTTATCTTCCCATTCTTTCACCACACCATCATCACCAGTGAGAATCTCTAGGAAGAAAATATTTTCAAGTCATACCACCAGAAACTCAGAATCTGTCTAGAGGCTGTAGCTTTCTTTTTATGATAAAAACAATTGATTAAAGTGATCATAAAGGATGGAGTTGGCTCGTTCCCTTTGCTATTCATTTTCCAAAATTTTCTAAAGACTTTTCTTATTTGGTTGAATTTTTTAAATGTTTCATCAGTGTTCTGAAAGTCCCATAGACAGTGTATTACTCCTGAGGCACTCACTGTATACTGTTTTCTCATATTTTGCCTAAATATGTTATGGAGAATGAGTTTTCTAACATTTTTCTTCCACTTAGTGTTTACTGAGAGACCAGAGAGAACAAGTAAGTTGGCTTGACTTAGTCTTTGCCTCATGAATGTCATATTCATTCTCTGATATGATTTGTACTATGGGCAATTACGGCATATAAATGGAGTATGTTAAATCGGGGTCCCCAAACTCGGGGCCACGAACTAGTACTATACTGTTAGGAACCTGGTCACACAGCAGGAGGTGAATAGTGGGCAAGCGAGCATTACTGCCTGAGCTCTGCATCCTGTCAGATCAGCATTAGATTAGATTAGAATCTAATGGCATTAAATTATCATAGGAGTGCAAACTCTATTGTGAACTGGGCATGCGAAGGATCTAAGTTGCATGCTCCTTATGAGAATCTGTAACTAATGCCTGATTATCTGAGGTGGAACAGTTTCATCCTGATACCATCCTCTTTCTCCAACCCGGTCCATGGAAAAATTTTCTTCCATGAAACTGGTCCTTGGTGCCAAAAAGGTTGGGGACCACTGTGTTAAATTGTTACTCATTTTTAATATAAACTCATCGTCCTGTATTTTACTTTGTCTGTCTCTTCGGCAGTTCACACTCAGAATATGAAGTTCGAAATAATATCTCTTTAAGTGATCACACACTGAGTAATGTTTGTTTTGCAGCTGTCCTTTTTCATTGCCTTTCTGAAGTGCAGTCATCATTAATGCTTCTTTGTCTACTAAACTTTTCTTATCAAAATGCCATTTCTAAGACCATGCCTGTCAGCCCCTTTATTTAGGCAAAAAATTATGGAAAGCAATATAAATTTACACTGTCTTCTAGCTCCTAAATGTCTCAACTGAACCTCCTTCCTTTCAGAAAATTTTGGGTGCCATTGTCATTAGTATCTGTCTGTATGATCTTAATTACAATATTATATTTATTGTGTATATCAAAAGTAGGAAGGAGGCAAGATCTGATATTTTCCCTGGGTTCTATTTTTAGGCATACTATATTTGACTTTAGCTTTACTTTTCAACATTACATTTGTATTGATAATTTAATGTAAAGAAATTGGGCAGGTGTCTGTAAGTTCCAATTACTCTCAATAAACACATGATCAAAAATGCTTGGTCAGTAATAAGTGAAAAATTTCATCAGGCTTTAGGTCTGCAATACTAATAATGTTATCAAATAACTATTTGAAATTCACCAATGTACTAAAAGATATGTTTTCCATTATTTGAGTATATACTAATACAATTATTAATACATGTATCTGTAAGAACTTCATCTACAAAGAATCTTTGTACTGAAGGAATATGGACCAATAAAATAACCAATACATTGAAATATCCAAATTAATTACATAAGCAAATTATTCCAAAAATGTGGAATAATTAAATTGTTTATCACTCTGAGTAGTTATAACCACGAAACACCTTCTAACTGAAATAATCAATAGTGTTTCAGCTTTTTAATTTAATTTTATACTATTAAGTCCCCTTAAGTATATTATTTGATAATGCTATACTGGTTCACAATACAGTTGTCTCCATTTGACTCTGCACTGAGGTGTGAATACAGCATTTAGAATGTAGAGTCCTTTCATATTTATGTGCTGTGCATTTTCATGCTGAGAAGTGAATCTTTGACATTTTGGTGTAGTGATGTGAGGAATGCAGTTATGCTCTATTTCAGTATTTTGTATGAAACATATACGAGAAAAATTTCATCATGTCAAAAAGAAAAGCTTCAGTCTGTGGAAGACAAGTAGCCGTATTCTCTAGGAAATGTTTATTTGACACTCATGAGTGTCGATTTGGGAATTTATGACCTTTGTATTACCATATAACTGGCGGTTACTTGGACAGCCACACAACCTTACATGTTTTTGTTCATTAACCTTGCTTCCATATTGTAATTAAACATTACTCACTTATTTTATCTACCCTTTCTCACTGATTTTGTAGGAGGAAATGTAGAATAGGAATTCCATATTATTTAGGATATACATTTGGGCAGTTTCAGAAAACAATAGAGGGTAAAACAATATAAACGTTTAGTTCTTTCTCATGTAACAATGTAAGCCATTTTCAAACCTGAATTCCGTCTTTGGTCTGTGGGTAGTTACCATGTTCACATTCATGCTAATAGAAGTGGGAAAGAGGGAAGCAGCTCCTTCAGTCTTATATTTATGAGCCGGAAGTTACACAAATCAATTCTTCTTTCATCTCATTGTCTGTTACCTGATCATATAAGCATGGCAACAGCAGAGGGTGCTGGGAAGTATTGCCTTTTGCTGGGTGGACATAATCCCCATCAAACGTCTAGAATCATAGGGAAAGGGGATGACAGATATTGAGAGAGGATAGAAATGAAAGTCTCTGTTACAGGTGTGCATCATCATTAGTATTTGACACAGGAGATCAGTAAAGTACTTAGTAGCAAAGAAAACACTCTTAGTACCTGGTGCATACATGTTGGTTACATAGGTAGTTTTTAAAAATGGAGATGGTAGGCCAGGCGTGGTGGCTCACACCTGTAATCCCAGCACTTTGGGAGGCCGAGGCGGGTGGATCATGAGGTCAAGAGATCGAGACCATCCTGGCCAACATGGTGAAACCCCGTCTCTACTAAAAATACAAAAATTAGCTGGGTGTGGTGGTGTGCACCTGTAATCCCAGCTACTTGGGAGGCTGAAGCAGGAGAATCGCTTCAACCGGGGAGGTGGAGGTTGCAGTGAGCCGAGATCTCACCACTGCACTCCAGCCTCCTGACAGAGCAAGACTCCGTCTACAAAAAAAAAAAAAAAGAGATACTTTCTCTTTCTGTAGTTGGAAATGCCATAGTTATTAATCTTATGTGTTTATAACTACTATCTTATTCTACGTTAGATTGTGTAAAATAAAAAATATTTTTAATTAACTATGACATAATGAAGATAGCTCATTAAGCCCATTGTATTAAGTCAAGTCTGTTCACATGTTTCCTGATTTTAACTATAGTGCATGATATTGCTCATGAAAAGTCTCTCATTTTTAGAGTTTTCTCTAATACTACCACAGTCCAAGGAAATTATCTCATTGAATGTACATCATTGTTACTTCTAAAGACTTATGTCTCTTGAACCATGAGAAGTTTAGCTTCTTCTAAGTACTGAGATAAAGCCCTATGTCTTATTCAAAATTAGTCTGTTATCTTCACAGTAATTGAGTCATTGTTAAAGACTCTAAAGTTTTGGTGGTTTTACTGAAATCAGAGCACCTGGACAGCATGTTACTGAAAATATTGAGACGTAGAATTGGAACATCTACTATACAAGGCTTTTAAAAAATATTGGATGGCTCTCTTTGTTTGGTATTGAAATTGACATAATAGGTTACAACCATTGTTTCTTCCTTTTTATTTTATAAAAATAACCAGAAAATAATAGAATAGAACATATCAAAGTGTGTTGGCTATGGTTAGGGCAAGTGTTATTTTGTGAAAAATGTTTTTCACCTGTGTGTATGTGTGTTTGATGTGTGTGCTTGCACGTTCACACTGCATTAAAATAAAATGTATTTTTTAAATATGGCTCTAGTTAAAGTTTGATAGCCAATGCTATACAATGTAAGGGCTCTGATGGACTAAACACCTTTTTCCCATAGTATACTCAACACCTATCAATAAGTAGCTATTAGTGAGTTAAATAAGTATTGAATTACTACAATCAATGTCCCAAACACTGTGCTAAGAATTTAAAAAACAATAAAGAAATCTGAATTCGTTGTTTAGGTTGGTATTAAATTGAGTCAGAAATATCATAAGACATTCAAAAAGAACAACCATATTGCACAATTTCAGGAGTGGGACGTAGTGTGGTAGACGGGCTGGACATGGGTATAGTTCCTTTTTTTTTTTTTAAAGTTCTGTGGGTAATTTTATTCTAGAGCCAGGTTTAAGAGTCACTGTTATAGATAACTGAAGAGATGGACCCTTCGTCTTTGTTTTAAAGAAGCCCATTTATTTTTCTCTTTCTGATTGTTCATCTTCTGATAGTTTTCATCTCATAGCCTCATAAAACATGATAGTGCCAAAAAGGTTAAACAAGCATGCAAGGGAAAGAACATCCAGTAAGACACATTTAGGTAACTGATCAAACTTTATATGTTCTTCTGCCAAGTTTTTCTTTCTTTGAATTTTTGTTTTTAGAATGCATGAGAAAGAAGGGGCTAAGGGGAAAATGCAGTGAAATCAATTATAATAGTCACAGTAGACACTACGAAACAGGAACTACAGGAAGGTGTTGTAGAGATGAATAGTCTTTTTCAACACCAAGTGCTTTACTTGTGTCCACCCAAAAGATTTTCCTTGAACTTACTTCTTGCTACCACCACTCCCCTCACTTAATGCCACTGGGATACTGCTATGGCCTCAACCAGTCTCTTTGGCCACCACTGTTCACACAACAAAAGTAGTAATCATGCTGAAATCAGATCTGATCATTATTCCTCACTAAAACTCTTCCATAGCTCCATATTTCCTTCCAGATAAAGAAAAGTCCCCACGAAGGTTTTCAAGGCTCTTCTTGATTTGGTCACAGCTATGTCTCTAGTCACTTCTCCTATTAAATTATGTGATTCAGCCATTCTGAACTGTTTTTAGTTTTACCTTATCTGAAGTTTTTTAACCTCAAGTTTTGGACATGGACCTAGAGCTATCTTTGTTTTCATATTTGTGTTCTTGACTTCGATGCTTTTTTTCTATTTGATACAATTATTTTACTTGTGATGATCTACTCCCTACCTTCATACTTTAGCCTGGATTAATGAATCATCTTCCTCACCCCCCACCCCACACAAACTCTGTGTTCCTGCTCTCTATGTTCAGACTGGACTTTTTACTGTAGTATAGCACTTCTTCACCTTCTTTATTATAATTCACTAGTTACATGTTTGTTTCCACCACTAGAAGTTAAGCTTCTTAAAGACTGTAGATTCTGTCTGCTTTCTTCATTGACAGATGTTTGGTGCCTAGCAAAGTGGCGGGTACATAGTAGGAACTTTATACGTATTTTTAGTTATTGATTTTAAAATGCAACTCTTTTGACTGTTTTCCAAAATAAAGTAAATTTATAGGTTGCTTAACAAAGTTGGCAATTTTGGAGTATTATAACATTGCCCAAACCCAGGGGGAATACATTTTACATTATTATAATTTTGGTATTACACTATTCCAAGTAGGAATAGTGATATTAGCAGTGGTGATATTGGTAATAATAGCAGTAACAGTGAATAATATTCCAGGCTCAATTCTTAACATGATCTATCCTTTTAACTCTTAAAATGGTCCTTGATGTCGATATTCTTAACACTCTTTGATGGGTAAGAAAATTAAGACTATCAAAGGTAACAGAAAAGAAGTAAATGGCAACTAAAGCATGGAAAGTGAGTTTTATAAAGAAAGTAAAAAAAAAAATAACAAGTGCAAATATCCATACTTCAATTGTGACTCAAAGCCAACATGACTCTGTCTACATTTCAGCATCTCACTTAAGATTCTTGAAGAGGGTAAGCTGATACTCAAGAAGAATTAGTCTTTATATTTAGCCTCATTTTTCTCATTGTTATCACAAATTGGTTTTCTTTTAGTTACCATCAGAAAATAATATTTTTTTAAATGTGAAGATTCCCAAATATTATAACAGACAAATAACAGATAATTATAATTTAAAAAATCCATCGAGAGATTGTGGTATTAAATTTGCTACAGAGTGGCCTTTAGTTAAATCTCTCATGCCTTCACAAAGCCAGAATTATTCTCTATAAAAGTTATTCTTAATTGGCTTCTTAATCAGGAATTTTTAAATTGTACATAGTTGTGTATACTTTCTATTTATTCAGAGGAAAATGCAATTAAGTTTTTAGACCATTTGCTTTACTTCTGTCCCCAGATAAAAATGTAAATTGTTTAGTCACTATCCACAACTATGAATAGATTATTTTAAAAAATAAACCTGACTTAATTTTAAGCAAAAAGCAAGTCTTGAGTATTTTGCCAATCTACTTTTTTTAATTTGTAATATTGTTTAATCTACTGTCACTTGTAAGTACTTCGGTGTAATTGTAAAATGGCTCCCAAGATTTTGGAAATGAGGGAAATAGAATTCCAGCTGAGAGTTCATTAAATCATTACTTAATGAGTTCATGCAAAGCCCCAGAAGGAGATAAAATAGATGTAGGGCAATTATTCTTTGATCATATTAACATATCTATAGAAAGCACATATTAATCTGCAGAAGCAGGCAATGGGGGCTGGTCATCTTTAGAAGTATTGAGGAAGAAAAGGAACCTGCAGAAATATCAGCAATATTGACAGTGGCTCTTTTAAGGCACCTGAATCAATGGACCGGGAGTTCTTTGAGCCCAGGTCGTAAGATAGACAGAGAAGTCTATTTTAGAGACCTCTGAATCTTCTTGTTCTGATTCCAAGCTCACCAAACTGCCACTGATTCCTAAATAGTTTGATTATGGGAGATGAGCGTGGGAAGGGGAGGTTGCCGTGAGGTGAGATGGTTCCACTGCACTCCAGCCTGGATGACAGAGTGAGGCACCATCTCAAAAAAAAAAAAAAAATAATAGATAAATACGTAAATAAATAAATAAAAAGAAAAGACAAAAAAAGAAGACAAAAGAAAAGAAAAGAAAAGTTTATTCTGTGTTCATATATAATGAAATATATGTCATTTATAGTATATAGTTTTCCTTTTGTCATTTTTGGTTGTGTGCATATATCCCTCCCCTGTCACCCACACAAACACAGTATATTAAACATTTATGAGAGTTGGTGTTGGTTTTTATCCTTGAATTGCATAATTTCAGCACATTTCTTAACACATAATACAACATCAATAAAGTTTTTTGAAGTTAAGTAATTGGAAAAAGAAAAAAAAGAAACAATGGAAGAAATGAAAAGCAATGTAATAACTTGTTGAGAAATTTTGAGATTATACTTGATTACTTCACTGCTTAAAATTCATGCATCTTTCCAAGCATCCTCTTTTATCTTTTTTTGTTTTTGACAAAATGCAAAGACATATTCATTAGTTCTGATTAATGACTCAAAGCCACTCTTAAGTCATTCCTACTTTGATGCCTTATAATTATGTCAAGTATTACATTACTGTGCTGAATATCAGATATTTTCTTTAAGTATTTTTGGTTAATTTTTAATGGTAGTACTCGCTAGGGTATTTAATGAGCGTTTTGTGATGAAGATGATGATATAAGGAAATGTTTTTTAAAATCATGGCTTTTTCTACTCGTAGAAGTCTTTACATGTTGTAGATGATCAATAAATATCTGTTGAAGTATTGATTAATTATTAACTCTAATTAACCCTATTAACTCATGATGTCTTCCGTATTATTGTAAAAAAGGAGATAATTTATTAATCACTAAGGTTATTTTAACATTATACAGCTTATATTCTTTTTATTTTAAAAAACCTTTTATAAAACACAAATTATATTTTAAAATATTTTATCTTCTTTGCATTTACCTTCTTTGTGTTTATCTTCTTTGTATTTCTTTGGATGGAGACATGGAGGAATTTTTATTATATTTTTCTATATATGTTTCATGGAATAAAGACATATTTTACTTATGGTAGTTACCTAAATTAGAGAAGTAAAACAGTTCTTTTTGGTATTTTCATTGTTTAAGCATTAATTTTCTTTTAGTAGTTTCCAATGGTTTAATTAACTCTTAAAGTGAAGTTGATAAGAGAATTGGAAAATTACTGAACTAAGAAAAATGTTGTCTTTCAACTGCTATTTATGGCTGCCAGTTACATTTTTTGTGGGAGATAATTATCATTTGAACCTGGAAGGGGTTATTAGTGAACATATACTATGGGTATTATCTTAGTCTTGCTGGGCTGCTATGCCAAAATAGCATAGACTGGGTGGCTTCAATAACAAACATTTATTTTCTCACAATTCTGGAGGCTAGAAGTCTGAGATCAGAATGCCAGCATGGCTGGGTTCTGGTGAAGGCCCTCTTCCTGGCTTGAAGATGTCTGCCTTCTCCCTGTGTGTTCCTATGGCCTTTCCTTGGTTTATCCGCATGGAAAGAGAAAGACCTCTGACGTTTCTTCTTTCTATAAGGGCACTAATCCCATGATGGGGGCCCCACCTTCATGAGTTTAACTAAAACTAATTACATCCCAAAGGCCCCATCTCCAAGTACCATCATGTTTGAGATTAGGGCTTCAGCATATGACATTTGTCCTTAGGATCATCATGATGTTTTGTTTTGTTTTACGTTTGGTAATCATACTATAGGTCTGCATTGTCCTCTAAAGGTAGAATATTGATGTTGAAGGATAAATTTTAGGATACTTAACAAAATTAGAAGTTACTGAGATAGTGGATATTGTCAAGAAGACTTTTGGAACATCACAGTACACAACCCTTCCCCTCCGCCCACTGTAATTCAATGAAGCTAAATGTGGAGAATTCAAGACTACATTGTATTCATGTGCACAGTACACAGTGGTTTTCAAATAGAGCTAGGAGATGTACTGTTGGATAGCTATTTTCACACTACAAACCACACAGCTCTTATCTTACGAATCGCTGCTATGTAAAGTTTGGTGAACTGAAGAAGACATACACAGAAGAAAAGAGGGGTTAGTAAGAGAAAAGGAAAATGGCATGGAAATGGCAGGGATTGATGCAAGTTGGAGGAAACTAGGCATATTTCCATATATGATATATATTTCTTTCTAGAACAATCTTACCAAAGTACAGAAATGTGAAATTTTGGGGGATAATTTATGTTTTATCCGTTCCTTATTTCCTGTTTATTCCAGTTAAGCTATGCCATCTTTCGTTAGCAGGATTAAAGTGATCTAATAATCTCTTTCTCTGTCATTTAAACAGCTTTTTTGACTTTAAGTGCTTAACACCTGTATACTCTAAAGCAAGACCAAAGCTTTTAAGGGACTGCATTAAATATTTTAAGTAAATCTATTTTAGAAGCAATGCAATTGAAATTTATATCAAATCAGTTTTTCTTCAGATCTTGCCTTTGAATGGCTTAAGAGGTGTCCAAAACAGTCATATTGTTCCCACCTTCCCAAATACAATCTAGTTTGGTTATATTACTTTTCTATTTCTTAAACTCATATTACTTAGTACTGTTATAAGTTATGTCAGGAATTTATGGGAAAAACAATACTGCAAGAATGATTACAATATGAAGTCAGAAACATAAACTCTTAAAATGCATTATTAAGCATTAATACTGTGGACATCTAAGAAAGTTTTATTTTTAAAACAACGTTTTGACTTATTTACTTTCCTATCTCAAAATATGTAAGGAATCTTGATGTGTGTTGTCATCTTCTGATTAACCATGCAGTGCCACCTGGTGTGCAGATGGAAAGAACATTACACATCAGAGGCTCTGTTCACACCCACCCCCACCATACACAAACTTACATGGCAGAAAGTTAACAGATGTTCATTTTGCTTTTGTTACTGAGATACGTTGTGCATCCAACTCTTAATTCATAAGTTAAATTTGGAGATTAAGATATTGGTATTTGGGTTAATCAGTCAAAGATTATATTAATACATCCATTATGAGAATAAAGTAATATTTAATTGGAAAATTGCTGCTTTGGATCTTTAAAGTCTTATTTTGTGTTTCTATTCTTTCCTTTTTTTAAAAAAAATACTTGGTAGTTTTGTCTATTGAGCCTTATCATTTATATTTTACTAATAAATTTATCATTCCTAGAATACTGTAGTTTAAAACTGATTGCTATTTAATTTCTCCCTGGTTAAGTTTCCATTTTACAGGAAAAAATAGCCCTTCTTTTGTCTTTGGAGATTGTATCACAGTCAGGTATTTTTCCACTTCTCTTACTCTTTTAATGCCACTGTTGGTTGATCACATTTTAAAGTTGGTTGATCATATTTTTAAGCTTCTGCAATATACCTAGCAGTGTGCTAGCAATTATATGTTACAGAAAAATTAAAGAGGTTATTATATATTTAGAAAAGTAATTAATGCATTTTAAAAATAAGAACTTTGTGCATATAAATATAATAAATAGAATAGCTACATTTATTGAGTTCTGTGCAAAGTCATGTTTAATTCTCACAAAGTAATTTTGGATTGGTATTATTCATATCTCTATTTTACATTTATGTAAATGGTGTCTAACAGATATTAAGTAACCTTCTCAAGTACTAGAACCTGGATTTAACTGAGGTCCCTCTGAAACCAAAGCCCTACTCTTGGCTAATACATTAAGTTGGCAGAATTTAATCATTTTTTAAAATTTATTTATGCTTTCTTAAAAAATATTTTAAATTAATTCTTTTTTAAAAATTGTGGTAAGTACACATAGCATAAAATATACCACCTTCATCATCTTTAAGTGAATAGTGGGATTAAGTACATTCACATCGTTGTGCAACCATCAGCACTATTCATCCACAGAACTCTTTTCATCTTGCAAAACTGAAACTATACCTATTAAGCAACAAATCTATGAATTTGACTATTCTATGTACCTAGTATGGGTGGAATCATACATTATATATTTTGTGTGTGAATGGCTTATTTCACTTAGCATAATGTCTCAACCTTCATTCATGTTGTAGCATGTGTCACAATTTTATTCTTTTTTAAGACTGAATAATTTTTTATGTATATATCACATTTTGTTTAACATTAATCAATCAATGGACATTGGATGGTTTCTGACTTTTGGATATTGGGAATAATGCTCCCACAAACATAGGTTATACAGATATTTCTTTGAGTCCTTGATTTCATCTCTTTTGGCCACACATCCATATGTGGAATTGCTAGATAATTTGGCAACTCTGTTTAACTTTTTGAGGAGCCAACATACTGTTTCCAAAGTAGCTACACCATTTTATATTTCATCAACAGTGAAAAAAAGTTCCAGTTTCTTCACATCATCGCCAACATTTGCTAGTTTGTTTTTGTGTGTTTTTTGATAGTAGCTATCCTAATGGATGTAAGTAGTATATAATGATTTTTCATTTGCTTTTCATTTGCAGCCTGCTTGTTACCAACAGAAACTTGCAGTGATAATATATAGATAAAAAAAATTTTTAAGTATATAAACATATGATTAATCAACAAGATGAATTAGAAAATAAGAACCTCTCCTATAAAAATTAAATGGCATTCACATTTTTTGATATTTTGAGGGCCTCAATTAGATTATATGCCAAAGGGATGAAGATAGAGGGCCAAATTCAGCATGAAGACCAGTTTTGAATTGGCAAATTATAGAGAGGACTATTAAGAGATAGCAAAATATCTTATATTTAAATTTCTAACTAATAAAGTGAGTTGTCTACAAAATTTGTCTATAAATGAACAGATATCAAATATTTTGTATGTTGTGGGCTGTATGGTCTCTTTTGTAGATATTCAGCTCTTTACATTTGTAGTATGAAAGCAGTCTTAGAGTATATGTAAACAAATGAATATGGCTATGTGCCAATAAAACTTTATTTAAAAAAATGAGTAGCAGGGCGGATTTGCTCAGCAGATGATGCACCAAAAAATTACTTAAGAACATTAGTTGCTTATATTTTCTTCTTGTTTTAAGAAAAAACATTTTAAGTGGAAATCTAGTTGAAATATAAATCAAGTGAACTTTTGTCTAATAGAACCTGACTTGTTTTGCATGCATGCATCTGTTTGTGGAATTTAAGAACAACAACATAGGTAGCAGAAGAGATAGCTATCCCTGATTATTTTGTACTAGAACTTTAAAATAGCTGAATTTTTGTGAAACCCCCCATGGTGAGAAACCAACCTTGCTTCTCACTCCTTAATTACTGTTTTAGCAAATAGCTTATTTGAAAGGTGTATCCAAAAATATGTTTTCCTGATACCATGCTTGTGTTATTTTTTTTAAATATTACTAACACAAGCTGCTGTTTTTATTTCTAAAGTGTAGTGTTTTGTCCTTTTAAAGTACATCTTCAATAAATAACTTTATACTTGATTTTGTAATCAAAGAAAAAAAACACACACACACAACCAAGAATTAAAACACAGAAGGGGCCAGGTAGGGTAGTTCATGCCTGTAATCCCAGCATTTTGGGAGGGTGAGGCAGGAGGATCGCCTGAGGCCAAGAGTTCCAGACCAGCCTGGGCAACATAGCAAGACCTTATCTCTACAAAAAGAAAAAATTCGCCATGCAGAGTGGGATGTACCTATTCAATAGGCTGAAGTGGGAGAATCACTTGAGCCCAGGAGGTCAAGGCTGCAATGAGCCGTGATTGTGCCACTGAACTCCAGCCTAGGTGACAGAGTGAGATTCTGGTTCTGAAAATAAAATAAAATAAAATAAATCACAGAAGGAATAAATGAGAACTGAAATTAGTTTCTGTGAAGTGACTGATGGTTCTGAAAGTATATCTTAAACACTATTAATGAATGGTTTTATTTTTCACATCAATTTTTGATAACTTAAGAAAAAAGAAAATATACATATACAAAAAAATTTATCTTAGCCTCTAGGCTAGGACTTCTATAAAACCTCTTTAACTTTTCCTTTTCACTTTATTGTTCTGCCTCTGGATTCTTCATGATGAATTCTAACAATTAGCACCTATTGACTTCAGCCAGGAAATAACAAAAAGCCATCCAGAGCATAGTTCCTTTTATTCAAGGTGCTCAGGGCAGTACAGTGGAATTATTTTAGAAGATGTCCTTAACTTTTTATGCAAGCATATTCATCATCTTGCTATGAATAACAAATAAGTACACATTTGTTATGTAGCAAAATTTGTTAAAAACCATAGGAAAAGTATTACTGATAAATTAATTAAAGATAGACTCATCTGAATACTGAATAAGAAAAATACCTGGATATTGAATAGAATTTGTGATTTTTCTTCATTTAGAAGATAATGTGATTAGGTAGAAATGCATTCTTTTGTGGTGGATCAAAACATGTTAGTTCAAAATCTGTTTGATCTATTGTAAAAATTTATTAAATTCAAGACTGACTAATTCAATTTTTTATTCCTTTTGCCTTAAACTGGATTCAGATTGGCCTTTGTGATACTTAGAAAAACACAAAAAGAAAAAGCAAAAATAAAAACAACAATGTGAAAAAAGATTGATAATGAAAAATACTATTGTTATTTTATGGGAGGCATGATCACTTATTATATTAATGTCTATTTGTAATTACTAAAATATAAACATTTTAAGTATATGGACTCAAATTATTTTCTAAAGCAAACCACTCTGGCACAGTCAAGTAAATACATTATTGGGATTTTGTGTGCATGTTTGTTTTCCTCTCCTGTTGACTGTAGAAATATTTGGTTAATGGAGTACTCTAGGGCAAGTTGAATCAATGTTATGTTTGTGCCTTTTTTCCCATTCTAATGTGGTTTTGGTAGCTATATTACTAGAATTTCTGACAGAAACATTCTGGGTGATAATACGAGATCATATGGGGCTTAGAAAAGACAGAGTATTAATCTCTAGTGATTGATCCATCTGTGAGGTTTTCTGTTACAGTGGTAGAGACCGAAATGTGTTAGACTTTTAGTGGTAAAGCAATCTTATGTTTTTCTGCAACTGCTTTCCACTATATTTAAGTATGCTCTCTTTTCCCCTGTGTATGTGTGTGTGCGTGCATGTGTTCTAGCTTCCAGCCTTTTACAACTTATAGTCATTTTTTCTGAAAACTGGAAGCTTGAGGTGGCAGAGTAAGGAAAAACTAAAATTCATAAAGGCAGCATTATCTTAAAGTTATTTTCACTCGAAGACCCTTGTTTCTGTAGGATCAGAAAGCAGCCTAAAATCAACGAGTTATATGAGAAGCAAAATTCCCTAAAGAGGTTAAAGGTTTTGGACTACTAAGACCTCTAATAAGAGGAAGCAAAATAAGGCAGTGACTAAGAAAACTTTTGACTTATAGTTTTTATACCCAAGGTATAAAACTAATGTATAGTTATATATATATTATGTAGATATACAATATATGCATGTATATTTGTGTGTGTTTTACTTAATTATGCCCTCACAACCTTAAAATACTATTTGAAATAGTACTTTAAGCTATAGTTTAAAGTACTAAACTCATAGCTATACATATATATGTACACACACACATATATATGTTTTGAATAGTTTTATACCTATAGCTATATATATATACACACACATACACACATATATATGCACATACACACACATATATATGCCCTCATGACCTTAAAATCCTATTTGAAAAATCTAATATTTATAAGTTTCCTTAGAATCCAACTTTATCATTGATAAAATATCAACAGTCATGTGCTTAAAGTAGTAATAAAATAAATTATCTTCATTCTCATAATTTTAATAATGCTAAGGATTTCACCCACATTAATGCTTATATAACTTCATTTACTCATTCAGTAAATACCAAGTTCCTGATCTGTGATTAATGTGACCTTGTTATCAAGAGGCTTACAGTTTTGGGGGAGACAGACATGTAAATATTTTCTAATCTGTGACTTTGACTATTCCTTTTTTCCCACAATATATAACACAATATAAGAGCATCCAAAAAATTTTGCTCACTTACATGTATATATTTCTATTCATTCATCCTAGACTATAAGCCTCTGTAGGAAAAGGATAATTCAGGAGACATGCTGGGGCAGGGATTAGGAGTGCACCCAGATACAGGGAATGTCATATGTAACAGCTCTATATTCTTGCTAGAGTTTTCACTTCCAGAGACGTGTGCTGACAAATAGGGACAAACACAAACCAGGACCAGATTCAGGAGACTTCACATGGCAATGCAAATGTGTTTAGTTATCTGTAGTTATTGAGTGTTTACTTTGTGCTGTGGAAAATGAAGGATTTTGATGTGAGAGGTAAGAGATTAGTGAGATAGGTTTGGTCGCACTGTGAAAATGGTTTGGAGAAGAGCAAGACCAGCACTGGGTGATTTTTACATTGTGGCTATTGGAATAATTCAAGCAAGAGAAAATTGAGGACCAAAGGTAGGGCTGCAAGAGCTGAGAGCAGGAAACAAACATAAGGAAATACAATGAATGAGTCTTGGTTACTGATTAGATACTGTTAGTGAAGGACAGGAGTCAGAAGGAGAAGGCAGGGTAAAGATCTAAGAAATAGGTACAAGTCGGGATGTTTTCAACACTTCTTTTGACCAAATAAATGGATGGTGGTGACAATTACCCAATAAAATAAAATAAGGGGAGATTATGAGATCTTTCCTGACTTCTTACGTTTGAGATTCCTTGTGACAACCTGGTGGAAATATCCAGGAAGCTCTTAGGTGTACCTGATTAGTTCTGGGGAAATAATATGAGAAGTGTGGGCAGGAGAGGTAGATTTGGTATCCTTGGCTGTGGCAAATGATGCTAGTGGCAGTATCTCCTCGCTATTTGCTAGTATGAATCTTGAAGCTAGTTAAATGCAATCAGTATGTTATAGTTCATGATTGTTGGGAGTAATAGAAATAATATAAACTACCTTTTCACTGAAATTGGCACACAGTAAGATGCCATGGCATTGACGAGATTACATATTTAGTTTTCATAACCACCCTATGCAGAACGAGAAAAAATTATAGCCCAGTGAAACTGTGTGACTACCAATTCCACAGAGTGTGATATTCACACACACTGAAATGAATAGGCTCTAATTCCGTATCTAAGAATATTATTTCAACATGATTTATTCATAGTGTGTTTTGGTGTTGCCATTGCCCCATCCTTATTTTCACCAGATCATATATTAGATGAATCTGTGTGGCTAGAGGGATTTTCATGATAATAGGGCAAAAAAAGGTTAGTCCACATGATGACTAACTTTTGTTAGCACTCTTTTTTGTTTTTGTTTTTGTTTTGAGACAGAGTCTCGATCTGTCGCCCAGGCTGGAGTGCAGTGGTGCGATCTCAGCTCACTGCAAACTCTGCCTCCTGGATTCCAGCCATTCTCCTGCCTCAGCTTCCCGAATAGCTGGGATTACAGGCACGTGCCACCACGCCTGGCTAATTTTTTTGTATTTTTAGTAGAGATGGAGTTTCTCCATGTTGGCCAGGATGGTCTCGATCTCTGGACCTCGTCATTTGCCCGCCTCAGCCTCCCAAAGTGAGCACTGTGTTTTAATATCAGCTGTTTGATGTACACAGCTGGTATTCATGAATACTATTGAGCCTGCTAAAGAGTTGACTTGGGGCCAGGTGCGGTGGCTGACACCTGTAATCCCAGCATTTTGGGAGGCCGAGGCGGGTGGATCATGAGGTCAGGAGATCGAGAGACCATCCTGGCTAACATGGTGAAACCCCATCTCTACTAAAAATACAAAAAATTAGCCGGATGTGGTGGCTGGTGCCTGTAGTCCCAGCTACTAGGGAGATTGAGACAGGAGAATGGCGTGAACCTGGGAGGCGGAGGTTGCAGTGAGCTGGAGCCGGGATCATGCCACTGCACTCCAGCCTGGGCGACGGAGCGAGACTCCGTAAAAAAAAAAAAAAAAAAAAAAAAAGTTGACTTGGAAATACTAAATATTTCCTATGTGTGAAAATATATACTTTTTAAAATAAAACTTGATATTATGTGTGTATATGTGTATATACACGTGTGTATGTATGTATATACATATTTAAAAAGAGATGAATGGGAGAAGAAAATCTTTTACTTAAAAATATTAGATTGGGGAGTTTTAAAAAGCAAATTTCCTTAACATTAATTAACATATAGCTTGTTTTACAAAAGCTGATGAAGATTTATTTCATAGATGCATGTTCATCATAAAAGTGATATGTAAATTCATTCCCTTTTTCTTACTAACCAATAAAGTTATTCTGCAAGAGAAATTTCAATATTTATTGTAATTTGATTGACTTTAAGTTTGCTTCTTCCATAGAGCTTTGTTCCTGGATTTCTATATATTTTTTTTATTTTATCAAAGCGTAGTATATGTCTTAACACATTTAAAAATTATCTTATTTTGGCAAGTATCAACTAGATGGGTCTCTAAAATTAACTTTTTCCCATAGTCACAGTTAAATATTGTATTCTCCTAAAGTAGGGGAGGAAAATATGCATTATGCATTATGGAAACATAACATCAGTCCTCCTCGATTCTATATGTTTCCATAATGCCGAATAATTGAACATATGGTCTCTACCATTGTAGGCTAATTGGTATACACACAAGAAAATGAGGGGGAAGGAGGTGGAGAGAACACTGTAGGCAAGTCTTTGATCTTGGGATTTATGTTTACCCTCTTCAAATGAATTTGTAATAATGAGTTCATTACAACTCTAATATGTATACCTACATATATGCTATATGTTAAATCAAATGAGCATATATTTTTAAACATAACTGGCATTATGCTAAATTATTTCTCCTCTAATATGTAATAGGACAGAACCAGAAACCCAAACCTGTGGTTTTCTCAAACTTCCATGGTACCTCATACAATAATTATGGAGAGGTAAATCATGATACAGTGGCTTAAGGGAGAAGAAGAGGTGAGAGTTTGTCAGTTGGGTTTTGTTTTCCTAATATAGAAATATAAACACATTTTATGGCAAGATAAAGAAGTGAGTAGAAAACAGATGTTTGAGATGATAATTAAATTTAAGCGGGGAGTGAGCAAAACAGGAAGAGACCAGAAAAGAAGAACATAGGCAGAAATGTTCGCTTTTGAAAGTTGAAAGGATATTTTTTTTCCCATTGACACAAAAATAGTGAAGACAGAAAAAGTTCTAAGGTGGAACATGTCAGCCAAGTGAGTTCACTTTGCTTTAGCCTCTTCTTAGTGAAGTAGTAAGGTTTTATTTACTCCTTTGAGTAGGAAGGCTTTACTAGAATCTAAAGGTTGGTGGGGAGGGGTGAAGAGAGAGAGAGAAAGAACCTTGAGTCCTCTCCAGGAACACACAGAACAGAAAGTGATAAGTAGTGTGAAGAAACTGTATGACATAGTAGAGAAGTATATACAAGGGACATTACATTGTTAATTAATTTTACATTTATGATGGGTCTTAATACTAGTTTACATTTATGGGGTGGAAGGAAGCAAAGAATAAATAAAGCATTTTATTTTAACAGAGGGAACAACTAGGGATGATACCTTTATTGAACATTAGTTTTATTGTTTATAATTAAGATAAAAGTAATATATTTTGTACTTTTTACAATGAAATTAGTGATTATTTATCAAATGGATATTCTAGGAAACCTACAAAATTATCACCCCTTCAAGCATATATAAATAAAATCAACAAACACACAAAGCTGGTTTGAGCCAGTTTTATCCAGCTATAAATAATACTCAGGTTGTAATTAATTGCTTTGAAAAGAAGTTAATCCTATCAGGTCATTAAATAACCCCATTAGTAAATTATTGTGACAAGCATATTAGTTGTTAAATACAAGAACAGTAGCATTTTAGCAAATTGTTAGTCCTTAGCAGCTACTTTTATTTTGCTTAAATATAGTGATAGAACCAACCACCATGCCATTACAGAGTATTACTATTGGAAAGAATATAGGGCATTTTCTGAGTTGAAAGTTGAAGATGAATTCACCTGTAAGCATATTATGCTATGTGCACTGGGTTTATTTCAAAATCAGATGACCATATGAATATACAATACTCATATACAGTAAGGTGGAAATTGAAGAAATGAAGGTGAATGTGAAGAAACAAAAGAAAGCAAGAAAATGTATGTATGACTCGATGAAGGGCAATGTAATTTAGCATTCATTCAAAAACTTTTGAGTTCTTATACTATGTGCACTTTTAAAAATTTCAGGTAAACTTCACAGCATTACATGAATAAAATAGCAAGTTGAAAAATTTAACTTGCTGTTTTGAGGAATGAAGTAATTCATTTTAAGCTAAGCTTTCAACTTTAGTTGAAGGAAGAAGTGAGTACTGATTTCTGTTAAAGACTTAATTAGCCATGTATTAAAGAACAATAGTTCAATATACATGGCATGGAAAATACTCCCCATTATGGATTGATATTTTTAAACTGTAACTGTTCAGAGCAATACAGATAATCAAATAATATCCATCACTGAATATGTTGAGCTGATACCACTCTTATACAAATGTACAGACTGTATTTATAATCTAAAAATTATCATTGAAAGCTTTCCCTTGAATTTCCAGACTGCCAATTTATAAGCAGCCTGGTTGGACATATGTAATTATATCAAATTTATATATTCATTCTACCAGCATTTACTATGGTCTGTCTAGGTACCTGTTATTACGCATTCAATGAAGGGGAAAACATTTTTCTTGACTTCACAAAGATCAGAGATTCATTGGGTGTAAAGTAACATAATTACAACAAAATATGGTAATAACATAAGTAGTGATAGAGAGATTCCCAGAGAGTTGTGGGCGCACAATGGGTAGGTCCAACATTCCTGGGATGACTTTTAAGTGTGAGGATGTGTATTGGGTCAGGGAGGGAGCCATAGAAAACTTCCTAGAAGAAGTGGTGTCTTTACTGAGTTGCAAAGATGATTAGGAGTTAACAGGAAAAGAGAAGTTAGAGGGAGAAGGTTTTTTTCTGAAAGATGGTTCCAGAGAGCCAGGTGTTCAGTGAACTAGCATTATAAACCTCTAGTGTTTCTGGATCTGTGACAGTCCAATTTTTTAGTCTTTAGGCTGAAGTGTAAGGCAAGAAGCAAGTCATACAGTCATAGAGGGCTTGTTAGTAGGTTAGAAAAGTTGGGCATTTATTCTACTGAATACGAAAAGTGATGAAAAGGTTTTATGCAGTGTAGGCTTTCTGGGTAGATGATGAATTTAAAAGTGATGAGACTGGACATGTGGAGATGGGCTGGACAGAGGTTATACAGTGCAGGAGAGTGATGATTAGAGATTGAACTTGGGCAAATGCTGAAGTAATTAATTATTATTTAAGTCTAAATTCTTAGGTCTTTTTTCCTTATAATTTAATATCAGGAACTTTAATGAGAACATTAAAAAATAAACCACTAGTAAGAAGCTGTTCGAATTACACGATGTTTTAAATTTATGTGGCTTAGTGTTTTCAATGTTGTATTTATCCCTATGTACATATAATCAAATCTAACCATTATCATAAAAGTCAAAATAATTATTTTCAACCTAATAAAGCTATATTTTCCCAGTATTGACATTGTAGAAATGATGTATTTTGATCAGCATTTGCAGATTATGTAAGATTATTCCTATAATTGGTTTCAAAGCATTTTCTCATATTTATCTCCTTGAATATTAAACCTCATTAGGAAATATATATTTAGATATGCAGAGAAGACTAATTTATAAAACTAAAACATAAAACTAATTTAAGTGTGTAATAGAGCATTAACAGCCATTGAATTCTAGTATAACCAAACAAGATATTTTCTTGTTGTTTTGGCTTATTTGCTGCAAACTGTAGGTACTATCTGTAGAATAAAACTAGTACTCATGAACAGAAACAAGCAACTGAATACCTTTTAATTTCAGTAGTTGTGTTCCTATAGGTCTATTTCAACTATCTATTGGTCTCAAAAGTGTTTGAATTTTCATGTGAAATTCAAACGCAAAAGCTGCTGTTTGCTTTAATGATTATTCAGGAATAATTCTAATTAGCAAATCTGTGGTTCCATTGTTTCTAGTGCATGGTCTCTGAGAAGAATTTCAGAAACTACCAGTCTTCAACATTTTCTGCTAGTTATATAATAAATATATTTCTAATTGGAACACGTTATTGATGTTGAATTATCAGTTTTCTGATACCGTTATTAAGATAAAAATTGCAGCATAAACTGTTATTTCTAGACGCCCGTGGTTCCTTTGTTAGGGAATCATCTTTTATCAGATATATTTATGACTACAAGAAGATGGATGGTTGTTCATTTACACACAATGTATTAAAAATAAAACCAGTTGCTTAGTCAGTAATGGCAAGAGAATGTGTTTTCACTGATTGAGAGGAGATCATTCAACAATGTCAAAAAATAATTTGCTTTATATTACATTTGCCCATAAAAAATATTGACAACTTTATAAGTCATAAGAGTGAGGCAGCTGATGGGCAAGACTGCATGTTTTAGAATTTGGAAATTTAATTTAAAAATACAAATTTTAATATTCTTTATAATTTTTAGTGAATAAATATCTACAGAAAGTCATAACTCATTTTGTTTTCCCTAATCCTTGCTTACTGGCAGGCTAATTGAACAGTGAAGGTCCTAAAGAATACAGGCTGGGCACAGTGGCTCATGCCTGTAATCCTAGCACTTTAGGAGGCCGAGGTGGGTGGATTACCTGAGGTTGAGAGTTCAAGGCGAGCCTGGCCAACGTGGTGAAACCCCATCTCTACTAAAAATACAAAATATTAGCTGGGTGCAGTGGCTTGCACCTGTAATCCCAGCTACTGTGGAGGCTAAGGCAGGAGAATCGCTTGAACCTGGTAGATAGAGGTTGTGGTGAGCTGAGATCATGCTGCTGCACTCCAGCCTGGGCTACAAAGTGAAACTGCATCCAAAAAAAAAAAAAAAAAAAATACAATCATGCAGCAGAGTTAAGAAATTGCAGTTGAGTTTTGAATCAAGCCCAAGTTCATTCTTGGAATATTGACCATTTATAGTAAGCAAAGTCACACCTGGAAATAGATCTCATAGATCCAGTCAGTCTTTTGAAAAAAAAAAAAATAAAAAATTCCTAAGCATTGAGACAAAGTATGATACAATTTATCGATGGAAATTCTTCTTTATAAAATTAGTTTAATGAGGATTTCATTTAAAAATGGCAGACCAAATGCAAGTGTATCTCTATATCCTGTCCTGGATTGTCACAAAAATGAAAGCAACAGGATTTGTCAAAAATCATAAGCCCAGAAGGAAAAAAAGAATAGAAAGGAGCAGAAATGACAACATTTTGGAAGTTGAAAAGCAGATGGCTACATGAGGTTGGACTTAGCAGACCCAAGAAAGCTAAATCCTTAACCAGACTGGAGAAGTATCATAATGTGTACTACTGAACCTACTTAAGGTTTCAAGATTGGTAGTACCAGGTAGCTGTGGAAATAAGAGTGAAGACAAGGCCAAAAAATAGGGAATTTATGAAGAGTGTATTAAAAAAAGTAGCTAGACCCCTTGATTCCCTCATTCATCTTGAGTAGCTTGAGAATTCTGTTGTTCAGTAAAGAGGATAAACCCAATGTCTAGACCAGAGGACACAAGACAGAAAGATCTTCCGTGAAAAGAAGGGGATTAGTGAATTTCTGCATGCTACAAGTGGAGAACATTATTCTCCTTCTTCTTGCTGGGCTGCCAGAACAACTGCTCCGTAGGTAGAATATGACAGTTTGGCTTGGTTATTTGTTGCATAAGATGTGTTGTTGTGAATTATAAGATTGCTAGTTACTGGAAAATGGTACATTTAGATTTACAAATAAAAATGGAAATATGACAAAATTAGAGCTCAGGAAATGTAGGTATTTTGAAAAGTCACTCTTGTCTTCTAAGCCTTTATTTCTACGTAATAAATAATGATGTTCTTTAGCAGTTATATTATTAAAAAGTAAAAAGTAAAGTGTGTCCTTCTTTTTAGTTTCCTAGGCATGCTAACCCTTTTCATCCTGATTTCTCCCAAAACAGTGAAAGCTAAATGACTCAAAAAGAACCTTTAACGTCAATATTTCTGTTAACTGGCTCACAACACAAGCTAACATGAGTTCATTCAAATTTATATCAAATGTGTACAGTTTTTAAAGTTTTTGTTTCCCTTGGTTGGGGCGGGGTGGAGGCAGAGTCTTCTGCAGCAGTGCTTTGTGTATTCCTATGCTTGTTATTCTAATTTGATTGCTTCTGCTATAAAAAGACTGTTTTTAAGTATTTTAACTTTTATTGTTGTCACCAAAATTTTAATTTCCTTGTCCAAGCTGAATTTTAGAAATCAACTTGTTTAAGCAAAAGCAAAGCAAAACAAAACAAATTTAACTCCATAGGAAATTACTTCTATTACTTTGGATCTGGGAAGCTGGATGTATTTCAGCAGGCAGCAGTGGAAGGAACTTGCAAAAAGCATCTTCTGAGAGCTGAAACAGCAGTCACAAATGTGTCTCGCTCTATTTGAGGCTTAACAGAGTAGGAGAGCTAAGCTTCAAGAGACCATGTCTTAGCCTCTAAGGAAAAAGATGTACATACTTTTGTGTGAGCTGTGCAGTAATTTTAAAAATCAGATCCATGACACTTCATTGTGGGATCCCAGAGGATTTTGTTCATTTTCAGAATTCCTCTTCACTAAATTAATTGCCAAAGTTTTTTTCTTAGGAAATGCAAGGGTCAAGTATGCTTGTGTATATTCAAGTAGGTCACAACAGTTAGAAAACTATTTCTGTTGTGGTAGCTGATATGGTTTGGCTGTGTCCTCACCCAAACCTCATCTTGAATTGTAGTTCCCATAATTCCTACATGTTGTGAGAGGGACGGGGTGGGAGATAATTGAATCATGGAGGCGGTTTCCCCATACTGTTCTTGTGGTTATGAATAAGTCTCACAAGATCTGATGGTTTTATAAGGGAAACCCTTTTCTCTTTGTTCTCATTCTCTCTTGCCACCACCATGTAAGACATACTTTTCATCTGCTGCTGATTGTGAGGCCTCCCCAGCCACATGGAACTGCGAGCTCAGTCCACATGGAACTGCGATTCCATTTTTCTTTATAAATTACCCAGTCTCAGGTATATGTTTATCGGCAGCATGAAAGCAGACTAATACCATAGTCATTTTTATTGACTATTTTCACGTTATTTTTAATTATTATTTACCATTTAATAGTATGTCTTTATTTTTATAAAGGACATTTCTGACAAATAGAACAATGTAGTGATCAAATTATTCTTTCTATTGGTATGCTTTTGCTGCTTATGTCAAATAATATGTATTGGAGATTCTATACAGAAAGATTATATACAATAGAATACCTCACATAATCGTGAAAATATATGGAAATATATATTACTTTATTATAACTCCCTGAACTTTTATGAATATTAAAGGGTCCCATAATGAAATCTTGTATCTTTTGTGAAATCACTATAAAAATTATATTATATTGGTCAGTAAATCTTTATATATTGGCTGATGTCATAGAATTCCTTAAAGAATTTAGTGATAGGAAAATAGTTTGGCTCCTAATGAGTCAGTAAGCTTTCTTTCATCAGATATTGATTTCTAATAATTTCATTTTACTTCAATGCAAAAAATCTCAGGGTTAATTTCAGTGCTCAATCATTGTAATTATCTATCCATCATATTAGATTATTTCAAATGCGTTATGGAAGCAGGACAGTGTATATTTATAGCTACATATTCTGTAATCTATTTGGCCCTGTGCAATTCTGTGAATGGCATCTTTACTTAACTCGTTAATTTTTGAGATTGTTGGGTTGGCTAAGATAAGGTGGGGGTTATAAACTGTAGAGACACCTTGATAAGTTATTGTGCACATGTATGGAGAGCACACGCACAATATTGATCACTGCTAGATACAAAGTTCAGACTTCAACAGAGATCTGATTCTGATTTTTCTCCATCACTCTTCAGTCTATACTCACAGTTTCATAATTAAAGCCTTATTATTTCGTATAAGGACCATACCTTATGTTTATCCTTTGTTAAATGTGTGTGTGTGTTTATGTATGTGTGTCTGGAAGGATAGAATTTTATCGTTATTACTCATTTAACACTTAGTACAAAAATATTGCAGACCCTTCCCTATAAAAAGGTGAGAGGAGAAGGTAGGGAGAATAGAAGAGAAGGAAAAGGGGGACACTGGTCTCATGAAAATATAAAAAGACAAGAAAAATTATCATGAGAATACAAAGACAACAGAATATAAGACAACTAAGAAATTGACATTTTGGCTGGGCGTGGTGTCTCACACCTGTAATCCCAGCACTTTGGGAGGCCGAGGCGGGCAGATCACGAGGTCAGGAGACAGAGACCATCCTGGCCAACATGGTGAAACCCTGTCTCTACTAAAAATACAAAAATGAGCTGGACGTGTTGGCACGTGCCTGTAATCCCAGCTACTCGGGAGGCTGAGGCAGGAGAATCGCTTGAACCCGGGAGTCGGAGGTTGCAGTGAGCTGAGATGGCACCACTGCACTCCAGCCTGGCAACAGAGAAAGACTGTCTCAAAATAAAAAAAAAAAAAAAAAGGAGAAAGAAACAAACTGAAATTCTGACTATGAAAGGCCACTTTTACCTGATTCCATTCTTTCATTTAATGATTTGTCAGATTTTTGAAAGGTATTATTTGTCCATGCACTATACTTGTCCTTCGGTAAAGAATTTAGGCATACTCTCTTCCCAGAGATGCTCATAGGTGTTTAAGGGGAAAAATATTATTGTAGTGACGTACAAAGGGAGGACAGAGAAGATAGATAAATGACCATCTAGGGGGTTGAGTCTTTAATCTGGAGGGGTGGGAGTATGTTAGATAGAAAAATTGAAGCAGGATCATCACTGGCAGATAAAGTGGTGTCCACCATAACACGGAGACTTGAAAGAAGAGGGCGATTTGGAAAACTGTGATACTTATGGGATGGCATATGCCTAGGAAGCATGCTGAGGGAGGCAGAGAGTAAATAACAGTAGATAGGACATGAGGGTAGGAGACAAATAAACAATTATGGGTCATATACCCGAGGTTAAGAAGTTTACAGAGTTTAGATTTATCCTAGAGACAGTGAAAAAGCATCTGAGTTTCTTGATTGATATCATAGGAAACTGCCTTAGGCCTACCATGCTCAGGATCTTCACCATATAAAATACTGCAATAGAAATGTCCCTCACCCTTCCGCCCTCAAATTAAAATTATGTGGGTTTTGTTGAGACCTGAATGAAATCTTGATAATATGCTTTGCTTTTAGCTTTTCTTATTTACTCTGAATTCTTCAGATCTTTTTCTGGAAAATTCTCCTGCACAAATTCACATAATGTTTATTATAAATTTACTGGGAAGGGGGCCATATCCATGTGTAAAGTTATTAGCACTATACCTTAATGGGAGACAGATTGTGAATAATCAGTAATGATACCAATTCATAATGATGAAACAGAATATTTATAAACTATTTCCTTTTTATTCAATTGCGTGGCCATTTCTAGTTTATGAATTCATTATCAGGTCAGATTTTAAGTGAATGTTAGCTTTATGTTCTTATAGGTTAGGAGATGTTAGTCAAAGAGGATGAATAACATGAGAATTTTTTAAGAGAAAATGAAAGTGATTTCTAAAATTCTCTTTTGCAGCATCTGTACTCTTGAGCTGTTTTTAAGGCAGTAAAGCAATCTAGATTAAATCAGTTGTCCTTTTTTTAGGTTATATGACTATTTATAGAATGAATATAGTGACTCATGATCCGTAAGATCATCTTGATTTCTTGTATTATAAATTGATCATTCTCTATTATTTATTTACTTAGAGAATAAAAAAAAATGAGAAAGATTTTACAGTTGTCTCTCACTTTGTTCCATTTTCTTTTTGTGGGCTTAAAAATTATAGTAGGTAGATAAATTGCCTTTCTTTGGCTTCTGAAATGATTTTAATAGCTTAAGCTAAATTAAAAAATATATCTCTGAATCTTTGTTCTAGCAATTTGATGTGTTAGATATTAAATATATTCATAGAAAAAGAGCTTATGTTATAAATTTATTATTATTGTGTACCTAATTTTAAATGCCTATTATGACTGCATTTATTTGGCATTTTTAAAATCTGGTTTGATTTAGCTCCTGATAAAGCATATTGAATTCAGAAAATATAATACCATTTAGGATTTTTTGCTGCAAAATCTATTACGCTGTAGGAGGTTTCACATTTCCAGAATGGAAGCAGTAAGTTTTGTGGGGTCAGGGTGTAACCAGTGAATGAAAGATGAAAGTCAGAACTCAAAATGAAGTGCCTTTTCTGTTTAACACTGGGCACTGATAGAAAATGATAATGTTTGATTAATGAACGGCAGCCTTGCAGCGGGTGAAAACATCTGCAAGAAGTGATTTATTATTTCAAAGGTATTGGAAGCTTGCAGTATCTTGCCGATTTAGGTATGTGTGCCTGAATAAAATAAATGAGATGCAACATGTGAAAAATGAAAACACATTACTTGTAAAGGATGTGTCACAAGCAGGGTATTTTTGTTCAAGTACACTTTGTCATGGGGATTTTTAATGCTGTTCTGAATACAAATCATTTAGCTGGTTCATAAAATCGCCTCAGTTGGAATTCTTGCATCTATCATCCAAGACATAAATGTGGGTTAAACTTAATGTGGTGTAACATATCCTTAAATGTTCAAATTTTGTATCATATACAACTATTAAAATTGTACATGTTTTATGTATAAAGATGAATAAATTATAGCTACTTAAAATAACGGTGCCCAAAGAGAAACAAGGTTTGAGGTCTTAATTGAACACTCATCAAATACTCAGAGCTAAGGCTTTTCACTGCAGCTATTGTGGCTAGACATTTGAATAATCTATCATTTTATGATTGAACAATTTTTAGTTAGGTGACATGTTATATGACAAATAATAGAATATAATGAAGGGAATGGTACTATCTTAAGTACTAATATTTAAGCTCTCCTGTGTGTGTGTGTGTGTGTGTATACACACCTTGAATTATTCACTGTGGAAACAGATAAGATTTAAATTTTTTTCAAGGAACAAGTAAACTGATAATATTCATAATAGGAATGATAAAGAATGTGAAAATAAACTTGGAATAATCTATATTAGAGTTATGCCCTAGGGACTACTAATTCCTTCTTTTGTGGTTTATGAGATGTTTCTATCTGTTTGTTTAACTTGCCTCTAAAATGCCCTTTTGTGAAGTTGGGTGTTGTAATTATGAGCAAGCTCCTCTCCAGATCAACAGAATTTAGGAAAATATAATCACCATCATAAACTAAAATCTATGGGAAAAACATGTCTTTTTTAAAATTTGAAAATTTCAAATTGTGTGCGTAATTGTTAATAACTTAGAAACTGAATTGGAGCAAGGTTTAGGTATCTCTTTTGACCATTGTTGCCTTAGGTCTTAGCATAAAACTAAATCTTCACTAAATGTTTTGTTGAATGATTGAATACATTACAAGATTAGAAGAGGAAACATTGTTCTTAGCAGTTTTGCTCCTTTTTCTACTGGAGTAATGGAGAACCTGTTCTATGCCAGGGAAAGAGCTGCACTTGAAATATGACAGTAAAGAGGATAGAGTCCTTGTTCTAGAGGAGCTCCTAGCCTTTGGGAGACAGACATTCAGTACAACACATCACATAATGAAACACTTTGAAAAGCAGAAATGTAAGGGGCTATGAGGGTGCATTCTAAGGGAACATCCCCTAAGTGGAGGGAGGAGGGATCCTGCAAGCTGAGTTTTGAGAGAACAAAGAAAAGAAGCAGTGGCAGGAGATGGTAGATAGCTAGGTTGGGAAGTGAAATGATCAGATTTGCATTTGGAAAAAGAATTACTCTGTCGGCCTCGGTGGATGGCAGAGTAGAGTTGGGAAACCTTTTAAGAGGCTATAGCAAGGGGGGCTGTTAATAAGAACAGGAGGTAATACATTGAATTCTAATCTATCCAGGCATACAAATCTTTGCCAACTATGGAACCTCAGTGTTTCGCCTGTGTCCCAGTTTCTGTTTTCTTCCAGGAATGGTCATGGCTTAAAAATAAGAGTGTCTTTCATCATTACTTTTTGGAACTTCCTACTTCCCTTTCTTATATTAAACTTTCAAATATGCGAGTCTTAATTATCATTTAAGTTAAACACAGTGGTATTCTTCTGACAATAACACAGTTCCAGTAAGATTTTATGTTTTCCAAGTTTTGACTTCACTAAAATGTGAAGAAAAAATATTATTTTATTATCAAAGAGAAATACATGATTAATTGTAGTATGAGCAGATTTAAGCAAACTAATTGTTATTTCCAACCACAAAATCATTCAAGATAGAAAAAGAAACATATTTTAAGTAACTTATTCATGTACAGATAGTATCATAAGTAGGATGATAAATATGAACAAGATTTAAAAACGCATTTATAAAAAGAATTTCTACAACCTTTTTATTTTCTAAAATTTGCTAACCCTCACTGTCAGGAATATTTCACTCATCTTTTGTGCTATCAGATAAATCCAGTTTTTAAATGGAAATAGTCATGATCACCTTGAGAGCTCCTTATGTAGCTGAAAATCTTTATTAAATTGATTTTTAGTATTTACTTCTCTAGGCTGAATAATTACAGTTCCAATTAATTAAAGACTAAAAATTGCTTCCTCAATTACACTGCAATATGTAGGCAAACATAGGAAAATATAAACCTTCTTGATTTAGGAGTTTTTTAGAGCTCCTTGCTTAGATGTTAAATATTAATGTAGCCTAACATGCTTAACATCAAAGGACATATAGAGATTTGTTCTTCTTACTAATTATGTAGATATAACATATGTAAAACAAAATTAAGATCTGGGTGTACTTACTACAAATATAATACGAATTTAGATTCAATATAGGACACTGAGGGTCTATAGAGGATCTTCTAAGGGGAATCTTCTCTGACTGAAATGAGGTAACAGTAGCCGTATGCTTATACATAGTTTCTAAGAGTCTTCCATTCCAAGTGATTATGATTAAAAAGTTACTTAACAATTCTTTGTTCTATTTTTTTAAAGTTAATTATGAATAATCATATAATTTGCCTCACAGGACTGAGAGGATTAAATGATTTCACACAGCGAAAATGCTTAGAATAATGCCTGGCATAAAACAAATGCTTAACATGTGTTAGCTATTATTATAATGTATTCTTACCTTTCAATAGTGAATAAAACTGCGTGTCTTTATAGGAGAAATCAGTGTCTTTCCTAGTTCTGATTCCACTTTTACTTGATTTCTCTTTTTTTTTAATAAAGTGTTTTCTTTTAGTAACTATTTCTAAACCTCATTGTCAAAATACTAATTTTAACCATAATCATATAACAGGAAATCCAGGTTTATTCCCCAAGTATTTAGCTTCCTATCAAACACATGACATAGTATCTATTGAGATGATCCACAAACACCAAATTGCCTGTAAGTAACACGGTCTACCTGACTGGGTCCACTTTTACCTTAGTTTTAAGTCAGTTTGCTTATAATGTCTTAGACATTTACTCTAAGCCCCAGAGTGATTTCCATAGTCATACTTTCTAAGGTTAGATGTTCTAGATGATGACTGCTTGATTGAATCCATATTTAGTCTCACTATCTAGATTCCTTACCATGATTATAGTGAGGCTATCAGTATGGTTTTCTGATTGCCAGACCAAAACTATGACAATTGACTCAAACTATCACCTAATAATGCTTGCACTTAAATCCAGACTTGACATTCAGTAGGCTTATTATGACTACAAGGTTCCTTTCAATAATAACTTTCTGTGTTTCTGTAAGGCTGTAGCCAAGGTGAAAGTTAATGAAAATCTGATTTGGTAGTAGCAGCAGGAATGAATTTAAGAAGATGGATGAGAGAGAAAGGGCAGAGTTGAGTCATCAGTAATTGGCAAAATATCAGATGTATGAGTTGGGAAAAACTAGAAGAGACTCTGCAGTTAGTAACTTTTTATTTTAGTAGCTCCTTTTTGGACATAATTTTGGTTATCATACAGCCTTGACAGTTTAGTGATCTTAATATTTTATTAGGAAAAACTTCAAATATGAAGTAATTTTATATATCTGTTTTCTCAGAAGTTATACAATTATACAAAGATACTATGCAGATATAATATGGTTTGATAACAAGTCAGTAATTAGAGATAATCTTTTTAGCTCATTCAGAGAAATTATAAAGATAAAATATTTTTGAATGAAATTATGCTCAATATTATTTTATTATACATTGTATATATATTTCCCTTCAAAAACATATGTGATTTTGGATTTAAAGTTGTCTGCTTTTAGTAAAACACTCACGCTGGATAAATATTTATTACATTAGAATAAAAACTGTATATTATACTGGTTCTGTTATTGTTCTTATTATTGTTTTCTTCATGATCTCCTACATGTTATTTCAACCCAAGAGAATTTATCTTTCATTTCTAATCAGATAGACATTTGGCTCTGTACTCATCTCCCCATCACTTTGGGCCACCAAATATAAGATTACTTATAAGAAAATGTATAAATGTTAAAATTTAAGAATATATGTGTATTTAAATTTTTATTGGTGGAAAGGACACCAAAATATTTAAACTTATATTTTCTAGTAAGCTAGTTCCCATTTCTCCTTAAAGTCAACAGCCATATCAAAAAATGCATTTTTTTAGGAAATCAGAAAACAAATACAAGTGGTATATTCTGATGTAATTTAGGAGCTTCCAGAGCTGATGAAATCAGGCAATAACTACAGGTGAGAAAGTGCAAATAAGTATTTTAGAGTCTTGGGAAACCCAGGAATGGTATCAGATACAAGGGCACTTTGTTCTTCTTTAAATGGATGGGTATGGGAACTGAGATGAGCAATGCTGGTGAGGGGAAGAAACAACAGCAACCAAGAGCTTTCTGAACTTGATTTTGTTCAGAAAAACAGAGTAGGTGAAACTACTCAAGTAATCCAGTACAAATAAGCCATATTTGCAAGTAGTGTCCTATCCCTGTGGCAGCAAGAAAGGAGAGAACTCTGTCCCTCACCATAACCACCTCTGCAGGAACATCCTGCAAATAACCAATTAAGCAAAGTTAGCTCATTACATGATGAGTAATAAGATATTCTCATGGCATTAAAAGAAAAATACTACAGAAAATTTATGGAAAAGAGGCAATTAATTTACCAAGAGATAAGCATACTTTCCAAAAAAAATTGCAATGGAACATAAAGAAAATAACAAAACATTTTGAATTTTATTTAAAAGAAGAAAACTTAATCTTGTATTACCATGAGTGTTTTGAAAACCATAAAGCATAAGCCTCAGAACAAAATAAGAAAAAATAGGAAATAGAAAGTGAGTTGACAAAATATAAAAGAAGATGTGCGTTCAAACAACATAATCACTAAAATAAAGACACAATGGGAGGAGCATAAGAATGAATAAAGATAGCAAAGCCCTGTAGAGGACATCTGATATGGAAAGGAGGAAAATGAAAAAAAAAATAAAAAGAAGATACAGATAAAAGTAAAGAATAGGGAGAGAAAATAATAACCAAAGGAAACAATCAAAGCAGATTCAACATATGCATAATTGGAGTACTTCAGGAGGATTCTGCACTGCACTGGAACAGAATATGTATTTGAAACTATAATACAAAAAATATTTTTGTGTGAAATGAAATGTTTGAAATTGTACTTTGAAAAGACTTGCCCTGGGATGCTTTAGACAGAAATATCCTAGGAAAACTTTTGTATTTTACAAAATAAAACTTCCTTGGACATATAGGGAAAATGATCAAGTCATACTGAAGAGAAAATATTAGACTGGCTTTACACTCCTCACAGCATCATTCTGTAACAGAAAACACTGAAACCAAACTTACAAGATATTTAGAGAAATAAAGTGTGAGCCAAGTATTTGATATTCAGCTAAGATTTTCTTCAAATATAGAATCTACAAGTAATTTCTCAGAACTCAGGAAAGATTGTTTTTTGGAGACTGTTCTTGGTGAAACTGTTAGAGAAAAACTTTAGTAAGATTGGGGCTCAAAATTATTGTACACAGATCAACAGCTTTTATATATGCAAACAGTAACCCATCAGAAGATGTAGTAAGGAAAGACCATATTTATAAGAACAACAAAAGTTAAATTATTTTGTTATAAACCTAACATATCATTAAGCCTCATGAATTAAAATAATATAGCATTAGATCATGAAAACATATATTAACAGAACAGATTAAAAAAACAGAAACAGACACAAATGCATACAGAGATTTAGAATATTTAAAAAGTAGCATTTGAAATCAGTGTAGAAAAGACAAGTTATTTCTTACATGGCATTGATATAACTGGGATATCCTCTGTAATGGAGTTGGATCCATTCACTAAGATAAAATAATATATTTCACAAAAAAGGAAATTAAAATGACTTCTAAACTTTTGAAGAGATGCTCAACTTCACACATAATAAAAGAAGTGTAACTCAACACTCCCTGACCTACCATTTTATCTATCACACTGACAAATTGTTGACGAGGGTACAAGGAAATAGACACTCCTATACAATTATTATATAAAACCATCAATTCCACCTCTTGGAAATTACATACATGAAACAATGTGTCTAAAAGCTTATTAACTGCACTACTGTTTATAATAGCAAAGTAATGGAAACAACCTAAATGTCCATCAAGAAAAACTAGGTAGTAACTGATAAATAAGTTACAGCGTATTCATGCAATAGAATACTGTAAGTTTTAAAAATATTAAAGATCTTTAAATACTGATGGGGAAATATCTCTAAGATGGAACAGTACTGGGAAGAAAGTTGATGTAAAACCATATATATTATAATTTGCATAAAAAAGTAAAATTTTTCTTGTGTATGCATTAAAAAATTATAGACACAAGGCTACCCAAGAAAACTTAAGATAGAGGAGACAACAGTGAAGGGTCACTTTTCATGGTGTATATTTTTATATCTTATCTTTGCATATGTGAATATATTAATTATTCCAGAATGTATGTGTGAAATATTTGACATTAAAAACATGTAAAATTGGCCAGGTGCGGTGGCTCATGCCTGTAATCCCAGCACTTTGGGAGGCTGAGGTGGGCAGATCATGAGGTCAGGAGTTTGAGACCAGCCTGGCCAATGTGGTGATACCCTGTTTCTACTAAAAATACAAAAAAAAAAAACAAAAACAAAAAACAAAAAACAAGCTAGCTGTGTGTGGTGGTGCTCGCCTGGAGTCCCAGCTACTTGGGAGGCTGAGGCAGGAGAATCTCTGGAATCCAAGAGGCGGAGGTTGCAGTGAGCCAAGATTGTGACACTGCACTTCAGACAGGGCAATAGATGGAGACTCTGTCTCAAAACAAACAAACAAACAAAAATGGAAAATTCACTTTATAATGTATTACCATCTGATGTATATACTCAAATTATTTGCAACATATAGTTACCTGAAACCAAGGGTCAGAAAGCGATGGCAAGAATTTTTAACATGATCTTTTGGTAGATATATAAAATTACAGTTTTATTTTTATTAATCATTGGAGATTGAAAAGCTTGAAATTTTCTTTTCCAAGTTCCCCCATATACAGACATAGCATTCAATACAGATGTTTTCTGTGGTTCTCAGTAGAAGACTTCTGTGTAGAAAACCATTGCAGTGAGCTCAAATAAAGGATGATTCTTTTTTTTTCAGATTTTAAAAATACAATTTTCTTTTTTTTATTATACTTTAAGTTCTAGGTTGCATGTGCAGAACGTGCAGGTTTGTTACATAGGTACACACGTGCCATGGTGGTTTGCTGAACCCATCAATCCCTCATCTACATTAGGTATTTCTCCTAATGCTATCCCTCCCCTAGCCCCCCAACCCCTGACAGGCCCTGGTGTGTGATGTTCCCCTCCCTGCGTCCATGTGTTCTCATTGTTCAACTCCCACTTATGAGTGAGAACATGCAGTGTTCGGTTTTCTGTTACTGTGTTAGTTTGCTGAGAATGATGGTTTCCAGCTTCATCCATGTCCCTGCAAAGGACATGAACTCATCCTTTTTTATGGCTGCATAGTATTCCATGGTGTATATGTGCCACATTTTCTTTATCCAGTCTATCATTGATGGCCATTTGGGTTGGTTTCAAGTCTTTGCTATTGTAAACAGTGCCACAATAAATATACATGTGCATGTGTCTATAGTAGAATGATTTATCATCCTTTGGGTATATACCCAGTAATGGGATTGCTGGGTCAAATGGTATTTCCAGTTCTTGATACTTGAGGAATTGTCACACTGTCATCCACAATGGTTGAACTAATTTACATTCCCACCAACAGTGTAAAAGTGTTCCTATTTCTCCACATCCTCTCCAGAATCTGTTGTTTCCTGACTTTTTAATGATTGCCATTCTAACTGGCATGAGATAGTATCTCATTGTGATTTTGATTTATATTACTGTAATGACCAGGGATGATGAGCTTTTTTTCATATGCTTGTTAGCCACATAAATGTCTTCTTTTGAGAAGTGTCTGTTCTTATCCTTTGCCCACTTTTTGATGGGGTTGTTTGCTTATTTCTTATAAATTTGTTTAAGTTCCTTGTAGTTTCTGGATATTAGCCCTTTGTCAGATGGATAGATTACAAAAAAATTCTCCTATTCTGTAGGTCACCTGTTCATTGGTGATAGTTTCTTTTGCTGTGCAGAAGTTCTTTAGTTTAATTAGATCCCATTTGTCAATTTTGGGTTTTGTTGCCATTGCTTTTGGTGTTTTAGTCATGAAGTCTTTGTCCATGCCTATGTCCTGAATGGTATTGCCTAGGTTTTCTTCTAGGGTTTTTATGGTTTTAGATTTTATATTTCGGTCTTTAATCCATCTTTTAAATTTAATGTAACTTAATTTAATTTAATTTAATTTAATTTAATTTTATTATTATTATACTTCAAGTTTTAGGGTACATGTGCACAATGTGCAGGTTAGTTACATATGTATACATGTGCCATGCTGGTGTGCTGCAGCCATTAACTCGTCATTTAGCATTAGGTATATCTCCTAAAGCTATCCCTCCCCCCTCCCCCCACCCCACAACAGTCCCCAGAGTGTGATGTTCCCCTTCCTGTGTCCATGTGTTCTCATTGTTCAATTCCCACCTATGAGTGAGAACATGCGGTGTTTGGTTTTTTGTTCTTGCGATAGTTTACTGAGAATGATGATTTCCATCTTGAGCTAATTTTTGTAAAAGGTGTAAGGAAGGAATCCAGTTTCAGTTTTCTGCATATGGCTAGCCAGTTTTCCCAACAACATTTATTAAATAAGGAATCCTTTCCCCATTTCTTGTTTTTGTCAGGTTTGTCAAAGATCAGATGGTTGTAGATGTGTGGCATTATTTCTGAGGCCTCTGTTCTGTTCCATTGGTCTATATATCTGTGTTGGTACCAGTACCATGCTGTTTTGGTTACTGTAGCCCTGTAGTATAGTTTGAAGTCAGGTAGCATGATGCCTCCAGCTTTGTTCTTCATGCTTAATGTTTTCTTGGCTATACTTACTCTTTTTTAGTTCCATATGAAATTTAACAATTTTTTTTTCTATGAAGAAAGTCAATGGTAGCTTGATGAGGATCGCACTGAATCTGTAAACTTTGGGCTCTATGGCCATTTTCACCATATTGATTCTTCCTCTCCATGAGCATGGAATGTTTTTCCATTTGATTGTGTCCTCTCATTTCCTTGAGCAGTGGTTTATAGTTCTCCTTGAGGAGGTCCTTCACACCCCTTGTAATTTGTATTCCTAGGTATTTTATTCTCTTTGTAGCAGTTGTGAATGAGAGTTCACTCATGATTTGTCTCTTGGTTTGTCTGTTATTGGTGTATAAGAATGCTTGTGATTTTTGCACATTGATTTTTGTATCCTGAGACTTTGCTGAATTTGCTTATCAGCTTAAGGAGATTTTGGGCTGAGACGATGGGGTTTTCTAAATATACAATCATGTCATCTGCAAACAGGGACAATTTGACTTCCTCTTTTCCTAATTGAATACCCTTTATTTCTTTCTCTTGCCTGATTGCCCTGGCCAGAACTTCCAATACTGTGTTGAATAGGAGTGGTGAGAGAGGGCATCCTTGTCTTCTACTGGTTTTCAAAGGGAATGGTTCCAGCTTTTGCCCATTCAGTGTGATATTGACTGTAGGTTTATCATAAACTGCTCTTATTATTTTGAGATACGTTCCATCAATACCTAGGTTATTGAGAGTTTTTAGCATGAAGTGGTGTTGAATTTTATCGAAAGCCCTTTCTGCATCTATTGAGATAATCATGTGGCTTTTTGTCATTGGTTCTGTTTATGTGATGGATTATGTAGGAAATGAAAGCGGAACTGGAAAATATCAGGAGTAGAAGTAAAATCTTTCTTTATTTGGTGGTTAGAAAGTCTTTTATATCTGATCTGTCACTTTTTGTTTCTTCTATCTCCATCCCCTTCCTTTCCTCTGCACCTTTATATGTGCTCATTATATATGTCTCCAAAAGAAGTTCTCAGTCCTGTACTTTGCACCAGATTTCAGCCAAATTGCCCACTACGCACTGTGTACAATATCTGGGTGGATTTGTCAGAAATCAGGAACTAGATTAGGCGTTCATCCCCCATCTAATCAACTGTGTATAAAGAAATGATCATTTGGTATGTTCCCCCATGCAAGCCTGAGGACAGTCTCAGCAGTGCCATATAGCTTTTACACTCCATCCATGTGCCAGACAGGTAGTCATATCCTTCATCTAAGAAAAACTGGGAGCCTATGGCTCCCTTTTCAAATTGAAGAGGAAAAGTTTATGCTAGAAGAATTTTATGCTAGAAGGCCCACCCATTAAAATCATAGCAGGCAAGAATAAACAAATTACTTATACTAAATGTCATATCTTGGTGCCTCAAGCAACAGGGCCAAGTATGAGTCATGCTTTTCTTCTATCACTGTTTTGGCCTCTGTGACTTTTCTATTGAAGTGACCATTTTTTTTCACCCAGGGGAAATTTTTATGAGGGACCACTTGTGTAAAGGGGCAGGAACTTCATGGCAGTAGCAGTTGTGGAAAACTCAGGCTCTGTCCCACCTTTTGCCCATCTTTCAGGGAAAGCCCTCAAGCCTGTTAATTCATGGTGTGGTTACATAACTTACAATTACAGACTCTAATAATCTAACAGAAAGTAAATAAATTGCCGGGCACAGTGGCTCACACCTATAATCCCAGCACTGTGGGAGGCTTCAGTGGGAGGATCACCTCAAGTCAGGAGTTTGAGACCAGCCTGACCAACATGGTGAAACCCCACCTCTACTAAAAATACAAAAATTAGCTGGTCATGGTAGCAAGTGCCTCTAATCCCAGTTACGCAGGAGGCTGAGGCAGGAGAACTGCTTGAACCTGGGAGGCGGAGTTTGCAGTGAGCTGAGATGGTGCCATTGCACTCCAGCCTGAGAGAGAGACTCCGTCAAAAATAAAAAATAAATAAAAATAAAAGAAAATAAAAGAAATTTGTAAGTAAAAATGCTTCTACAAGAAGCTGGAAGCAATAATAAAAAAAAATCTTAAATGCAACAATTGGATTTGGAAAATGCCATTTTCTTAGAAGTTTTTTCTTAAAAACAAATCGAAGAATTTGTACCCTTTAAATCTGTAAGTCACTACGTAACTTGACTTCATTAGTATGTATTTAAACATTTTAATGAGTTGTCAGTTATATATGAAGACTAGACAGATAGATTTTCTGATGTCTGATTAACTTTGGGTTGCTTTTGTTTTGAAAATTAACTTCATATTTGTGATATGGCAAAAACACCATTTCTGCCCCATTGTTTCAGTTAAGTTGAGTAGAATAAAGGCCAGCTTTCACAAGATTGTTAATCAGTGTCACTCAGAAACCATGTTGTCTTGAATAGGCATGTTCTGCGTCATCTGTTCATACACATGCGTTTGAGGATCTAATTTGACCATGTATTTTAAAAAAATTGGTATTAAAGCCTCCATAGTAGTTTCTTGAATTAACAATGAGATAATTGGAATCAATGTTTTATCTGAAAATCTTATTTCTTTGTTTACCTACCAATTATATGAAATTAAGTTCACATACACACACCCTTATAACGCTGAAGGACCCAGCTTCATAGACTATTTATAAGATTGGGGTCTTGTTTTTAATGAGACCATTGATTATTTGATATAGCACATCACCTTAATTATCACTAGGAAGGAGATTTTTAAAAACCTCTAGTAAATTAAACTCTTATTTATACTTTTAAAAATGCATAGTGCTTACATTTTTTTTCCAAAATTTATATAAGTAAGAAAAATATAAGATGAAGGAAAGCAACTGAAAATACACACACAAAATAACAGTTAATAGTGAATAGAGTACAATAATTTTTTTCAGTGTCTGAGCCATGGAGCGGTAGAAAACAAAAGGTAATAGAATATTATTTTTAATTTAGTACACACACATATTTTGTAATAATGGCATTATCAATAACAGTAAGCAATAGAATTTATTAACTGTTTACATATATATACCAATCATCTATAATGTATTTTTAAGTCATTATTGCAATCCTGAGAATAGTCTTATTTCTGTTTTGTATATAGAGACACCAAGATTATTTAAAACTGTGTGCCTTACAGTTAGCAAATGGGTAGTGCTGGTTGAATGCAACCCAGTGTCTGTATATCTTCTGCCTCATCAACTGCCTACAAAGAAGATTTGCCTTACTACACTGCTGATGGGTAACAATGCAGGACTGTTCTGTGGCTAAAAATATGTTTTTAAAGCTTCAAAAATATATATTGAAACCGTTATGATACCATCTCCAAATGATATGGTTTGGATGTTTATCCCATCCAAATCTTATGTTGAAATGTGGTCCTCATTGTTAGAGTTGGGGCTTAGTGGGAGGTGTTTGAATCATGGGACTAGATCCCTCATGAATAGCTTGGCATTGTCCTTGCATTGAGTGAGTTCTCACCCTGTAAGTTCACATGAGACCTGGTTTTTAAGAAGAGCCCGACACTTCCTCCTTTCTCTCTTGCTCTCTCTCTCACCGTGTGACATACCAGCTCCCCCTCCCTTCTGCCACGATTGTAAGTCTACTGAGGCCTCACTAGAAGCCAAACAGATATGAGTGCCATGTTAGTACAGCCTGCATTGGCAAATAAACTTCTTTTCTTTATAAATTACACAGTCTCAGGTACTCCTTTATAGCAATGCAAAATGGACTAAGTCATCCAATATGAAGATTTTCTCTCACTCAATACCAGGAGCTTTCAACTTAATTCTTGAATTTTCATAATGGCTTAGTCTATATGATCAATAATAAAGAGTTGGTAAGCTTGTTGATGGCCATTAATTTAGAAAGTAGCTTCTCCTAGGTGACATAATGATTTGCCACAAGTACCCACATGTGCAAAAACATCTGTGTCTTATTCTGTCAGGCATGGCTTCCCAGGGCATAGTTCTCTGTGGAAATAAATGAGAGCATAACTTCAGGGGATGTGCCAATGTACATATGTCTGTGTGCCTCTCTTGACCAAATCCTGGTATGCTGAGCTGACAGTGAGGGTTTTTACCCTCACTGTATGTACATTTTGAAAATGTTATGCATGTGATTCTCATCTGTAAAACCTTCTGCCTTCCAGATGAAAACTTGTTCTCTTCCTTGGTCTCAACAAATTGGAAACACAAGTTCTAGACTTGTCAAGGCCAAGGAAGAGAGCAAGTTTTATGAGAACACCATTAATATTTAATGTTACATGAGATACAGTACATGTGCTTAGAGTGAACACCAAGGGCTCATCAGGCAAATTCAGAGAAATGATGCTGGGCACAACGTATTGCATTTAGCGCACCCTTCAAGCAAAAGAGACCTTGTCAACAAAAGGTCTTGGTTTATCTGTTCTCTATTCCATCCTTTCAGAATGATCCTTAGTATAGATTTGCACAAAATCCATCAGTAAGGTTAGTATTTTCCTGAAATATTTTAAAGGAATTGGAAAAGAGATGTATAGTAAAGTAATAAAAATATTAATTAGAAAGCAGAGTAGGCATCACTGTTCTTAAAATATTCGTTGGCTATCACACTTGTTCCCTTCGTGAAATTACATCTCACCTATTTCCTTTGTTGTCTTCTTTCTGCCCTTTCTCTTTTCTCACTTCTTTCTTGTTTGTCTTGGAGCAAAATAATATATATGTCTCCTGGTCTAAGGCAAAGCTCTTTAGTCCTTTGCCTGGTTTTCTGGGTGCTTGCCAACCTTAGGGTATTTTGTGTTGTTGAGGGGGGGAAAACTTTTCCTGTACTCTCTTATGTTCAGTGTCTGGGGGGTCTATAAAATAAACTGCCAAAAGATATTATCAGAAGGAAAAAAGGTTTATTCATATGCATAAAGGAGCTAACAAAAGAAGTAGGTAGCTGGATAAATGGTTAAAGTTAAAGCCTAATATACCCAACTTAGTAGGGGAGTGGGGGAAGGCTTCTATGGGAATAACAAGTAGGTTTCTTTAGGAAAGACAAATTGGTTTTGAGGAGAACAAATGGGAGATAAAGTTTGTGATAATGTTCATTTATGAGGTGTGTGTGGTTTTTCCTTCTTCTTCATGCCATGAAACTCTCCTGAAGAGAGGATTTATGGTAGCTGTACTCTTAGTCTTCTTCCTGGGAGTAGAAGCCACCCAGAAGATGGAATTTATGGCAGCCTCATTTCCCAGAAGTTTCTGCTTTTAGTCAAATTGGGAAAGCTCCAACAATGTTTTTTTCTGCATTGGTTGAATCTCAAATACCTTCAATTTAATTTCTTATACCAACTCTGGGGACCTGAGTGGGTTCCCACACAGTGAATCAAGGTCCCTGGCATTTTGCAACATTGTATGCCTGCCATCCATGCTCACAGGATTTCTTACTGACCCTGGGTAGGTTTGTCAAGGCATTTCATGGGAGAGACAATGCCCTCATTCACTGAGTGAACTTCTCATTTCTAGTGTTAAGATAATATGAATAAGAACTTTTCACTTGTTACAGAGATTAAAGAATTCAGACATTACTGGGGAAGCATTCAAGACTCTTCGGTAGAAAATAACATTGTAAAGCTGTGTTGATCTCAGAGAAGTGGGGAAGCAAAAGTTTGTTATTAATGATGATTTTAAATAATAATTATAAAAATGATAATTCACATATTATATGTCTTCATTTGCCCATGTCCTCTTTCATATAAAAATGGCAAATGCAAGTAATCCTAAAAGTGTTCTTGTCAGGCACTAAGAAACATAAATAAATCATACTTAATTTTGCACAATTCTATTTGGTGGATTTTTATCTATATTTTATTTATAAAGATCATGAAATTGGAAAGGTCGGGTGACTTGCCCAGGGTAACACAGCTGTAAGCGGTAGGACTCAGATGTGATGATTGTAATCTAGGAGTAAGAAATAGAGACCTAGAGAAAGGTGGGGCCAGTTGAAATGGAAATGAAAGTGGGAAAAAGGGATGAAATAGGATCAACAGTATGACTTCATTAATTGGTATTATTACTTTGATATTATTACTTGGATGATTGACTTAGTAACTACTATATGCTTGGAGTGAGAGATGGGAATGAAGCCAAAAATGATGCTAAGTGAGCCTGGCTTAGTGATTTTTTTTTAATAGAAATTATGAGGGACTATGGCTGGGTGCAGTGGCTCATGCCTGTAATCCCAGCACTTTGGGAGGCCAAGGTGGGTGGATAGCTTGAGTCCAGGAGTTCGAGACCAGCCTGAGCAATATGGCGAAACCCCATCTCTACAATAAAATACAAAACTTAGCTGGGCATGGTGATGCATGCCTATAGTCCCAGGTACTGGGGAGGCTGAGGTGGGAAGATTGCTTGGGCCTAGGAACTCAAGGCTGCAGTGAGCCGTGATCACACCACTGCATTCCAGCCAGGGCAACAGAGTAAGATCCTGTCTCAAAAACAAAGAAGCAAACAAATAAAAACAATTATGAGGAACAGAAAAATATCTAGTTTTTGGGACGGGACAATTTCTTCAACTTTAGACATAATGAGTTGAGTTAATGAGAATGTCAGTATCTTTCCTTTTAAATTGTTTGACATTAATTTTTGAATACACTCTACATGTACAATATAGACACTGAGGATAGTTGAATAATTTTAGCAGACGTATTCCCTGCCCTTGAAGAATTCCATGCTAGTTGATTAAGAAATGCATCCATGTATTTAATAGCTAGAGAATAATTTCAGTGCAATTTGTAAGTAAATTCATTATTTAGGCAAGAACCACACTGGTGGTCTTAAACTGTGGGTGCCAATTACATCGTTAACACATAATCCCATGGCGGAGCCACTGAGGGAGAAGTAGGCAGTACATTCCTCTCCCATCCCAAGAACTGCACCCTGGCCACCCCTAGCTCTTGGTATGTAGACACGTCACTCTAGGGATGGAACACTAAGGAATAGACTGTGCCTCACAAAGGCCCTGGAAACAGGTTCAGCCTTTTGGGAATGGAATTCCCACAATTAAATGGGAGGAAGGAAGGTGCGGGCTTGAGGTGGGCATATATATCGGTCCCTACATAATTCCTTATCCTAAGGTACAGCCAAAGAAGAGCAGTGTCCTCTATGGTCAGTGCCTTTTAAACTCTGGAGCCAAGGATCAAGCTAGCCTGGGCCTGAGGCAGTGCCACTCCAGCGTTTCTCTTCAGAGGCATCACTCTCAATGGCACCTCTGTGTCTCCTCACTGTTTTCAACACTCCATTTAAGTAAACAGAACATGGACTGAACACATTTTTTTTCTCCCTGGTTATTTGCATTTTAAGCCCTTTATCTCTAGCTATAGATTGAAAGGCTTTGTCTCTAGTTAAAGGAATTTCAAGCAATTGCAACTAGATGGATAAGATTAGATTTGGTCCTGAGGGGCTTCTCTTTGTCCCTAAAACTCCTGATATTGTCAGTTTTACTATATCCAGACAGTGAATAGGCTTTGTTCTGATGCTATTCTATATGCCTTGCAGAAACGTGTATGCCTACTGTGGCCACCAGTGTCAAATACTGCACAATGCTCACCTACAATTTTTTCAAATAGTGTTTCTCTTTCTATTTTATTCTTTGGTGCTTATAAGACATCTGTTGTTATATTTTGTATCTTCCACCTACTTATTCATGGCTTTTTCCTCTACCTTGTGGATGAATTTCTTGGTATCATCACTAATTACTGCTTTGACATCTTCAGAGTAAGAATTATCTTTTTAGTTATTTTTATTTTGATGATTATATATGTTTTCTATTGTTATGTATTAGTTATTTTCTTCAAATCTGTTGTTTTATATTTAATTATTTTTCTTTTTGTGTCATAAATTGATGCTTCATTTTGATAAAAGCCAGTGTGTCAGTTTCCATTTTAAGCATTGACATACTTATTTCAAAGTTTTTGTTGGTGTTCCTTAAAATTAATTTAAATTCTGTGAATTCATGATTCACTTATTGACTTACTTGGTTTTTGTTCTTAGCATTAGAATCTTTTACAGGATTTGAGTTTGGGTTTTCAGGCTTATTTTTAATAGGAATTTGTAAATTCATGTTGGCTTTACTTTCTTCTCTCTCCTCATCTATAAACTGTCCTTCCTATTTAGTGGTTTAGCAGTTTCTTCACCTGTTCCTTCAGGACTCTAGTTCTTATCAGGTCTTCAATGAGAATCTACTGCAAAATATTCTACTTTGGCATAAGGATGATTTTCGAGCTGAAGCCCAGTTGAGAAGCAGAAGATGCAGGAAGAGTTATCTTCTTTCCCCTTATCTGTCTAAAAGCAGGGCATAAATTTTCCTTTGTGAAGGCTCTCCCTCCCTAGCCTGGCACCAAGAAAGGAAGAACAACTCTTATCACTGCAAATGGGGAGTCAACGCTGAAACGAGTTTGCACGAATAAACCTTACTAATATAACCCGACTATTCCATTAATTCCCCCATATATTGTCTAGCCACTTCCCCATGAGTTAATCATCCCTTGAAGCCTAATGCCCCCTTTTAAAAGGCATATAAGCCCCTGAATCTAACCACTTGAATTTCACTTGTTTTCTGTGAATTCCTATCCATGTAAATATTAATAAAAATTTTAGACCTTTTCTCTTACCTAGCTTTTGTTAGTTTAATTTGCAGGCCCCCTTGACAGAACCTATGAGGATACAAGAAAAGTTTTTTGGTTTTTTTTCCCAACATCTTAATAATGTGTTGTGGGGCTTCTTCCCACAGTGATGTCTAAAATCGTTGATGATTTGGTTTGATTAATAGTGAAGAGGCTGTGTCTATGCCCTCCCACTCTCTCTAGGTTCCCATTTTAAAATAAAGTCAAAATTGCAGTCAGTGTGTTGGCAACAGTTTTGGCCACTTATCTTTGGCAGCTTAATACTACCCTAGGCCCAGGCTTTCAGGGAAAACCTGGTTCTAGATCCCCATGACGCTTTTAGTTCCCTTTACATTATAGGGGCCTTAAGATTGCTTGCTACTTTATATTTCTGTCTCATTTCGTGGTCCAAAATAATCTTTATCTCATATTTGACCCTAAGTCTTTTTCTTTCTTATTGAATATAACTTATTGTTGTCATATCCTATCTTGACCCAAAATTCTTATAAACATGGTTTACTTCACATTTTAGGTTCACCTTTCAGGTCTCTCAAATATTATTTTTTTGGCTTTTAATCAATAGCATGTGATTAGCAGGAAAACTAAAGAAAGCCATGTGGCCTGGGCAAATTTGATACAGTTTGAAAAGTATGCCCCATTTTTTTTGTGCTAAGATTACGTGTGTTTCTGAAACTTGGAGAGAAGCCAGGGACATTTTATTTAGTAATGTGAATGTTGGCTCTATCTTTAGGCTCTAAAGACCAATCTAAGATTGACCAGCAATTGTAAAAATGTTGAGTGATCTAAAACAATTTTGTCTAATTTTCGTCTTTTAAAAAACCCATCTTTTAGTCTTTTTATCTGAGGATAGTTTATACAAATGAAGGTAGTGACACCTGTAAATATATTAAAAATCCTGAGACCATTGTTTTAACTGAGGTCCTTGTTGACCATTTCAATAAGGAAATGGTTGCTTATTTGCACAACATTTCAATCAGTTGAACTTGGGGAAGTCAGAAGTAAGATTGGGGTCATTATTTGGCTTAAAACTTTTCCAATGAGAGTCAAAATATCATTGATGAATAGCAATGTACATGTATGATTAATATTCCAAGACAGATTTTGTAAATGTATTGTGTGTCTTAAAATATTTGTTACTCTCATTCATGTCCAGGTTTCAGCAAGTTTAGAAGTACATTTGTATATCAGTAGTAGTATGACTAATTATCTCTACATGTATTTATCATTAAATAAACCTCACAGGAGACAGAAAGATTGTTTACTTAAGCAGTAGAATACTGGGGATGGTAGATAGCTCTAGAACACAGGATTACATCGCTGGAATGGCACTATTTATTAAGCTATGATAACGCTAATGTTCCTCTTTGATGTATAGCATGTGCGACTTCAGCTGAACTTGTAGAGAGCCTTAAGGATGTTTCATTGAACATTTAGTATGGCAGCCAGCCAGAATACATTTAGCCTAAGCCCAGATGACGGGCTGGTAATGAGGTAGTGATTGATGACCACAGCTTCCTTATGAAAACCTGCTTGATATGCTGGGGGGAAAATGCATTGCCAGCTCTTTTCATTTCAGTCCCTGTTATATTAGTAATTTTTACTGTGAAGAAGTTACATGGGCTTCTGCTTATGCACTTTTGGCATCCCTTTTAGATTACAATCGAACGGTGGTATAGAATTTTAGAAGTCCTGTGGCTATATTTATGTATAATTCAAATCTCAATTTCAAAGGGGTCTTTAAAAATCATTTTTAAAAACTATAACTGTGTCATCCATAAAATACTCTAATATTATTTTTATGCATCTGTTTAATGTTATGGTTTCTCTGACTCCTCTATCCCCCATATCCCCACACAGTGTCATAAAGCTCTACCCACTCCCGTAACTTTAAAGAACAGACATTTGTTCAAATTCCTAAATATGTTTCAAGAAGACTCTATTTTCAATTATTCTTACATTTTTGTGGTATGTATGTGTGTCTTTTCCTGAGTAAAGCATATAAAATTAATTCATATATATTTTTATATATGAAATTCCTCTGGCTTAGTTCCTTTGAAGCACTTTTTCTCTTTTGTCCATCTCTTTTTTGCTTTATACATTTGCTCTCTTACTCTTTTGTCAACATAAATCATTTCTCAGATTGGGTTCACATAAGCACTTATGATTGCAAAATGCTACTTGCTAGAATGACCACTTTGGTTGCCTACTGACCTGGGACAAGGTAGAGCAAGGCCCAAGATTGACATTTCACCCTTAATAAGTCTTGCTCGTTGAAACGCCAACAACAAATAGGGTTTGCTGAGATTGACAAGAGAAAATAAACTATGCTTTAAGCCAGCCTGATTGTGGCTGGCTGGGCTTTCAATTTTGCTAGTCAGAGAGAGTCTGTACCCTTTTATGCCTTGCAGCCATCACTCCTTTTGGCTTGCAGTGGCCAAACAGAATGCTTGAAACTCCTGATCTCAATCCAGTCACTGGGGCAGCTCAGACAATGACAGTTTGAAGTGACTGGAAATCCTGTTGAGACGCCATAGCCCACATTTGGCGTGGTTCCAGCAAATGAAAATCAGTAAGCTTGCTCTCAGAAGCCTGTTACGTGCTTATGTTTTTGTTGTTTCAACTACCTCCATTTCTTCAATTATTTAAGTTATTAGAGGACCTGGAATGAAACAAATCAAGACAAAGGAGTATTAGTATCCTTTTGAGGTTTGGCTTATCTCTCAAAGCTTTTGATAATACTTCCTATTGATGGGCTTTGTAAAGGGCAGGAAGTTGTGTTACCACTATAATTCTTTACTTTGCTCCCTATCAAAAAATAGTAGCAAAATAAGAGTTGTACCAAAGTGGAAGGCTTATCCCTTCCTATTATAGAACTTATCTTTTATTAATAAGTTGCTCACCACTATTACCACAAAACCATACTTTCTTACTGGAGATAAAGAAACTTGTTATTTACTGGGAAAAGTTTCTGGTAGCAAAACTTGACCTGAAATGAATTATTTACAAGTTTAGAAGAAAGACTTGCTAAGTCAATGCTACAGCTGAGAAATAAGCCAACACTTTCTCCAAAACAGCTTGAAGCTGACAAAACACTAAGCTCTGAGGTCCTAGAGAAGCAGCAGTTCAGGGTCTTGTTAGCTTCGAGCTGCAGGAAAGACAACACTGGCAGAGTGCTCAGAGGAAGGAGCAGGCACCCCAAGAGGGGGATGTGGAGGGAGCTAGAAACAGCATTAGAGAGAAGGCATGGAGAAATAGAGCAACACCAAATTAAACACTGAGAGATGATGAGGCACATAAAGTACTTAAAGGAGTTTTGGAGGTAAAAACAAAACAAAAGTAACTGGTTAGGAAAATGGGAAATGAAATAAAACAAATTGCACAGAAAACTTTAGGGCAAAATATAAAAAATGTCCAATGTAAGAATAATACATTTGTATTATATTTATATAGTGCTTTATATTTCTTTTTTTTTTGACTGTATATAGTGGCTTTATCCGTAATAGCCAAAAACTATAAACAGCATAGACGTTCTTCACTGACTAATGGTTAAACAAACTGTCATAATATATATCATATTAGTACTAGTTAGCATTAAAAAGGAACAAATTATTGATATACGTGACAACTTAGATGATTATCCAGACAATAAGACTGAGTGGAAAAATCTGATTCTAAAAGGTTACATACTTTATGATTCTATTTATACAATGTTTTGAAATTATGATATTTTAGAAATGGGTAATAGGTTAGTGGTTATTTGTATTATTTTATTCAATTCTCACAGCCCCCAGTATAAATTTCATTACCCCCATTACATAGGTGAATAAAATTAAAATGATTGCATAGATCATAGCATTGTCTAAATCCTAATTTCTAAAATCCACTCGTAGAATTTGCTGAATATATTGATATATGGCAAAGATTTCTAGCATTTTATGCATTTTTGTTTTTGTTTGTTTTTTTTTGTTTTTGGAGAGACACTATTTTAAATAGGATTATCAGAAATGGCCTGTCTGTGGAGGGACCTTTGAGTTAACTGCAAGAAGTGAGAGTGTCAGTTATGTTGGCTGTATTCTGATAAAATATGGCTATATCTAACTAAGTAAGGGGGCAAAAGAGATGACAACATTGGAGGAGGATGTGTTAAAAGAACTAGTGCCTCTGTGAGCAGCCTTCAAACGATGAATGATGCCCCCTTCATGCACCAACTGCCTGACCACTGGGGTAGGATAGCTTTGAGGTGTGTGTCCTACATTGGCTCCTAGAATTTTTAGCATGACTTTTTAACACATGCTTTATTTTGTTTCCTGTTTCACTTGCCCACCCTCCTATTGGTGTTTCCTGGGATTATCTCCCAAATAAATACTTCCACTTGATTTCTTGACTCAGGCTCTGCTTCTGGAAGAACCCAAGCTAAGAGAGTGGTAACAATGTAAGTGGTAAGAATTCATCAGAATCCGCATGCCATTTAGAAGTGAGACCGATAGGATTTACTGATAGATTAGATATGGGGTAGGAGGAAAACAGAAAATCAAATAAATGACTTATTTTTAATGTTAATCATTAAAAGGAGCCATAAAAACATCCAACTTGTGTGATTGTTTACTAATTGCCAGGGACTCACCTAGTCCTGCTGCACATGTTAAATCATATGAGTTATCCCTAAAGCCCCATCATTATGAGTCTGGGTTCTTTTATTTAGCATGTAGAGGCTGGGATTTGAACTCAAGGTATCTAGTTCTAAAGTCTGAGCAAATAACCACTGTCCTCTTTTGCACAGATAGTACATAGGCTATAAAACAGCATGGTCATACATTCATATTTACATACATATATACATGCATATTACTAGTACGTAGTACATTCGTATTTACTAATTCTATTTGCATATAATGAAGAGGTGGTGCTGAATTTTTCTTCTAGCCACTTTTTTTTTGCATGTATGCATATATAAAGTATTTTGTAAGTCTAAGTTGGACTTGGCTATCATTTCAAAAATCATGACCCTTCTCATAAAAATTAAGAGGTAATATTACTATCATTATTATTATTGGCAAGATTTCTAAGTTGTACTGAATTTTCTATAATCAACTGTTATTTGATAGAATTGTTTGAAAATATTACTACATGCTTGATGGCAGGACCTAAAACAGCAGGCAAAATATATATGATGCCAAAGGCATCTTCTCTTATCACTAGCTGATTTACAAATGATAATTTAACTGTTAATGTCTGAGAATATTTTCTCTTTCCCATACACAATAAGAAAAATCACTGTGTATACTGAGTGGTGTCTAGGAATGTGATACGTATTATTCAAAGTTTGAGTTGCCTTGAAATCAAGGTATAGGGAGGAATGATGAGGACACATGGGAAGAATTTAGAAATAGGTCCTTACAGCAAAAAGTCCATCTGGTCCCTAGAATATAGATGGAGGGTATTGGAGAGCCTGGGCAATAGAATTAATAGAGCTAGGAAACAAGTACTTATCAGAGGAGGATTTGGTCCATGAAAGTGGTCAAGATTTGGAAGACCCTTTCCCTTTCCCCCAACATCCAGGCAGTTTTCATATCATGAAGAGTCTGTGCCTCAATGTCTCTGAAATAGGAACCTGCCCTTTCATTCCTACTATCATTATCTTTGTCCATGCAATTGTCTTTTTGCTAGCAGATAGTTACAACTCACTTTCAAACTGGTCTTTTTAAGGATAGCATCTAAAGTCTTTAGCATGGCTCAAAAGGCCCTTTATAATTTTGCCTTCCTGAACCTAATAGTATTATAATGTTATTTTTTGTATATGTATATGTGTTTTATATAATATTAATATATAATACTATTAGTAATGTTATATCAGATGATAATCTGCTAATGATGTTCAACTCCTCTAGGTCATCTAGGCTGGATAAATGTTTCAAGATAGAATACTTGGAGAGAAGAGAGTTGGTGTTATTTAGAGCAGTATTTTCTATTAAAAGCAAGGTGGAAATTGAGGAATTTTACAAGTTGCTAGCCCTATGGCAGATGATAGCATAAGTGGGTAAGATAAAGGCATCCTAATACAGTGTCTTGTTCTTTGTTAACAAGAAATGAAAAAGAAGCATACATTTTTTGGTTCTTAGAAAACCTGGGGAATTGCAGAGCAGGAGGGTGATATAGGGAAAATACCTGAAACAGAGTGAGTTGCCACAGGCTGGCTTCCTCGTGCTCTCAGTGCACAATGGAACACTGGGGATTAGGCGGTAGCATCAGTTCTTACTTGGAAGAGATAATTGAAAACTTTTCTGTTTCTAGAAATAATGTTTCTTAAATTATTGTTGGTAATATTTACATATAAAATGACATTAATCCTGGAGGCAATATGTTGTAAGTTAAATTATGTAGGATTTGAATCCAAATCCTGGATCTGCATCTCAGCAGATGTTTTACCTTGTGTTATGGACTGTTTATGTCTCCCTAAATGTGTATGTTGAAATCCCAACCCTTGTTGTAATGGTATTAGGAGGTGGGGTCTTTGGGAAGTGATGAGGACCTGAGAGTGGAGCCCTCATGAACTGGATTAGTGCCCTCATAAAAGGAGCCTCAAGGAGCTGGGCCTGAAGAGGCCCTGCACCAGATCCAGACATGCTGACACACTGATCTGAGATTTCCAGCTCCTAGAACTATGAGACATGAGTTTCTGCTGTTTATAAGTCACGCAGTCTATGGCACTTTGACATAGAAGCCGGAACTAAGACACCATGGAAAGGTATTTCAGTCTATTTAAGCTCTAGTTAGTTCCCTTGTGGAAAAAAAAGAAAGAAAGACTACTAATATATTTTACTGAGATGCTTTGGGAATTTAAGTCACTGAGAAAATACTTAGCATGTAATATGTATTTCAGAAATTAAAGTTCCCCTCCATTCTCTTTCCTTACTATGTCGTTTATTTTTATAATGGTCAGGCTAATGCGGAAGGAAGACATACTAAGACTTTATCTTTCCCACCTATGATAATCAGGCAAATAATAACTGATATTGATTTAACATTGTTTTAGAAGACCAATGTTTGTGAAATGTATATATCACATTCAGAAACTATAGATGGGAGTAGAAACTTGAGGCAAAATGTGAACCAATTTTCAGTTAGGCAGAGGAGCTTGCCTCCTTTTGGAGGAAATGGGAAGTCATTGTATGTTTTTTTATGTTGTTGTTTGTTTGTTTTTTTCTTGTCTTTGTAGTAAACAGTCGTAGTCATTGGAAATATTTACTTCCAATTTAAATTGAGAATAAAATCTTCTAAAAAAGAAATAGTTGAAGTAACTGAATATTTATATGAATTTTCTGTTTATATTAATGATTTTCTCATTTATGTTAATATCATTGACATTTCAGAATAGTTGCAACTTAGATTAGAGCTTAAGACATTTTTTTCCCATTGATTTAGCAAACATTAATGAAACGCTGACAAAATGCAAGAGACTCTGGACTTGGCACCGTGGGAAATACGAGTTTATTCATTTAACAAATAGTTAAGTATTTAATGCTGTATTTCAGGCATCACGGATAGAGTGAACAATTAAGAAAGAAGTGGTCTCTGACCTCACTTTGCCCATAGTCTAGTAGGTCCAAGAGGACAAGCTTTCCTACCCTTGATATTTGAAATGACCCGAAAAGAACAATTATTTATTTGTATTGACAGATTCATCATCTGCCAAAGCCCACGTGACCTTTTCTTTCATTTGTCCAGTCTATGTCAGTGATGTCACAATTATTGTATAAGGTTGCAAAGCTTCAAAAAATAAAACTGAGTGTTTTATCATCGTATTAGATTGCCAGGGCTGCCATAACAAAGTATCACAGACAGGGTGGCTTAAAACAGAAATTTATTTTCTCACAGTTCTGGAGGCAGGAAGTCTGAGTTCACGGTGGCAGCAGAGTTGGTTTTTCCTCTGAGGTGTCTCTCCTTGGCATTGTAGATGACCATCTCCTCCCTGTGTGTTTACATGCTGTCACCTCTGTATATGCCTATGTCCTAATTTCCTCCTGTTTTTAGGGCACCAGTCATGTTGAATTAGGGCCCACTCTAACTAATGACCATAATTTTAATTCTTTCTTTGAAGATCTTATCTCCAAATACAGATGCATTGTCAGGTATTTGGAGTTAGGACTTCAGCATATCAATTTGAGGGGATACTACTCAGTTCACAACAGTTACCCATTGATATATCATCTATAGTCATTCTGTCATCATTTTACATCCAGTTATTCTATTGCCTCTGATACTACTCTAATCCAGATGCTTATAAACAACAGTGTTTTCTTTTAAAGGCAGACTCTTGTTCAGAAATTCTTCTTACATGTAATCCTTCCAATTAGAATTATTTCTCAATAGTTCTTTTCTTGATTTATAAAAGTTTATTATAAATTGACAGTTATAATTGTATACATTTATGAGGCATAAGATGATGTTATAATATTGCAAATAGTATGTGGTACAATTAAATCAAGCTAGTTAACATCCCCATCACCTCAAATCTTAACTTTTTTGTGGTAAGAACATATGAACTTAATATCTTAGGAATTTTGAAATGTACAGTATTCTGTTATTAACTATATTCACTGTGCTGTGCAGTATAACTCAAAAAAAAGAAAAAAGCACACACTTATGGTCTGAGATTTTACCCTTTGACCATCATCACCCCATTCCCCAACACACAAGCTCTGTAACCACCATTCTCCTCTTTGCATCTATGAGTTTAATTGTTTCAGATTCGACATCCAAGTGAGAACATGCAGTACTTGTATTTCTATGCTTGACTTGTTTCACTTAGTGTAATGTTCTCCAATTCCACCCATGTTGTTACAAATAATAAAATTTCCCTTTTTTAAGTCCGAATAGTATTTCATACTGTATATATACATTTTCTTTATCCATTTATCTGTTGATAGATACTTAGTTTGATTCTAAAGTTTAGCTATTGTGAATAGTGCTGTAATAAACATGGGGGTGCAGACATGTCTTCAACAAACTGATTTCAAATCTTTTGGGTAAATACCCAGAAGTGGGATTTCTGGATCACATGGTAATTGTATTTCCAGTTTTTCGAGGAACTGCCTTTCTGCTTTCTATAGTGGCTCTACTAATTTACATTCTCACTAACAAGAGTGTTTTCTTTTCTCCACATCCTTGCTAACACTTGTTATCTTTCATCTTTTTAATAAAAGTTATTCTGACAGGTTTGAGATGATATTTCATTGTTTTAATTTGTATTTCCCTAGTGATTAGTGATATTGAGGATAATTTTCATATATTCTAGGCCATTTGTATGTCATCTTTTGAGAAATGTCTATTTAGATCCCTTGCCCATTTTTAATTGGGATTTTTGTTTTACTGCTGTTGAGTTTAGTTTCTTAAGTATTTTGGATATTAACTCCTTATCTGAGGTACAGCTTTCAAATATTTTCTCTTGATCTGTAAGTTGTCTCTACACACTGTTAATTGCTTCCTTGGTAATGCAGAAGTCTTTTAGTTTGATCAAATCCCATTTCTCTATTTTTGCTTTTGTTGCCTGTGCTTTTGGGATCAAATCCAAAACATCATTTCCCAGACCAATGTCATGTAGCTTTTCTCCTATCCTTTCTTCTGGCAATTTTAGAGTTTCTGGTTTTATGTTTCAGTATTTAGTACATTTTGAGTTGGTTTTTTATATGGTGCAAGGTCAAATTTTGTTCTTCTACATGTGGAAATCCAGTTTTCCCAATAGTACTTTTCAATGAGACTATCCTTTACCCATTGCTTATTCTTGGCACCTTTGTCAAAAATCAGTTGATCATATATGCATGGGTTTATTTCTGGATGCTCTACTCTGTTCCCTTGGTTGATGTGTCTATTTTTTTTTGGCGAATACCTTTCTGTTTTAATTACTCTAGCTTTGTTGTATAGTTTGAAATCAGGTAATGTGATACCTCCAGTTTTGTTCTTTTTGCTCATGATTGCATTGGCTATTCAGGGTTTTTCAATGGTTCCATATGTGTTTTGGTAATGTTTTCTCTATTTCTATGAAAATTAAAGTTGGAATTTTCATGGGGATTGCACTGAACCTGTAGATTCCTTTTGTCAGTAGTTATTTTCATTATATTATGACTTTGATCCAAACCCCCTCATTAAAATGTTTCTATCACTATGCCTGACTCCCTGAGGCCTTGGTAACAATTGAACACTGTGTTCCCAAATTTATTTCCTGTTATTCTGCAGTGAATTATGTTTGCTGAAGACTGAACATCCTTTTTACTTTCCATAAGAGAACATTTAACAGCCTGCTCTAGCTTTATGAGTAAGATTATGTGTTTTCTCCTTTGTGGGGAAATTCATGAGGAATCTTTACTGGCTTGCCTTTGTTATTCAGACTGCTTTCTTCATCTTGCTTTTTTGTGGGGGACACCCCTCAGTTTGCACCTAATTCTTACCTCTCTGCTTCACAGTCTTTGGTCATGATTCTTGAGAGCATTCCTTTGCTTCTTGAGTCACTGGTCATTGCCAATATCCTTGGACTAACTCCATTCACTTTCAACATTGCCCAGCTTGATGGAAACTAGAATGACCAGAGTCCTATCTCATACCCACTTTCTTGAGAAGTGGTTTTAAATAATTTTTGCCTGAAGTCTTTGCATCTGTTTTGCCCTTCAGTATCATGATACTCCCTTCTCAACTTCACATATGCAAATCTTAGCTCTCCTGATTCTGTGTAAACGCCATTCTTTTCATGAAACTATTTCCTGATTCCTTCAGATCTTGTTTGCCTGCCTTTCTTCTTCACTTTCACCACACTGGAAACTGCATAAAATAACATCTAATTATATACAGTCTTGTATAGAAACTCATACTTCATGCAACTTAGTCTTTTATTCCTCGGTATCTTTTTAAATAAACTTTTTTATTTTAGAACAGTTTTAGATTTACAGAGTTACTTTAGAGACAATACAGAATCGCTGGAGTCCACATTCAGTTTCCTCTCTTGTTAGCACCTTACATTAGTATAGTATGTTTTTGTTACAATTAATGAACCAGAATTAATACGTTATTATTAACTAAGGTCCACACATTTGCTAGATTTCCTTAGTTTTTACCCAGGGTCGGTTTTACCTAGAGTCTATCCAAGATCCCAAGTTATATTTAGTGGCCATGTCTTCTTATGCTTTTTTTTGGTTGCAATGGTTTTTTCAGACTTTCCTTATTTTTGATGACCTTGACAGCTGTGAGGATTACTAGTCAAGTATTTTTTTAGAATGTTCCTCAAATGACATTTATATGTGTTTTTTCTCATGATTAAACTGGGGTTATGGGTTTTTGGGCAGAAGACCACAGAGGTAAAGGGTTATTTAAATCACCTTATTTTATATACTATCAATAAGCTTTGTCATGATTAATGTTAACCTTGATTTCATGACTAACATAGTGTATGTCAGGTTTCTCCACTAAAAAATTACTCTTTTATGACTCTTTGCATATCATGTTCTTTGGAAGAAAGCCACTATGAGCAGGCCACACCTAATGAGTGGGGAATTATGCTCCACTTCCTTGAGAATAGAGTATCTACATAAATCATTTGGGATTCATCTGCATGGGAATTTGTCTATTCTGCCCATTTATTTATTCAGTCATTTATTTATATAAGTATGATGGACTCGTGGATATTTATTTTTTACTTTTTGCTGTAAACTAATATCACTTTGTTTTGTTGCTCAAATTGTTCTGGCTGTGTCCATTGGGAGTTCTTTTAGTTTACTCCTGTGTCCCTTTAATATATCTACATCTGTGCGTGTGTATGTGTGTATGTGCATGCATTAGTGTGTGTTTGTGTTTTAGCACTTAATTTCTGGCCCTACAAGATGATCTAGGCTTATCTTGTATATTTCCTTCCTAAGTCCTAGAATCAGGTGTTTCTCCAAGGGGGCCCTGATTTCTTTTATTGGATAATGGTATTAGAAATCAAGATCTGGGAGCTAAGTGTGCTCATTGCTACTGTGATGTTATTGCTTGTTAGGCCCTCCCAGCTGATGGGTAAGGGAATATATATGTGTATACTAACCTATGCATATACATGTATGTGGACATCAGTACAAAATTAGACTTATATTATTTATGTACAAATATGTTAATTATTAGATAGCTGATTTTTGAATAAAATGCTAATACATACATATTTCTTTAACCATATGTATCTGTATTAAATGAAACATGTGTATATACTGATGTCTTCCACTCTAATTCATCACCACGTAGACCATTGTAGCCTCTCTCTATCCTTTTCTTCTTATTTACATTTAACCTCCCAATACAACAGTGAAAACACCTGACTCCCATAATCTACTATCAGTTTACTTAATTATTCAATTCTTATTTACATTCATTAAAATTATTAATTCATACCACCATTCCAATTCATTATGTTTAAAATGATACAAAAGTGCCAGATACTTAGCATGTTTCTGTACTACTGAAAGGACCTAGAATAAAGATGAATTTATAGTAGGTCCTATATGCTATTGATGAGTCTCCAAAATAGTTAATATACTCAATCAAATCTAAATTTCTTTTGATATTCAAAAGGCATTACAGCCTCTTGCAGTGCTGACATGGCCATCATTATAAAATTAGACAGGCTTGTACAGTATATGTACAAATATGCTGATTGTTAGATAGCTGAGTTTGAATGAAATGCTAAACTTTTTTATTTCATGATAAATCTCTTAAGAGGATGAAAGCATTATCTAATTATCGAATTGTTAAATAAAGCTGTAATCCATGTACAAGTAGGAAGCTGATTTTTTAAATTAAAAAATGATTATCAAAATGGAACCAGAAGTTGCTAAAAGAATGATTAGATAGGGGCAGAAGTATGAAGGAAGGCTAAGAAGATTGGACTTTTACATTTTGGGACAGTGAAGAATGAAAGAGCATATACGAATAGAATTTATAAAATTATGAACAATATAAAAGGTAAATGTGGATTCCTGTCCAGATATCCAGAAATTGTAATTTATCTGAAACTTCACTGAAATAAATTTTGGCCAACTATGTTTAAAAAGTTAATTTTAAGAGGGCAGATGGTTAATAACCTATGAGATGTTGCCAGTAAGAAATCTAAATGTGAGAGTGGGTGCCTTGGCTCACACTTGTAATCCTAACACTTTGGGAAGCCAAGCGGGGAGGATCAATTGAGGCCAGGAGTTTGAGACCAGCCTGAGAAACATAGGGAGACCTTTATCTCTACAAATAAATAAATATATAGTGGAGTGTGGTGGCATGTGCCGATAGTCCCACTTAGGAGGGAGGCTGAGGCTGGAGGATTGCTTAAGCTCAGGAATTTGAGGTTATAGTGTGTGCTACGATCATGCCACTGCACTCTAACCTGGTCAACAAAGTGACACTGTCTCAAAAAAATTTTTTTTAAAAGGACAAAAAGAAAATGTAAATGCCTTCAAAATGGGTATGGGAACACCAGTAAATGGCAGAACATTAAGATGAATGCCCTGTGTATCAATTGGAATAGTGATTGCAGCCAAATCTCACTGGAATCTGAGTGTAACCCAGGCTAATAATTCCAAAGTGCCTATGTTTTTTTTTTTTTTCACTTATACTGGGAGATTTTGCCGAACTTTAAAATTAAATGAAAAAGAATGGCTAAAAACGGTTCTTACAGCTTTCAGCTTTTTTGTATTTAGAATCAGTCATGGCAATCACAGATGTTTGAATTTGATTTAACTTCCTCAAATCTATTTTTCAACATGAGAAAAAGCTGTCAAACAGTATAGGCACAAATGCCACTGGCAATACTTTAAGGCCTTAAGCCCAGAAAATAATGTTTTCATATTAAATATATCCATTTTAAAAAGTTACCTTCAAATTTCCTAGAAACTAAGTGAAATTAGATAGTTTGTGTAATGGTAAAATCACAAAAGATACCAAGAGCAAGGAAAAAACTAACATTTTTCAAAGTTATAAGAAGCATGATTACTTGAATTTTTATGCTAGTCAGTATTATAAAAATAGAAGCAATGGTCGTTAACATTAACTTTGTAACCGGTGTTTCCCTTGCATTGATAAAAGGGTGGATGCGGATTTAATATAGGCAATACATTTGAAAGAAAAGCAGATTATTCCTTCAGGATTCTCATATGACATTCTGAACAATTAAGTACAAACGTATGCTTAAGTCCAATTTCATGGAAAGTTGCTAACTTGTTATCTCTATATATTACTACATGCTAAAGACAAGCGAATCAAACAGAACATGGTATTTTGTCCTGTCAACCAGCATTCCATTTTGATCATAAGCTAGTAGTTGTCAGGTTGATATAAATAAGATACTTAAATATAATTTAGTACAAATTGTTTAAAGTAGAAATAATGTTATTAGGCATCTCTAGCAATCCTAAAAGAAAGGAAAATATTTTATGATTACCTAATTGATTTGAAACTAAACAATTGACTACACTTTTCTAGAATGTAAGATTTTGTAAATTTTACCAATCTGTATGAAATAAAACAACAAAATTTTACCAAAGTATATAATCCTTATAACAACCTGGTTGTGTGATATATTATCCCCATTTACAGTCTGGTGGATATCCACATCAAATAGAAACAAAAATCATAAAAAGGAATGAAGATAAATAAAAACATCTTCACCAAGATTACTTACTGTTACTGCAGAAATGAGACACAAGATTGCATCCTGGATGTTTCTGGTGCATTATTATTTCTTCTATCTACACTGCCTTCGATTTTATGTGGTGAGCTCACCAAAACTCCATATTAAGCTATGGGCAAGGAACCCCGTGCCCTTCATTAATCTGTGATGGTGGCTTGGTTGAAACTGTTGGTTTTGAAGCCTGATTGCCTGGATTAAAATCCTACGTTTATTTCTGAAGTGTGGCTACCTGAATTCAAATTCTGTATCATCTACCTAAATTCAAATTCTGTGTCATCTATAGCAATGCTGCTGGTTGTGTAGCCATAGACTGGCGCCGGACTCTGAACTGGTTATTACTGGTCTGTAATGAGATAAGCCCACACACTGTATTTAGAAACTTTTATAGAAACTTGACAGAGTATACAAAAAAATTAACCGGGCATGGTGGCACATGCCTGTAATCCCAGTTGCTCAAGAGGCTGAGGCAGGAGACTTGCTTGAACCCGGGAGGCGGAGGTTGCAGTGAACCGAGATCATGCCACTGCACTCCAGCATGTGTGACAGAGCCAGACTCCATCTAGAAAAAAAAAAAAAAAGAAAAAAAATCCTTGACAGAATAATTACATGTCTAATGAATCAAGTAATAAAATGTCAGGACATGCTATGCCTGTGATTTTTTTTGTCAATTTCTGTTTCTAGTAATTTATTTTTGTTTTCTTAAAAAATAATTGAAAAGGATTGGAATGAAAGAAGACTAGTCCCTTGCCATGGAGAGTCTGAGAAACACTGATCTAGAACAGTACTAAGGCAAAGCTTTAATGTCCTTATCATTGAAATTTGACAAAAAGCAAGGCAGGGCAATGATTTTTATACCTTTCAGGTGACAACACTTAAAGGGGTCTACTGTACCATATAAAAATTATTTCTCTACATACTTGCCCATTTGGTTTCTTATATAGTTATCAGACCTACAGCAGATCTGACCCTGGTATGACTTACATTTTGGGGACCCAAGTGGCAAACTGAGAGAGTTTTAAAAGAGAAGGCAGCTTGAGACTTTTTCCTTCTTTTCATAAAAGTTTCTCCTTATTTCGAGGTGATAACTCATGGTTTAATAGTTCTTAAACTTTAATGCGTGTAGGAATCACCTGGAGATGTGCATCCATCTCTGACTCAGAGGGGTGGAGTCTGAGTTTCTGCATTTCTCACATGGTGCTGATGCTGCAGATGTGCAGACCTTGCTTGGTAGCAATGATTTGACAAGTCTTGTTTCCCAGGTATGCACTCCACCTAGTGCCTGTCAGCAGACACCCCCAACCCCTCCACAGCACCTCTCTCAGAGATAGAATCTCCCTGCAAATATTTTGTAGGTATCCCTAGTTCATAGGAGATGTTTTATCCTCACCCTGAACTTACTCTCAATGTTGGTGTTTTTCACTGGACCTAGAGACCACCAGAAGCCAAAGATCCAGCAAAGCTAAAGTTCTAAGAATTCCAATGTAAATATAATTTTATTTAAGCCAAATAGCTTTTTAAATTACTAACTTACAAATATGAGTAGGACAGGCTGACTAGTCTGACACAGCCACTGTTGCTTAGTGTTTTGTAACTCTTGTAAAAATATATTTGCCTGAAATCAGTAGTCCCTAGCCAATTACCTTTATTTAGGCATGGATAGTTGAGTGTTTTTGTATAGACATTTTAGAACAGTCTTGTGGTTCTGATAAAGAACGTTTGGAGGTTGTAGACACGAACTGTGTGTTTGTGTGTGTGTATGCGTAGGTGTTTGTATGTGTGTTTTCTTCATACTTATGCCCCATCTGAATATGTGGGAATTAGATCCTTGGATCATTTACAAAAGAAAGAAAGAGAATTTTCCTAGCAGCTTGGACTGCATGTGTGCACCACCATGCCCAGCTAATTTTTGTATTTTTAGTAGGGATGGGTTTTCACCATGTTGGCCAGGATGGTCTTGCAGTAGAATCACTTGAACCCGGGAGGCGGAGGTTGCAGTGAGCTGAGATCCCACCACTGCACTCCAGCCCGGCAACAGAGGGAGACTCCGTCTCAAAAAAAAAGAAATAAAACTTTCATAGCCTTAATTTTAGGAGAAATCACTACTCTAATAATCTTAGGAATTTTAATGCAATAGTGAAATATTCATTCTTCAAGTTTTCTTTTTGTACATAACATAAACAATTGAAATTAAAAATTATAATTGCTGTGTTTCATATTGTACAAGTCATTCACCTAGGATATATATTTCTTCTTTTTTGTATGAACTAGGTCTCTATTTTTTGTGTTATCACGGTTATCTAAGCACTTAAGTAATTTGAGCTACATGGTTAGAGACGGTTTTTAATATTTGTGATTCTTGGGTTTATAATATTAATATGCTTGCAAATCTTGGTTTTAGTAAAACATCCAAGTAGTTTGCATGAATAATTAAGTGAACAATAGGTAAGTATCCAGCATCTCCGTGTGGTCTCTCTGGTCTTTTAATGTAATCCTATCTGTCTCAAAAAGATAATATTTTGAATAAGAATTTTATTCTTGACTTGGAATAATTTTCAATCTCATTATCCTAAATTACATTTTGATCCTTGGATATTTAAAAAGAAAGGGATGATTTACTCACTTATGTGTGGAACCTTTCTTTTATGATGCTGAGAAAAGTGTGACAATAAATAAAAAATGAACAAATGAAAACTGAATTTACCATTCCTTCATTAGACTAACATTAATTGAATACCTAGTATGTCCTAGGCAGAAAGAATGCCGAGAAGAACAAAGCAGAAACTCCGTAAAGAGTTCCCAGACAAAAAAAAAAATCATTTATTAGAGTGCAGTGTAAATACCAATAAAATAGACTCAAACCCTGGGTGTAAGGATAATGAAGAGGAGGAACACATGGTAGGAATCTGCTATTTCTGTTTGGGGTAGGGAGTGACAGTGGTCTGTCAGTCTTCTCAGAGGAGTTAACGTATCATATGCTTCATAAGGATCAAGGTAAATGGAAGCCAGGCAAAGGAGGGAAGGAAGGGCATGCCAGTCAGAGGGAATCTTAACTCAGGGGTAATGAAGGGGAATGTTGTATTCAGTGCACTATAGGACAGAATTCAAATTGGTTTATCAGAAATGAAGTGTAATTGCTGAAGGGGTTGGGGGAGATGAGACTAAGGTTCAAATAATGAAGGGCCTTATATTCCTTGCTAAGGAGTGAAACACTGGGGAGTCCCTCGAATTTTTCATTTTAGAAAAACTTATCTGCCAGCATGATGGGGAATGATACCAACAGAGAGGAAAGAAGCAGGAAGATCAGTTTGGGAGGTTATTTTTTTGTCAGCCAGGATAGAAAAGATAAGGGCCTAAGCAATATTAGTGAGACTGAGGAGATTAATTTGAAAGATTATTAAGTGAAAAGAATAGGATTTGGTGATTGTAGAAATGAAGTTTGATGGAGAGGGAGTTGTGTAGGATGGTTCTGTTTGTTACTTGGTAATCTGCATAGCTGGTATGTAGTTTGTACTTACCAATTATTTTGTCATGTTTTACATGAAGGTCAGAATCACCCCACTGTTGGTCAGCATAGATTCCCGACACCCAGCATAGTGTCTAGCTCATAGTAAGTGCTCTATGAATATATTTTGAATCAATGATCATCTCATAGTTCAAAAAGACAGAAAGTGTGAATAATAGAACATTTGGAGAAGAAAATGAAGAATCGCATTTTGGACATCTTGAATTTGTTGTGTTACTAGCCCAACCAGTGGAAGATGTTCAGTAAGCAGTTGGACAACTGGATATATGGGTTTATGAATTTTTATTTTTGTAAACAAGAATTGTGTCTTACTCATGGTTAGAGACCTTAGCAGTGTTATGCAAGTTTCCAAATGTGTGCTAACTTTAATCATAGTTAGCACTAGTATTCAAATAGTATTGCATAGTTTAAGAGTAAGCTAGATCTTTTAGGCATATATGAAAAACTAGATATTGCCCTGGATTTTAAAAGCCTACAGTCTTAAGGAATAAATAAGGCAGAGAAAAGAGGCGGCTTTGATTGTGGAAAGAGCATTGATTTTTGAATTAGAAGATCTGTAAGCCTTAACTTTGCTGTTAACTAGATTTTAGTCACTAAGAATTGTAAAATTTTCTAGACTGCAGTTTCCTCAGTGCTAAAATGAGACAATGATATTTCATGGTATCCAATGTCTCTTCAACCTGTAACATTAAATAATCCTGTACATTCATACTTAAAGATTTTAAAATACATATTGAAAAGTGTGCATCTTGATGGGTGGGGAGGATGTATAGTTGATTTATATTAGTGAGTAGTCGTGATGCTTCCCTCCATTGCTAATGAAAATGAAGTGGAACTTAGAATTAGCTAACTGGATTTAGGCCTCATCTCTGTGAATAATTAGCTATAAAATTTTGGACTTGTTAAGCCCCTTCTAGGGGCTAATTGTCCTTGACATGCCTTTTATCTCTAGTCTACTATGGTTTTATTAAAAGTATTTATGTGTGATTTTATCCTGTCAAACTTGTGGGGGAAATCAACTCAGTCTTATAAATATCATTCACATAATATCTATTAAGGCAACACTTGATCTACTGAAAACACAGAGTAAAAGTATTTAAATTATTCATCAGAAACATTGATATTAAACTAATTCTTCTAGCTCAAGTCTCTAACTCTTGTAGTACCTTAACACCTTACCTATATCTTTATAATTATTCTTTAGTAAATAAAATCTCGGGTTATCCTAATTTAAGTGTGACATTTATTTTTTGTAGGGATTCTGTTTGATACACCCTGTCATAAAACTTTAAAAAATTTTTAATAAACTTTGAAGATTTGCCTCATTTAAAAATATTAATTAAGTTTTAAATCACCATATCCCAATACCATGTGTGGAACTACGGTAGCTGCTATATAAAATTTTTCAGTTACTTGAATATCAACTCAATGAGAGAAATTGCTGAGATTACAAGTAAGATCCATCCCTCCCCCTGGCTCTTCGTGAGCCAGATAATTAGATAAAAGGATGAGCTAGTAAAGGAAATTCAAAGACTGTTATAATATTGTATGTATGCACAAAGGAAAATAACATGGTAGAACTGCTACTTTTATGATCTCTGTAGCTACTGCCACTATGACATTATCCTTTCTACTTGTGCCTTTACTAATTATTGATGTTTGCTAATACATAATCATACCCATTGTTGTCTATTTATCTTATTTCTGTCATGTCCTTTGTGCCTAAAAATCTGTACATTAGGATTCATTTTATTACTTAAACGCTATATTCATGCTCTAGCTCTTTCCATTTATAATTTTAATTAGTAAATATATATTGAACAAATGAACAAATTTAAACACATATTGGCAGATCATGCGTTGAAAACAGGTGTTTCGGAAAGTCTCACCAGCACACTCAGTATGCCCCAGATTTCTAGATGTCGCATTTAAGGACTTTTTGTGAGTGAAACCACCCAATAGTTTATGTAAAACAGATGATAAATATGAGGATGCAGAAGAGTAAAAAATTTATTAAAGATTTTAGTGACATGTCCACTCTTTTTTTCTCATCATTTTCAGAGAGTTATGATTGATTTTTATGAGCACACTGAACAAAGAGTGTGATAAAGGAAATATTTTCCTTAGGAAAGAGGGTTCCCAGACTTAAACTCAATTGACTATTAACCACCAAAATTATCTTTTGACTGTACAAATAGACTTTACATTCAATTAGTATATGATTTAAACAAATTTAGATAACTTGCCTAGAGAACAATGCCTGTTACAGGAAGGCTGCTTAATAAATATTTATTGAAGGAAGGAAGGAATCAAGGGAAGGGCAGAAAAAAGGAAAGAGAGAAAGGGAAAGAGAGAGAAAAGACATGTCTGCCCAACTTGGTTTCAATATTTTTATGCTACTATTTAGCATTTTAGGGTAGTAATAAAAATGTGATGGATAACATTCATTCTAGATTATTCAAAACTCTATAATAATCAGTAAGAAAATTTCAAAATTAGATATAAACTCTTAATGAAAAAACATCCATGTAGTGTTGTCCTGGCCTTGATTATCTCAGTATTTCAGAGAAGCACATGCTCATAGAAAGGAAGCCTCAGGTAAATGACAACTCTTGCTCAGCACTGGGGGCAGCATAGAGGATGAGGGATTGAAGAAACAAGCCCAACTGCTATGGTATAATTTGTCCTGAGGTTTTGGAAGACATTTTGCATATAATCATTAAAGCTAAAATTAAAGATATATTAAAGCCAAAATTAAAGATATTATTTGCTGCTTAATAAATGATATATGTCTTATAACTTCATTAAGGATGGTGCCTTCCTTAATTGTTGCATCCATGAGATTTTCAGTGAGGTGCATATTAACTGCAGAGATAATAATGTTTCTATATGTTAATAATTTTAGATGGCAAACACTTAAGCTATTTTGCAGCCACATGGGAGGAATCATTTACATCTTTAAAGGCTTGTTTTACCATTAACCCCTTCATTTGAGTACAGTGGATAGCCATATGTAAAGTATTAATTTTTTTTTACATTAGTGCTAATAGCAAGTATTTTAGACCCACTTGTGTGAAAAGATTAAAAGCCACAGCATTAGGCATGCACCAACATTTCTGAGATTAATCCTTGTTAGACCACCCTAACAGGAACATATAACTTGATTTTCTATTTATTGATCAGATGCCTCCTGGTTCTTTTATCGTGTGAAATGAAACTCCACAGAGACAATAGTATATTGCATTAATATGCTGAATTTAAAAATGCAACACCATATTAAGTTGGTCTATTTTGCCCTCTCTACTTTTAATACCACTTAATATCAATACAGGGCATAAGGGGATCTGTGGAAATAGGATACATCCTAAATATTTGTCATTATGTCCCAGATTACACATGAGCCACTCATGCATCTTCTAGTCATAAACTAATGCTTGAAGGTTATGTTAACAATAAAGTTATGAGAATATTTCCTAACGCAGTCCTTGCAACACGGGGAGTGATGAATGTTTATGAAAGAATGAATGAATGAATCAGAATACGTTTTACTACAACTAACACCTGTGTAGTAACTATTAAGTACCACGAGCACTACTTCTAGGTTTGCTTATATTATCTCATTTAATCATTACAAAAAATCCTAATCTCAGTGCTATTAAGGATCTTATTCTTGTTTTGCAGATGAAAAAATCTGTAGTAAAAGATGGTAAGCTAACTTGCTGGAAAGTAGCAGAGTCAGGACTCAAACTTAGGTTCTGGCTCGGATTTGTCTAGCACAGTACGTGATGCATTGTGAATGTTTGAAAACTGCTGTGATGATGTGGAATTGGAAATGTTATCTGATGTATAGAAAAAGTTATTTAATACTAATTATAGAATTTTCAAATTGCAGTTGCATGGATTGCCCCTGTAACCTCCTAGAACACCTTATATTTACTTGATTTTCAACAATAAGATATTTTATTTTTTCTCTCTATAGAAAAATAAGATTTGTGCATTTTTGTATAAACTCACTGATACGGTTTATCACCCAAATGAAATTCTCTGTCCCCACCCAACTCTCATCTTATAGCTCCCATAATTCCCATGTGTTGTGGGAGGAACCTGGTGGGAAATGATTGAATCATGGGGGCAGGTCTTTCCTGTGTTGTTCTCGTGATAGTAAATGGGTCTCACCAAATCTGATGGTTTTAAAAGCAAGAGTTTCTCTGCACAGGCTCTCTTTTTGCCTGCTGCCTTCCATGTAAGATGTGACTTGCTCCTCCTTGCCTTCTGGCATGATTGTGAGGCCTTCCCAGCCACATGGTACTATAAGTCCAATAAGTCTCTTTCTTTTGTAAATTGCCCTGTCTCCTGTATGTCTTTATCAGCAGTGTGAAAATGGATGAATACATCTATTATCATATGTATGTTTGTACATACGTACACAGACACACACACACACATATATATATACACACACACAAACACACCGATATATAGTTACAAATAGAGATATGAAACTAAAACTGGTAATGTCTTTCCTCTTTCTGACATCACGGTTACTTTGCATTTTAAAGCTCCCCAGATGTATCAATGTACTTGGATATATGTATTTTGTAAGCAGCTAATCATGATTTGAGCAAACAATGAATTCTTTAATTGCTTAAAAATAGGATTTTCACATGAAGAAGTTGGGCAAAAAATTGTAATCTTTATAGAGAAATCTGAAATCTGAGATACAAAAATCTGATTCCATCTGAAATCATGTACTGAAATCACTATGGAGTCTGTTTCTGTAGTTATTTGATCATATGTCCACGAAGATAGCTTTGCTTTTTAACCCATCGCGTACACAGTTTTCAGTATTTAGTTCTGTCAATAGAGGACCTGGAAGCAGTGAGGGTAAATGAGGAGGAATGATAGTTTAGATGTGTTCTTTCCTGAAATGCCAGTTGAATTAAATCTTTCATTCCCACTGCAAACATGCAAATCTATAATCTCCTTTCAAGATGAATCCAGAATCAGGAGTCTGCACTCTTTTATTCTTGGTCAGGAGATTAAAATTGATCACAGGTCACACAAGGGAGTCGGCTGTGGTATCACAGCTCAATGTGGTTAACGAGGACAGCACTTGCCTTCTGTTCTCCTTAACCGTGCACTTACAAGTTACAAATATTATTGATTCCAGGGGTTATCTGAGGGTATGGGGGGTGGTGTGACTTGACAATATTTTGCTGTTTTTAAGGGATAAGAACTATGAGGCCTGATAACATCTGGGACAGTTATAGTTTAAATTTGTCAAATGAAGATTTATACTTTTTTGAGCTGGCAGAATCCTTCATGTAGAAATAATGAATGAAAATTTGATAGTTGATTTAACATAGGCCAAATGACTTGCAGTGAAAGAAGAAAAATAACACTTTAATTATTACCTCTTTCTCAAAATGAATTGATTTTTGTCATTGTAGATCTGTGCTTTAAACAAATGAGTAGTGCTTAGAAGATACTTTTACAAGACGCCATTTAAGTTTAAGTGGGTGTGGCTTACCTAAAATCATTCCAAAATGTAGTGTAGGTGGGATGATAGGTAAGTAATTACCTACTAATCTTTAAAGCATATTTTTTTCTTTCTTATGAATAAAATAGCTATATTAACATTCAAGCACCACATAGCATTGTATGCCAAATTTTCAGACTAGGTTAAGCTTCCTTTTTCTCTCTCTAACAATAAAGATTAAATGCTGCCCTAAAGTATATTTTATGAAATGATGGAAGAAACGATGTATTTAACAGTTTTTGCTATTTTAAATCTGTCTTTGCCACTTGTCTGTGAGATTATAGAAAGCTTTTTTTACTGCCTTGAACCTCAGTTTGTCATCTGTAAATGAGCATAAGGATACCTAGTCCATAGTGTTTTTGTGGGGCTCAAGTATATAAGAAATATTTTTAAGTAATAAATCACTTTACAAATGCAAAGTTTTAAAATATTTATTATTACTGAGCTTGTATAATGTTGAGCCTATATTTAAGACAGTTAGTGGTGAAAGACCTTCTGAATTAGATTCTCTCTCTTTTTCTTTATCTTCTGTAGAATACATTGACAAAACAGCAAGTTAGGGTTTCAAAAGAGTCTAGATTGTGGCTGGAATGTAAACTGATTGAACTAGACTTCATTGCCGGTAGTGGCCCTTTATACAGCCTGGTCTTAGAGGATGAATCACATGGCTTAGCATTAGAATATGCCTTCTTTAAAAAATATAAACGTATTTACAAATGATTAAAAATGGCCCTAAAACCATATGTCATCATAGAAATTACCTATTCAGAAACTGAAAAGAAAGTATCAAAGCAGACTGCTCAGTTTATTAAACCAAAGGCATTTGGAATGTAATTCATTATTTTACATTGACTTTAAAAATGTGAGATTTTTATTGATTCTGTCAAAATGTATGCTCTCTATACTATCATTAGAGTGGTTCAGATGTTAGTATAATTCGTGAATTGGTATGTATTATATAGTTTACAGTGAACTTAAATAGTTTCTAAACAGCAACTGAGAATTTCTATTTGATCTCCCTAATTAATCCACCATGAACTGTTGCTATAGATTCTTCACCTAGTAGTGGGATAAATCAAAACATGACTGTTTGCCAATTGCACATTAATATACATTTATATGTGTATTATTAAATTTATATTAAATGCATATTAATGTACATTTTAATGTGCTCCAATTAAAATGAAAATAATTTTCATTATTATTAAATTTCTCATATCTGTCTACATGCTTCATAATTCAAGAGCACTTAGGTCAGGTGAGGAAGCACTAAACATTTCATTTCACAGGTGAGGAAACTAAGGCACAGGGAAGTAAGCTAATTTGCCATACATCACAAAGCTAGTAGGTAGGGAAACCGAGAGCAAACCTAGGTGTCGCTACGTTACCCATATATTTCTACTGTCTAGGAGTCTTTATTTGGTTTTGGTTTCAGAGGTCAGAAAATCTGTGGTAGGGTGAACCAGACGTGAATGTACCCTTCTGTGGGATTTCCAAACCCACTAGTAGAAAAACAACACCTCCATTGTTCAGGGCTTTAGTTTTGATGTATTTATTTAAGATTGTAAGAGAATATTTTCTAAATGTAGTTTTTAATCAAACAAATATTACACAAATTAAGTTATGTCCCTTTTATATTATTTACTCAGAATGTAACTGATGTGCAGTTGCCATTACTGACTTAATTTTTACTTCTTGAGAAAGTGCTCCAGTGCGAATATATTCTCCATTGTACTGATTCCTGGGATTTCATGTGATGTATTCTCCTTCTGGCCAATTCATTCTTTTCATACTTGTCCAACATTGCCACTAGAATACTTCCCCATGTGGCTATTATAGAGTTTTCCCCTTTCTTCTTCTGAGTTGGCTCATTTAAATAGATTCTAATAGTTACAATATATGTATTTGTGTTTTGTTGCTTTTGTTCTGTTTAATATTCTCTTTCAATAAATCTTTTTTGTTTATATTATTTCTAAAATTAATTGTAGGCTAGTGGCCATGTATTGTACTGAAAAATCAAGAAAGATGACTCCTAAAATCAAAAGTGTTCTTTTGAACACTGTTTGTGCTTTACAGTGTACATAGTGTTATGCGCTGTATAATGTTTTAAATTTTTGCATCCAGTTTTCTTCTGTGATAACAAGAAAGTTTGAGCTGATACCTCTCTTTTTTTGACTTCCAGCATGCCGCTTTTTCCTACCCCTCCTCCTGACTGATTGGTCCTTCTTCAATATCTCCTTTAGCTTCCTTTTCTCTTTCCTTCCTTAAGGTATGTGTGTTATCTTATGCTCCCCTCTTGGCCTTCTCTTCTGATTATTGTATACGCTCTCCCTGGATTAATGCTCATTAGCATCTCTGACTCCCAGCACCATTTTTTTTGCTAACAATTTTCAAATCTGTTTATCTAGACGGGATTTCCCTCCTGAGCTTCAGATTTTTGTTCCACACTCCATTAAATATGTCCAAAAAGGAACAACACTCTTCCCTTAGAATCTGCCCCTCTTCCACTATACTGAATCACAGTGCAGTAGAAGAAGGACATGTAATAAAAAAAAATTAGAATGGAGCAAGACATGTGCTATGAGAGAAGGACGTATAGGCTATTGAGATACAACAGAAAGCTGAGACTCAGCTTTGACCTTGCCATTTATAACCACAAGGGACCAAATCCTATGAAGTTAATGCCTAAATATATTGAGATTATATTTTTATTCTTCTGCATCCCCACTGTCAGTATCTTAGTATAAGTGCTATTTTTTCTCATTTAAGTTACTGTAATAGGAGAAGAGAATGAAAACATACCTCTAGGGAATCTGGAGGCACAGTTTTGAATGCCATATATAGAATGTCTTTGAAGTATTAAAATTTCATTCAAAATTTGCATCTCATTTTTCAGTCTCTCTACATTTGTCGTAATATGAACACTATAATTTAAGTTACTTATCTTTGAGTGAAATTGTTGCCCCAGGAGGGTAAGCTGTGTTTATACTAAGCTATGGATACCCCCTGCAATGCCATGTTAGTGGAGGTTACTAGTAATCCTGGTTAAGAAGAAGAAGAGAAGTTTTCCTTTCTTATCTGGATTTATGCAGTATCCCCTTATATCCACCTTCTTCCATTCTTATTTTCTGCAAATTATTTCTATATACTACTACCAATTTGTCCTTGCTAATGTACAAAGCTGATTATATCATTTCCTAAAATGTTTCCTCAGTGTAAAATCCAAACATCCTGGTGTGACTTGAATGACCCCTCATAGTTTGGACCCTGCCTATTTGTCAAATTTCGCATTTTGCTTCTTCCTGTCTCCTCCTATCTACTCCCCTCATCATACCCCAGTTGTTGTCAGATTGAACTCATACCCCATCATGCCCTTGTATATGAAGCTTATACTCCCCCTTTTTCTATGACTGGAAACATTAATCTTTTAAGACTCAGCTTTAGAATGTTGTCTGCAGTCCAGGTGAAGTGCCTTTGTAACTGCTCCTGTGGTAACCTATGCATCCTTCTCTCATAGCAGGTGTCTTGCTCTATTCTAAATTTTTTTATTACATGTCCTTCTTCCTACTACCCCAGAAGCTATTTATCTATATATTCCCAGCACCTAATATGGTGTTTAGTACATAGTAGGTACTCATCTATGTATCTTCATCACCTAATATGGTGTTTAGCACGTAGTAGGCATTCAGTAAATATTAATGAATAAGTGGTTAAATTAATACCTAGGATTTGTATTTCCAACTGATTGTCCTCATGATTCTTAAAACATCAAGCTGGTTTCCAGATCCAAAAGTTGAATATGATAGACTATTTTAAAATAATTTTATGCAACAAAAATTTCAGAACTAGATATATAATGATTATACAATGAAACTGCCAAGTTTTGTATGCTTAATCACCAATACTCAAGGAAATTTCAATTGGGACTGAATGTTTTAAAGTGTCCATAGTTTTCATTGTTGTTAAAGTTGTTTTTATGGTGTTTTATATAATAATTGTGTTAAATATCAAGGAAGAAAAAATATCAAGAAAGGTATGCATATGAAAATAATAGATTTTTTAAGCTTTAAGTACATCAAGATCAGTTCATCTGTTAACATTTTCCATATGCCAGTCAGTATGCTAAGCAATTATCATACTATTGAGATATATTATCTCATTTAATATCCCAGCAGAGCAGATTTTATAGTTGAGACTGAGACTTAAAATTTAAATAACTGTGATTATGCAAGGTTAAACAGCTAGTATTTATAGTGAAGTAGTATATTAGTTGGTTCTCACGCTGCTATGAAGAAATACCCAAGACTGGATAATTTATAAAGGATAGAGGTTTAATTGACTCACAGTTTCACATTGCTGGGGAGGCCTCAGGAAACTTACAGTATGGCAGAAGGCAAAGGAGAAGCAAGCACCTTACTCACAGGGTAGCAGGACGGAGTGAGTGCCAGCAGGGGAAATCACAGATGCTTATAAAACCATCAGATCTCATGAGAACTCACTCACTATCATGAGAACAGCATGGGGGAAATCACCCCCATGATTCAGTTACCTCCCACCAGGTCCCTCCCACAACATGTGAGAATTAATGGGGATTACAGAGATTACAATTCAAGATGAGATTTGGGTGGGGATACAGTCAAACCATATCACATATCGATATGAACATAAGGATGTCTGATATTAAAAACTGTTGCTTCCGCTTACACTGGACCCAATATTCTTACAACTTCTTTTATAAACAGATATTCTTTCTTTTATGAACAGGTATGTAGTGATTGTTAGATGTGGAAAATCGCAGTGCATTTGGCATTTTCAGCCATAGTCTGTACACTTGAAAAGACATTTGGATATGGTATAGTGTAATTGATTTAATGCTAGAGTGGGGAAATGTGATTCTTTAATTATTTTTGAGTCACAGGATCCTAGGAGAATGTCATGAAAAGTGTGAGCCCTCTGTACACAATAAAATGCATACTTCTAAAAGGTACTCTGTTTTAATATAGTCTTGGAGTCTGTAAAAAACACAGACAAGGCCCAGAACTCCATTTCTAGATGATTTACCTATTTTATGGATGAAGAAACTGAGGTGCAAAAAGGTCAAACATGTTTCTGGAATTGTTGACCAAGCGCATCCATCAAGAATGCCCTTTAGAAGGTGATTTTCTTGTGGAATTTTCTGAATTCCTAGAAAAGTACTGTGATTTTAAGTCTCAGCAATATGACAGTAATACTAAATATATTCCAAGTATATTTATGCATGAAAATGATTTCATATTTTCTAATATCTAACATATTTCTTGTAAAAATCTATTGAGAACAGTAATTTTTTTGGAAAACTTATGAAATTACAGTAATGACTTAGAGTAAAATAAAATAAATTTGCACAGAAGTTTATCATTTAAAGAAGAAAATGCAGAATTAAAATGAAATAACACTGATCGATGAATATTATCACCAGATAAAATAATTATATGGTAGCACGACAAATTTCTATGTTTGTGAATTACATTTTCTACCTATAAAATTATTTCAGTATGACAGAGCTATTTTATGCTTACTTGTCCACATAACAGTTCTATAAGGAGATGCGGTTTTGTAGCTTCTCATTTTAAAGATGAGGAAACTGAGGCTTAAAGTTTAATTATTTATGCTTGGATTTATAGCTATATAAGTAACAGAGCCAAGAGCTCATTAGAGAGATCTTATCCTTCTGAACTGAGCAGCTCTCCATCGTTTCACATATATGCCTGGAGAAAATCACATAGATGTAGAAAACAAATTCCAGCAGCTAAGAGAGTCACAAGCGCGTTTGCTACATGTTCTTTATTTTAAAGCCTGCCACTTGCTTCCTCAGTCTTGCATTGTTTCACTTTGCAGAGCTCTGAAGGCCAGAGCATACATGAGTAATTCAGAACGATTCTTAGCTTTCATTTCCGTTTTAATCCATGACCCTAACTCATACATTGTGTTTCACCTCATTTTTTTCCAGTACTATAGCAAAGGCTAGTTTACTTCAAAGGAAACTGTTTAAATGCCATTATCAAGATGCATGATATGTTAACAATTATTACATAAAGTTTTTCAAATACAGAATGTTTCAGTCTCACAATATGATTGTATAATTTGCTAGAACAATTACTGATAAAGGGGTTATCAGTGCCTGTGTTTAAGAATTTACTTGAGTAAAAAATGTAAAAGTACAATTTTTAAAAACGCCTTCCAGAAAGTAACTAATACAATACAATGAATGTGAGTTACATTTACTGGTGATTAACACTTTAGTAATACTTTTGATATTACATTTTTAAAGGGGTCTTCTTCCTTCTACGGAATGTGTGTTTATGGTGGCAGCTTTAATGCTGTTTCCTACTGTGCAGTTCAATAGAGTATGTTTTTAGGTGGTTGGTTGAGGGTTTTTTTCCGTTATGTATGTCGATGGAGATAAGTGTTTTAATTACTTTTTTAATGTCTGTGCTTTTGTATTTTTCTCCTCTCTTTCCTTTTATTTCCTGCTGTTGAGATTACTGCCTCATCTCCACAGCAGGTGGCTGTTGCAAATTTGTTTTCTTTGTAAGCCTGGAAGATTTATTTTGTAATATAACTGTTCCTTTTTAGTATTTTATTATTAATGATTTCTTTACTTTGGGATATAGTGTACTTACACAGTCCTAAACAGTAATTTCCTAACACTATCTAAGAACTCCAATCATTAAGAAAAAAAATCTTTGCCTGAGGCGTATTGTTTGAGATTTTTGCTTACCCTTACTTCACAATGCGGGGATTAAAATTTAAGGAAATTGTTTTATAGCAAAAGCCAAATGAGAAAAAGAAACAGAGAAAATAGAAGGGAGGGAAATAAAGAAAAGGAGAAGAGAAAAGGCTCAAGAGACAAAGTATACTTTAATAAATAATACCATAAAGCAGAGTAATGAGGATAAATTTATGGCTGAAATATGAAATTACATTAACATCTTTTCTAGAAATGTTTCAACTAAACCAAATGCTTATATTAAAGTATAATTTCAATTATTGCAATAACTTCTACTAATTATAAGCAAATTGCAATATTATAAAATAATAATGAAGAAAAAGGTACTTCTTTTTTTTGTCCAAAGGGTTTGTTGTTCTCATTGTGTCATAATGTCCTATAGATAGAAGAAAAGATGCAACAGATCCTAATATAGACATGATCTGTTATAAAAGTACAATATACTCAAGGATATTTTATCCATCTCCATAAAGAAAGCCATAATTTTGTTAAACAAAATAAAATCTATGTATTTTTTCCAAATGTATAAAGGAAGTAAAAAGTATGAGACCAAAAATGCATGGTGAACCCATATTCTCATTGTGTTTGTATTAAATCACTGGACATTTATTACAGATAAAAAATCCTCTATAAGAATTTCAACCACTCAAATTCAATTCATTTCATATGTGTACTTGTACTTCTTAATACATTCATTGCTTTGTTATAAAGAATATGTTCACATCCTTTCTCACCTGTAGATATTCTAAATTGAAGTCTGATATAAGTTCTAACATGAAGTTAGGTGAAGTAATTACATTGGCACGATAGAATTTGTGTGTTTTCTACATGAAGTATAGAAGCCAATTGAAATACTATAACTTCATAAAAATTATTTGATTATTTTATTCTCTTTTCTAGTGCTTTTTAAAATTGTACTGTTTTATACATTAAATACAAAGAGAAATTCAGCATGTATCAGATTTTCAAAATGATATAATAATACTCAGTAATCCACTTGGTTCTGGACTTATTGTTATGTGCTGGTGTACAAAAAGAATCTTGTGTAATGGAAAAAAATACTATTTAAATGGTGTCTCCATTCATAACATTTTTAAAAATGTTCTTGTTATTCTCTAACCAATTGTGTGATACACACAATTAATGTGTGTGGTCACATTTAGAGAAAGAGTATAGACAGCAGTTATATGAAACAGATGTTTAATGGGGATTTCAAAAATCAATGAAATGAATATTATTGTGATGCATGGTGATCTAATTTCATATGTGTTATATTGAATCACTCCATTTTTTTCTGCATTCTGTCTGAACACTCAGTACTAAACGCATTTACAGCAGCACATCGGGAAGAAAATGGGGAGTTTTATTGAGAAAAGAACCACAATAGGCCATCATTGATCTATTCTCTTTCTCATCAATATATAGATCCTAGAATGATAACCCATATGGCACTATTGTCCCTTAGAAGTAAGACATAAATCCTTTGAGTGATCTTTAAGTGACAGATGAAACACTTTATAATCCATTGTGGAACTGCGACATGCTTAGTTAGACACTTGAAAGGAATATTTTACTTCCATATTGTAATCTCAACTGCTTGGGCTTGAATCAGGAATAGCTTATCTTCTCTAATACATATATAAACATATATATACATAGATGCATATATTTATGATTTTCTACCTACTTTTACACATCCTGTATACAGCCACCCAAATGGCTTATGATTAGTTTGCAATATCTTCTTTATTTGAAAGTGTTTATTATGAATCTCTTTATCATGTAAGCCTTTTTCCCCCATAGTTTTTATATTTTACCAAAGACAGTAATAATGACTTACATTTTAATGTTATTTTAGATTTACCAGCATGCTTTATGTGCACTTTTCTACCTAATTTTCCAAAGAACCCTGTATAGTAAGCAGGGTTGTCTGCATTCTAAAATCAAGGAGTTTGAAAGCCACAGGATTAAGCAATTTTATTCAATTACAGTTAGAAAATGGAAATAATGAGATTAGAACCCAGTTCTTTAGACCCTAGGTCAATGCTGTCTGAGACATGATTTTGTTCTTAATGCTCCAATTTGAATGACACTTTGAGCAGGAGTGGACTTTATCTTGCTGTTAATACTTTCCTTGTTTTGATGCACATGTAGCTGGAGTTCATTGTAGTCTATAGAATGAATGAAGTTAGAATAATACTCTTATGTGGCTACATCCTTTCATTTTAGCCAAAGATGCTAAGTTTCGTGGACTGTGATACTACCTATCCAATACTGACCACTTAAATATGTAATAATATAAACTGTGTATATCATGGATTAGATGATCATTTAACTTATATGTACTCAAACGTATCATTTCATTAAGTCAAACAAAGGCTTTAAGGAAGCAAAGAAAATTAAAGGAAACATTTATTTCACATCTGTGCAAAGAGCTTTATATACCTGTTTTTCGTGTTAATTCTCCCAACAGTCCTGTGATGAGGAAGCTGTTGCCCAGAAAGTATAATTTATTTGGCCAAGGTCATAATAGCTAGTAAGTGCTAGAACTAGAATTTTAATGCAGGAAGTCTGACTTCAGAGTTTTCAGTCCTATCCAGTATACTGTTTACAAATAATTATACAAATAGGTCAGTCGGCCTTAAGATATTTTATAAGATTTAATAAACAAAAATAAAGACAAAAGTTGTTACATGGATTTTTCTTTTACTAAGACAGAGGGGGAAGTTAGCCTGGTTTATTCCATAAATACATGTTTAATCTGTATATTTTAATACTGTCCCTAATGCAGCACCATTTCCCAAGCCAGCATTAGAAAATAAGGACTGAGTAACATAACATGTGAGATCTCACATACAAAAGTACTTTGGAAGGTGAAAAACTTACGGTATTTGCCATCAGCTACATTTTGCTGATCTCATCCAGAAAACTTGAGAGTAGTGACAATCAGTGTTGTTTTATTTGTCTACCAAAGTCTTATTGAAAAAGCACCTGTGTGAAATAATAAGAATTGGTGTTCCTGTAGAGTTCAGTATACTAGAGCATTGTCCATTTGTTTTTGTTTTTGTTTTTGTTTTTTTGAGACAGAGTCTCACTCTGTCACCCAGCCTGGAGTGCAGTGGTGCGATCTCAGCTCACTGCAACCTCTGCCTCCCAGGTGCAGCGATTCTTGTGCCTCAGCCTCTGGAATAGCTGGGATTACAGGCATGAGCCAGCACGCCCGGCTAATTTTTTTTTTTTTTTTTTTTTTTTTTTTTTTTTTTTGTGGAGATGGGTTTTTGTCATGTTGGTCAGGCTGATCTCGAATTCCTGACCTCAAGTGATCCACCCACCTTGGCCTCACAAAGTGCTGGGATTACAGGCAGGAGCCACCGTGACTGGCCAGCATCACCCATTTCTGTGAGCCACAGCCTTTGGCCAGGGACCTGAGGTAGTTTCTCTGTGGTCTGTGCTATCTTCTTCACACCTGGGATTTGTGAGTCTATCTCCAAAGATGACTGTCTTTCTCATGATGGCTTAGCTGTCATTCAGATGAATCCTTTCAAGGACAGGAAGCATCACACAAATGCTTGCATCATTCAGTTAACACTAAACAAGTGGCTTGGTGAAGTAACACAAGCAAACATTATAGAATCTGAGTAATTCTTAAACATGCCCTACCATAGCTATGAAAGCAAAGCCTTAAAAGCTTTTTTTTTTCTCTTATTACTTCCTAGATTTTAATATGTAACAGAACATCTAATATCTTGTTCATGTTAACTGAAGTTGTGCAAAACTTTATGTGAGCACAAGGAAAGAATTTACTATATATACTGCTGTTATTTATTCTGTAGTTGTTCCAGAGGGAGGTGCTTTGGCAACAATGCAAGGATACACATTTCAAAGAATATCAAATAGTGAAAAATAACCAGGATATACCCAAGAGGAATTCACTTAAGAAGGAAAACATTTCAGAAAGGGATTGTACTGGAGAAAATAATCACAAAACAAAAATGCTGACAAGAGAAGCAGCCAGTCCTTTCTCTGTCACTAGATTGGAACCTGGCTGCAGACACATCCTGTGAGGTACGCATATCTGCAGCCTTGTAGAGAAACTTAATACATACATGTTGAATGATTACTTTAGATAGGACTGGTTATGTAGCTTCACATTATAACCTGGCCTAGTTATAACCTTAAACATGAAAAAGGCAGCCATTTTGAACTCATAACATAGACTCTACAACCAGTGTCCACGTTAGAAATTGGCGCTGCTTCTTACATGTTCTGTGATCCTTCAGCGAGTTACTTAATCCCTATATGCCTCAATTTCCTCATATTTAAAATGTGGATAATAACATCAGTTGCCTCATACAATTATTTTGAGAATTAAAATGAGTTATATAATAATCACCTGGGGGCCAGGCATTTAGAGTAGTGTCTGTAGTCAATAAAAGTTAATTTAAATTTTCTGTAACATAAGCAGGATCCTTCCTTCCTTCCTTCGTTCCTCCCTCCCTCCCTCCTTCCCTCCCTCCCTCCCTTCTTTTTCAGAGAACGTGAAAATCACCATTTAAAAATAATTCTTAAGGAGGTGTTCCTTTGTATAAATGCATGCTAAAACACCAAAAACTTCAATAACTATTCTAAAGAAACAAACTATCCGGCCTCCTTGAAAGACAAAGACTATACATATCTACTACGCTGAACTGTTTTGTTTGTCAAATCTTTGTCAATTCATCTTTATTCATAAACTCTCTTTTTCACACTGAAAGGTGAATTAAAAAGTCATTTCAGTGTCATTTTGAAATCATCCTAGTATAGACACATACCTTATTTATTAATATGCCACCTACTCTCAGAGAAGTCTTCCTTTGATAGATGACTATTTGCAAGTTTCATTTTCTTTCATATTTCACTTAAGGTTGCCTCATTTTTCTTTCTTTGTGGAACTTGATTTACATATGCTAAGGTTTAATACTTTATTTTTATTTAAGCTTTTATTCTTTCCTTGCCATGCAATATGAAGTATGAAATAATTGATAAATTATAGAATAAACCTATCTTAATATTAATAGCTAATGTTTAATGAGTATTCACGATGTGCCAGCTCTCAATTATATATATGGTTTATCCATATGGATATATTTTTAATATTTTCATAATTTTGTAATTTTTTTAACATTTTTAAAAAATCTCACATCCATGAGAGAAGTAGAATTTTTATCTCTGTTTTTAGAAATGAAGTAGTGGAAAATCAATTTCAGGGTTCTCCAGAAAAACATAATTAGTAGGATGGACAGATGGGTAGATAGAGATGACTTATTTTAGGGAATTGGGCTATTTAATTGTGGGAGCTGGTAAGTCCAACTCCTTAGCGCAGGACAGGAGACTGGAACTCCCAAGTAGGAGCTGATTGTGCAGACTTAAGACAGAATTTCTCCTTCCTCAGGGAAACCACAATTTTGTTCTTAAGGCCTTTTGATTAATTGATTGGATAGGGCCCACCCACATTATTGAGGCAATCTCCTTAAAGTCAAGTGGTTGTAGATATTAATCACATCAACAAAAGGCTTTCCCAGCAATACCTACCTTAGTGTTTGATTGACTAACGGGTGTTATAGCCTAGCCAAATTGACATCTAACCCTAACCTTCACAGGATTCACAGGAACTTATACAATACCACAGAACTGGTAAATGAGAGAGGAAGGACTCATACCAAAGTCTGTCTAGTGACAAAATCCCTGCTTCTGATCATCCCACAGCACTATGATTAGCATAGACTATCAAAGTATCCACATGGAGACCTTCAGATGCACTGTCCCTGGCCAGAAGGGATGACCTGTCACCCAGGTAGAGGAGGAGGGCTCCGTGGACCTTGAGGCCCTATGTGTGACCTGGGGTGTGGCTAAATAAACTGGAAAGAAAAGCTAATTATATGTAGCATATGTATATGTTGGTTTGAATAGTCAAATGTAGACCTAACTTCAGTCTTCTTTTAACAGGTTTCAGAAGAAATCATTTTGTCATTAGAGAGCCTTCAAGAACATATTCAGCTATTTTTACCAACCCCATCCCTCCAACCCAGGTTTTCTAAAAGAATCACATAAACGGCCACCCATTTATATAATTGTTTCTGTTACTAATATACCTTTTTATGTCATAAAAGGGGGAAACAGTCTTATCCCCATTTCCTTTACAGAGAAGCTGAGGCAAAGGCAGGTGAGGTGGCTCCCCTAACTATGCTACTACATAATGGAAATCATTTTGAAAGCAAAAGTTCTTTTAAAATCATTTATGAGCAAATGCTATGGAAAAGGAGATTCAGGGGATGCTGGATGGGGAAGAAAAATGTTTGGTTTAATCTGAAGAGACAATGGTGGTTTATTGCTGATTACAGGCAACCCACAGAAACCTTCAGCTTTCAGATCAGATATGGCACCCACCTTATCTCATATGACAAAAGTCATCCTTCGGCTATGCTTATTACTCTGTATCTACCAGCAAATGTCCATTGCCCTTCATTTCATTGTAAAATAAACTCCTGCCTCTCTAGAATGACCCATTGGTAGAATGAGTCTTAGTAATAAAATAAAACTACATGTTTTCCCCTGCATTTATGGAATTGAGATGAATTATTTCTCTACTTGCCTTGGATGGGGTGACTGCTATAAGATTTTCTTCATTTACACTTTGGAAAAAATTTAGTCTGCCATTTATTTTCCTTTCAAAGTTTTGGTAAGAATTTACTAATTTATAGTTGATATATGTACAATGTAGAAAATTTGGAAAATAAGGAAATAATAAAAATTGGAATATCCTTAATACCACCACTCTAAATGATCTCTGTTTAGATTACATGGTTTATATTAATACATTTTTTTACAAAATTTGAATTATACTATACAGAGTTTTGAATCCTGCAGGTTCATTTAAGACTGTATTTTGATTACAATCTTATACCATATTTCTCAAATATTCGTTCTGTTGTCTTTTTCTTTTATACGGTAAAACTAATTTCTTCATTTACCTGACATTCTGGTACTCTCTCATCTTATTTTCCTCTTTCTGTATTAATCATTTTTGTGCATTAAACCTTTATTTGCATGTGTCAGTATTTTCTTAAGATAGATTTAAGACTATTTTCTAGATATTGAACACCAATGTATATTTCCACTGAAAGAGTATGACAAGTTCCATGTCTACCCTTGGTGTATAGTTTAATTTTCTTAAATATTTTTCTTTTTATAGAGAAGTTACAATTTTATTCTTTTAATTTGCAGTTTAATGACTTAATGGAGTTAATATTTTTAGTGCTTATAGGTGATTTATATTTTTTCTTCTCCCAATTTTTATTATTCTTTATGTTTCCATTGAAAAGCTAATATGTTCCTTACTGATTTGGAGAATTTATACAGTAAAGACATTTAATTATTAAAACATCTTCTTGGTTAATAATTTTCGTTTTAATTCATTTATATTTTTTAAATTTAGCAGTGGTTGAATTATTGTGGCAAAATACATTGTTTTTTCCTTTAATTTTTTTCTTTCATTAAAAAAGAAATGATTTTACTTATTCAGGAATTAGATAAATATGTACCCATTTTTAACTTTTTTTATATTTAGTACTTTAATGTAGCTGAAACTGACTTATTTATGATATGAGGCAAGAATATAACCTGATTTTCCCTGTAATGTTATATATGTTTATGTGTGTATATACATATGTTTCCATATATTTATAGGTATACATTAATGTGTGATTTACGATGTGTACTTGGTTATATATTAAAGATATACATAATATACTCTGAGATCCGTTAGACTGTATTATGTACATTTTATATTGATTTGCTTACAGATGTTTTCCTCTAAGAATGACATTATTTCAAAGATTAAAGTTTTCTTTTTTGTTTTAATATCTAATAGGAAAAGCCCCTCCTCCTGCTAATGATATTTTATAAATTTGATTACTTAGGTTTGCCAGAACCCAATAAAGATGCCATCTTCCAAGGCCTGACGCAGGACCAGGGGTTTTATACATCCAAAGACTTTTTGCCACTTGTAGCCAAAGGCAGTAAAGCAGGTATAACATATTGTCTTTTATGCTTAATAGTGAGTATGCTATTTTATTTATGATAAATTAATATCAAAATCAAGCTCAGCAGCACATTGTTCAGCTCTCACACCCAACCTTGCCTAAGACCCAAATGTAAAATTAAAAAAAAAAAGGCCGGGTATAACAGTTTGCCAGAATCATCTGTTTGTTCATTCTTCCAATAAAGTATCATCGTAAGGAATTTTCACTGTAATATATATGTCTAAACTACATCATGAAAAATTGCTTCAAGGTAAGCAAGTCCTTAACAAACATTGGAAGATGTTTTTCAAAGAAATGGCATGAATCGTCACATATCTTATATGATTTGTATCTACACAGGCAGAAAGATTGACTGTCTTCTCTTAAACAGTAATTTTATGATGTTAAAATAAAATACTTTGATAGACACCCTATCACTTTATACACCCCAAGAAGAACCACCTGAATGAAGGTTGTACCTTGGTTTGGCCTGACCAGAGTCATTGTCTTTGGGGAAAATTGTAATATTTTATCCAAAGTCAGATAATCTAAATCCTTCAAATGTATATTTTTAAAGAGGTCTGAGCCACAGCTATTCCTACATTAATTACATGTAGAAATGATACAAACTTTTATGCTTCTCCCAGGACTTAAAACAGTAAGAAACTTTCTATATTAAATTATTCTTCAGAAGTTTACAGCTAAAGATGCATACCCTCTCCACCTTCTGCCTCTCAGTAGAACTGGATGTTTGTATGTCTGAAACCCTTTCTGAGGAAGGTCATAGTGCACCTAGCTTGTATTTGAAAATTACAGAGTGTCCCAAATACAAAATCTTCCAAGCAAAATGATTACACTTATTGAAATTATAGGTTTATTCTATTCTTGGTACCATTTAAAAAATTATAGTAATTGATCTTATAAACAGTTTTATTTAATCTTATTATACACTGCTACCTAACACATAAGGAATACTTGCATTTTACTTTTTTTACAAGGATCTTCATATGGACAGCAAATCTTAATAGAGATGACCTTGAGAAATGGATGCTTAGAAAGTCATATTTCTTTTACTGCCCAGTTTCACAAACAAAACCAGAGGAAAGCAGTGAAAGGGAGAAAGATTTATTTGAACTATTTCAAGAAAATAGTTCTCAGAAATTCTTCAGTTACATAAAGGACACTTATTCAGCACGTTAATATTCAAAGTTAACAAAATATATAACAGAGGTATGTGTTAGAAATTATATAAGGTAATACATAAAAAAGTATTATAATGAAATATTGCAAACCGTTAACACAGATCATAAGGATCACTTTTTTCTTCTAGCAAAAGGAAAATTATGCTGAGTTAAAGATAGATAGCACAATTTTGATGAAGAGAGTTTTAATTGATTGATTCCAGTCTGTTATGACCTAAACTTCTCAAAATGTGTTGTAGGAATCCTAGAAGAAAAAAGAAACTAAAGATACTGACTATGAAATTACATATATGAGCATATTTTTAAAATGGGAATAAAACTGTCTTTCAATGAAGCAGAATAATTTGATAGTGACACTTCATCCTGGAAAACTGCAAGATGCAATTTTACACTGCTTTGAGTACAAGTATCTTTTGAGCTGTCATGCAGAAATGGTTTCTCTACTTGAAAATGGGGTTTTCCTTTCATCATTCAGGAATGTGCGCCTGTCACTCTCCATTGCCATCGATACGGGGAGTCGTGATTGTACTTGGAGCTGGAGACACTGCCTTTGACTGTGCAACATCTGCTCTACGTTGTGGAGCTCGCCGTGTGTTCATCGTCTTCAGAAAAGGCTTTGTTAATATAAGAGCTGTCCCTGAGGAGGTAAAATGGAACCATCAGAAAATATGGAGTTGTACTCCAACAGATTTTAGGAGATGAAACTGTTAATGTTTAAATCGCTAGAATGTTGAAATTGTCAAATTCAAGTTTAAAAATTTCAGGGCTACACATAATTGTTTCTTTTCTAATTCAGACATTCCAAGTAAAAGAAAATTTGTAATACTGATTTGGGTAAAATGAGAAATTTAATCTTTGTCAATACTCAAGGGCTTCTTGTTAGTGTTAATATGCTTGAAATGTATTCTATGTAACTAGTAACAATGTAAAGTGCTAAGTCTTCCATATCCTGAATAGTAGGTACTCTTCACAAAATGTATGCATATTAGAAGAATGTGGTAATAAGACACATACGGAATTTTCCGTAAGCCAATTTACAGACTGCATTCTAAGATGTATACCTTGGTCATACTTTCAGTCAGTTCATTATTTGTGAAGCAAATAGAAAGAAAAGGGTGTCATGTATATTTTTAAAGTGCTCTAATATAAGCACTACTCAAAATTAGTAGTTAGTTAGCATACTAAAAATAACGTTTGGCTGTGCGCGGTGGCTCACGCCTGTAATCCCAGCACTTTGGGAGGCTGAGGCCGGCGGATCACAAGGTCAGGAGATCAAGACCATCCTGACTAACACGGTGAAACCCCGTCTCTACTAAAAATACAAAAAAATTAGCCGGGCGTGGTGGTGGGCGCCTGTAATCCCAGCTACTCAGGAGGCTGAGGCAGGAGAATGGCGTGAACCCGGGAGGCGGAGCTTGCAGTGAGCCCAGATCGTGCCACTGCACTCCAGCCTGGGTGACAGAGAGAGACTCTGTCTCAAAAAAATAGTAATAATAACATGTTTAAAATCATTTCATTCTTACCAGTGACTGGTGAGTAGTCTTGGGTGAGGTATCGGCTATTTACATGTACTACACACTTCTCAAATTTTAATGCTATTAGAGAAATATAATACCTTATAAAGAATATTAGTTCTGAGAACAAGAACCAAATGTATTTATAGAAAGATAAATTACTCATTTAAATCAAATCAGTATTATGAACTTGACTTGCTTCGGAATGCCTGAATGTGTTTGGAGTCTCTATACTAGGCAAGAATTATAGCTGTAGTCAATAGGTAATTTGTCATATGTAGATTACCCACATTACAAATTAATCTTACCAAAATATCAGGGTCACCATTGGTTCATGGCTGAGTTTCAAATTCCACGTTTATTATCTGGACTTTTCTCCATCCAATCTACCCTTTTTAGACTTTTTTATAAAATCCAAGGTAGTTTTTATGATCATAGGTTTCTTTTTTTTTTTTCCTGGGATACAGTCTTAGGCAATAATTAGTGTAATCATGGTTTTTTTTTACACATAGAAAGAAACATTTTGATCTTTGTATTCCTGTGCATAGCACAGGACCTGGCACATAGTTTGTACTTGAGAAATAGGTTTTGAACTAAACATTTTAAATATTAAGTCTTATCCTTCTGATTCCAATGTTAGAAAAGTTTCATTACCAAAGGTGACTTCTTGAGGGTTGGAAGGGGAAGATGACACTGATTGGCAATATCAATTTACTTCACATTTTATATCATAGTCATCTTCCATTTGCAAGGGTCACTGGAAATGAATGGTGGTTATTTCTTCTGTCTTAGGTAGAACTAAGACACAAACAAACTGAGACCAGATAAGAAGAGGGTAGCGGTATGAATTTATTTATTCATTCATTCATTCATTTATTAAAACTACATTTACTGAGCATCTATTATGTACCAGGTATTGTTCTGGGCAACTTAGATACAACAGTCAGCAAACCAGTTAGAATTTCATGCCCTCATGGAATTTGTACCTAGTGACAGAAGATACCCAATAATTAAACAAATAAACTGTCACATAAATAATATATTGAAAAGTAATTAGAACTGTGGAGAAAAATTAATATAGGAGTATAATGAGTGTGTGAGAGATGAGGATAATGGTGGAAGAGAAGGCAGGGTTTGCCATTTTAAACAGGGTGGCCCTGGAAGACCTCTCCGATGAGATGATTTTTGAACAAAGAGATGAGGAAGTTGAGGGAAAGTAGGCATCCAGGAGATAAACATTCCATGGCAAGCTAAATGCCTTCACCCTTTATTGTGGAAGTCTTCTGGATTTGTGGAATAGAAAAAACGCCAGTATCATCAGAATAGAGTAAGAGAGGACAGAATGTGGCTGACCGGATTATGTATTGTAGGCATTCATAAGACCTTTAGCTTTTACTCTCATTGAAAGAGAAAAATCACTGGGCTGCTTTGAACAGAGAAGTGCCAAGCTCTGATTTAAATTTTAAAATGGCTACTCTGCTGAGAATTGACTATAGTGGAGTGGCATCAGAAGCAGAGAGGCTAGTCAGGGGCTAAGTAAAAGAGTGAGCTATTGGTTAATGTGAGTAGATTACAAGAAGCACAGGATCAGAGTAGAGGCATAGCACCTTGGAAGGCCAGAGCTCAGCTGCCTGAAACTTGATTACCAAAGTGTTGAGAAGCAACAGATCCTTGAGATAATAGGTAACCTGCCTGCAGTAGAGCTTAGTAGAACTCAAATGGGTCTGGTCTTAATTAAAACTAGAAGAACAAATGTTAGATTGTTTGAATTATTTTATTATTAGCTTACAATTAACCAAATTTTTATATGATATTAAAACTAATTGACCTTGAGCTTCATGAGAGAAAGGGCCATGATCATCTCTCTGGGTCACTTTTACCTTCCGCCTGTTTAGCACCTTGGGTGCTACCTATAAAAGATTCAACCAATAATTGTGGAATGAATATTTACTGGAGGGAATCAGCACCGAAGGCTTTCTAGCATTACACGGGCTAATACCTTCCAAGTTAGATAAATATTATAACAGTAGGCCTTTGAAGGTTCATCTCATAATTATAGGCAAAATTTCTTGGAGAGATGGAATAATAAGTAATATATGATTAGATTATGCAAAGTTTTCAGGATTGATTCTCTTACCAGGGGTAATACCATGTAAGGACTGGGAACTTTTGGCATTCATAGAAGTTTCAGTGTTAATCCTTTATGGCCATTGCTTGGTTTTGTATACATCAAAAGAGGAGCCAAAATATTGCAGTGCTAACACTCATGAAACTGGAAAGTCAGGAGAGTACAGGTCCAATATCATTATCTACTTTAAGATACAGGTTTTGAAAGGTTAGGTCTAGCACATAATTTTTAGCCAATATGAAGAATTTAATATTGGCCCTAATTTCTTGAGTAATTGTCTTCTTTCTCCTACACTGTCTCCCCTAGTAAAAACTTCAGCCACATTTGGTTTCTTTAGAGTCAGTGAAGATTGAGGGACAGGGACATTTAGAGATGTCGTCAAATATGTGTGTTATTTAATGGTCATGGACTCTTGGGTGTAATTTGGAAATAGCATGGTTTGTCAGTAAAATGCCTCACCATTAGGCATGTCAACATGTATATGTCTGATGGTGCAGTCTAATTCTCATTCTCTGAGTGAGGGAAATACAGAACAATATGAAGTTTACTTATCCTTTAGTGACAAATATGAATTATGACAGAAGCCAGTTACATTTAACATGGTTTATTAGTCCATTTTCATACTGCTGTGAAGAACTGCCCGAGACTGGGTAATTTATAAAGGCAAGAGGTTTAATTGACTCACAGTTCAGCATGACTGGGGAGGCCTCAGGAAACTTAACGATCATGGAGGAAAGCAAGGCACCTTCTTCACAAGGTGGCAGGAAGGAGAAGTGCTGAGCAAAAAGATAAGAGCCACTTATACAATCATCAGATCTGTGAGAACTCACTCACCATCATGAGAACAGCATGGGGGAACCACCCCCATGATTCTCCCTTGACAGGTGGGGATTATGGGGATTACAATTCAAAATGAGAATTGAGTGGGGGCACAAAGCTTAACCATACACATGGAATTGTTTGAGACCATGTATATTATGTGGTTAGTAACCAAGAACTATATGGTTAGACTCAGGAATGTTTTAATCCACAAAAGTAGGAGACATCATCCAATAGACTCTGTAGTGACAAACACATCCCATTTCTCTAATGTAGAGGTTTTCAAACTTTAGGGTGCATTAAGTCACCTAGAGGGCTTGTTAAACACAGATTGCTGGGCCCTGTCCCTAGAGTTGCTGATTCAGTAAGTCTGGGGTGGGTCTGAGAATTTGCATTTTTAACAAGTTTCCTTGTGATGCTGAGGTTGCTGGTCCACTGCTCTGATGTATCATCAACATGCTTTCCAGCTGTCTAATTAGAGTCACAAACAGTGTGCTGTGTGGAGGTACTTTCCATCTTGGCTAAGAAAGCATTAATACTAAAGGATATAGGTTTGATGAAATGAAGATATGCAGGCATCATCAGCATATTGATGTAATTCTGATTCCAAGTGTCTTTCCAGCTCCCTTGTGGCCTCACACACATGCTAAATAGGATGCTACTGACAAACTAGCGCTTCTCAGCCATGGGTCCTTAGGGAAACCAGCCAATCACTCGACACTATCCTCTAAGAAGATGAGGGAAAATCTGTTAATAATTCCCTCCAGTACTTTCTGCAAGCTTAAATAGGTGAGATTAAATTTCACAGGATAACAGAATCCCCCAAAATGCTGGTATTAAAAGCTGTTGACAGATCAGATAGAACTGCAAGGATGCTTTAGGCAGTTGGGAATCCCTAAAAGGAGGCATGAAGGTCAGAACTCAACAGACCTGCTAGAGTTGATAAATTTAAAGGATAAGGTTAGAGAAGGACTTTATATTTCTTATTAATTATTACCGAGAAGAGGATGGTTTCAAATTTACTTTTAATAGCACAATCCCACACACAAAGTATATTTCAAAGATCTGTTATTTACATATTCAATTTTCCAATAGGAGCAAAACACGATTGATCTTTAATTCTGCTGCATTTTTATGGGGCCTGCATGCTACCCCTGGTACGCCTTAGCTTCCCTTTGTTTGTTTGTCAAAATGGTAACTGATTTAACTTTGGTATGTCAGTTTTTACATGTTTTAGCTATTGAGAGGGTTAACTGTTTTGATAATTAATGCTACTTTATTATTTTAATTAGAAAAATAACAATACCGGATTGCTCAGTCTGTTCATCAAATTTTTCTTCATCTGGTACTACAACTTTGAAATAGCACAACATTTAAAAGAATGTGCCTTTTACCTGATTTTTTTCCACCACCACACAGCATACCCCATAATAGATCATTTTTGTGGCATGACCTATAGGCCTCTTCTCAGATATTTTTAATGTCAAAGGACCATGTTAAAGCTATGTCTATGGATAGTTTTGTCATCAATTTCTTATGGCTAAACATGCTTTTTTTTTTTTCTTTTTTTTTTTTTTGGAGATGGAGTCTTGCTCTGTCACCTAGGCTGGAGTGCAGTGGCGCGATCTCGACTCACTGCAGGCTCTGCCTCCCGGGTTCACGCCATTCTCCTGCAGCCTCCTGAGTAGCTGGGACTACAGGCGCCCACCACCATGCCCGTCTAATTTTTTGTATTTTTAAGTTCGAAACGGGGTTTCACCATGTTAGCCAGGAGGGTCCCCATCTCCTGACCTTGTGATCCGCCCTCCTCGGCCTCCCAAAGTGCGGGGATTACCGGTGTGAGCCACCGTGCGTGGCCTAAACATGTATTTTCTACAGATAACTGATGTTTTCTAGTTTTAATTTAATTACAACAAATATGAACCTGGGACTATTTTTAGAAAATAGCCCCCATAAGCTGACAAATTTAATTTTATTTACTAAAAGTGATGCTTACAGCAGTTCTTCAACGTTTGGCACCTGCACGTCATTTGAGTTGGTGTTCTTCATGGAAGGTAATCAGAGACATGTTGACATGATTTGCTCTCTGAAGGTAGCTGAAAACGAACACTCACACAAAATCTTCTCTAGGCACAAAAAGCTAATTAACAGTAGTTAGGGGCTCCCCTGGTACTAAGATATTAAAGTACACCTTTAAGACTTTATGATGACAGGGGGATGACACATTCCAAGGATCTGTATATATTTATCTTTTGGAAAGTTGTGAAACTTCAGTGTAGTATGAAAAGGTAGAATGGAATAGTCAAAAAGGAATTACAGTTGGAGCACTTGGTTCTTGATTTACATTCTAGTCTGAGTATGCCCATCTATAAAATTAGTGTTGTAATTATATGCTTCTTAAAGTTTTTTCCATTCCTCATTTTATATTTTTAACATTCAGAGAAATATATATGAATGATGTGGAATCTGGACAGGAAGGCTCTATTTCTTCACAGAGTGACAGCTCTATACTGAAAATTTTAGAAATGTGTATAAATATTACACTTAAAACAAATTGCAATTAATGTATCCCCAGCCAATTGGTGAGGTAAAATCTACCATATTCAAGACATGAGTATAAAGAAACTGACAGGTGAAATTGTCAGAATTCTACAGTACATGTGATAATTCAGATGGTGAGTGGAAAAAAAAGAAGACTGCAAATAGGCCAGGAGCCAACAAAAGCTTGTGCCCATTTAAGATTACATATTTTAAAAGCATAACTATTTTCAAAATTCTGAAGGAGGTTGTTGCATTATGTTGACCAGGAATATCTGAGGAGCTGAAAATTATATGCTTTTAAGAAATCTTTACTAATCTTCTATATATATTTTTTTCACAGCATATATATATATATATATATATATATATATATATATATATATATATATATATATGTATGTATGTATTTTCACAGATAAGCCCACAGATTCATTAAAAGTGAACGTTTTTTACCTGGTGTGTCACTGTCAGGCCTTATTTAATAACAACAAGTTGTTATTACTCTATTAATTTTTTTTTCATTTTAGTAGTTTGTAATGAAAATTGTATATAAGACTACTTTATTCCTGCACCATCTCTATCGTTTCTATCTTATGTTTGTCCTGTTCCTTTCCCACTTGGTGAGATTTGGCTTTCCATTCAAGGATCTTTTGTGGGTTTTTTTCACTTCCAACCTAATAACCACCTTGCTGGGGCAATGCCCAAACGAATAGTTGTCCTATTAGCCCAGTCTTTTTCTGCTGCACCCGTTCAATGTAAATGACATAATTCTTCCTGTAACCTTGGACCACTTTGCCAACTTGCTGAACTTTTTAGTGTCCTCACACAACCTGAACTTCATCATCCTTTCAGATGGGCATGGATCAAACATTGTACTTCTATCTCAGCTCTTTGGAAAGAGGGAAGACATAATTGTTCTGTGAACATGGGAAGGTGCATTGAAATACCTTTTATGGTTCTTTCTTGCTGTCAGAAGTCACAAAGGAGTTGAACTTCCCTTTGGCCACTGCCTGGCAATAATTGAAAGTGGGAAGAGATCTGTATGCTCTACTTCATTCATTTTTAGGTGAACATTAGAAGCCCCTCTTCATTTAAAAATATTCACCTCCGCTTTTCAATATCTTTTCTTGTCCTATAAAATGAAAATATTAAAAAGTAATTTGTATAATCTATTAAACACACATTAGTCAATGTATATGCTATTCGAAAGACATAAATGAAAAATACACATGAATTAACATAAAAACAAAGAATTGTCATTGTTTTAAAAGTGATTTTTTAAAAAATTTTAAAATTTTTTTCTAAAATTCTAAATTCTAAAATTCCATTCTACCTTTTCATACTATACTGAATTTTCACAACTTTCAAAAAGATAAACATATACAGATCCTTGGAATGTGTCATCCCCCTGTCATCATAAAGTCTTAGAGGTGTACTTAATATCTTAGTACCAGGGGAGCCCCTAACTACTACACGTGAACTCATCCTTCAAGGTCTGCTCCAAATGTCATTTTCTCTTGAAGGCTTCCTTAGTTCCCTACCAATTTAATTTCTCTTTTCTGTGGGCTTTTTATGCTTCCTGCTGTTAATAGAATTTATCACATAGGGTACTTATTACTTTATACTTATTCCATAAACTGAAATACAAGCTTCTTTATTGGATTGATGAATTCAACTTGGTATCTGACTCAACATATAGTGCAGCCCTTGATTCAAGGTGGCAGACCAGTGAGGCATGTTGAATTAGCCAATATATTAAAAGCATTGAAAACTTCATAGGAAGACTTTAAGTTAATATGAAATTTTCAAAATATATAATTTTACGTATGTACATACAACTCAAAATTATTTCTGATAGCTTTTAAATAAGTACACATTTTATTTTATTTCTTTATTATTATTATTATTATTATTATACTTTAAGTTTTAGGGTACATGTGCACAACGTGCAGGTTTGTTACATATGTATACATGTGCCATGTTGGTGTGCTGCACCCATTAACTTGTCATTTAGCATTAGGTATATGACCTAATGCTATCCCTCCCCCCTCCCCCCACCCCACAACAGTCCCCGGTGTGTGATGTTCCCCTTCCTGTGTCCATGTGTTCTCATTGTTCAATTCCCACCTATGAATGAGAACATGCAGTGTTTGGCTTTTTGTCGTTGCGGTAGTTTGCTGAGAATGATGGTTTCCAGCTTCATCCATGTCCCTGCAAAGGACATGAACTCATCATTTTTTATGGCTGCATAGTATTCCATGGTGTATATGTGCCACAAAAATTAATTCAAGATGGATTAAAGACTTACATGTTAGACCTAAAACCATAAAAACCCTGGAAGAAGACCTAGGCAATACCATTCAGGACATAGGCATGGGCAAGGACTTCATGTCTAAAACACTAAAAACAATGGCAACAAAAGCCAAAATTGACAAATAGGATCTAATTAAACTAAAGAGCTTCTGCAAAGCAAAAGAAACCACCATCAGAGTGAACAGGCAACCTACAGAATGGGAGAAAATTTTTGCAACCTACTCATCTGACAAAGGGCTAATATCCAGAATCTACAATGAACTCAAACAAATTTACAAGAAAAAAACAACCCCGTCAAAAAGTGGGCAAAGGATATGAACAGACACTTCTCAAAAGAAGACATTTATGCGGCCAAAAAACACATGAAAAAATGCTCATCATCACTGGCCATCAGAGAAATGCAAATCAAAACCACAATGAGATACCATCTCACACCAGTTAGAATGGCGATCATTAAAAGTCAGGAAACCACAGGTGCTGGAGAGGATGTGGAGAAATAGGAACACTTTTACACTGTTCGTGGGACTGTAAACTAGTTCAACCATTGTGGAAAGTCAGTGTGGCTATTCCTCAGGGATCTAGAACTAGAAATACCATTTGACCCAGCCATCCTATTACTGGGTATATACCCAAAGGATTATAAATCATGGTGCTATGAAGACACATGCACATGTATGTTTATTGCGGCACTATTCACAATAGCAAAGACTTGGAACCAACCCAAATGTCCAACAATGATAGACTGGAATAAGTACACATTTTATTTTAAACTGTTAAAAAAAATATTGCGTCACATTTTTATGTCAATCTAACATTAAAAGTAGACTGAAAAAAGTAAATTATCCCTAGTTTTCAGTCTCTTAAAAGATACCTGAGAACTAAAAAAAAAAAAAAAAAGGAAATACGAGCAAGCAATATATAAAAAAGCAAAAAATAATAAAAATTACTAGAATCCGAGAGTATTAGCAGGTGGCAGAAAACAGATGATCCTAATTTGTAAAGAATTTGTACATGGAGGCATTTTAAGATTAAAGGAGGAACTACAAAGGCACCAAGTTACACAGAACGTAGTTTTGTGAGATACTCCAACAGCTGCCAGGGAGGCTTGAATCCATCAAAACCTAAGATGAAGAAAATAGGTGTTAGGTTTAAGAAAACGTCATCATATGTAACTAACCTGCACATTGTGCACATGTACCCTAAATCTTAAAGTATAATAATAATAAAAAAAGAAAATGTCATCAATAGTAAATGAATAGTGTTTAAAAATACTCTTTTTGGTCAGGCGCAGTGGTTCACGCCTGTAATCCCAGCACTTTGGGAAGCCGGGGCGGGTGGATCACGAGGTCAGGAGCTCGAGACCATCCTGGCTAACACAGTGAAACCCCGTCTCTACTAAAAATACAAAAAAATTAGCGGGGTGTGGTGGCGGGCGCCTGTAGTCCCAGCTACTCGGGAGGCTGAGACAGGAGAATGGCGTGAACCCGGGAGGCAGAGCTCGCAATGAGTGGAGATCACACCCCTGCACTCCAGCCTGGGCGACAGAGTCAGACTCCATCTCAAAAAACAAACAACAACAACAAAAAATCAACCCTTTACTTGTTAAAAGAGATGTATTTAATGATAGTTGTGTCAAGCCATTTTAAGCCTCTAAATTATTCCTTACATTGCATATCTGGGTTTTGCAGCACAATAGTGACACAATAAAATTAGTAAGGACTCAGTTAAGGGACGACTATATTTATCCAATGTGTAGTACAACTCTCATTTGGTTAAATGTTTCTTTATGTTCAAGATTCTTCAACTTTAAAAAACTTAAAATGAAAACATTCTATATGTGAATGAAGCCTGTAATACCATACCAGGTACTAAAAGAAGGAATGTCAATTTGTGGTCTCAGCAAACTTTTTTTGCCTAATTAAAAGAATAATTGCAGAATTTGCTTGTACAGGCCAGAGATTAATTAACATATAAAAATTGTTCTGCATTTCACCACTCAAAATAAAATAAGTCAAAAATTACTAAATATTAAAAAACTGTTTAGTAAATTAAAGAATATGAGATCAAGTGTGAATGGGCCGAGTTTGATGCCTCTTCCTTTACCCTCCTTCATGTCCTTGGTAACCAAGATAACTAGAAGATTGGATTGTGAAATCAAATTCATATGAATTAAATATCACTCTGTATCAAACTTTATTATTAACTTCAAGGATACAATTAAAAACAAACTCAGGTAAACAAGAAGTGCAGGACCACTGCCCACAGATTTCCTCAGGTTCTATCTTGCTGCATTAGGATTTGCTCTAAACCAGATTAACATGTGGTCTCTAAGTCATGTAAGTAGCTCCATCACTTAGGTCAAAAAACTTGTTTCACTTATGAGACATCTAATTTATACTCAGATAGTTATGTAACTTGCATTACTCTTTATAGTGATCTATGCCCCCTAAATTCACGTTTCCAGGTTTGTTTACTATAGCAATCCTAAACTAACAGATACGCCATGCCAAAAGCATTCCATTGGTAAGGACTCTTCCACTTATAAATGACAATAGTTTGTTTCCCAGTAGGATGTTTACATATTACATAGAGCTTTAACCAAGCTGCTTTCCTTCTTTTCTTCTTGAGATAAACTCCTTTACCCTTCCACACCCACTTCTTCAAAGAGAGAGAATGGATTCCATACAAGAACTTCCTAGTAACTAATTCCTTTCCAGTGATTAATTCCTACTTTTCTTTCAAGATTAGCTTATATAGCACCTTTTCCATGCTGTCCTTTCTTTTTTTTTTTTTTTTTTTTTTGAGACAGGATCTTGCTGTGTCACCAAGGCCAGAATGCAGTGGCGTGATCACAGCTCATTGCAATCTGAAACATCTGGGCTCTACAGATCCTCCCACCTCAGCCTTCCAAGTAGCTGGGACTACAGGCAGATGCCACCATACCTGGCAAATTTTTTAAAAAAAATTTAGTAGAGATGAGGTTTCTCTATTTTACCCAGGCTAGTCTTCAACTCATAGCCTTAAACAGTTCTCCCACCTCAACCTTCCAAAGCACTGAGATTATAGGCCTGAGCTACCATGCCCAGCAATGCTGCCCTTCCTTGATCTGCACTACTGCTAGGTGAAATGCCCATTTATGTGCCATTCAAGTACACTGCCTTTACACATGACAAAGATTCCTAACTTGGCCAATTTTTTTTTTTTTTTTTTTTTTTTTTTTTGAGACTGAGTCTCGCTCTGTCGCCCAGGCTGGAGTGCAGTGGTGCGATCTCAGCTCACTGCAACCTCCACTTCCCGGGTTCATGCCATTCTCCTGCCTCAGCATCCTGAGTAGCTGGGACTACAGGCGCCCGCCACCACCCCAGCTAATTTTTGTTGTTGTTGTTGTTGTTGTTGTTGCATTTTTAATAGAGACAGGGTTTCACCGTGCTAGCCAGGATGGTCTGGATCTCCAGACCTCGTGATCTGCCTGCCTTGGCCTCCCAAAGGCCAAATTTTAATCAGGCTCCTAAACCTTCTCCAAGGCCCACCTGTGTACTTCCCCATAAAGTGCAGTTTTAGCAAGAACCCTCCATTATCAATATCTGATGACACTTTTTATCCCCCAAATGCGAGTTAAACTCCAAATACAGAATGCGGAGGTAGGAAGTAATAGCCAAGGAGTAGGTTGCGGGTTAGTAGATAAAATATTACTGAAAGGAAACATCAAGGTAAGGCTTAATCCTGTTGGCTAAATCAATCTAACAGGATTCTTGCAGAAGACAGGCGAGGGTAAGACATCACCTGGGTCATAGTGGAGGATGAGGTACCTGATGAGATATTGAAGATGATTAGATATCAAGGGTGAGGGATTTTGCTAAACTGACTTAGCAGGGTTATTGCTAAATCTGGATTTTACAAAAAAGCACACAAGTGGGCTTAGGAAAAGGTTCAGAAACCTGACTAAAGTTGGGTCAAGCAAATAATGTTTGTCATACATTATTACCTACAAATGCTGATTTTCTGCTTCTATGAGATTTTTAAGGCAGAGTTTATTTTAACTGTAGCTCACAGCACTATTTTTGTACATAATATTTAACAAATGTTTGGTTAGATTTATGCATAGAGCGTGCTCTTACCACATGGCTCTGAATGTTTCTGGTACATCCAATAATTTAACAGTGATGAAATGAGATAATATTTTCTAGGTTTATCACTGGCCAAAGTGGACTTCTAAACAATTTTGCTTCTAAATAATATTTTTAGGTTTTTGTGTTCATATAGAATGGATAAATGGTCAATTAGTATTAGAGGGTAACCTTTATAAAGAATGTTGTTTCTTCATATTGCTTCTCAAACTTTGGCTTATTAGAAGTTATTCCAGAATTTAATATATGCTGGTTTTGAGCTCTGCTCATTATACTTTATAACCTATTCTTGCTTTGCCTATGTGCAATCTAAAAGTGAGTTGACATCATGCTTTTAATTATAGAAAATTAAGTTGTTTCATAATTTCTAGAGTATGATGCCTGTAATATTAATCAGACCAAATCATCGCATTACATAAAGTTAATCATTAAAATGATGATCATTATTGCAAGTTTATAGCATGCTATTTTTATTTCACTCAGCATCAGCCACATATCTTTCCTGAATATGGAGGTGAAAATCAAAGCTGAGAATTTTTTTTAACTTTCCCACTACTGTGTAAAAAGAAAGTGACAACCTGATTTGTCAAATGTAAAAAATGGACCCTTATAGCTGCTTACTACTTTATTGGTGGAGACTAGGAAAAGAGAGGTTGGCATGTTTGCTTGATAAACCAGTTGTCCCTCATAAAGACATGCTCCATCAAACAAATAAATATATATGGGTGCCATGAGGAGAAGCATTCATATCCAGATTCAGAGTTACTGATTATTAATGATTATTGACAAACATTAGTTGTTAAAAGGCACTAACACTGACATGTGTGAATTACTTGTCACAGAAGGCTGGTTAATTTAAACAGTAACGCTGCATGTGGTTAGACCACAGGTCAATTTGGTCCATGTTTTCTGATAGCAGCATAACTTGACAACTGATGAGGAACACCATTTGCTTTTTTATTTCAACCTCGCAACATAGGATGATCTGGGCAGGTAGCATGTCTTCTGCTGTGTCCTGTTACTTACATTGGGATGGATGTTTAATAGCCATTCACTCAGTATACTACTAGTTGGTTGTACTTTCCTTAATTTGAATGTTCTTCAGATTTTCATAATAATTTGTCCTTCATTCTACTAAACAAAACTGTATTCAAGGTCTACTGTGTGCCAATCATTTTGATAGACACAGGTAGGGCTGTGACCAGTCTTGATGCCCTGTCCTTCCATGTGACATTCACTTGATGCCTCTTCGTTGGCTTATTGACTGGCATATATTCTGATTTGCTGGGTGTCTATCTTAATGTTCATGGGCTTATACTTATCAATTGTTGACTATTTTAATATCACTCTTGGACATAAAGGATAGAATGTTAAATAAGGTATTCTTCCTCTAAAGAGTGTTGAGAACGAGTTTACTATCGAACAAACTTATTTAAATTCTGTTAGTTTTTAAATTTTGTATCTTAAGATAATATGTTCTGTGTATCTAATATCCACTTTGTGAAGTAGTACTTTTTTTTGTTCTAAATTTACTCTTTATCTGGATTCAAGGTGTCTCTATTAACTCGTTTACAGTATTGGGTTCATAAATCCATCATGTGGTTCCTATATTTCATGATTTTATAGTACCTGTAAATGAGCTTAGACTGGGAAGCTTGAGTCTCCTCTTCCCACAAAGGGAACTATGTCTAGCCAAGCCCTTCACCTTTCACTTTAGCTTTTCCTTTTCCACTTTGCTTTGTTTGAGGTTCAGCAACTAGAATCATACAGTCTCATTATTTCAAATATACTACAGTTGTTATTCTTGGACATAATGAAGATCACATAGGATTTCGTTTCAGCCAGATCCTAATTTCAGATAAGTTTTTTCATCCCTTAGTGTATTTTTGGCTTCTCTGAGCCTCAGTTTCTCCTCTGTAGGAAGAAAATAATGCTTGTCCACAGATTTTTTTTTTCTTTGTGAGGCCAGCAAGCAGCAGTGTGCCTAAGGCTGTATGCTAAATCTGTAAAATCATGATGATGCCCAGTGCGGTTTTGGCTTTTTGCACCACAGCACGGAGACAAAGTCGGTTTGAAGCTAAATACTTTTTTTTTGTAACAAATATATGGGTGTCATAACATTTTCTGTCTGAAGATTGAGTTACAGGTAAAGCATTATATGTATTTTCTGTGTGAAGATTAAGTGAATTACCTGTAAAGCACTTAAAAGAATACTTTTAAGTGTTATAAATACTTATTACCATTATTATTTATCTTCTTATAAAACAAGATTTATGGCTGGGCGTGGTGTCTTACGCCTGTATTCCCAGTACTTTGGGAGGCTGAGGTGGGCGGAACACTTGAGGTCAGGAGTTTGAGACCAACCTGGCCAACAGAGTGAAACCCCGTCTCTACTAAAAATACAAAAATTAGCCAGGCATGGTGGCGGGTGCCTGTAATTTCAGCTACTTGGAAGGCTGAGGCAGGAGAATCACTTGAACTGGGGAGGCGGAGACTGCAGTGAGCTGAGATCTTGCCACTACCCTCCAGCCTGGGCAACTGGCAACAGAGCGAAACTCCGTCTCAAATTAATTAATTAATTAATTAAAATAAAATAAAAAATAACAAAAATAATAAGACAATACTTATAACAAGACAAATAATAGATTTGTTAAATAGTGAAAGTAAATCCTTATAATGTCCAAAAATATTTCAAAGTATATTTCACTTCACATGTAATGTCAATTTTAATTTAGGATCTTTAAGATGAGAGCATTCCTTCAATGATTGGGACAGGCTCAAGATGGAAATAAAGATTTTATTACTTACAGTTCCTGAAGGGGTACACATAATGCACAGAGGCCACACACACGGAGGTTAGGAGTGCATGGAGAGAGAGAAAGAGAAAGAGAGAAAATGGGACCTGCGGGCCAGTGCCTTTATTTATGGGTCCAGGGCGTTATCCAAACAGGTTTCTCGTGGGAAATTTTAACTGGTTGGTTTAAAGCAAGCAGGCACAAGTTCCAGGACGTCAAGCATTGACTGAGAGGCAGTCACTGTGGTGTGTCTGCACAGTCCATGCAGGGTGGAGGGTCAGCAGGACCAGTCCAGCAGGCTGCATCTACTCGTTTCATAGGGATGTGGTGATCAGGGAGCAGGTGTATAAGGGAAATATCTTGATCCACCACACTGAGAAACGGGGGTGCTGCAGGGAGGTAGAGTATAGAATTGGAAACTATGTGTGTCAAGGGTGACTGAATCTTTCTTCTGCTATAACAAAGTCCAGCTTATATTTAAAATAGATGCCAAGGCAGCATAAAATGATAAGCATTCACTATACAAGTTTACCCTGTGTTTTCATTGTCCTAGTATTTCCCTATTTCCCAAGATAAATCTTAACATGATCTCACTCTCCCAATATTAATACTTTCCAAACAAATATATATATGCAAATGATATTACTATTTTTTCTTTAAACAATTTTCCCTTTCTTATGTAAAATGGAAAATCTAGCTATCGAGCTAAATAGCAGAAGTGGTGTGATTTATGTCTGCTGCTTAATAGTCTAGTTCTACATGTACTAGTGAGTGAAGAAAATCTCCAAAGTTTCAAAAGCAAAAATGCAGATGAATCTCTGTGGGGTCCAGTGCTCATGCCATCCCCAGTGCACTGTCGGATAATTGGTAAGAATGCCAGATATTTGAATACATGTAATCAAACCTGGGGCACATAGATGAGCATATGCTAAAGCCAGTTTTTTTATGTTTGTAACTATATATGGTTATACAAGGTCCTCAAAAATCAAAACCATGGTGAGAACATTACTAAACATTACTAAAACATGCTTAGGCATTCAGTGATTAATAATCTTTATTTTAAATTCATAGAAGTTTTTGATTTAGTCATGTCCAATTTTTTGTTTCCAAATTTAATGCCAAATTTGCCAAAATATATAAGAGATTATCTATATGTAATAACAGATACTGTAGAGGTATTAATAGATAGCAAAGATAGAGTGGGATCAAACAGATCCTAAATCGATCTGTAAGACATATTCCCAATAGGTACAGCATAGTTCAGTGTTTCATTTCTGCCCTCCACAGAAAACAGTACTGTTACAGGTACACATTGTATATTGATTTATTCAAACCATAAACATTTGGAGTTGTTATTCAGTCAAGTGTGGCATTATCATTAAAATGTAGCACCACTTGACATTTTGAAACACAATAAACTGGTTTATATTGATGAGTTATAAGGTGATATGTGGCACAAATATGACAAAAGCGATACAGAAAACATATTTTACATATTGGAATCATATTTATTTTGTAATTTGAATTATTCAAGGAATAATTTGCCTTCCAGAAATCATACATTTTTATTTTGTAGAAAACTAAAGAGGAGTCTAAGGTTTGTCTTTGTGCTGCCTTTTACTAACCTTTGTTATTGGGCCACCTTTCTCTTGAAATCACAATCTTATTTCTAAGTGATATTGAATAGCTGAAGAATGATTCAGAGAAAAAAAAAGTGAATTCAGAAAATAGCAACTATGAGTACATAGCCTTCTATATGCTAAATTCTGCTTTAGGCATTTTACATTTTGGAGTTGTTTTAAGTAACACCACACATACCGATTAATGAGATGGTGTTCTCCCCATTTTATATATAAGGAAACTATCCCAAATAAGCAGCAGAGCAGTTTTCAAATTTGATTCAATTCCGCTTACCTCTAATCTTCCTGTCTGAGGAGTGAGCAGTTTTATATCAACTGTTTTGTATGTTTACCAGCATAACATCCCACATGTTTTGTTTTATATTGCTAATTTCTTGATTTTCATAATAAAAAGGGAAAGACTGTGTAATAATTTTTATGTGGTTCCAATTTTTAAGCCTTTAATGACAATATTAAAAATATCCTAAATAAGACATAGATTGAATAGCTTCAAAATAATGTATAGTATAGATCAGTGTTTCCCAACCATTTTCTTCTTACCCTTTTTGGGAGTATCTTTAGATTTTTTTCTTAATCCTCCCTGCTATGATTTTAATACCATAGATATACTGTATAACTGTTTACATACTTTAGCTCTTCTTGAAGGGACAAGACCATTATGATATCTGAGGATTTTTTTCTTTCCCCCAAGAATTAATTTTTGCTCCCTAGGGGCAATATTCCTGTCTTTGAAAATGCATCATAGAGAACAAGTGCTGAGCCAGTCAGCTATAATCTAATAAAGACAGTGGTTAACAAAGTATCATCTGTGCACTAGAAGCATAGCATCACCTTAGGCATTTGTTAGACATGCAAATCCTCAGTCCCCACTTAACCCTCCAAAGTTAGAAACTCTGAAAATGGGCCTGCGCAGTCTGGTTTAATTAGCCTTCCAGGTGATTGTGATGCATGGCACTAGCTCTGGATAGGTTGTTGAAAGATGGGCCCATGGCTTGATTACAGCATTGAGTTAATTATTTTATGTCTCAGTTTTTCCATCTTGACAAAGCTCAGATAACTCTTAGTTTGAAGCCTCATACACACAACCTCAGTGGAAACATTACCCAGGGAGCCTATTGAGAATCTACCTGGCTTTCAGAGTGAAGGAAAATAATAAGACAACATCCCAAAACACTTCAGTAGGACATTTTTGCATTTTTTAAAAAAAGAACATTCAACATAGTACTTCTGATTGCATTGACAAAGGCCTGGATTTCTCCAAAAACAATTAATGGAAAAATAAGCAAATGAGTAAACATTAATATTCTGTCTCAATGAACATTCCATTATGCATATGAAAACAAACAGAAACCGAGGTATCCAGATTTTATGGCAAAATGAATTACGTAGGAAATGGGGAAGAACTGGGCATTCATCAGGAGGACATGCTTGTTTCGCTGTCCTCAGTTTTTCATTTATAGTATTTGCTTCTGTGGTTTTATAAAGGGAAGAAAAAATGTTTTTTATTTCTTAGTTCTACAGAGTTTCTCTAGTCTTTTTCTCCTACCTACCATTCTAATCATGTACTTGCACAGATTGGCTCACCCACTTTATTGACTTTTTTCCAGCTTGGATGTATGCAACCTGGTAATAAACAGAAGTATTTATTTTAATATGCAGCATGATTAAAAAAAGAGACCTTAATCTACTGAATTGAAAACATAAAAATAATAGGCTACTATGGTCAGAAACCTCACAAACTACCAAATGTAGAGCATGCAGTACTTAAAACTTGAGAAATACCTTATGATGCCGTGATCTATAAACGTCCACATTACAACTCCAATTCAAGACTCCCTGAGTCAGTGATTTACAAAATGCAAATAACTGGTAACTGAAACTCAGGTTTGGTGAAAGAAAAAGCTGCATATTGACTTAATATCATAAGCTTTAGCATGTGTAATTCAATTAGAAATCAAATACTGTGTGGAATAAGAAACATTTTCAAGTTTCTTCTCTGTTCTGTTTTGTTTTAGATGGAACTTGCTAAGGAAGAAAAGTGTGAATTTCTGCCATTCCTGTCCCCACGGAAGGTTATAGTAAAAGGTGGGAGAATTGTTGCTATGCAGTTTGTTCGGACAGAGCAAGATGAAACTGGAAAATGGAATGAAGATGAAGATCAGATGGTCCATCTGAAAGCCGATGTGGTCATCAGTGCCTTTGGTTCAGTTCTGAGTGATCCTAAAGGTACAGTGCTGGGAGCTGAAATGTGTGATGCAATTGTCTGTTATTTTAGTGCTGTAATAGTTTCTAGCTTTCAGGGAATTGTTTTTCACTTTAAAATTTATTTTCCTCTTCTAGTTAAGAAGTAAAAGCAATCTTGATTCAAAAGGCTTAGAAATGTTATTTAATGCTTATATAGAATTATTTTTAAAGTGGCAAGTATTGAAAAGAACATTAATCTTTCTTTTAAGCTTATAACCAAAACACATATTCTACTCTATAATGATATTTGCCTTGTTTCTTATAGAAGAATGGCTTTTTCTTCAATTAGACTAGAGTAAGAAAATGAGGCAGAGTAGTTGGAACAGCCAGTCTTCAATGATTCAGACAAATCAAAATCTAATGAATGGCCAAAAATAGAATTTGTGTTTATTACCATCCTTGTGCCAGATCATCACTTCAGATGTCAGAATTATCAAATTAGAAAGTTTAAATGTCTGTCATTTTCACCTGGATGGCATAAATGAGCATGCTAAGAAAAACAAAATGTTTTTTAAAAAGATAATGAGAGAAAGAAATGTTTTATATAACATTTCAACTGAATAATGATTCAGTCAAGTAAGACTACTTTATGTTATACTTTTCCCACATACAGTGTTTCTGTGGGTCATTGTAGATGAAAGCTTATGTATCTAGGTACTTTCATTTTACAAATCCTTTTACCTTTTAATTCACATTATTGAAATGACAATTAACTCTTTTGTTTTCTGAAGGGAAAATAAAATATGTTTTTCTAGGTCAGAGATTCATTAAGAACAACCATACCAAAAATCTCTCTAAACCTGATGATTCCTATGACTTCCTACTATATCCATGCTAAAATTACATTTTTTGTCTGAAGTTGGAAGAGATATATACATGAAAATGTATATTTTTATGCCACAGATAAGTAAAGGATTCAACTAGTCATCAGATATTTTATCTGCAGGGCATCAAACATCTTGGTATGTGGAAACATCCAGATGTTTAATGTCATCGAGATAAATGTTTTCAAATAGCTGGATGATGGCCTAAATTTGTCACTTTTTATCTAGACATTTATGTGGTATGTAGACACAGTCAGAGTATAGTTTATTTATTTAACTGAATTCAGGAAGGAAAAAAGAATGATATATAAAGTGCTTATATTATCTTAAAAATCCCATTCTTCTTACTATTAAATACTATGTACATCACCAAAAATTGAGTAAAATGTTGAATCATGTTTAACTAGCAATTCTGTTGATTATTTGCCTATCCAAAAAGGTTAGCTTAACTATTTAAATTTGTGTTCCATAATTGACAATCCTAATATTAATAATAATTATATTTTCCTAAACAAACCTGAACAGATTTGGCTCAGAAAACAGCTTTTGCAATCTCAGATACGATTTTATAAGCTTGTGCTTGTGTGTGTGTGCGCGCAGGCATGTGTATTTGTGTATGTATGTATGAAGAATAAAAGATTTAAGTTAGCATATAAAATATGAAGAAGGAGAAAATTTGATCTATTCAAGTTTGACTAGGTCATTTCAGAATTTATGCATTTTATTCCAGAATTTACTGTGTATATTTCTTCTAGTACTTCACATATGCCACCTCTTATAAATTTAGAGAAGTCAAGGAAAAAAATGTTTCTTCGCTATTTTTTTTTCCTCTTCTGGTTTGAAATAATAAACTGCCTGTAGAAATTATCCTTAAGTAGAATTACTAACTTTACCAGGAGCCTTCCATGTTTACTTTAATAAGAAGTTATTCTCCAAGTGAGAGGGGAGCTGGCAGAGCTGCAGTGTGAGATAGCATTCATTCCTGGACTCCCATCTAAATGTTTTCAGTACTGTTCTTTTGGATGGAAAACATTAAATAAAGGAGTCACAGAAGCAGTGTTTGTTAGAATTTGATCAAGAAGATCTTACTCAATAGGATTTAAAATCTTAATAGTTTCAAAGTCAGAAAACTGTCATGTGCACACATATATGTAAAATAAAATGAAAAGCATTTTATTGGAAGCAAGATGTCCATTTGGGTAAGAAGAGAAGATATTCATGTTAATCCTCTTCTACCATAAATTCTTCCCCATCCTAACACTATGTCATGTCATTTCTGGATGGTACCTAGTGATTATCACATATGTGATACCTGTTTTAATGCATTCATCTTTTAAAATGTTTACTTCTCTTTCCACCCCTCCACTTTTCTCCTTTTCAACCTCACTTTGCCCAGACTTCAGTGAACTGCATGCCAAATGCAGTGACATCCTTTCAGTCCTTAGTATATTTTCTGCATTTTATGATTGATAATGTTAAGAATTCTGTTTAAAATGCTCTCCTCCAAGTCACTTAAACTTTCTGAGGCTCAATTTCTTTATCTACTAAAAAAAAGCGTAGTAATACATTATCTTTCTACCTCTCAGGACTATTGTCAGAATTAAAATGAAATAATGTAAAAGACTTGGAAACAAAACTAGAGCATATTCTTGTTTGTGACACTCTATTACCTTGCTGCTTCTTTTAACTATTCCTTTCCAAGCCTATCACTGACTGCTTTTCTTCCTCTAGCTTTTTACTTTCCAAAGTTCAGAATTTGTTCATTTTCTCTCCTTATCGTATTTATTTCTTCAGTGAAATGAATGTCTTGTTCATTCTTTCATTTATCCATTCATACGTGCATTCATTCCTCAAGACATATAAATGAACTTCTCTGTGCCAGACAGTGGCTAGACTTACAGTAGGCACTATTTCCTTTTTGTGTAAAAATGACTCTTAAATCTAGTTTTCCACTCCCCATTTCGCAGAAGACCTCCTTTCATCCTAAATTTTTGCTCAGGCATGTGACAAACATTTACTGAGTACCTAATGAATGCCAGGTGCCAAATTATATTCTAGAGAGTATGAAAATGAGCGAGTCATTGCATGGGCTTTAAAATTCCATAGACTAGGGTGGAGGCAGATCTGTAATCAATTAATTTTATTACAAAGTGAGGAATGTGTACATTAAGAGAGATTTGCACAAAGTAAAAAAAAAAAAGTTCACCTTATCAGATTTACCTAAAACAGATCTTTTCTCAAATTCACTATTATTGCAAATGGTACCATTAGTACTCCCCATAGCCAAAGTTCAAAATTTTACCCCAGTTCAAATTTCTAATTATAATATTTATTAAATGTACCAATGTTATCTTATACTATGGTATAAAGCTTCCACTTCTCAACACTTGAGAACATCAGCAAATGGCCTTATATACATTCTGTGTATCCACCTATATTTTCTTCTGTTCCCTGTTGAATTATTCCTGCCAGCATCCAGCACAGGGAACATTCCATAGTGGCAACACAGAAAATCTTTGGTAAATGCATTACATAAAGACATACTGAAAAATTCAAGTAATGAAGTAAACTTGACAGAGTACATATAAAGTACAGTGATAAATTACACTCTCAGAAGTCTCTGGTTGCAATAATATTGTAAATGAAAATACTTTTAAAATCTCAAATATATCAATAATAAGAACTTGAAAAGCTAAGCTAATTGGAAAATTGAAAGGAGATTACATTTTTAATGTCAGTTTTTTCTGAAATATTCCACAATCTTTGTAAGTTTCTAAATTTGTTTCACAATGGAGAATGTAAAATAACTTTTTTAGTGTTATACACCTAATATATCTGTAATAAATATTCCCTATCATAAAATGATAAGTGCCTCAACAGCTTATAGAAAAGATAAGTATATCATTTATAAAATAAACTTGGATAAGAGTTTGGGATTATAGTTGCTAATTATTTCGTTGCCACTAAGGATAATAAGAGTGATAAGTAATCATCATTACTTTACATAATTCTGTTTCTTCCATCACTTTTTGGATTGTACCAGGGAGTGGGAAGTAGGAACAAAAGACTACATATTCCATATCCATGTGCATGGAATATGTTATGTGCCGATCAGCATAATTTAATTGAATACTTCATTAAACACTAGCTCAAATTTTAAAGGCAATGGTGTCCAATTTCTGACTCAATTGATATAACGTCAGCCTTAAATATCTTTCTTGTGAAAAACTCAAAATGGTTCTACTTTTAAAAAGTCTCCTCTATTCCCTCTAAGAATGTACGACTCCATATCACGTCACATTAACTTGGGATTTTGTTGTTCTAGATAGACTGTAAAGGCTATCAGGAGATTAAGCACAAACTTTCTGTAACTGCATTTCTGCTTTACAAATATTGTCCATTCACTGGAAAGTTCTAAACGTTTATTTAAAATATGTATATGTATATTTTATTATACATATATGTATAATATAAATATAATATAAATATATGAATATATATTTCTATATATGATATAAATATATATATTTCCTAATATAGGATGTTTCCTCTTCTGCTAAACACTATTTTCAATATTTATTGAATTGAATTGTGTTTCTTCTTGTTTGTTGGTACAGTGTCAGGTTTAATCGATTTATTGTTTGTTTTATAGTGTATCTCTCCTTCTCTTTCTTGTTGGAACCAAACTGGCAGTTGTTAAGTGGGCCCAAATTTCTGTTAGTTTTGCATTAGTAAGAATTCTTCCACCCTTTCACTAATCTCACTGCTTCATTTTTACAACCAAGGCAATAAGGTTGCCTGTGTCCTCACATTCCTAGGAGATCTGGATGACATAATTTTATGATTTGTTGAATATGCTTTCAGACAACTGAATGAATGTACTTTAGCTCATTCTGTGATTCTGTGCCTCCTCCATACCCTGTACCACAACCACTCTTTCATTATATGAAATTTTGACTCTGTAAAGATTTATGTTCTGTGATCTTCCGGAATCTATTTTATTTTCAAATTATCCTATAAACCCCAAGGAGAGCAAGGAGTGCACCTTTATACTAAATTGTAGTCCCAATAGCAACTGACATATTAGTGTGCCCATAATAGATCCACAAAAATATTTGTGCATTTGACTTGACTTGCTTCATGTTAGGGTATTAATTTTCTTATGAGTTACTATTTTCTCCTATGATGGGATCTGCTTGGTTTATTTTTCTTCGAAAATGTAAAAGTTAGAAAAATAATTCTATTATTCTATTGCTCTGAATTTTTCCTTTGTTGTGGCATAAATTGTTGTATTCTTCATAATACAATAAATATTACACTAATTAGAGTCTATCTGGTATATTGGCTGAGAGTGGGGTCTCTGGAGCCAGGCTGCCCCAGCTGGAAACCTGGCTGTCCTCCTTCTAACTTCATCGTCTTAATGAGTTACTTAGTCTACCTGTTCTTCATGGTCCTCATGCTGTAAGGGGGATGACTATAGTATGAATATCCTAGAGTTATTTAGAAGAAATGAATTAATAATATATGTAAATCATTTACATATAGGCGTAGCATATAGTAAGCTTAAGTTACAGATGTTATTATTAATCTGTAACAAAACCATATTTTAGTAATTAAATTGATTTATATTAACTTTTATGTAGCTATTCATGTTGTTTGGGAATAAAGTCATTTGAATATCAATACTTCATCAGGAACTTTGGAGGCTCTGTCAACATGACTTTGTAAATAAGTGAAGCAGATGCTCATACATTCATGATTTTTTTAATGAGAAATTGTTCAATATATTTGGTTAGTTTTTTTCCTGAAAAAAAGATTGAACAGTCTGTAACTGTATTATATATTTTTAAACTATTATCAATTCTAATGTTTTTCATGCCATCGAAAACAATTTTTCAACTATTTTTAGTTGTTAGAAATCTCCATTTTGCCAAATTTTCTTGATCCAGATGCAGCGCACCAACATGGCACGTGTATACATACGTAACAAACCTACACGTTGTGCATATGTACCCTAAAACTTAAAGTATAATAAAAAAAAAAGAAATCTCCATTTTGAATTTCTGCAAATGAGGTATGTAAAAAGCACATATTTTTAAATGACTTTTGTTCTTCCTCTTAGAAATGGTGAAAATTGGACCACATTTTTTTGTTTAGTGTAAGGATCATTCATTTGTATTTTAAGACAAGAAAGGCACTTTTGAATTTTCAACTAAGTTTGAGATTTTAAATGCTTGAAAATTATGGGATTACATAACTAAGATTAAAAACCCATGTTTTGGGAAGGAAGATGTTAGGATGAATGGTGAGGGACTCAGCATCATGTTGCACCACACTGCTCAGTAGAGCGGAGACAAGGTGACTGAGCTCAGGGCACAGCCAGGGAAGATACGACCCTTCTGTTAGGAAAGGAATTTACGTACTTCACCCACTGCTTACATTTTCTTTCTGCTCACTCACTGGGAACTAGAGATAACAAGGAAACACAAAACCTAGATAGTTCTGAATCTTAAATGCAACTCTCAGAAATCAGCTCCCTTGATAACATTGATTGCAGTTAGTTCCATAAGGGAGTGTTTGCAGGAAAAAAAAAAAGGTTTTTAAATCACTCATCAGTTCCTCTTATTAGAAGGCCCTCAGAAAAGTTTTTGAAAGCCTCATGGGGTAAATCAAACATTCTGTCAATAGCAGCTTTGAGTGTAGCTTTGATTCACTTGCCCCCATACTGAGAAAAGGTGCAGGCCATGGGTTAATTTGCCTTGTTCTGGCCTAACTCAGAACTAGAAATTGCCAGTTAGGCAAGAAATGGCCTGCTAAGATTCTTACGATGCAAAAATTCAAGAATTTTTCAAATGTGTCCATTTTTCTTTTCTCAATTGTTTAAGTGTTGGGAAGAGCCTATGAAAAATGTTTTAATGTTGGCATTATATTATTTAGGTATTCAAAAATGGTAGTTAGCTATGTTTTAAAAGACCTGGAATCAGTATGTTTGATTTGATTTACTCCTTATTAAAATGTAACTTATTTGGTAATTTATAATGAAATTGAGAATGCTAGAACATTTTAATAAACCACAGTTTTTGGTTAACATCATGTTCTATTTTTCAAACAACAAAACATATCTTATAGAAGCTACTGGTGGCAAAATTTTCTTTGAACAACTAACCACTCTTTATGACCTTCAGCTTACGTAATTTCTCATATCAAAAATAAAGGGGAAGGGGGAAAAATTGAATACTAATTTGAGAAACTATCATAATTCATCAAATTTTCACTGTTGCATGCATTTTAATAAACAAATATTTACAATGAAGTTTCAAAGAACAGATTAAAGAATACTGCATTATATTGCTAATTAGGATACCTTTTTGACTAATGGCAAAACATTAGAGGAAGGGACTTATTAAGGATTAATATAAGTAAGAATGAATGACATTCTTACCTAACATTAAGAACTAAAGTAATCAGTCCGGTATAATACACTGGATACAATACAATAACTTGCATTAGGATTTTCCTTATTTATATTTCTGAATGTGCTAGAAGGACCTTAGAGATCATATATTCTAATCCCCTCACTTCACAGGTTTTTAAATAACGTATGGTGGCTAGTGCAGACTCTTTTTAAAGATACGTTTCAGGGATAAAGTAGTGAAAAGAGAAATGCAAACTTTGCCTCCAAGAATGCACATTTTAACAGGGGAGGCTCAGAATTACAATAAATTGTACTTTGAGAAGTTTAGATTCCCGAGGAAGCACAGAACAGAGTCTAAGCATTCAGGGAAGCTTCCTAGAGGAAGTGGGTTGTAAATTGAAGTCTGAGTGATGTGTAGGAGTTTCCAGGTGGAACGGGGGTGGAAGGGAGGGAAGCCACAGGGAGATTATGCAATTTGCTCAACACCGCACTGTTAGATTAAATAGTCATTTTACAGTCATTTTAAAAAGCTGTAAAAAATATATGTCTTTAGAAAGTTGTCATCAGCCTACTTACTTCATGCATGTTCTCATCTTCGTAAATGATGGTCTGAATTTTTCATTTGTATTTCTAAATAGAACTTTTTATTTTATGATTTCTACTATTCATTCTCTCATTATTCACCATGCAATGAACATTTCTTGATGCACAACTGTGTTCCAGGCACTACTCAGGCACTAGGAATACAGACACAAGTAAAAGAGTCATTGCCCTTCAGGGACCTATAGGCTAATGAGAGAAATAGACATGTAAATACATATATAGCAACACAGTGTGCTAATTTGAGATCACATTTGGAATGGGTTTTAGAGCTTGAGTAGGAGTTTTCCTGTTACAGAGAACATCATATACAAAAGTATGGGCCGACAAAATGACCTCATATGCCCAGACAACGGGGAGGCATTCTGTTTTGCTGGACCAGATGGTGTGTGGTTACATAAGGGTAGGGAGCAGGTAGGGATAAGATGGCAGGAAATATGGCTAAAATATATGTGGAGTCAAAGGATTATATGCTAAAGTAGGGATTTTGAATTTTATGCTGTAGACATGCAGGTGACAAATGAGGAGGTTTAAATAAGGAAGAGCTCTTTGTCTTGAATGAGGTAATTCTAGCAGGTGTTAGAGCTTCCTTCTCTCTGCTTGGATTGTGCACCATTTGTAATAATCTTCAAATAGTTGGGGGTTAGAAAATAAGCAACCACATTTTGAGATGGTTCATGTTAGTAGGCAAATGCATTTTCTAACATTTGGTGACCTGAATTAGGTGGTTATTCAGTCACAGGGTATGATCCCACACAGTAAATGCCGTTATGAGAAGCTGACCCAGTAACATTTTCAGTATCAGGGGCGACTGAGAACCTATGCTCAGATGGGCAGCTCTCAAGTTATAGGTTTGACCAGGGTGGATTATATATGCCTTATTTCTTCTTCCAGATTCACTAATTTGGATTCTATTTTAGTGTTTTGGAGAGAGGCGAGAAAGGTACAATGCGACACCCTGACTGTTATACAAATGATTGTTTCTTTACATGGAAGGCAACATCAGGAGTGTGGAACTACAGTGTCAGTAATTTTGGGAAAGATGGCCTGGAATTAAGAAAGACAAGTTAAAGGATTAAAATAATTTTTTCAGTAGTTACCGTGACTAAGTTAGAGGAAGTGGAAATACAGGAGAAAATTTGGAATCAAGATATATTTCTTAAGTAGAATAGTCAGGATTTGGTTATCTGCTTGATAAAGAGATTGGATGTGGGGTAGCTAGCTGGGAGGTAAACAGGTGTTTATAGTGCTGACAGAACTCACAGATAGAAGAGATCTGAGTGAAATGGTGGTGTGTTGAATTTGGATTTGCTATTGAACAACTGAAGCAGGGGACTAGAACTAAGGAAACAGAGAATGACTGAAAACAGACATTGGGAATTAGTACACATCATCTTCCTGTCTTTTCACTACTATACCTTAATGCCTACAGCAGGAGCTGTTCATTGATTTAATTAATTAATGAAAGGTGTTGTAGCCTATCATTTAAATAACAGCTTCTTAAGAGTGTGATTAAAGAGTATATGTGGCATTGATTCTGGAAATCCAGAAGCCTGTCATATTCCATAATATGAAGAGAAAAAAGGTCAGCTTTTGTTACTGTTGATTTCCTGATGGTAAATATTTTAAGGAGGTTATGACATGAAGGGACAGTTTTATTCCATGGTACTCTCTCTACCACCTGTTCGCTTTTTAATAACACACATGATTCCTCATGTGCTGCCATGTTGTTTTAAAATGCCTGAATAATAACATTGATAGATCCTGTGTACCGATTGCGAAATGATGAAAATGAACTATTTTTGCCTTCTTTGTACAGTGCTTTGCCTTTAATTATATTTTGGGCAAGAAGAATTTTCAGGAACCTAACTGAAACACTGTACATGTTTCAAAAATTGTTCTGATTATCAGAAGTATTTTTGCTTGGTTGAAAGATTTATCATCTTTCTATTACGAAATATGTTGTGCAGGGTGAGGATGAAGTGGTGGAATCTAGTGTAAGTACTGGCATTTCTGCAGAATAACTATCCAAACTAATGGAATCCTTGCACAGGTTTTCTTTGGAATTATTTTGAAAGGGTGGAGGTGATGAGGATGGAGGTCAAACTGATAACAGTGTTGAAAGTGATTGGGAATCAACACCACATCACTTACATCTGCCTTAGATATCCATTTGAAGCACAACATGATATTTCTGTAATTATTTTACTTCCCTCTAATAACTGCATAGGAATAGGTTTGTTTCCCCAGTGAATAGCTCTGCTCAGAGCCTTTCCTTATCTTTATTTTCCAGGTTTCACTACTGGTTGATATCATATGCATTCTTACAGGGAGACAGTGGATAAATCAGTAGTTTTCCATCAAATTGAAGATTACATACAAGAAGTAGAGCAGTGGCATGTAACAAGTTTTGTTAGGGAAAGAAGGTAGAAAATGGGAAAAAATAACGTAATTGTTTCAGAGAACAGAAATCATAAAACATAGCCAATGGTTTTGAACACACAGTGAGTGTAATAGATGTATTTAATGTAATAGATACGGTGAGTGTAATAGATAAACTGAGCTTTATTGACCACAGCCTATAATATTTTTATTTTAAAAACTAGTTAGCTTATAGTATAGTAAAAGGTTATTCTGAAACCTAACATGCTGGTGAAATGTTAAACTAAAACTAAGCCGCTGTGAGATGTAAAATCAAGATGTAAGATTTAATTAAACTATAAAATGATAATATAGAGTATAGTAAGGTTCTTAATTATATGTATTTTGTATTGCAGAGTGAGATTATTATTGTTAATTACTTTGTGTTTCTGTTCTTGACTCAAAGCACAATATAAATAGGACAACATCCCTATCTAAAATACTCTGGTTAAATTAGATATTTGGCCGGGCATGGTGGCTCACGCCTGTAATCCCAGCACTTTGGGCGGCTGAGGCAGGTGGATCACTTGAGGTCAGGAGTTTGAGACCAGCTGGCCAACATGGTGAAACCCTGTCTCTACTGAAAAAACAAAAATTAGCCAGGTGTAATGGCGCACACCTGTAATCCCAGCTACTCGGGGGGGCTGAGGCAGGAGAATCACTTGAACCCAGGAGGCAGAGGTTGCAGCGAGCCAAGATCATGCCACTGCACTCTGGCCTGGGCAACAGAGTGAGACTCCATCTCAAAAAAATAAGACATTGATCTGCATATATGCTATTGTATAAATTAGAAAATTACATTAAATCTTATTCAATATCTACTCCCAAAATATGGAAGCTACTCAATTCAAATGTAATATACTGCCATTGTTGGAGGAGGAAACCAGTATTAATGTTAACATCCATTTGGGGATCCTGCCTAACAGTATGTGGATTAATGCTAACCAGTGCTAATCTTTTTTTCCTCTTTAACAACCATACTTGTTATATTTTGTAATTCTAAAGCTCTTTAAAGTGTTTTCAAGACTTACCTGACCATTTTTTCCATACAAGTATGTGAAAGAATGGCAAGCATGTTGCATAGTAAGTGTTTGCCAAATATCCAGTGATTTTCCAAGCCCTCCTCAAAGTGTATTTACAATTCATTTGGTTTAACATGACCCAGTGTTTCTCCCTGTATTTGCATACTGATGCCAAATGAACTTTACATCACCAGTCTCATCACATTACTCTCATACTTTGGAATCTAAAACTATTCTTCCCTGATGGTGGGATTAAAACCAAATGCTTCAATTTAATTTTGACATCCTACTAATCTGCCCTCCTACATACTTGTGGGATGTTACTTCCCATTCTTTCATTCTGTATTTATTATATGTGTTTTGTATTAATTATACAAGATTCTTTTAGGTTCTCTAAAGTTCACAAAAATGAATACATTGTCCCCATCTGCAGGAGCTTGCAGTCTAATAAAGGAGGAAAGATGCATGCAAATAAAGTTACCTTTAGGTAGAAAGTGACTCAGGAGAAACAGATAAATTTCTGGTGTAACATACAGGGTAGAGAGATGACTTGCAGCAGCAAGAATTAAAAGGTTTTGTGGAGGCAGTGACATTTATAATAGTTGAGGATTGGGTAGGAATTAGGAGAACAGAGACAGGGATTGAAAGCCCATTCCAGTTATAGTAAACAGGCTGGATGAATACATGGGGGAGTTTCTTCGTCTAGATTATAAGGTATATGCGAAATAATAGAGTAAGGGTGGAAAAACATATCATTGCTAATTCATGAAATGTTTTTAGTGTTTAACTATGTGAATTTTATTCCAGAATTGTGGTACTGGAAATCTAAAGAGGCACGTAGATTAAATATGTTTGCTACACACATATAGGGACCATGTAGTTAAATATGCTTCTCCTTTTTGATTCTTGCTCTTCTATTTCACTCTGTATATCTTACATATTCTGAAGTATATTGACAGTACCACTGCAGGGTACTTTATTTATATTTTAACCCAAAGATCCAGCACAGTCCTTAACTCAATAAATATTCACCAAATGGATGAATGAGTGAAGAGATGAATAAATGGTTGAATGAAAAGAATGAAGTGACTTATTCTAAATGTCTGTACTGAAAATTAACAGTAAGGGCAAAATCATGTGAAAGTGTTGTATTTGTGAGGTGTCATGAAGGCCAGCCAGCCCTCCTTCTGTTCAGGGAATGGTCAGACGCTGGATGCTTTCTCTTTGCATTGAGAATGGTTTCCTAAGACTGGTCATCCTGCTTCTACTCTCACTTCCATATAATCCTACCAGAATGAGCTTCTAAACAGAGATTATTTAATTTCTTTTTTGTTGTTGTTCTAAATCTACAAATGCTGTCCTATTTTATTGTAACAAACTTCTTACTACAGTTTCTAACACACTCCTTGGTTTGGCCCCTGCCTATTTCTCAGACTTCCTCTCTTGTCTCACTTGCTTTCCTTCACCCACATAAAACCTTCCTTCTACTCCTCACGTGCTATAACTGCATCTCATCCTTAACACCCTTGCCACTGTTCCCGCTTCTTGGAATAATCTGCCTCTAAGTCATCACGTGACTGGTTCATTCTTATCCTTTATGTTTTAGCTCTGATGGCATCTCATCAAAGAGGCGCTCTCTGACCCTCCATAATTGCTATGATCTAAAGCACCCCTTCTGCTTCTCACATCCCTCATCTTGTACTAGTCTCTTTCATGTAACCCTATTCATAACCATTTTCACTATCATATAGTTCACTTACTTATTTACTTTTCATTTTTTATCTTCTGCCAGATGAAATTTACAACACACAAGGATGGGTCTCTTATCTGTGGTTTACTACGGTGCCTGCAGCAGGATGTAATACATGAGAGACCAAAAACAATTTTTTTTTTTTTTTTTTGCTAATTGAATGAATGAAGGCAAGGTAATGCCTTGCTTTTTTTCCTATTAAAAATTATGAAACACCTGGGAAGAATAGCTTGTGTACACTGTCTTATGTCTTTGCCAGATACTTTGTCCATAACTTCAGAATTCTGTTTTTTGCCTTTACTATTTAACTGCAAGTGTCACCTTTTTACGGTTCATTGACCTCCACGTCATCAATCTATTTACCTACATTATATTTCTTTTGTATTTAATACTTGTTGAATTTACCTCTTTACTTGGCTTTTGTGGCTTAGAAATATTTTGATTCTCACGTAACTCTGAGGAATTATTCTCTAGCTTTAGTTCAGGTTATGCTTGCTGACACTTTAAAAATAAGTGGATGATTCTATTGTCACCTGTTTTTGCACTCTTTCTTTGGAAACTTTACCCAGCCTTGTGATTTATTTGATCCCAAGTTGCAGTGCCTTCATCTGAGGTCTAGGTGTGTATCTCCAAATGCTTCTGTGGATTTTTCAGGCATTTTCCAACTACATATGTAGTTAATTTCTAGTGAGGTTTAAATCCTAAGGGTGTGACCTTGGTAACTTATCTCAATCTCACATTCCTCAACTATAAAATTGAGTTATACCTATTTTGTGAGGATCCAAAGAGATAGTATATACAGTGCCTAGCCTAGAGCCAGCTACATGCTGATGAAAGCGCTCAATAAATGTTTTCCATTATTATAGTTTTATCCCCATTAGATATAGCCTTTGCCAATGTTGATATTTTTTGAGTGCATGATAATACAGCTAGTTCTCTATATAAAGAAACTATACTTTTGAATTGCACATTTACTTATGTACTAAAATTGTTTAAACAAAATTCTACTGTGTGTTTTAAGTTTGCATTGAAGTGTGCCTACTGACGATTGACAAGGAAAAAAAAAAGCCGTAAGATGGATATCAAAAAATAACATTAATGAGCTGCTAAAGCTAAAATTACAGGAACTTATGAAATTGGTTAAACATAAAAACCATTAAACTGTTTACTGAAGCTTCACAGATATACTGCAGCTAATGAGCATTTCTGCTATTTAAATAAGCCCAAATTGAACACACATTACATGGATACATAATTAGTCATGGCAGTCAGACACACATAGACTTACTTTTAAAGCTCTATTTAGGGAATCTTTTCCATTTGATTTATTTTGTTAATTAAAATATTTTTCAGTGTTCACTTATATTTTAATAATATTGTTTTCACAAGTAGTATAATTTACTACTGGTTTCCTATTTGTTTTTATTTTTCCGTTAAATGCAGCAAATGGGAATTTTATATGAAACATTTTTCTTAACCCCTTTCAGTAATTGTTTATATCATTTGATGACATAATTGAGCATTTAAAAAATTTTGTTTGCTGAGAAGTATACAAAAAATATTTCAATACGCTATTTTTTCACTATCTCATAATTATCAAGAAATATTAAGCACCCAAATGTGCATAGAATTATAATGATTATGGTCCAAACCAGATTAAAGGATGATCTATTCCTTCAAGCAGTTTGCAGTCTTAAAGAGATGGTATCATTGAATATAAATAAGCAAATCAAAGTACAGCATTTGGGAATCCAACAGAGAATTTGAAAACAATTCCCATATATTTACTTCAAGGACACTGACCTCCTGGAGGAGATCTCTTCCAGGTAAAATGAAATCCAATGTTCAAGGAGTTCAGCGTCTTAAATAGATAGAATTATTTCAGAGACATAAGCAGATCAAGGTGAAGTGCTTGGACTATTTTAATTCTGAATTGGTTTGTTGGTCAGTTTAGGAAGTGGAAATGAAACTTCCAATAGAATACAAATAACACAAAAGGAGTTGCTATAGGCTATTATTGACATCCATCGTTTCCATTCAACTTGGGGAGCCTAAGTTTATCCTGAATAGGGTGAGGGAGAAGATCAGATCTGTATTTTACCCTGACTGAATTCTACTAGCATATTCAAACTGAAAATTATCTAACCATAGCAGTAGGAAAATCAGATATTTAAATTGATCAAAAGAAATTCACTATGTGCCCATTCTTCCCTAGTCAGTATGTTTGTCAGTGTAGAAATACTTTTTCTCCACATGATGAACTGACTAATTGTGAAAATAAGATCTACAAGAAAAATAACTAAGACAGAATAATATGAATGCTAAATAAATGGAATGGACAAATACTACATTTTTTGACCAAAAAACATATACTAGATTCCCCTTATATGCCAATTATATGCTAGATGCTGGGGGGAAGTAGCTGACTTAAATAAGTTATCTGAACTTAGGAGTAGTAGAGGTAAAACAAATACTTGAAATAAAGTCACATAGTGCCTAGCGTAACAGAAAGTCGTTAGTGGTTAATTCACTAGAAAGGGGGGGAAAAAGGTTTCATTGGAAAGGATGCTCTCAAGGCTGAATCTGTGAAGCTAGCCAAGACTAGAATTCTTTGCTGTTCCTGTCTTCACTTTAGTTATTCCCATGATCCCCAATGCTGAATTTTATGAGACTGTGGAGAGTCTATTTATTCTGGCTTTCTCTTGCCCCCACACCCAAAGTCAGAAGCAGCAGGACTTTGGAGATGAAATAATTGGATTCAAATACTGCCTCTGCCACCTCTTGGCTTTATTGAGGATGATAATATCCACCTTCAAGGGTTCTTTTGTGATCTAATAAGATATTCTATGGAAATATCCAGCAGTATGCCTGCCATGTACTAGAGATCCATAAGTGCTGATTGATTATTTTTTCTAACATTCTTCTTTAGTTGACAGTGATGTTAATGGAATGTAAGAAGTAACTAGGATAAAATTTTCATTGGATGGATTGGCACAACATGTTAACTGACTGGATGTTGATATATTTGGAAACAAGATTCATGGATTATACTAAGATTTGTAAGCTCTATTTTTAGTTTTGAAGAAGGGAATGGGACCAGATGCGATGGCTCATGCCTGTAATTCCAGCACTTTGGGAGGCCGAGGCTGGTAAATCACTTGAGGTCAGGAGTTTGAGACCAGCCTGGCCAACCTGCTGAAACCCCATCCCTACTAAAAATACAAAAATTAGCTGTGCGTGGTGACAAGCGCCTGTAATCCCAGCTACTTGGGAGGCTGAAGCACGAGAATCACTTGATCACTTGAACCTAGTAGGTGGAGGTTACAGTGAGCGGAGGTCATGCCACTGCACTCCAGACTGGGCGGCAGAGTGAGACTCCTCAAAAAAAAAAAAAAAAAAAAGAAAAGAAAAAGGGAATAGAAAATTTTCGCAACCTACTCATCTGACAAAGGGCTAATATCCAGAATCTACAATGAACTCAAACAAATTTACAAGAAAAAAACAAACAGCCCCATCAAAAAGTGGGCGAAGGACATGAACAGACACTTCTCAAAAGAAGACATTTATGCAGCCAAAAAACACATGAAAAAATGCTCATCATCACTGGCCATCAGAGAAATGCAAATCAAAACCACAATGAGATACCACCTCACACCAGTTAGAATGGCAATCATTAAAAAGTCAGGAAACAACAGGTGCTGGAGAGGATGTGGAGAAATAGGAACACTTTTACACTGTTGGTGGGACTGTAAACTAGTTCAACCATTGTGGAAGTCAGTGTGGCAATTCCTCAGGGATCTAGAACTGGAAATACCATTTGACCCAGCCATCCCATTACTGGGTATATACCCAAAGGACTATAAATCATGCTGCTATAAAGACACATGCACATGTATGTTTATTGCGACATTATTCACAATAGCAAAGACTTGGAACCAACCCAAATGTCCAACAATGATAGACTGGATTAAGAAAATGTGGCACATATACACCATGGAATACTATGCAGCCATAAAAAATGATGAGTTCATGTCTTTTGTAGGGACATGGATGAAATTGGAAATCATCATTCTCAGTAAACTATCGCAAGAACAAAAAACCAAACACCACATATTCTCACTCATAGGTGGGAATTGAACAATGAGATCACATGGACACAGGAAGGGGAATATCACACTCTGGGGACTGTTGTGGGGTGGGGGGAGGGGGGAGGGATAGCATTGGGAGATATACCTAATGCTAGATGACGAGTTAGTGGGTGCAGCACACCAGCATGGCACATGTATACATATGTAACTAACCTGCACAATGTGCACATGTACCCTAAAACTTAAAGTATAATAAAAAAAAGAAAAAAATCATAATAAAATAAAATAAAAAAAAAGGGAATAGAAAAAAGCAGCAATGACTATTAAAAATGCATCATGAGGACAGGTGGAAAGCAGAAAGTATGATGTCACAGAAGCCAGGCTAAAAGACTTTCATGAGGAGGAAGTGGTTATCTGTTGAATTTTGCTGAGAAATCAAGGAGCACAACAAGGGGGAGGCACCTTAGGTGCCTGTCCAACAACTTTGCCTTTGCATGACCCTGAGAGTAAGGACCTCCTTAAATTTTGTTCTTTGTCTGCCTCACTCACCTCACCCTATTTCAGGCTCTGAAGCAAGATGATCACTGAGAAGAATCACTGGACTTGGCGACCTGGAACCAATTAATCATATCAGTGAAAAGAGGTTTAGTGAAGCTTTGGAGTCAAATGCAGATGTGGAATGGTTTTAAATTGGGAGGTACTACTGTACATGTATGTACCTACATATGGGAAACCTCTAATTTGTAGAGAGTGGCTGGTAATAGAGAAGAGAGTGGATATAGTGTCAGGGGCAAAATTCCTACCAGGTCAGAGGAGAGGATTCTTGGGCCCATGTGGAGAGAATGGCTTCTGATAGTAGGGAGAGTTCCTTAGTGGTATTAAAAAGGAAGAGAGAGAGAGCGAAGGTATAGATCCAGTAGGTTTGTAGTTTTGCTGATGGGAAGAAAAGAGAGTTCCCATGTGATGGCTTTTATATTCTCTGTGAATTGTGGGACAAGGCCTTCTCCTGACAGTGGGGGCAAGAGAAAGGAGTCAAGTCTATAGAAGTTTTGAGGAGTGAAGCAAAGGTAAGACGTGTTCACAATGAGTGGAGGAAATGAAAGAGTAAGGTCACCAATAATAAATCATGAGGTGGGAAGGCCCAGGGGAAGCTTGTGAACTGAGTTTTGGATGTGATGATTTGGAAGGGACATTAGAGCATACAGGTTATAATCTTAAACAGGCATCCAGAAGTTCCAGAATAAAAGGAAGAACTCAAGGGAGAGTTCGAGGCCATCTTTATAGAGATGAAATTGAAGGCCCTAAATGACTATGATTTCTGACAGAGAAAGTGCAGTGGACTGAATATTTGAGAGCTGAGAAGAGGAAAATGAAGAGGTGAAGAGGGGCTAGAGCCCAAGAAGGACAGTTTAAAGATAAGCAGAGCCAGGGTAGAGGAGCATTCTGCAAATCAAAAAAGATCAAAATTAATGCCATTCAACTGTTGGATGCTACAGAAAGGCAAAAGAGCTGAAGACTAAGGTCACAGAATTTGGTGACCGTGGAGACCATACTTTCATTCAAGGAATAATTTGGTGGTGAGACAAGTAAGCAGTCCAAGTATATGACCGAGAAATTGGGTAAAGGAAGATATAAGAATGGCAGTGAGAAAAGATAACCATGTCAAAAACAAAGTTTTTTTCAAATTGGAGAGGAGAGGAGAAAATGACACATACAATATACTGAAAAGAGTAAGAGACAGTGTTTGAGGACCTGGAGGAGCAGGAAGGTACAGAATCAAGGTTATCTTCTGAGAGACTGGCAGAAGGAAAACAATGAATCTTCATTGTGGAGAGCATACTGATTAAAGTACTGAGAAGTGGAAGGGAGATGTGAAGACAAAGCTCAAGCCATCCAGACTTGATATTCTTAGTTGGAGGCATTCTCTGGTTCTGGCCCTTCCTTACCCCAGGTTATTCTATTTAAACAGAACTCTGATATCCTGGCCTTGTAATTAGAATTTATTTTGATCTTGCTGAGATTTTGCTTTCAGCGCTGAATTACTGAGATTACTGCCTCAGCACACCTTTTAGTTTCATTGTGATTTGGTCCTAGTGGGTGATAGGTTATGTAAAATTAAACAACAAGGACATAGATGAATTCATCTATGTTTTCAAGGTATCATTTTATTGTAAATGTTGAAAGTTTTTATTCCCCCCATTGTTTTATAACACATCAAACTCTCCAAAGAATACTAATAATCCTTCTTCATTATGATATCTGTTGTATTGTTTTATTGTTTATGGAGAATTAATTTATATTTGTGTACTAAAATATAACATTCTTGACATCTTTTTATAAAAACTGAGAAATATACTTGTCATATGCTTGTGGGTTTCTCTTTTACATATGTGACAGCACAGCTACATCAGTTTAATTGACCTTGGCAATCTGCATCTGCTAGTGATGTGTCCCTGAGGGACGGTTTCTGCAATTTTAAGCTGTGGCTTATTGAAGAACTTGTGTGTCACAATACCATTAAGTCTGTATAAAAAATCATTTCATGCACAGCATTAAATTGACTAAAAGTTCCAATTTCAAAACCGTTTCTTGTTATAAAGCTACCTCAGAGTGTCTTTGTTTTTTAAATAAGCTCATTTGAACATAGTAGTAATTAAAGCAGAAAATTAACATAAATCTTGAATGTTTGGTATGAATTAAGGACGTTTTCATTCTTTATAAAGACTGCATAAAATTCCAGGCACCATATCATTTAACAAATTTCTCTTCCAATTGCAGAATAATATAGACTGTGAATAAGCATGTTTTGGGATTCTTTTTCAAGTTCTTTTTCTGTTCAACTATGGAGCTCCTGGGACATATGCCACAGTCTCCATCAAGATGCAATCTCATGGAAAATCTGAGAAAACTGTGCATGAACATAACAGAAAATCCCCCCCGTTTTATAAACAAGAAAGGAATAATACAATCCTTCTATTAATATTCATTTAACACTTCAGAGGAAATGGCAAGCAGTTATTTGGTTTGCAGATGTAAATATACATTTTTCATTCACTTATGCTTTCACTCCTTCCAAGCTGGGTAAAGACAGAACAGAAGATTTGCTTCTGAGTTTTATTTTTATTGTATTCCAAGTTAAATCTATCAGCAGAGATGTAAAAGAGCTCTGAGGAGTTCATAGAAGAACAGTTACAATGATGAGGATGATAGTCTTCCTCATAAGGAGCAACTAAATAAATGAATTCCTTTCTGAGAAATTATGAATAACATGCACGTGGATTTTTTCACTGAATCCTTGATTTGAGTTCTAAGCTTAAGAAAATGATTAAATAATTAAAATAATGGCTATATTTTAAAAGAATTGTTGAAATTAGGAAAGGTATTTAGCTCCAGATTTAACAAAGTTTCAGTAAATTCATATATAGTATGAATCAAATTCATACTATATATGAATATTACATGTGCTTAGAGTCTACTACATGTACAAGGAAATGATCCTAACCATTTGATATTCCAGTTGTGATAGTCATTCTTGGTGCTTAGGGCTACTGAAAGAAATATTTCTGACCCACTGTAGCATTGCTTATATTTATAAATGTTGTCCATATTCTACTTTCTTAGTGATCTTTTTGTAGATATTTGATGAGCCAAATATTGGGTATTAAAATATATACAGATGGTCTCTATTTTGATTGATGTTAGTAACCTCATAACCAGCTGTGTGATCTCTCAGCTTTTTCTTTTTATTTCTGGAATGAAATTAGGAACATGTTAAACTTGAAGGTCTCCAAAATGAGCAGGAGGAAATTTGGTAGTTAATTTTCAAAAGGAGACTGAGATGATTTTTAATATGAAAGAAAATCCTTTTTCTATTTTAGAATAGAGTATCAAAGAATTGTTTGATTTTTAATGAGGTTAGCTGGATATTACAAATGATAAAATAATTAAAACAGTTGATATTCAGGTTTAAGACTTCACAGAATAAATAAATCAAATATTAAGGAAAGAAAGCTTATTTTTAAAAGTATACATGAGTATTATGAATGTTTAAGGATACATAATAACACAATGCATATACAATAGAAATGCCCATGAGCAGAAGAGTGCTTTTGAATTCACAAATAAATGCCCCTAGGGTGGCTTATGATGTTGGTGCTAAATATTTTAAGAAACATAAAGTTACTTATTAAACTCAGAGTAACATTTCCTGACTACTTATGGACCGAGTTTGTGACAGGTGGAGTGTTAAAGTGAATTGTTCTATGTACATTTTTTGCATCCTAAAATATGGTAAAGCACATTCTTCAAGAACTTCAATTTAATTTGTGAAGCATTTATTCAGCACCTCCTGTGTACAATTCACTGTGCTCAAGTGAAGATTCAAATTTTATGAGGCCTGAAGTGTATACAATTTGAGAGCTCTTCTTTAAGAAAAGAAAAATTCATAGATTTGAAATTAGGCGCAGGGCTTTGAAAGAGTCCCATGCAAGTGAGGGACCCTACTTAAGCTTCAGTAACTTCATGATAAAGTTATCCCTTCACATCTAGGGGGGCTTGGTTCCAGGATCCCCCATGGATACCAAAATCCATCTATGCTCTTAAGTCTGTTATAGAAAATAGTGTATTATTTGCATATAATCTACACATATCCTTCCATATACTTTAAATCATCTTTGGATTACTTATGGTATATCTAATACAATGTATATGCTGTATATATACTTGATATACTATATTGTTTAGGGAATAATGGAAAGAAAAAAGTATGTACACGTTCAGTACAGACATAAACATTCTATTTTTTTCCCAAATATTTTCAATGCACAGTTGATTGAATCCTCAGATGTGGAACCCACAGATATGGAGGGCCGACTGTAAACATGTCTTTGACTCTAATTTATGTTGTGGGACTCAGAGATAACTAAGGAATTATTCCTACCTTGCTCAAGCATAGAATGAAATCTCTACTTAAATTTCAAGGATATTGCTGTGAAACATGAGATAAATGTAAAAAAAAATGCTTTGATCTCCTAGTGATAAAATTTTGAATTTCTTATCTTTTTATTAATTATCTTTATTTCAGATCTGTTGTAGGCCAAAGTTTTGGAAACATAAGATCATTTCTGATAGAACAGAATTCATTTTTACCCCTTGCCACTATTTATAAAGCTCATTACATATATCATTCAATGATGATGTGTTACAGTTGCCATTATTAAAATAGGTTGAATTGATGAGCCATACTCACTATTGACTTTCTTGCAACTCAAGTAACTGTCAACAGATGGTAGTGATGATCTGTTATGCAACAGGGAACAAATGATAAAGATCTCTTTTCATGTGACCTTTAAAAACATTAGAAAAATTTCCTTAAAATGCCTTTCTGCTTTGAAAATAATTACATGAATATTTAATTTTCCTCTCAATGAAAGACGAAAAAACAAATAGAAACAGTAGAAGATTTTAAAATAAAAACCTGAGTATGATAGCATTGACCCATCTACTCATTCATTCATTCATCCATCAATCCAATTGAGTGTCCTCTGCTCCAAAAACTGTAGTGTGCTCTGTGGAACACAGGCAAGCAGTGTGGACAAATTGCTGTTCTCATGGAACCTATGATCTTGTGGGAAAAACACAATCAACAGTAAACCCTCAATAATTTTCTACAACTCTAACATTCTTTAAGTAGAAAGCTACAAATATATACCAGTGTTTATTTTATTTCTATTTTTTTCCTCTATTTTACTCAGAAGAAACTGGTTTTAGGTGTCAAAAATAACATTTTTTGTATTTGGCTATTTTGTGTTATACTTGATTCATAAATAAATTCAACAACTAACTTTTCTGTTCCAAAATCTCCCAAGCTCTCTTCCTTTAGTTTAAGTTGTTACTAATATTTTCTCTTTGGAGTTGGAGTAAAGAATAAGGCCCTTAGTCTGTCTGAGATGCTGTGCTTAAAAATTATGACGTTACCTGGAGAGAACATTTTATCCTAAACACTGGCTTACTCAGTTTACTCCATCAAATAGGGTGTTGTCCACCTTTCTTCATTTCTTCTCTTACTCAACCCTTTCTCTAAATTGCATCCATTGATCTCTTCCACATGTCAGGATTATGCTTTCAAAATGTTCGTTAGATATTTTTCTTAAAGAAACACAGCTTCATTCCTCTTCCATGACTCTTTTAGATTCATTAGAATGCAGCATATTTAGTAAATAATTGCAAAACTACTTTACAGAGCAATTTCCACAAGGAATTAATGGTAATGTTTGCATTTGTTGCTTTTAACAAAACAAAGCAGAAATTGCTGGCTAAATGTAACTGTATACTAGATCCATTAAATTGCTTAATAGTAAGTGCAAATAATTTAATGAAAATGTTATATATGTTGTCTCATTTTGCTTTATAAAATGTTTTGTTGTAAAAGGGAGATTAGCCATTGACCTGAATTCATGATGTAACTTTCAAAAGTGACACACATGAACAAGTTGGGGATAATATAAGTAGTAACAGATTTGTAAAAATGATGGCTATGAATAAAGTTTTAGAAAAATGTATTTTGTATGTATTTAAAAGGTTGTACTTTCCTTCTTTATAGATCCATACTTCGTAGACATAAATGTCCGCTCTGAAACATTGACCAAATCTGTGGTCTTTAATTCCTGTATGTGAGGTGTAAAGTTAAGTCAGTGCCCTTCAAATGTGTTGTTAACTCCAATATTTCGTTAGCTTTTCATTTTTATAGTTTACTAAAAACAGTTGTTTGAATCCCTGGAACAATAATTAAACCATAATTTTTCTTAATTTTAAAATTATTGTTATGGAATTGTCTGTTGACTAGTGATTGTCTATTGTTTTTCACTTGTTTTTTCAGTAAAAGAAGCCTTGAGCCCTATAAAATTTAACAGATGGGGTCTCCCAGAAGTAGATCCAGAAACTATGCAAACTAGTGAAGCATGGGTATTTGCAGGTGGTGATGTCGTTGGTTTGGCTAACACTACAGTGGAATCGGTGAATGATGGAAAGCAAGCTTCTTGGTACATTCACAAATACGTACAGGTAGGCATTTGCCATCATTTCCACTTAATTCTTTTCCAATGGATAAGTGCTTCATTTATTTTTGATACTCATCTATAAGAGCATTTCTATTTGGTATATAATAAGCATATATACAATATGTCACGTACATACTTGGATACAAATTTTAAAATGTAGACTAGGTAGTAGAACTGTTGAGTTGATTAAAAATTGGGCCAGGCGGGCATGCCACCTAATGCCTATAATCCCAGCAATTTTGGAGGCTGAAGCGGGAGGATGCTTGAGCCCGGTGTTCAAGATCAGCCTGGGCAACATAGGAATATCCCATCTCTACAAAAAATAAAAAATTAGATGGGCATGGTGGCACACGCCTGTGGTACGAGCTTCTTGGGAGGCTGAGGTGGGAGGATCTCTTGAGCTGAGGAGGTCAAGGCTGCAGTAAGCCATGATCGTGCCACTTGCACTTCAACCTGGACAACAGAGAGAGACCTTGTCTCAAAAAAAAAAAATAAGAAAGAAAATTTATCATGCATTCCTACCATTTGAGTACTGTGAAGTCATTAGTCCTGATGTGTTCAAAATATTTATTATTGGCTTAAATACATAGATCATACACTTATCAAATCTGATGGTATACAATATTATAGGACATATACTAGAATCTACATTAATTATAATCTTACATACTCCAAAAGATGGTTTGATCTGTTCATTTGGACCAGATAAGGTCCTGTCTGTTTTCCAAATTCTATGCACCTAAGTGGAAAGGAAACAAACATTTGATGAATTTCAGTTGTAATTTTTATTTTTTAAATTAAATTAAATTTAATTTTTTTATATTTTTTGAGACAAAGTCTCGCTCTAATGCCCAGGCTGGAGTGCAGTGGCACGATCTTGGCTCACTGCAGCCTCCACCTCCTGGGTTCAAGCAATTCTTATGCCTCAGCCCCTGAGTAGCTGGGACTATAGGTTCATGCCACCACACCCAGCTAATTTTTGTATTTTTAGTAGAGATGGGGTTTCACTATGTTGGCCAAGCTGGTCTCAAACTCCTGGCCTCAAGTGATCCGCCCACCTCAGCCTCCCAAAGTGCTGGGATTACAGACATAAGCCACCGTGCCCAGCCTTCAGTTGTAATTTTTGAAAACAATTTAGTTTTTAACAATTTAGGATACAGAATGTGAAATGATGAGATGTGAAGCTGAGCATACTTTGCCACAACGACTGTGGTCTTGAGGAAGAAAAGTGTAACTACCAGATCTCAGTAGCTTACTTTCCGACTAAATGCTTTGTTTTCTTTTTGTTCTGTGATTTAATTAAATGTAGATACAGTTACCTCATTTATGTAAAATGTTCCTGGAAAATTTGCTCTTGTTAATAAAATTTTTATTCTTTCTTTCCTATTCAAGGAAGAGTGCTCACACTATGCCTTTTTACCACTCTTGTTTTTACCACTCTTGTTTTGGTTCTCTTGTTTGTTTCCCACATGCTAACAAAATTCACTTTATCTTTAATGCTTCCTTTAATTTCTTCCTCTTTTCCATGACCATTTTGTCTATTCTAGTTGTCCTTCTCATGTTTGTGTAACTAATGCAGGACCTACTTATTTGCTAGGTAGGGCCTGGACTTGACACTGATAGTATCATCTTTTAAAAGTTTGATTCACCTGCCTACTTCCACCTCCTCCTTGGCATCTTTGAGTAGTGGGGCTTGAGTTGTTGGGCCAAACCGTGGTGTCCCAGAAATGTAGGAATCTCAAAATGAATGAGGTAATTGGGAGACTGAGGTGGGAGGATTACTTAAGCCCAGAAGTTGGAGGCTATAGTGAGCTATGATCACACCACTGCACTCTAGCCTGGGTGACAGAGTGAGACCTCATCTTTAAACAACAACAACAACAACAAAACAACGAGAGAGAAAGAGAGAGAAAGGAGCCTGTGGATTTTGCAAAGAGACAAAGCTTTGATTCAGGAAATAGCATCTAGGGAGATGCCAAATCTAAAATTTTAAAACTTTAAAAAGTTATACATCAAAAGGGACTAGGCTAGGCAAAGAAAGAAAGAAAGAAAAAGAACACAATTTAAACAGAGACAGACACTGGAAAACCCAAAGGAGACAAGTTGGTGAGTGGTTCAGGCTCCAGTCTTTGCAGTGACTGAAGGATAGATAGCAGCACTATGCTTTACCAAGTGTTTATTGCCTCAGACAGAGGAAGCAGCAAAGGACAGCTATCCACTCAGGGAGTGGATGGTTCCCTACTTTGCCTCCTTCTGCATTTCCTGCCCCCCAAACTATCTTCCTGTTTTTATTTTCTCATTCTACTCTTATTTTCAGAGTAATTTCACAGTTTTTTTTAATAATAACAAAGGATTTATTATCATTTGCAGATGAAATAAATGCACCATCCCATACTTGAAAGGTTTCAGTAAGCCTTAACATTTTTCAGGTTGTACCAAGGCACTGCCACTGCCTAGTTATATTATGCACCCATTTCTAGAGTAAAAAAACTACACCTCCCTCAACATCAGTTCTGTACTGTTTCTGGTTTATGATAAACTTCCAAAACAGCAAAAAATTGCAAATATGTGCAAACACTATGGTCCATTCAGAGTACTGCTTAGTCATCATCTTCCTCTTCCTCCTCTTCTTCCTCAAAGCTATCTTCAAAGCCCTCACTGTCCTCCTGGTCTTCATCCCCCTCTATTGCTGTATCCCACTGTGGGTGATTTTCTGGCACAGGCTTGGCCTCATGAACTTCCAACTTCAATGGTTTAATCTGATCCAAACCCATATAGGAGTCTGATCTCAGAAACACAGTATACTGATAATTTCCAGGCTTGCCTGGTGCAGGAAACTTCAGCTCTACTTCCTCTGTATCTTTTAGTGTACACACATGATATGGCATGGATATTAATGTCTGCTCCTTCCTATCTGCAATGTAAAGCCACCACCATTCTTGTTTTTCCTCAGGAAAGTAAAGGCTATACACAGGATGTGTTATTTTTGATTTGGTTTCCAATAGAGCGCTCTCTTCTTGCTGTATGCTTTGTAGTAATTCTTGCCACTCTGCTTCATCATCTTTGTTTTGTTTTTCATCTTGCTCTCTATCAGAGTCTCTGTCACTACCATCATCTTTCTCACTTCAGGAATCTCTATTGGTTTCTTCTTCTTCAGAATCACTGCCCTTATCTGAAACTTCTTCTTCATCTTCCTTTACTGCAGCTTCATTCCCAACAACTCCATTTGCCAGCTTTTGTTTCTGTTGCTTTGACTGTGGTAATAGCACAGGTGCAGGTTTTTTTTTTTAAAGGTTTCTTTTTTTTTGATTTAGCAGTTTTCTTGGGTCCTTTACTCTTCTGTTGCCATCCTCGTTTTGTCCTGTTCTTGTTAGTTTCACCCTGCCCATCTTCTGCTGGCTGTTCCTCTGCAGCACAGAAGGACTGCTCCTTTTCAAATACTTCAGCCATTGTTTGCCTTGTCAACTTAACCAGCACTGTAACTAAGGATCCTACTGTGATGTTGTTGCTGTCTTCATCATCTAACACCTGTGATTTTATATTCATGGTCACATATGGAAAACTCCCAAGGACAGCCATAACCTCTTCATATTTTTCATCTTCAAGGAAGTGCAGTAGAGTATGACAATCTGATTCTTTAAACTCACCAAATCCTGGATAGTTTAAATTTTATACTTCTTATGATTAGAAACCTGTCTAAGATTGTCCTCTTCAATGTAAGGGAGCTGCAGAAGGGGAGACTTAAATTGCTGAAGTCCCTGAACGGCCATCTGAGAAAGCTTCATGCAGTTTTCTAGGGATGCCAAAGTTGGAGCACGAAATTCCCTTTCTTCACGGTTCGGGGCCATTACTATTAGTTGGCAGTTTTTAGTTTCACAGTTTTTAATCTTACCTCCTGCTGTGTAACTCTCTAATCTGTACCTCCAACAGGGCACTCTCTTGCATAATCCAGCAGTCCACTGAATATCTTCCCTTGTGTCTCTAATCTACTTTTCATATTCACCAAACATCTTCATGTAAATGTCTTTCCTACATTTCAGATTCACTGCTTTTAAGTCAAACATTTCTTCCCAACTTGCTCCAACTCCAGTATTTAACATTTTTTATTTCCAGGTTCAAACCTACTAAGTTAGTGGTCCTCATAAATTACTCAGAATAATTAAAATTTCAACATTGATTTGGAAATCAATACAATGCTGATGGCTTCTTCTTTTACAGAATAACAATATTAGAACAAAGGAAACTGACATTTATTTATATAAATTAATAGGACACTTTATGAAAAAGTTAGGAAAGGCTAGAGTCTCAGAATAAGAGATACGCTCAAGAAAGTACAGTTAAAAGATTTACATTGGTGCACATATACAACATGCACATAATTTTTTTTCATTATAAGACAAAACGGTACATAGCTGTATTTACCAACTACTTATCTAAGTTTTATTCTTCTCTCTTTTCTATATAACTGGTCAATTCTTATTCTATCTCTTAAAAACTCTTTTATACCCTTATTTTATTTTATCTTTTGTGTGGAGTTATAATTTTGATTGACCAGAAATCTTACTGAGCAGCCTGCTAGCTCCTTTAAGAAATGAAAGTGGAATCAAGGGATAAGAGATGAGGTTCTTGTGTTAGACCAGATGAAGCCCAGTGAATGTGTGAATTCATAGTGAAAATGGTATGTGGGCAGAGAAGCTAAAAAGATTTGAAAAAGTAAAATTGAACACAGGTCAGTGGAGGATTTTGTTTTTTGTTCTTATCCTAAATATTTAAATCCATTTATAGATTTTAAATTAAAATGAATAAACAATGCTTAAATATATTTATGATTGTAGTTTGGTGGTGTTTCACAATATCATTCTAAAGGAATCTTAATGTTTTTTTTTTTTCTGTTCATTTCACTGTTGTCTTGTAACTTCCTGAATCTAATAAATGTGTACTGGAAAAAAAAAGAAATTATTTTACTTCCATGTAATGGCAGATAGGAAGTTTGAATAGAAATCTGATGTGTAGAGAAAGGAGAGAAACAGACCTTTAGCTATAATGAAGAAAACATGCATGTGCTTTAAAAACACATATTGCTAGGAATGATAGTGTTTGAAATATAAAATAAAGGTTGTGCCATGTAAGAATTTTGGATTTGGTTGAAGGATTCAGACTTGTCAAACTAAGTGTTGAATTACATGTTAAAATGGAGTAGAGATGGAAGGTAGGTAAAAATCTCTGTCAAGTAAAATCAACATTTCCACCTTCCTGCCAGGGTGTTGGATGCAAAGTGCTAAGCAGCGATAAGGCTAACAAGGTACATATAGACAAAGTGGGATTTTTCTCTCTCCACATTGTCATTAACTTAGTTCTGGCCTCTATCACCTCTCTTGAAATTGCCTCCACTTTCTCTCCTGTCAAATCCAATGCCCCTACACTGCAGCCAGAGTCATCTTTCTAGATTATCAGTTGAATCCTAATTAGCTCATTTAAAACCCTTCAATGACTTTTACTCACACTCAAGGTAAAGGCCAAACTTCTTAGCTTTGAGATGCTGATTTGAATGTCCCCAAGCATACCAAGATTTCTCCTGAATCTGGGCCTTTCCCCCACTTCACCCATTTCCCTCTGGTTGAGTCCCACTTGTCCTTCAGGATTGGCTTTCTCCTCCTCGTCCAGGGAGTTTGTGACATGAACTTCCTTTGTGCTCCTTGTTTGAAGCCTGCTTACTGGTCTGTCTCTGCACAAGCTAGGAACCATGTTTATGTATTGCTGTACCCTCAAAATAAAGTATTCATCTATTACATAGGAAAAATATGCAGAAATCATTTATCTTAAATACATTTAAGGAGGAGTTAAGAAAACTAATGAGTTTGTTATATGATAAGTTCATTAGCATATAATATTGTTTTCTCACAAATGTAGCATTTGTTAAAAAAATTTCTGTAATGTCTATAGTATGTTTCACAACTAAGGCTTATGACATTTTGTCTTATATTTTACATTAGTTTGTTTTGGGGGAAAAGGTAACATTGAATAGCTTATTTTAAAATATGATTTTATAAACAGATTATAGTATTAATGCATGCAATTGGGTGTTTAGAAATTCTTTGTAATATGCATTTTCAGATAAATGTGATTGTTTGAAGACATCCATGTTGGGAGAAAGTGGAGGCAATTTCTCTGAGGAGAGCTTCACTTAAATTTCATCAGTTAATTTGCTCAATTACCACTTATTAAGTAATAGCCTTTGGGCCCACACTTGACTTCGGGAGGGTACCACAATGCATAAATAAGAGCAGTATAATATAGTGGTTATAAATTTGGGCTCTCTGAACTACAGAGAAGACATCAGATCCAGTTCCAACACTTTCCAATCATGTTACCTTGGACAGGTTACTTCAGCACTCCAGGGTATAGAAGTGAATAAGCAATTATAAATTATTATTATTACTTAAAATAATAATTAGAGCTGCTATCTTCTTGGGTCTTGCAGAAGATTATGAAAGAAAGTATGGAAAGCTCTTGGTAAAGACTAAGCTTTGTGAATATTTGTTGTGTATACCATTGTTGTGGGTTATTAGAAATCATTCACCTTGTATTGTTAAAACGAGATCAGGAAAAAGATGGCAAATAGGAAATTTGAATAGAAATCTGATGTATAGAGTCTTAACAGATGAATATTGAAATAGGATATTTTAGGTAGTTGCAAAAGCATTTTATTTAGTCATTAATTTATTCATCCACATACATCCATCAATCTCATTTATGCATTAATTAATTCATTCATTCAAAAGATGCATTTTAAAAAGTAGTGGATATAATAGATAGCACCAATTATTAGATTTAAATTTGCAAGTAAGAATCCTATTGTCTAGTAAAGAAGTGAGTTGTGTAAATGTAAGCCCAATATAGCATACTTAACACAATAATAAAAAGCATCAAGTTACAAAGGTAACCTGGAAGAGACAATGACTGATTCCATCTGGATGTGGGTATTAGGATGTGGAATCAGCAAGGACATCACAAACAACAAGAAACAAAATTTAAAAAGAATAAGAAAAATTAGAATAATACTGGGTAATTAGATTTACTGGGATTTAAAGAAGGCTACTGGATAAGATTTTATATGTTGCTCACTCCATGAGGGGTACCCAGACCAGGGTACAAGCTGGCTGAAATCCAGACCAAGCTCCACTAATCAAACAATAAAACCTTTTGTTGTTCTGCTTCTATACAGAGGAGGGAGTACCTTCCTCAAATTTTCATAAAGATGTTCTCTGTTTGGTCCATAAGTTTTGCACTGTGCAGCAACTCCTTTTTATTTCACCAAAAAGCATAGGGTGGACAAATGGAAGCTCTGAATATAGAGATTATATAGGAAAAATGAGAGAGAGAAAGTTCAGTAATTATACCAGGAGTAGAACATGATGAGATTGCCTAGCTAGGATTTCAATTTGGAGTAGGTAATGTGGTAGGAATTGTTCATGTATAGAAATGATATGGTAGTGTCAGATCTGGTATTAATGTGAAGAAAAGCGTTTTCCAGTTTGTCAGAAATTCCCTTCTTAAGTGTCATTCTGTTATAATATTAAATTTACTTTTTTAGTTACTTCTACTAATAATTCAATATGACTTCACCTTAATTGTTTATAATGTGATATTAGTGGAGTCCAGGCATATTTATTTTCTTCTACCAAATGAATAAGAATTACTGAATACGAAAGATAATTTTGACAGTGTACCTAAAGAAAGAATTTGTAACTGAAAGAATGACTATAGCTAAATGAATTCCTTAATTAGTTTAATTCCTTAATTTCTCTTTTCCTATGAAACCAAAATTAATACTTTGTTGGTTAATCAGAAAAAGTTAAAATGGGAAACTGTAAAAAGGATATACACATACATTAACCTCATCATTTTATTATTTATTACATAAGCAGCACATGACCAAAGCTTATAATTTTATTTAAAGCATATAGATATTTTCTCATTTTCCTTTTTCTTTTAAAAAAATCCAGGGCCAAGATGTTTTTAAATAAAATAGCCAGATGTGTATTATGTATCTTGCCTAAATCTATCTATAACATATTGTCTACCATTTTCATTTTTAAAAGTGGTACAAGACCTTCGAGAATCATACAATGCAATTTTCCAGATTTTTATGTTTGTCCTGCAGTCATTTCAGTGGTTTGACCAACACCTAATTTGACAGCAGTATTTTTTAAGTAACTCATTTTTATCATATCCTTCAAGAACATTCAACTTAGTTTTCATAGAATCAACCTTCTTTCTTTTTGCATCCATATAACTAATTAATGTTTATTTATTTACATTTATATCCAACAGAAACAGGGCGAGAAACATACAGCTGACTCTTGATAAGTAGACAACTCAACTAATAAAAGCAGAAATTTCGTAGGTATACAGGGGTACCACTGGTTATAAAGCATCAGCATTACTTGGCCATCTTTTGTGTCTCTTAGGGAGGAAAACAAGGGAAGGAAATAGTCCAGTAAATCTGTCAGATGCAACCAACTTGGTTAAGAGAGCATGTAGAGGACCTCAGTTTCTTCATTACAAAAGCACCAAATAGAGACTGAATTAATATCCAATGTTACTAATTTATAAAAACACATGGTGATATTGTGAAATTTTCATCTTTACCCTGTTTCCTGGCATACAACTCCTAAAATCTTTGGAATCTCCAAAGTGATGAGTATGTGTGTGTGTGTGTATGCTAATGAGTTGACTGATGGCTGACAGCCCATAGGTAACTACAGGATAGGGGCTAGTCACCAGAAGGACTGAGGCAGGACTAGGATTGGGACTTTCAGCCCTGCTCCCCAACCTCCGGGGAGAGTCAAGGGGCTGAAGGTTAAGTTGATTGACAGTGGCCAATGATCTAATCAATCATGCCTATGTAATGAACTTTCCATAAAAACTCAAATGGACTAGGTTCTGAGAACTTGCCAATAGACAAATATGGGTGACGGGGGTGCTTCCAGGAAAGTAAACTAGAACGCTTCCGTGTGCCAAGAAGGTGGCACACCCCAGCTCCACAGGGACAGAAGCTTCTGCTCTGGGGGCCCTTTCAGACCTTGCCCTATGTGTCTCTTCATCTGACTGTTGTGTTTGTATCCTTTAAAATACTCTTTGTAATAAACTAGTAAAAGTTTGGTTTTTGTTTTGTTTTGTTTTGTTTTGTTTTGTTTTGTTCCCTGCCCCGCCGCCACCCCCACCCCCCACCCCCCACCCCGGGTTCTGTAAGCTGCTCTAACCAGTTAATCTAACCCGAAGAAGGGGTTGTGGGAATCCCAGTTTATAGCTGGTTGGTCAGAAGCACAGGTAAAATAACCTGGGGCTTGTTATTGGCATTTGAAGTGGTAGGGGGCAGTTTTGGGGAATGAGCTCTCAACCTGTAGGAACTGGTGCTATCATCAGGTAGATAGTGTCAGAATTGAGCTGAATTAGAAGACATTCAGCTTGTGTCCACTACAGAATTGATTGCTTGCTTGCTTGCTGGTGGGGAGCAGTTCGCACACACCTGGTGTCAGAAGCGTGTTGTGAGATTTTAGTGGAGAAACTGAGTTTGTTTTATCCACTCACACAGCATTCAGAAGGCGGAGCACTTACTTTGTTCTAGTATTAGCATATAGACAGATTTGGTTGCAAAAAGTGGAGAGAAAAAGGCTATATGGATATCTCATCATGTTTTGTCCTGCCACTGAGAAAAAACTTGGAGATAGAACACAAACTAAATTATTCTAAATTATAATCCCAGATCAGAAGCTCATTGTCCCTTCAGTAGTCATGGTAGTCCTGAGAAGGAGCTCTTATAAACATGGAACATTTTGTCAAATAATGTTGATCTTTATAGAAATTATAATCACAAAACTAACTGGTTTGTTACATCATTAGAGTTATTTTTGCCGTGTCATTATTCTTTTATTAAGAATTGTTTTCAATTCTCTATATTTTAGATGCAACGTTTAAAAAGCCACAGTATTTATTACCAGTAGTGGAAGGGAACAACTAAATGTACATGTTGCTGCTACAAAAGCAGTTGTGGTAGAAATATATATATATTGAGAGACAAAAAATAAGAGTTATTAATAGAAGGATAAATATGGAATCAACAGGTAGAGGTAGAAATTCAAATAAAATAATTTGTATAGAGCACCATTTTAAATATAGGCAAGAAATGAAAAGGAAAAGATCTATTTTCTTCCAAGTGGGATTCATTCCATGAAAATCAAACATTTAGGGGAAAATGCAAAGTGTAAGGAAGGAGGCGTCAGGGCATTAAATTTAAAAAAAATTTGAGTACATATTTCTAAGTGACTTCAGGAGTCACTGCCTACTTAGTTATGTACAGAATAATTGCCGTTGAATAGTTATAGAATATTGTTTATTAGCAGCCAGCATTTGAAGTCAACCTTCAACAACAATAAAAACAACAACAAAAAGTTAATTTTTTCATTGTTGGCTTAGGTTCAATATTTCTACTACTGTATATATATATGTTTGCCTAAATATATGTTCCTAAATACTATTCTTCTGTTTTCTTCAGCAAACTTTATCCTTATTAAAATATGCTGTATTCCTATAGTAAGTGTCCACGTTAAGGTGTTTGATAATGTTTTGATTATTTCATTTATGAATCTATATTATTTCTTCCAATTTGTCAACCCCCCTCTGAAACTAACTTGTGAGGCAGAATTATTTTAGAATAGATACACAAGACACACACACAAATATTCTGGAATGATACTGAATCTAAAATACATTCCTTAACCCTGTAAGCTCATGAAGCACAAGTATCTTCAGTTTCTCTGCAGTGTTTTTCAGCTTAATGGTAGCTTATGTGAAATACTATTGAAAGTTACAATGAAGTTCTTTAACAGTTACTGTGATTCTACTCAGGTACATGTAGTATATGGGTATATTTTGAAATAGGTGTTTATTAGGTTCATGAGAACTATCATAGATGTCTTGCATTGGTGACCTACTTTTCTACTGCTTAGATTTTTTCTGTGTGTATTTTCTTCTGGCTTGACTGAGGCACAAAAAAAATCACTAGTGGTTGAGGGAACTAAGTATCTCAGGGGATTGGTAATGAGATACAGAGCCTTTAACCTCTTGGTCACTAGTTCAAATCTGCCCCAGGTCAAGAGTGACAGAAAGTCATTACCATCTGATGGCAGTTCAATAGGCTATGTGAAATGAATGTGTGATTTCAAGACCTAGTGGAGACAAATTCATGCCATAGACCTGCAGTAGAGTGAGTACAAATGGTAGCTGTGGTTTTGGTTTGAAGAGAAATGAGAAGTCCAGTCATTGCTAGATATTCCATCTTCTTTCTGTGAGCTGAGCTTCCTTTTGGTGGATTCGTTAATGGAATGGCATGAGAAAACTAGGTTTATGCCGTGATTTGGGGCCAAGAGGTGCACATCCATTGCTAATGAGGTACAATTCAGCATCACTAAATTGACTTTTTTTTTTTTTTTTGAGACAGAGTTTCACTATTGTTGCCCAGGCTGGAGTGCAATGGCACGATCTTGGCTCACTGCAACCTCCGCCTCCCGGGTTCAAGCGATTCTCTGGCCTCAGCCTCCCAAGTAGCTGGGATTACAGGCATATGCCACCACGCCCAGTTAGTTTTGTTGGTCAGGCTGGTCCTGAACTTTTAAAAAGTGATTTTAGTCTCAGATGATGATGAATTCAAGATTGAAAGTTACATCATTCATGTCTTCCATTTCTTCAATGCCCTCAACGTATATTTTTTAAAGGTTTCAGTTTCCTTTTTAATCATGACATTAATTTCATCTAATTTGGACATATGACTGAACATTTAGGGAAGCCTTTTCATTCTTGTTAATCTTTCACTTGAAAAATACTTAGTTAACAAACAAGAACAGACAATTATAAAGACAATTAAAAATATGGAATTCCAAATTGAGTATCATGGAAAAAGATCATTGTGATAAAATCTAATTGAATTGTGTGCATTCATATCAATAAATGAAATTTTTTACATTCTTTTTTGGGTTGAGATTATGTGAGGAATTTTGTCTTTCTGCTATCTTTAATAAACTGTCATTTTATTAACAATTTCTGATTTGGGGACATTTTAAAGGAATTATCTTTCTGAAGAGGAAAAAAGGCTTGTTTATACCTGAAAATTTTATAAGATGACAGCATTTTAATAATGGCATATTTACTATTTTATTTTATGTTGGGGGCAGTAATTTTTGAAATGAATCCACAATGCTGGGTTGTAAGAATTTTAAAGCTACCTTCAATAATGCTTATGATGTGGGAAAAAAAGTGAAGAATGGTAATAACTCTGCCTCGTGTTAAAGATTTCTGCTCTGGACAAAGATGAACAGTTGTTGAAAATATGACAGTCAGGGATTTTAGAAAACAAACTTACAAGAACTTCTCTGTGTTGAAGTCCCTGTTACTTAGAAGACCTTCAGTCCCAACTTTAAATAAAAGACACTTGTTATCATTATCATTGCTTAAAATATCACTTTAATTTCACATCTTCAAAGGCATTCTTTTGCCCTGAAATATACCAGTGATTTCTACAATATCTGAAGAACTATGATTCGAGAATTAGAAATTTAAATTGCACAGGCTTAATATTAGAGTATTTCCGTTACCCTTTGCAGGTTTTGAGGCAGCTTATTCGACCTTACAGTCTCACCAGGAAGCTAATGGGAAAGCCTTGCAGCAATCTTCACAGGAAAGTTTCCAAATGTCAAGTGTCATCTTTCCAGCTGTTAGATGAATGGGTAGCCAAGAGGCATTTATTTGGGTGTGCAGCCCCTGTGAAATCTGGGTGAGGCAAGAGAAAAGGCTATAATTTGGTGTTTAGTTTACCAGCATCAGTATAGTTGCAAATCTCCTAGCCAGGCAAAGGATTTCATTTTGTAGTTTAATGATTGACAGCCAGCTGCAGTGTTCTTGCACTTAAAGAATAAAAATGCCTGAAGAAAGGGCATCATCGATATGTCATACTAATTTTTGAATCCTCTACTGCTTCAGATAAAAACAATCTTATCAACAGAGCTGACTTCTTCTTCTCTAAACCTTTCCAACTGAGAAGAGGTAGGCTTTTGAAATGACAACTGTATTAAAATCTTGAGACTTACTGAAAAAGTGTCCTTCAGTTTAAGATATGTTGCAAACTCTTTTATTCCTGTGTTAAGAGAAGATTGATATAAATCATTGGCCACTGTCAGGTTGAAAAACAATGAATATCAATAAAAAGACAGTTTTAAATCATAATGGGTTTAGTTTGAGATAGTGATAGCCTCCAAAAAATAATATTGAAGTATGTCATGGCTAAATGCTGTTTCCATGCTAAGTTTTTCCACTGGGTCAGGATCATACTGTTGAGATGACTTCAGGTCAGTCTCATTGGGAAACTGGGCCTTTAGACTTAACTAGTACCAGAAATGTATGTGATCTCACCTTTATCTCTCGCAATGGCAAGTAGTAAAGTCAAATTTGCTTACAGTCATAGAAAAATGAAGTCTTCTTCAGTTGCTTATAAATAAACATACATTAAACCCTATAGTACTCTCCACATAATTTTCCTCTTTGATAGTACATTCAGGTTAAATTGTGATGTGTTCTTCAGCTAATATTTTTAAATAATTATTATGCATCAGATACTTGACACTTTTTCTATTAACAATTATATTCCTAATAATGTGAAGGTTTTTGTTTGTAAAGGAGAATTTATTTTTTGTAACATCCATATGTTCTAAAAGGAAGTCAAGGAAAAAATGAGCAATGAGGCTGTACCTAATGGAGCTATCAAAACAAAACTGTCTAGTTGGTGATAGAGAAAGAAAATACCATGACTAATAAGTAATTTTAATGCCTTTTATTGACTTTGTATAGGTTCCAAACTTTTATTAAATGGCAGTGTTTGACCTGAAAAGTAATTTAAAATGAAATTGTCTCCATAAAGACAGAATATTTCCTTACCCATATAGCAATAGATTGCTACTTCAGGCAGAGATAATTGAAGATTAGAATGGCAGAAATAAAAACTAACTGAAAAATCTGATCCAATACGTAGGGAATCTAACCTTAGTTCATGTTGATGGAGTATTAAGGAAATTAACCACTGCAGTATCAATTGGTCCAAATAGAGTAGAAGTGTTATGCATCCCATGCCAAATTTTCAGCGCTCTAATGCATGGGGTCTGCTGGGTCTAATGGCAATGTAGCACAATAAAACAAAACACCCAAAATCTTTAGTTTGCTGTGGAGAATTTAAATACAAAATAACCTAGTTAGAAATTTTGACCAGAATTGTGTTCTTCTGAATTCAGTGATTTAGTAAAGTTGAATCTCAAACAAGCTGTAAAGGATCAGATCAAAAAATATCCAGGATGGTATAATGGCATCCTGAAAGTCAAGCAGTCTGGGTTCAAGTTGTGAACTAATTGCTCAGTAATTCTGCCTTCAGACTTTTGGGAATATCATGTTGCCTTTTTGGTTTTCTCACTTATGTCTCTGAGACAGAACTTTGTCATCATAGAGGTAGAATTCCCAGCTCAAGGACTTAACAACTTTTAAAATCTCCAATACGTTATCTTGAACCTCATCATTTTCATTCATGGAAGGGGCAGAATTATAATTTTATATGGTTCTAAAACTCAAATAATATATATAAAAAATTAAAAATCTAATTTATTGAATACCCATTATGGTTGATTGTTTTTAGAGGCTTAGCATTCACATTGTGTGCAAAATTACCTATGGATTAACCATTTTCCCATTTAAAAAAATGGAGAACTATACTGGATTTGGTTAAGATGTAGTTGGCCATGAGTTAGGAAGCTGAGGAACTGGATTTAAAAGAGTAAATTCACATAGTAAGATAATTTACTCAGAAGAATACAACAATAATAGAATTATCTGAAAATGTTGTAAAAATTGTTAAATATCCTCAAAGAGATAAAGAAAAGAATAACATCCATAAAAAATAAAAGAAAAAAATGTAATGCCTTTCTTAAGGTGTTAAAACTAGTTAATGGCAATGCTGGGGGTAGAACCCAAGTTTTTCTGTTCTCGGTTCTACTGTTCTTTTCAATAACCAGCTTACTTTTTCCTCATGATGTTCTTTTCTCTTTTTTTGAGTTCCAGCTGAGCATGTGGAAGTCAGAACACATAAGTAAGTTCCTACCAGTTATCAGAGAACTCTGCTCCAGGGTGGGGACAAGTATTGGACTTTTTGTGATTCTTATAACCAATACTCAAAATTTTACCTTATTTCATTTTAGATCACTTCCCATATATTGAACAGTCACTGTATACCAGACAACATCCTGTGAGAATGTAGCCTTCAAATACATTTTTAATCAGTTTTGTTCTCTGTTGTATCCCTAGAACAGTGGTTACCTTATTGTTGGTGGTTGGCCAATGAAATGCCTGCCATATGTAGGCACTTAATAAATACAATTGAAACAATGGGTAGGTTTTGGAAATGTTTTAGATTATGAGGACACCGAGTTTAGGAAATGGATTTTATAAGTTCACATGGCTCAGTGGTGATAGATACTACCTTAGACTACTAAAAGATCTGGTGTTTGATGGTGGGGTAGAGTTACCATGGGAACAGAAGGATACAAATGAGCATGCTTGGGGTTTGTAGTTTTTCTCATTTGATCTTCACAACCATCCTTCCCTATAGATATTGTTATTTCTATTTTGAAGTGACCTCTGGGCAACTACGCTGGTTTTCTCTTCACACTCTATCCTCACCTTAGTCTATTTCAGAGAATTCTCCTTCTAGAAATATAAGGGTTAATAGGTTAACACAAGAGCAAGTATTGGCTGATATGTTGTTGACTTACAATTTTGAACTTCTTATTCCAAGGCTTAATATTTAACATCACTGCTGTCACCTGTCTTAAATGTCAGCTTATTTGATTTACCTTCGTCACTCTCACCTTGATCATACTGACTCCTTTATGTTACATGGATTTGCTGTCAGGCACCACCCTGAGCTGGTCACCATGTTTTTATTACTTTAGTCATTGACATCTTGTCAGCAGTATCACCACCTTTGCCCCGGGGCCTGTCAGTATGGCAATTGTTACCTTTTTGATTGACACTTTTGAAAATTTGTCAACATGTTATTTATTATTTTAGGGGGATCTCTGTCTAACTTAAAGTCATTTCTTGAAGTTAATTTACTGTTTTATTCTTTGAACAGACTCTTTGGTTTGTATGCAGTAGAGGCTATAATAGTCTACATGCTATTATATTAACAGATAATATTATAACTAGTAGAATGTGAAAGAAACCAACATATTACTGTAGTTCAGTGATATGGTTTAGATCTGTGTCTCCACCAAATCTCATGTTGAATTGTAATCCCCAGTGCTGGAGGTGCGGCATGGTGGGGGGTGATTGAATCATGGGGGCAGGATTAGAGTATCTCTCAGGACAAACTAAAACAAAAACACAAAATACCAAAAGACTAATAAAAAAAAACTTAATGCAAGAACAGTACTAAGAGATGTTTTATAGCAGTAAATGTCTGCATTACAAAAGAAAGAAGATCTGAAATAAATAACCTAACTTTAAACATCGATGAACAATAACAACAAAACAACAACAACAACAAAAAAAAAAAACAACTAAGCCCAAAGTTAGCAGAAGGATGGAAATAATAAAGATTAGAGCAGGAATAAATGATAAAATGAATAAAAATACAATAGAACAAAATCAACAAAATTAAGAATTGTTTTTCAAAAGATAAAATTGACAATTTGTTATCTGAACCAAGAAAAAAAAAGAGTATTCAAAAATAAAATCGGAAATGAAACAGGAGACATTACAACTAATGCCAGAGAAATAAAAAGCAAGACCATAAGGGACTATTATGAACAAATTTGACAACCTAGAAGAAGTGGATAAATTCCTAAAAACATACAACCTATAAAGACAGAATTAAGAAGAAATAGAAAACCTGAAAAGACCAATAACAAATAAGGAGATTGAGTCAGTAATAAAAAACCAACCCAAACAGGAAAGCCTACGACCAGGTGGCTTCACAGGTTAATTTTACTGTACATTTAAAGAAGAATTAATATCCTTTCTTCCTAAAGGCTTGTAAAAAGTAGAAGAGTAAATACTTCCATACTCATTTTATGAGGCCAGCATCACACTGTTACCAAATCCAGACAAAGACACCACAAACAAAGAAAATGACAGGCCAATATCCCTGATGAATATGGATGCAAAAACTTTCAATGAAATATTAGCAAACCAAATTCAACAGTACATTAAAAAGATCATATTCTATGACCTATAAATCTCTATAAAGCAAGACTTATTCCTAGGATGCAAAGATGGTTCAACATACACAAATCAATAAATGTGATAACACCGCATTAACAGAATGATGGGCAAAAACCATATGCCAAACCAAAGAAATAAAAGGCATCCATATCAGATAACAAGAAGAAAAATTAACTATTTGCAGAGGACATGATCTTATACATACAAAACCCTGAAAACTGCACACACACACACAAAAACTGGAGATCTAATAAACAAATTCAGTAAAGTTGCAGGATTCAAATCAACATACAAAAAGCAGTTGTGTTTCTGTATGCCAACAATAAACTATCCAAAAAATTAAGAAAAAAATCCATTTACAATAAGACCAGAAAGAATAAAGTACTTAGGAATACACTGAATCAAGGACATGAAATACTTTTAAAATAAAAACTCTAAAATACTGCCAGAAAGTAAAGCAGACAAAACTAAATGGAAAGACATCTTATATTCTTGGATTGGAAAAACTAATGTTAAAATATCCATTTCACCTAAAGCAATGTACAGATTCAATGAAATCCTTATCAAAATTCCAAATACATTTTTACAGAAATAGAAAATGTAATCCTAAAATATGTATGAATCCACAAAATACCCAAATAACAAAAACAATTTTAAATAAGAATAAAGCTAGAAACATTATACTTCCTGATTTCAAAATAATTACAAAGCAATAATCAGAGTAGTATGCTACTGGCATAAAAACAAACATGTAGAGCATTGGAACAATAGAGAGCTTATATCCTACAGCCATGTCATGTACAGTCAACTATACAACATATACAATGACTTTCAATACGAAAGTCAAGAATGCATAGCGGGGAAAGGATTGTCTCTTCAATAAATGTTACATTGGGAAAAGTGGCTATGTACATGCAAAATAATTAAATTGGAATGTTTTCTTTCACCACAGACAAAAATTAACTCACAATTAATTAAAGACTAAAATGTAAGACCTGCAACTCTAAAACTCCTTAGAAGGAAGCATATGGGAAAAGCTTCATGACATTGGTTTTGGCAATAATTTCATGGATATGACACCAAAAGTGCAGTCAACAAAAGCAAAAGGAGATTAAGTGAGATTACAACAAACTAAAAGAACTTCTGCATAGCTAAGGAAACAATCAACAGAGTAATAAAGCAGCCTTTAGAATGGGAAGAAATATTTACCATTAATTAACCAGCAGTTAATTTCCAAAAAATATAAGAAACTTTTAAAATTCAATAGCAAAATATTTAAATAGTCCAATTTTAAAAATTAGCAAGGGACTTGAATAGATATTTTTTCAAACAAGCCATACAAATGGCCAACAGGTACATGAAAAAATGCTTATCACTGATCATCAGGAAAATGAAAATCAAAACCACATTGAGATATTACCTCACACTTGATACAATGACTATTATCAGAAAAACAAAAGTTTGACAAGTTTGTGGAGAAATTGAAACCCTTATACAACTGTTGGTGCAATGTAAAATGGTGAAACTGCTATAGAAAACAGTATAGATGTTTCTCAAAAAATTTAAAATAGAACTATCATATGATCCAACAGTCCCACTTCTGGGTATATATCTAAAATAACTGAAATCATTATCTCAAAGAGATATCTGCACCCACATGTTCACTGCAACATTATTCACAATAGCCAAGATATAACCTAAATGTCTACTGATAGATAAATGGATAATGGCCAGGCGCGGTGGCTCACGCCTGTAATCCCAGCCCTTTGGGAGGCCGAGGCGGGCGGATCACGAGGTCAGGAGATCGAGACCATCCTGGCTAACATGGTGAAAACCCGTCTCTACTAAAAATACAAAAAATTAGCCTGGCGTGGTGGTGGGCGCCTGTAGTCCCAGCTGCTCGGGAGGTTGAGGCAGGAGAATGGCGTGAACCTGGGAGGCAGAGTTTGCAGTGAGCTGAGATTGTGCCGCTGCACTCCAGCCTGGGTGACAGAGCGAGACTCCGTCTCAAAAAAAAAAAAAAAAAAAAAGAAAAAAAAAGAAATTCTGATGTATACATCCAAGAGAATATTAGTCAGACTTAAAAAAGAAAGAAATTGTACTGTTTGTGAAAGAATGGATAGACCGGGAAGACATGCCAAATGAAGTGGCCATCACAGAAGGACACATACTGCATGATTCCCTCTATATGAGGCATCTAAGGTAGTCAAATGTATAGAAATAGACAATAGAATGATGGTTTCCAGGAGATGGGTGAGAGGGATGCTGGGTATATTGGAAAGAAAGAAGGAAAGAAAAGAAAAGTAAAGAAGGAAAGAAAGAGAAAGAAAAGAAAAGAAGGAAGGGAGGAAGGAGAAAGAAGGAAAGAGGAAAGAAGGAAAGGGAAGACAGGAGGGAAGGGAGAGAGAAGAGAGAGAAAAAGAAAAGGAAAGGAAAGAAAGAAAAAGGGAAAAAAGAAAAAGAGAAAGAAAGAAGAAAGAGAAAGAAAGAAAGGAAGGGAAAGAAGGAAAGAAAGGAAAGAAAAGAAAGGAAGAAAGAAAAAAGAAAGGAAAGAAAGAAAAGAAAAGAGAAAGAGAAAAGAAAAAAAGGAAGGGATAAAGTAAGCAACAATAAAGGGACACAAGTAAACTTTTGAACGTGATGGATATGTTTGTGACGTGGATTGTAGTGATAGTAACATGAGTGTATGCATATATCCAAAGCACTGACTTTTATACATTAATTATGTTTATTGTAGACTGATTGTACCTCAATAAGGCTGTGGAAAAAAAGGTGTGTAATAATACTGCTCTCAGCATATTAATATTTAAATAACAAAACAATGTTTAGTGAAGCCGTTTTTTAACCATTAATAAATAAAATAGACTACTTTTTTTAAAAAAGAAAGAAAAGATACTCTGTTAACTGTTGTGTTCCTAGCACCTGGACAGAATGCCTGCCGTATAGAATGCACTTGATAGATATAGATAAATTTTATATGCTAAGGAAATATTTTAGATCATGGGACAAATGGGGTTTAGGAAGCATATTTTACAAGTTCACTTGGCTCATTGGTGATACTACCTCAGGTTGCTAAAGAGCTGGTACGTGGCAGTGGGAGAAGAGTTTACAAGGAAATAGAAGTATGGAAAAAGAATACATCAGAAAGAGAAAATAGCAAGTGTAAATGTCCAGTTAAAGGCAGAGTTTGGTAGAAGGCACATGTGACTATGATGTGTATATTTATAGAGATTGGCATAAGGTAAGTTTGGATAGGCAGACAGGACCATATCATGAAAGAGCTTGTAGGCTATCATGAAAAGTTGAATATTAACAAAATCCAATGAAAAACTAATGAAAAGTTTAAGCAGGTGCATAACACAATCAAATTTCTGTTTTAAAAACCCTACTCTGGTACAGAGTAAAGAACAGATTTGAGTAGGAGGCAAGGAGAATGCAGAAGTCAGTAAGAAAAAGTCTCAGTAAGAGATAATAGTGGCAAAGAGAATGGAGTCAAAAATAATTAGATTTGCTGTAGAATAGAAATGGGATTTGAGAGAGAAGAAATATCAAAAATAATACAATTAACAGGTTTTAACAAGCTTGATGGATGGTAGTGTCATAAAGTAAATGGGGGAAAACTGGGGAGGAATAGTTATTTTTTGTTGAAGGAGGAGGAGTTTTTGCATGTTACTACATTAAGTTGCTAAAGAGCTGATAATTGGGGGTAGAGGTAGAGTTTAGATGGAGAAAGATGGGACATGGATTTGAATTAATATCATTTAATTTTCAGAGTCCAGATATGCTGACCATTATGCCATGGAGCCAATTAATATTATTTAATTTTCTAGTCTTATTTTATGCTCAGATTACAAGTATAGAAGAATGTGAACACAGTCTTTTAAAGAAATGCGTAAAATGGAATCATTATTTTGTAGAAACTTCTGAAGCCTCAAATCAGAAAAGATTTTATATCAGAAGGAAATTTTATTATGAATAATAATTTCTCAAAATGGAGAATGAAATCTGTTTTTATATTATAATTGTAATCACTGGAGCTAGGCCTTTCCATCATGGAAACAGCTAATCCAAATTAATTTTTACCCTGTAAGATTTTTCCCTCAATAGATATTTCTTCAAAGAGCGAAGGAACTGATCTTGAGTTAATTATTAATGCATTAATCCAGTCTGTGAATTAATCTAGCCACAAGCAGCTATGCAATGTTATTTATTCTTTTCCTTAAAATAATTTCAGAATGGATGTTTCTATAGCAGCTGTACTCCAAGATAGGGCCCGTTGTAGCATATCACAATGAAATATAAACAAAATGACTAAGTGAAAGCTGTTTGATTATTTTGAATTGCATGGAACATAGTGATGGTGATTTCTTCTTCAATCAAATATAACAAACACTACCACTAGTATTGCTTTTAGTAGTGCTTTTCTCTTCCTTTTTTTTTTTTTTTTTTTCCAAATTTCATTCTAGCAAAGCAAATCAGGAGAAAATGCCACTGGGATGTATACTTACCATGTGAGTTACTTTTTCCCAACAACATAATCATTACACATCCAAATGTCTCTGCTATAATTCCATGACCCCACGAGGTATAACAGAGGAAACCAGTGGTAAAGAGTAATAATTTAATAATAAAATAATGGGTTATTATAGTTTGACTGTATTTTTATTTCTATTCTTTAATGGCATTATGATTGTCTTAATGATATTTGAATAGGGTATGGTTTTTATTTTTGATAAGATTTTTCAATGTGTGTGTATATGTACTCTGTGTGTTCAATCAAACCATCATGAATAACTTTTTAGGTTAGTTTCTTGTTTTGAGGACATTAATAATTTAGAAAATTCATGTTTATGTAAGATGGGGGCAGCAGCTGGGCATGGTGGCTCACGCCTGTAATCCCAGCACTTTGGGAGGCCAAGGCAGGCAGATCACGAGGTCAGGAAATCAAGACCATCCTGGCCAACATGGTGAAACCCTGTCTCTACAAAAAATACAAAAATTAGCTGGGCGTGGTGGCAGGCGCCTGTGGTCCCAGCTACTCGAGAGGCTGAGACAGGAAAATGGCGTGAACCCGGGAGGTAGATCTTGCAGTGAGCCGAGATCACGCCACTGCACTCCAGCCTGGGCGACAGAGCAACACACCGTCTCAAAAAAAAAGAAAAAAAAAAAAGGTTGGGGGCAGTTTGATATAATGTAGTTTGTGTAAACTTTCAATTCAGGTCTTGCTCTACCACTTATTAATCTTTGGACAAGCAGTTTACTTTCTTTGGGCCTCACTTTCCTCATCTTCAATAGGAGAATAATGCATACCTTAAAAATCGTGATTAAAAAATACTTATCACTGGATCTGGTATAAATATTACTTGCAAATGGACAACTGTCTTGTTGATTTTAAGAATAAAATAGAAAAACATTTTAACTGTCCTATTTTTACAGTAGACCTTAACATTTGGACAATGTGTTGATGCTTGTCAGAGCTGACACTTTATTAGCAGATGAGAGGTCCACATGAGCACCTTTTAGACTATCTTCCGAACTTAAACGGTCTGTTCTCTTGAACAGACCCCCAGTAGCCACGTAGTTGAATAAAATAGACACCTAACACAATATTGGCCAAGCCTGAATCTCTTACTTGATAATTAGGAACTAGGAAAAGAACTCATGTTACTGGAGAAGTGACCTCATCCTTGAATGCTCTGTGTAATTTCTTGGAGGGATTTTTAAAATATTTTTAAAAATACTATTATTTGAGTCCCCCTCCAAGGGATTCTGATATAATTAGTAGGAAGGTACCTGGCCTGGACATCATAATTTTTAAAACTCTCTACGTGTTTCTGGTAAGTAGAGTAAAAAATTACTGGTCTAGACCTACACAATATTAATCATTCTGGATAAAGAAGTAGAGAAAGCCAATTGGAAGAGGGAGAAGAATAAAGTAGCTGTACATAGAAAGAAAGAGGACAAAGCACGAAAAATCTTCTTACTTTCCTCGAGAATTCCCAGCTCTTCCTGGAGGCCTGGCTGCATTTCTGCATGAGTTTCATGAGATCTTCCTGTAACTCATGATAAGTATCTGAGGCCAATTCATTACTTCCCACCAAAGGAGTTCATTCTAAATTGGAAGTCAGAATTCCAGTAGGGAGAAAAATGCTCTATTTTAGGCAAGACCTTGGCAAAAGTGTGATGTTGGTGAATCTTTGTGTCATTTAATGTGACTGAATTATAGAAACACACACACACACACACACACACACACACACACACACTCTTAATTACCCAGGGCAATTACTTACTCTTCCCACTAGATAGCTCTTGGAGAGACTGGCCTAAAACACACACACACACACACGCGCGCGCGCACACACACACACACGCACACTCTTAATTACCCAGGGCAATTACTTACTCTTCCCACTAGATGCTCTTGGAGAGACTGGCCTAAAACACACACACACTCTCTCTCTCTCTCTCTCTCTCTCTCTCTCTAATTACCCAGGGCAATTACTTACTCTTCCCACTAGATGGCTCTTGGAGAGACTGGCCTAAAATCAGCAATCTTCCAGAGCTTCAATGCCACTCTATGTTAGAATCATAGAATAATGGGCTTTTATAGATTTGGAATAAAGCTAATGATTATTTCATCTAAACTGATTATCACCTTACTGGAAACTAATTTGAAAAAGACACTAAGTACCCAAGGTCACTAGTCTAATACATTCAGTAAATATGTTGAGTATCTCTCTGCCAAGTCTTATGCTAGGTGCTGAAATTAAATCAAGCGGGAGATAGCATATATGTAAGCAAATAAGTACAGAGTACGATTAGGAAGCAGCTTTGCTTGTGGGAAGCTGAGGAGGTTTTTTTTTCTTTCTTTCTTTTCTGTTTTCATCAGCTATACTGCAATATAATTTGTATATAATAACATTTGCCAATTTCCATTATACCATTTGATGAGTTTTGACTGATGTATGGAGTCATGCAACCATCACCACAATCACTCACCATAAATGTTGAGTAGGAATCATCAGCCTACTGTGATTCCTGTGCTGCGAAAGACTGAGACATGAAGCAAAGGGATGAGTTAAGAGGTTATTGTGGTAAATTCAGTGAGAGATAACCATGCTTAGACCAGGAGGTAGTAGTGGAGATGAGAAACGTAATATATTTGGAAAAAGGGACAATAGATTTTTCTGACAGACTGGCTGTAAGGTGTAAAAGAAAAGGCACAAATGATTGTAAGGTTTTTGGCCAAAGGTATTGGAAGGATACAGTTGCCATTCATTGAAATGGGCAAGGCTGTAGAAGAAGCAGGTTTGATGGCAGAAAATTTGCGTCAGGGGTTTTCAGTTTAAAATGCCTAATAAATATTCAAGTGTAATAAGTTTAAAATACAAATCAGAAATATCCAACTGATTGCAACAATCTAATCAGAGGAGAGGTCTGAGTTAGGGATAGAAATTTGGGGGTGTAAATTATATCCTGAATAAACTGTAATGTGTCCATCAAGAAGGATAACATCCTAGGGGTGTTTGATGATGGATACAGACTGTTTTCAAAAAAAGAAAGAAAGAAGAGATGATTAGCACACAATGTCCAGAGGTGAGGCTTCCTGGATGCTCAGTAACTGAAACATCCAGAAATATTCTTGGGTTATATATCGGTAAGTTATCTTGGCCTCAGAACTTTGTGGGAATATATCTTAGACCATGACTAGTTCTGATTTTTGAATAGGCCTTTTCTGAGTTCGTTGTTCTACACTTTACCACAAGCCCCTTGTGGAAAATGTGCCCAGCCAAGACTTCAGAGTTTATGGCGATAATAATCACAAAGTCATGGAATTAGGGCTTGGAAAATATCCTAAAGTTTATCTAGCTCCAACTTCACACCCATGGCATGACTAATAGATAATCTGAGTCATATCCAATGGAAATGAGCTCACATCTCCCAGGACAGACCCTACCCCTAATGGACAACTCTATTTCAAAATTCTTTCTTATGTGAAATACAAACATAACTCGCTGTAGTTAATTTTCTTTTCTGCATCTAAGGGACCCCAATGACTATATTCCTGCAGTTTGTGAGTTTCAACTTGACCATAAGTTTCTTGGGTTTCTCCCCGTTACAGAGCCTGTTACACAGTTTAGGTTTTAAAACTTCAACCCTTGGCCTTCATGACACCTTTGCGGTATCTTCTGTCAAGAGGCTTACTAGACTTTTTTTTTTTAGTTTAAAATAATTATTCATGGTTAAATTGTGATAAAACATACATAATATAAAATTTACCATCTTAGACATCTTTAAGTGTACAGTTCCAGTGGCATTAAGCACATACATCATGTTTCTCCAGAACTTTTTTACCTTGCAAAACTAAAACACTATACGCATTAAATGATAGTTTATCATTTCCCCCTCTGTCTCCCTTTTTTACACATAAGGAGGATTTTTAGTGGAGAGGACAACAGGACTGACTTTTGAAGGCTTAGTTGGAATTTTCAAAGCATTAACACCGGCAGGAAAGAACATTCTAAGCAAAAACAAAAAACGAAAGGCAAAATGCAAAGATGCATTAATGATATTGTTTTATTTGAGAAATTATAACTAGTTCAATAAGTGGAAGCAAAAAATATTTTGAAGGAGGGATAGGAGATGAGATTAGAAAGGGCGGGGAGGGAGAAGGGCCCAGATCACAATTGGGATTATATAATGCTGAGGTTCTGCTTTATTCTGTATGTAGTAAAGAAGCTTGAAGGAACTTGCAGATGACAATGAAATGAAAAAAATTAAGTGTAATGCATATATATTTGGGGCTCCTGATGGTCTATACTTGTCATGGAGTTAATTTTTAGAAATTTTATTGTAAGTGAATAAAACCTTTACTCAGTCTCCCCCCAAAAATTCTAAGGGTGAAGAAAGCAAACTTTAAAAAAATAGTCTTTAAACATCCTTGTTATTTTCAATTTTTCTTATGTCTAGGAAGGACTTCTAAAAAGGAAAGGTTGCTCTTTATCTTTACACTCTAAAACTTGGACATTTAGCTTTTCCTTAATCTCCATTTTTACCATTCTCATCTCAGTTCTTTAGGACTTCAGCTTCTTTTCCTTTTGTAGTTTTCTTTAGTTTTCATTGAGTGTATTTTGAACAATCAAAGAGGTCATGGTGATGTCCAGGTTATAAAATGATTCTTGCTTTACAATGGGAAGGGAGGGAGGGAAATGGCAAAAATTCGAGTTCTCATTTTTAACCTTTTCAACTATGTTAGCGGATTCCTCAATTTCATAGCATATAGGTAAATGAGATATCTGACAAAGGATAACTAGAATACTAAAAGCATTTTGTATTAAAAATAATTATTAAAGATAAAAATGTTTAGCCTAGAGAAAAAAAGGAGATGTAGGAAGTATATGTTAGTTCTGCAAAATATACTTGAGGAATGCCATGTGAAAAGGTGATTTTATTTATATCTCTACAGAGGAAAGAATTGCCTTCAAGAATAAGTATTTTATATAGATGGATTTTTTTTTTTTTTTGAGACAGAGTCTCACTTGTTGCCCAGGCTGGAGAGCAGTGGCGTGATCTTGGCACAATGCAAGATCCACCTTCCGGGTTCACGCCATTCTCCTGCCTCAGCCTCCCAAGTAGCTGGGACTACAGGTGCCCGCCACTATGCCCAGCTAATTTTTTGTATTTTTAGTAGAGACGGGGTTTCACCATAGCCAGGATGGTCTCGATCTACTGACCTCATGATCCACGCACCTCAGCCTCCCAAAGTGCTGGGATTACAGGTGTGAGCCACCACGCCCGACATACATGCATATTTTTAATTGCAATGGAGATAATAATTTGGTTAAGATATGTTTGGTCACTGTCCTCAAGGAGCTTGTTTTTGAAGAGAAAATTAACATGTACAGCCGACTATGATGACAGCTGAGTAGCAGCATATTTTAAACTGTGGAATAGCCACATAAATATCTTCTTTTGAGAAGTGTCTGTTCATACCCTTCATCTACTTTTTGATGGGGTTGTTTGTTTGTTTTCTTGTAAGTTTGTTTAAGTTCTTTGTAGATTCTGGATATTAGCCCTTTGTCAGATGGATAGACTACAGAAATCTTCTCCTGTTCTGTAGGTTGCCTGTTCACTCTGATGATAGTTTCTTTTGATGTGCAGAAGCTCTTTAGTTTAGTTAGATCCCATTTGTCAATTTTGGCTTTTGTTGCCATTGCTCTTGGTGTTTTAGTCATGAAGTCTGCCCATGCCTATGTCCTGAGGTATTTGACTAGGTTTTCTTCTAGGGTTTTTATGGTTTTAGGTCTTACATTTAAGTCTTTAATCCATCTTGAGTTATTTTTTGTATAAGGTGTAAGGAAGGGGTCCAGTTTCAGTTTTCGGCATATGGCTAGCCAGTTTTACCAACACCATTTATTAAATAGGGAATCCTTTCCCCATTTCTTGTTTTTGTCAGGTTTGTCAAAGATCAGATATTTGTAGATGTGTGATATTATTTCTGAGGGTTCTGTTCTGTTCCATTGGTCTATGTCTCTGTTTTGGTACCAGTACCATGCTGTTTTGGTTACTGTAGCCTTGTAGTATAGTTTGAAGTTAGATAGAGTGATGCCTCCAGCTTTGTTCTTTTTGCTTAGGATTGTGTTGGTTATACAGGCTCTTTTTTGGTTCCATATGAAATTTAAAGTACTTTTTTCTAATTCTCTGAAGAAAGTCACTGGTAGCTTGATTGGGATAGCATTGAATCTGTAAATTACTTTAGGCAGTATGGCCATTTTCATGATATTGATTCTTCCTATCCGTGGAAATGTTTTTCCATTTGTTTGTGTCCTCTCTTATTTCCTTGAGCAGTGGTTTGTAGTTCTCCTTGAAGAAGTCCTTCACATTCCTTGTAAGTTGTATTTCTTGGTATTTTATTCTCTTTGTAGCAATTGTGAATAGGAGTTCACTCATGACTTGGCTCTCTGTTTGAAGACATTTGTGCAGCCAACAAACATGTGAAAAAAAGGTCATCATCACTGGTCATTAGAGAAATGCAAATCAAAACCACAATGAGATACCATCTCACGCCAGTTAGCATGGCGATAACTTAAAAGTCAGGAAACAACACATGCTGGAGAGGATATGGAGAAATAAGAACACTTTTACACTGTTGGTGGGAGTGTAAATTAGTTCAACCATTGTGGAAGACAGTGTGGTGATTCCTCAAGGATCTAGAACCAGAAATACCATTTGACCCAGCAATCCCATTACTAAGTATATACCCAAAGGATTATAAATCATTCTACTATAAAGAGATATGCACACACATGTTTATTGAAGCACTATTCACAATTGCAAAGACTTGAAACCAACCCAAATGCCCATCAGAGATAGACTAGATAAAGAAAATGTGGCTCATATATACCATGGAATACTACGCAGCCTCCAAAAGGGATTAGTTCATGTGCTTTGCAGGGACATGGATGAAGCTGGAAACCACCATTCTCAGCAAACTAACACAGGAACAGAGAACCAAACACCACATATTATCACTTATATGTGGTAGTTGAACAATGAGAACACATGGACACAGGGAGGGGAACATCACACATTGGGGCCTGTTGGGGAGTGGGGGGTTAGGGGAGGGATAGCATTAGGAGAAATACCTAATGTAGATGACTGGTTGATAGGTGTAGCAAACCACCATAGCATCCTATGTAACAAACCTGCACATTGTGCACATGTATCCCAGAACTCAAAGAATAATACTAAAGTAAAATTGTGGAATAGTAAATAAAAAAGAGGTAACTACTTCAGAAAAGTGTATAGGTGGTAGTAAGGAAATGTCCCAAGAAGTATATGCTTGAATGAATCAGTTGAGTTTGGAAGGATTATGAAGAGTTTAACGCATGAGTAAAGTCTTAGATTTATTTGTATTTTAGGCAGGTAAAATACATGTAACAGTGTGATGAACTATTGGTAGTTTAAATTTTGTGTTTATTTGGTGGTAGGTGGTAGATTTATTTGTATTTTTTTGCATATAAATGTCAGAGACCTTGTCTGTTTTGTTCATCTTTTTAACCCCAAGTTCTTAACAAATACCTGCTGAATAAGTAAATGAATGAAAATAGTTCTATATGAACATTAATAACTGAGTCTAACAGGTATATTGGCACTATGTTATAAAAAAATCAGACTATGCCATGCAAAGAAATTTTAAGTTGGTTTCCTGAAAAATATGGGGAAGTTAATGCATTTTAATACTTAAACATATAACCAAATATTTTCAATGTAATTAATTAAAATAATTATATTTTTTATGATCTATAAGTGTCTCAGATAAAATAATTTCTCTGTAATGACAAGGGAAGGACTTTAGAATGGGTAATTTTCAGCAGATGGAGAAGAAAGATGGAATGTGAAAAGTGCAGAGGTAGGGAGGCACAAAGTATTTTGGAGAAGCAATGATTGAAACATTTTATTTCTGAGGGGTGGCTTAAGAACATAAGCCAACAAGACAGCAAACTATATATTTTATTGTGGCTTTACCAGTAACTGAGCAACTTACAGATATTCATTTAGCCTCCTTTGGCTTTTGTTTTCTCTTTGTAAAATAAAGCTTTTAAAGTAGATAGTCTCTTTGATTGTTCTAGCTCTACATAATAATACATAGAACTGAAAAAGTTGATTCAGGACACTCTATGGAGGAAACTAAAGGGCAGGCTCTTTACTTTGAGCTTCACTTAATGGGTTTTAGAGTATCAGGATGATATGGTTTGACTGTGTCCCCACTCAAATCTCATCTTGTATTCCCATGTGTTGTGGGAGGGACCCGTTGGGAGGAAATTGAATCATGGGGCCAGGTCTTTCCTGTGCTGTTCTCCTGATAGTGAATAAGTCTCACAAGATCTAATGGTTTTAAAAAGAGGAGTTCCACTGCATAAGCTCTCCCTCTTTGCCTGCTGTCATCCATGTAAGATGTGACTTGCTCCTCCTTGCCTCCCACCATGATTGTGAGGCTTCCCCAGCCAGGTGGAACTGTAAGTCCAGTTAAACCTCTTTCCTTTGTAAATTGCCCAGTTTTGAGCATGTCTTTAACAGCAGTGTAAAAATGAACTAACACACATGGCTTTTAAAAATTGTTTTAGTTTACCTTCAAATCTATCTCAATTAACTTGTATTTATTATTGAAAATATGAAAATTATAATAAGCAAAAATTTAAAAATTAAAGGTCATCTAAAACCCTGATTCTGAGATGTAATTCTCCTAGCATGTTGATGTTTATCTTTTGTGATTGATGGATAAACAGAAACGTACAGCAAAATAGATATATGTGTTTTTCCACCAAAAACTTGGAATTTACATATAATATTATAATATTAACTCACAGTTTTACTTTGTACATAATAAACCCTCTTTCATGTCAATAAATTATTTTCTTCTGTATCATTTCTGATACTAGCATAGCATTCCTTTTTACAATATAGCCATTATGGAACCTATCCCCATTGTTCAACACCTAGGTTGTTTCCTTATATCTGTTATTTACTAACACTACTGGATGAATGGAAAAATAGTATTTTCTGAAATTGAAAATCTAAATAACATATTTGTTAGGAGGGAATATGATGAGATAAAAGAGTTGAGGTTAAAGTGTAAGAGCAAAGCATCTACATCCAAAGGCCTTGATGTCTCTTGGAAATCTGAGTTTGGAGATTGCAATTGAGGTTTGGGAGGAATTAACCTTGTGATGGGAGCTGAAAGTAGATATGCTTGAGTTCTCTGAGCAAGGGTACAGAGGGGGAACAGGCTTTTAAAATTCAGAAAAGGAGGTGTACATTAGGGCTTGGATATATGATGAAGCTGAACAGACTGAGTTGCTATAGCACGACAAAGACAAAGCTAAAAATAGCCCTGTGTTGCACAGTATGAAAAAAGACTGCCTATGACAAGTGAAGATTTTAGATTATATTATAAACACATATACATAGTAGCACTTTTGTGAATAAAAGAAAAAATATATAAGAAGCTGTATTTCTCATTTGAAAGAATTGTGTCTGTGTGTGTGTGTGTGTATTTTATTATTGTTTGCTTTGTTGTGTTTGGTTTTTGTTTTGTTTTGAAGCTTAAGGAAAATCTTGCAAAATGTGTCCAAATCATTTTCTTTCTAAGTATTAAGGCAGCAATGTTCGTAAGAATTTCAAAGCAATTACTTATTTATTTAAAACTACATAAATTAAGCAATGCAAGTTGAACTACACATATATCTGCCTCCTTGGGCTGTTGCCTAATGCCATATATAGCTACAATTATGAACAAACCAAAATTCATCTGTAAGATTGAAAAAAATAGATATTTCAACACACAGCCATAAAAAGAGAAGAATACTTGTAAGTTCACTTATTTCACCTTGTAAAGTACAGACACATGGGACCATATGTAGTTATGCTATTGCCATCAAAGGCAAGTTGGCTCAACATTGTTTCTAAGACAGAGAAGTTGCTTCTATACTTTTACTGATATTAATCAACCTGTAGTGTCAGGAAATTCTTCTTTAGTCTAACCCTAAAACTTGCTTGATTGAATTTACATTATGATTACACAAAGCTAAGAAAATACCATCAAGCAAGGTTTCATAAATTAAGTACAAAGAGGCTGGTTAGTGGGACCAGGAGAAAAATTCTGAAATTATTCCCTTTTGTGTTTGAATTTCAGTATGTTTTAAATAAAGTTGTTTGTTTGTTTATTTAATTGATAATACTTTCCATACTTCCTTTGAAATTTAAAAAGGATGATATCGTATATATTCGGTTTACTGCTAACTGACTTTTTGCCAGTTTTTGTCATTGTTAACATCCATGCGTGGACAGATATACATACACACACCTCAAATTAACCTCCAATTTCCTATATTTTACATTGTAGCTTTTGTATTTGCTAATAATCCTTTTAATAGTATAGCAATCCTGTGTGAGGACAGAAAAATTATGTTCACACCCAGACTAACCAATATTCAGAAATGTGCCTTGAAGCCCAGAACATCCCTGGGAGAAGGTGCCTGCCATAGCTGAAGCCTGGATCCCATCAGGCATCTCTTTGCATGTACCAGAGACACATTAGTGTTTCAATTGACAAGTTTGATGCCTTTTTACATATTAAGTGAACTTTGCTTTGCATTGTAAGTGGTGGAGGGCCAGAAATAATTTCTATGCAAGTCATGGAAATCTTTATCTACACAAGACACACTCCTATAAAATTAAAGTTCTGCTCAAATAACTTTTCTTTTGAGTGATGATTCACAAGAGAATGGATTTCTACTTTTGAATTAACTAGCCCTGTCCATTCAGTAACTGCTTTGGCTGAGAAAATTCATCCTTTTTATATTTTCCAATGTTATTTGTCTTTTGGAGATAGAGAGAGAGAAGGGGAGGGAGGAATGGAGTGAGAGAGACACTTTACAAACAAAAGGCCTGATGCAATCTTTAATAACCTCCCCAGTCAGAAAAAGAGACAACATTTAGCAAGCACCTATGTATGATGTTTCAGTGTGCCATGTGCTAAGAGTAAGTGTTTTTATTAAATCATTCCAATAATCCTGCAAAGAAGCATTATTACCATGATCATTTAACAAAGGTAAATTTACAGTTTTGAGTGCCAGTCGAAGATTTTGACGTAAACTATTTGGGACCTATTTGGTTTCAGAAAAAAGAACAAACCCCCGTAATGCATGAGAACACTACCCACTTTCCAAATTAAATGTCTCCCTGCAGCTTATGATTTCCTGAATTTTCCAGTCTTCCTGTGAGGTAGAAATTAGGCAAGCAGCATTCCTGCTGCTATACTGAAAACTATAGAGAAGAAAAGACAGGGACTTATTAGTTCCCTTTCCTAAAATCGCCTAAACAGTAGTGAAATTACTGGAAATTGAATTTAGGCCTCCTGACTTGCCGTTGCCCATATCTCTGAGCACTAAAGGTATTTTCATAACTTAAGTACAAAGAGACTGGATTGGACCAGGGAGAAAAATTCTAAAATTATTCCCTTTTGTATTTGAATCTCAGTATGTTTTAAATACAGTTGTTTGTTGATTTAATTGATTTTATTTCTGCTAGTACTCTTCATACTGCCTTTGAAATTAAAAGGCCATATTATATGAATTCAGTTCACTGCTCACTGACTTTTTGCCAGTTTTTTTCATTGTAAACAGACTGTTGTAATCTATATTAATTCGGATGCTGTGTTGAAGTGATTTTTTTGGTAAAATATTATATGGACAATTTAGATGTAATATGAAACCAAGTATTGGTTTGTATTTTGCAGTCACAATATGGAGCTTCCGTTTCTGCCAAGCCTGAACTACCCCTCTTTTACACTCCTATTGATCTGGTGGACATTAGTGTAGAAATGGCCGGATTGAAGTTTATAAATCCTTTTGGTCTTGCTAGCGCAACTCCAGCCACCAGCACATCAATGATTCGAAGAGCTTTTGAAGCTGGATGGGGTTTTGCCCTCACCAAAACTTTCTCTCTTGATAAGGTAAGAAAATATTATTGAAGTCATATAGAAATGTCTATCATATATTTTAATTAAGGTATAAACATTATAATGGATTTTTTTTACTAAGAAATACTACTTATTAAACTATTTGACAAGACCTATCATTACACATTAATCTTTAGTTTCTTTCCTTCCTTTCTGTCCCATGGAAGAAGGGGCAGGCATATATTGCTCATTTAGTATTGTCTAGGAAGCAACAAAGATATAAATATTATGAAAGTGACTTTTTCATTTAATAATCTCAAACTCTTATTTTTGTATTATTAATTGTTTCATTATTTTTGGATGCCTCAGCTCAAAGATAGGGACACAATTGATTTGGTTTGCACAAAATTCTGGAATTCAATTTATGTTGAAAAGAATCTCAGTGTAACTTATTGGTATTGGTGATAAGATAGATTCTTTATAAATTTGGAATACAGAAACCTTTCTCAAAAACAAATACCCTGAGTTTCATTTAACATTATGACTTTGTACTTAACCAGAAGTGGACATCTTATACTTAGTAGGAAATAAACTACGTATTAAAGTTGAGATTGAGTCTTTAAAGTACACAAAGCATATAAATGCATGTTTTCAAAGTAAGATGCTTTATACAAGAGGATTGCATCCTTATATGGTTTTGAATTAGAAAAGAACAACAGACTTTAACATTTTTAGACCATTTATTGATAAATTACAAATGCTAAACCTCTCAATGTATTTAATACTAACTGGTAGTTAGTAATAATTAATGTATATGAATGTGTGAATTTAGTGACTAAGAAAAGAGTATCATTATTTGAATCAGCTTTATCCTTAGGCAAAGAAAATAATAGAGAACAAACATGCCCCATTAAGCACATTCTCTCTTTTTCCTCTTACTAGGATCAATAGCTGGCATTATTATGGCTAAAACATTAAGGCTGTCTTACTCTGACAGCTTTACAAGATGCAATGTGTAAGTGTGGTCAGGAAAATCTAGAGAATTCTCAAAAGTCAGAAAAAAAAACAGTGCAGGAAAAAAATCCTTCGTAAAGATTTTTTATATTTAAAGAGAAGTTATTTTTTCAAATAGATCAACTGAATATTTTATTAAACAAAGTGTGAAGCGTAACAGAATATACTAGATTCAGCTTTAGAATACCATGAATCAATTGTTTATAACCTTGTAGAATATTGATAGTATATTTGTCTTTGTTTCAATTGATTCGTTAAGAATTACTGAGAAGCTGTAATCAAATGTTTAATCTATTGGAGAAAACTGAGTCTCAGATAGCATATACTGACTATATTAGTTATGCTATTAAAAAACATATATGTAAACCGAAATAGGTGGCTAATTGGGCACAGGTGAAGAATTATAGCTGAAAAAAAGAGGTGTTTGCTGCTTTGAATTTGATGTTTTCTTCGCTTGCAATAATTGAATTCTGATTAATCAGAGACATCAGTCTTTACACTGTTGGTGACATGCATTGATTTGTGATGCTGTGTCTTTCAGTAACCTAGGAGCACTTGCCTTTATTAGGATCACCAGCAGAAATAAATGTGGAAGCTAACTTCCTTCTAAACCTCCAATTTGAATTTAATCTATCAATTTAGAAGTGTGTGATGCTGGTTCAAAAGGGGAGTTATGAACAAATGGAAATTAAATTTGGCACATGAAATGTAACCATGCGGGGTTTTTTGGAAACCCTATTTTACTTACTTTGATGGTGGGTACAACAAAATATTGTGCAGACTATTTTAAACATATTTCTGCAAATTGCAATGACAAAAATAATGAAGCCACCTTGGGCTTATGTAATGCCATTTTCAAAAAAGATTATTTTCCATACGTGATTTTGCAGAGTAGTCCGTTTGCCTCATAGAGGTCTACTTTTTTTGTTTCCTTATCTGGTTCCTAATTAGTGATTAAATTTGTGAATATATAATTACATCGTATGTGCTTATTTCTTATTTCTATGCTTTCCTATTGATGAAATGTTGGTAGTATACAACTCAGTAGTATGAACATACTTATTTCCCCACAGCCTTTTACTAAAGACGTCTATTAAAATATTACATGTACTATACATTTCGGTGACATTATAGTATACCAATTTAGATTAGCCTTATTATAATTTATTATGGCAATTGAAGAATCTATTTAAAATGAATTAAAATTCAGAATCTTGACATTTGAAATTTGGATGCTCTTAATATGACAAAGGTTATTCTATGGGGTTTTGTTATCATATGAAATATTAATATTTCACAATACAATTTTGATGAAGTACAATTTGCCAAGCTTGCATATGATAAAGAAATTAAATGCTTACCAAGGGAGTTCGGTGAAAATTAGAGCCCTGACTGAACATCTGCTAGAAATTTTATTATCCTGTCCTACTGACAGTGTGGCTCCCTCGTTGTTTTTCTGGATTGACAGCTGAATATTGCACTGATTTCTGCAGCAAATATGTTTGCGTGAACTTTGTTTCCCTTTTTTTATTTTTTTGGGAGTTTGGAACATGCTTTTGATTTTCATCCTGTATATATATATATATTTTATACTCTTGACATTTGTAGATGCCAGATTGAGGTCTAATATGCTGTAGCACCGATAGACCATTGACTTACAGTGAAATGCCAGTTGATATCTCAGTAAACAGAAATATTATTATTCTTTACTGTGCAGTCTATATAAAAGCTGTATGTGCTTTCTTTAGAAAGGCAAATGATCATATTTTTAATGTCAAATATGAAAAGATCTGTTTGCTTTTGTGTTAAATAACATCAAAAATGGCTTTTATTAACTATATTCTTCCTCTTCAAATCTGTCTTTCCAAGAATGTTTCAAAATAACAAGGTTGCTTTTCTTGAGATTCTATTTATGTTTTATAAAGATAGTAAAGTCATATTTAAAATATAGTTATGAAATCATTTTTCTATACAAATGTATATCGGCTCCAAGTTTAAATTTTGAAAGGTGGGAGAGAAATCGATCTGTCAAGCTTGATTAAAGCTAAATTATCATGACAAAACAGAGAAGTGATCTGTTTAAGAGGGAATATTAGAAATGGTTTGGACTTCACATAAAATAACCCCTTGACCTGTGTTCACATTATATTGATAGGAAGTAGATAAAAACATTTTGTTTTCATTAATTTTGTCCATAAATTTTGTTCTCTTGGAGAGCTACATATTATATACTGCAAATCTGTAACATGAAACTGCAAGTTGCATAGCTTTATTACTGCACAGATAAATAAACTAAGAAGTATTTATTTCTATCCTAAATCAAATCTAAACCCAAGCAACAGTTCACTTCACTTGTAAGCCCTTTCTATACATAGATTAACTTGTGATTAACTTTAATTATGAAAATATCTCAAATGAATAGATTTTGTTTTAATAAGTATCAAATTAGGTAAATAAGTATCCATGTAATAGGTCTCTCTTATAAAATGCTAAGAAGTAAAGACTGAAAATATTTAAGCCTCTTTTTTTGGCATCAAAGTATTTATGTAGCTGTTTCTGTAAAACACAACCTTATACCCCATAGCACAAAGCTTAATGTATAGGAGAGGCTTGATAAATGTTTCATAAATATTCGCTGGATAAATGAATACATAGATTTTTTTGGCAAGAGCATATCGAGTTTATTTTTTTCCCAGTATATGAACAGACAGTTAACACATAAAAGAATTGAATGTTTTGAGTATTGATCTCAATCGAAGGAGAAAAGGCCAATTAAAAAATTTTCATATTCTATGTTGCTTTTCTATAGTGCATCTATACGTGTCTAAAAATGAAAATGTCAGTGAAATTTCTGAATGTATAGATTGTGGTTTAAGACTTAGATTGTTGTATAAGCCTTTAAAATGCAGAGAATTTTTGAGAAAACAGGGCAAGTATCACACAATATTAAGAAGATACGTAAAAATCGGCTGGCCTAACTTCTAACTGCATGTATTGGTAGTCCTGAGAGAAGAAATGTAACCTGTTCTTGAATGCTTTTAGTGACAAGGAATATACTACATCTTTAAGGCAATATAACCTGTATGACTGTAGAAAGATCTGTTTTAGAAATATGTTCCTTTTATTGACCCCATATCACCCTTCTCATAAATTTCATCCATGTTTTATATATAGTTCTGCCCTCTGATACATCATGGAATAAATAAGAGTAATATTAATATAAATGAATTATTTAAAATAAAATGTTGTTGTTGTTGTTTTCCACAAGTAAATAAATACGTTAGAAAAAAATCTAACAAATATGGAGAAGCAGTGTAGTGTGGGGAAAGGTACTTTGGCCTGGGAGGCCCTGGTCTTAATCCAAAGCTGCTTCTAAATCACTGTCTTGGACATGTGTAATATTATAGGTCATTGTTATAGTTGTTATCATTATTCACATTATTAGATACCCTATATTCAGTGCTTAGGATGTATAGACTAAATGTTTTTGTAAATTATTTCATTTAATCCTCACAATCTGTTTATAAGATAGATAGTATTGTTTTCAGATGAAATAATAGTCTGAGAAAGTTAAATAAATTGTCCAGGACTTAAGACAACAGTTATCTATTTGACTATAGTCATGTGGGTTGGCAATTTGGGCTCAGCACGCATGATCAGTTCTCCTACTTCACAGGGTGTCAGCTGGCCTCAATCATGCATTTACAGTTGGTTGTTTGGATCCCTGGGGATCAAGATGTTCCACTAATGTGTCTGGAGCCTCATGTGGGGCATATAGCAATCATGTGGGATTGCTATAATTGCGGAGATGGCTGAGCTTTTCTCTCTATCTCTTCATAATCTCTCTTGCCTCACAATGTCTTATCAAGGTGGCTGGTTTAGGTTTGATAAGGCTACTTCACAAGGCTAGTAGTGTTCTAGGAGGACAAGAGTGGAAGCTGAAAGATCTCTTGACACAAAGACTCCAAAGTCTACACAGTGTTACTTCCGTATTTTATTCAAAGCATGTTACAAAGTCAATGTATGTTCATGAAGTAGGTAAATACCATCCACTTATTGATAAAAAGAAGTGCAAAACCACATTACAAAGGGACATGCATAGAAGTAGGGAAGGATTATTGCAGCCATCTTTGCAAACAGTCCTAACTTGCCCTCTGATTAGAGCAATTCACATCCCTCCCAAATGTAAACTGCATCCACTCCTTTCCAAGACACCCAAAATATCATCTAATCATGGCATTAGGCTCAAGGTTCATTATCTTATGATCTTCATCAAGTCCAAATGCCTATGAGATTATTTGGTTTTAGTTTCTTTTTACTGAGGATTCTGTGATATAGAAAGACATGTTTTCTATCTTCCATATACCCAACACAAAACGATACAGTCAAGAGAACCACAGTAGATAAAATCTCCTTTAGAAACTGGAGAAATGGAAGGCACATAGCAATCACTTGTCCATAGCAATTTTGAAATTCAGTTTGGCACATATTTTCAGGGCCTCTTGCTCCAGGGATGGAGAATCAGGGTCCATTTATGCTCCTTGGTAAGGATGTCCTAATACATTTTTCCTATCTACTGTTGGCTCTGCCTTCTGGGCTACTGATTATCTCTGGGCTACTGGTTTTCTCCTCTGAGTTTTTTTTTTTTTGTTGTTGTTTGTTTGTTTGTTTTGTAAATGGCTAATGATGGCCCCTGTTGACAGCTGAGTAGTTTTGTCAGCCTGTTCCTGCCCAAATAAAGTTATAGCACCCTATTCCTCTCTTTGTTTTGAATTGTTTCTTTTAATCCTAACTCATGGTGATATCATCATAAAACTCTGTTAACATAATTTTGAATCTATTAAGGACTAAATTGATGCCCAAAGTCACATCCATAATTCTTTTTAAACAGATTTCTTTTATTTTTGGATATGCCTTGCTGTTGTGGTACAATGTCTTTAGGAATGTTAGAAGCCCTGAGAGAATCTACTAGGACCTGCCTTAGGTCTTTCTAAAGTCTTAACAAACTGTCTTACTGCAATATTCTTGAGATGATCTTTAAGGTACTTTATTTTGAGAACCTTTTTTCCATCTAGGAGAGAACAAATATAAAGAATAGTTTATTTTCTGACCCAGTGTGTCCTAGGTCCCTTGGATTCTGTCTGTTTTGCATGGCAAATTTAAATATAGCCTTATTTAGCTCTTTTCTCTCTTTTAGTACCTTATCACACTTGGGTAGAAACACTCAACTGAACACGTTCAGTGTTCTTTCTAGAGATGTATTATGTTCACTTTCTGTTTTCCAAATTATCACTGCTGACATTCTTGCCAATTGTTCTGTCACCACATAATACAGGCCACTTTTCCAACCCTCCAATAACAATTTTCATACCATATTTTAAACCTCTACAACAGTTTGTTCACCATTCTTCCAGCCTTTACTAAGATCTTACTCTTGGTTTTTCAAGGCTCTGCCTGCCTCACAATGCCAAAGCCAGGGCCACATGTTTTATATTTTGTTATGCTAGCAAACATAACCTATTTCAGCATCACGTACCTATTGCTGCATATCAGACAACCTTACCAAAAGCAGCAACACGTTTTCTGCTCTTGTTTCGACAGTTTGGCAGTATGGCCAAGGCTCAGCTGGGTTGACTTGCCTTTGCTTCACATGATATTAGTTCTTCTCACTCATGGATTTGCAATCAGTTGACAGACTGTTTGGTGGCTGGCTGATGGCCGGTCCTGGATGATTTCATTCACATGCCTGGGTCCTCAGCTGACGTGATTAGGCCTGTATCTCCGTATGGTCTTATCTTCAAAGAGACTACACTGGACTTGTTCACAAGTTGTCAGTGCTACAAAAAAGGCAGGAGGAGAAGTTGCAAATCCTCTTGATGCCAAGGCTCGGAAGTTGCACAATATAATTTTCATTGTGTTCCATTCTTTAGGGCACATCACAAGACCAGATCAGGTTGTAACAGCATGGAAATGGCCCCTCCCATCAAAACACTGAAATCCACCACGTCAGGATTTGAACCAAGGTCTATTTGATACAAATCCCTGCAATTTCCACTATATCATGCTTTTACATAATGTATCCTCTCTGGACCATATTACTTTATGTCTAAAATGAAGGCAGTTTGACTGCACTCATGTCTTCAGAGACTTAGAGTTCAGCCTGAGCATTTACACTGAGGACTTTCTACCCACTGCTTCGTATAGAGTGGCACCTATGCTTGTCTTTCTATTGAGAAATAAAAGTTGCACAGAAATTTTATATTTCTATGTGCAATTTCAGAGAGAATACAAGAGAGCATTTTGATTTAACAGCTTCTGTGAATCTGCTGTCATCAGAAGCCAATTTTTTGCCAGCCACACTGGCCCCCTTTCTAGTTCTCCAACATGGCAACTTCCTCCCTGTCTTAGGACCATTTTGCTTGGTGTTTGATCTGCCTGGAATGCTCTTCTCTCAGATATTTATATGACTGGCTCTTTTTTCTTAATCAGTTCTCAGATCAAAAGTTACCTCCTCAGAGAAGCTCTTGTTAACCATTCAAAACCCAGGCTCTCCATCCCACATTACATTGGTTGTTTTTTTCTTCACTGCACTTATCACCATATGAAATTGCCATGCTCTTGGACATCTATTTCTGTTTTAGCCACTTGAAGTAAGCTCTGTAAGTAGAGAGATATTGTCTTTCTTGCTCACTACAGCATGCCCAGTGCCAAGAACAATGTCTGGCAGATAGAAAGGACGCAATACATACTTGTTAGATGAATGAATAATTATAGTATTCTAATTTGAACCACAATTCCACATGACAGCTCTTCAGTTACTTGGAGACAGCTCTCATGTCCTATCCATAAGCCTTTTCTTTTTCCTTTCTAAATAGTTCTGTTTTTCTTTTCATAATAAGGTTTGCAGACTTTTTACCATGTAGGTTGTCTGTTCTCCCATGTGGATTCCAAGAAACTTGTTTCAATCCACATTATCTTAATTGAGAGGAAGTTGCTCCTGCGTTTGCACAAATTGCACAAATTGCCAGCACCTATCAACGAGATGAGAACTGAGGAATAACATTGTCAGGACTGTAAATGCTAAAGATAATATTTAAAGTTGAAAATTTCACAAACATGTCATGTAATAATATTTTAGAGCCTGGGTAATTCTCTATGGATTACAATACAAAACATCACAATTTATTTTTGAAACTCATTTTGGAAACCTTGTTAGAAATAAAGATCTGGATTTTTTAAAAAGATTAAATAAAACTGATTTACTTATTTATTATTAAGAGTTTATCTATTACCTCATCATGAAAGTCTATGAAACAATAAATTAACAATAGTCCAGTGCATTATTTTTGCTGCTATAGTTCTAGCTTCCAATTTTGTATATGATTATTTTCTATTTATTGCATAGTATTGTTTTCCTGATAATATACATTAACTAGGAGTTATAATTGTTTAAATAAATTCAATGTAAGCTTTTTATCTGGGAGACTTTTAACATGCTGAAAACTGAGATGACTTCTGTATACTAATAGTTTATCACCTAGCTAGGTTCTTATAACTTAGACGTATTTTATTGAAATTCATAAAATCAACTCATCCTCCAATTATAAAGAATTAGTTTATTAAATGGCTACAGTTCACATATAGTACTCCTATGGGACATTTCATCCAAGTGTTCACTTCAAGACTATTTAGCAAGCTCTTCTATGACGTAACCCTCATTTCTTCATCAACAAAAGAACCTGTATGTGTGCTTGCACACTCGTGTGTACACATTCAATATTGAAGCTAAATCTTGCAAGTTAGAATCTAATGAATACACCACTGTCTATCCTTAAAGTTTTAAATCAGTCTCTGTTCGCAATCATACCATGTTTGCCAGACTTAGTCTGTTAAGTAAAAAATATAGATTAAGATGCTTTCAAACACAATTTAATGCATGTATTTCGAATATTAAGTAAAAATCTTTTAATTATAGCCAAAGTAATATTTTTAACCATGAAGCAGACTAATCAATTTTCCAATATAATTACATCTTCACCACTTTCCCATTTCAGGCTGTGATTTCACACCTGTTAATTAGTTAATCATTTTGGTAGAGTGGACAAAGTGAAACTCAAATAGACTTTTTAATAATATAAATTGACGTGTACAATTTTGATCTGGGTTAGCTGGTAGATGAATCTAACTTGTAATGGAAAGTACCTCTTATTCAGTTTCCTTTTTTAAAAAAAGCAAGTGGTGTCAAGGTTAATGGAAAATTCTCATAATTATGGTTAATGGAAATTTCCTTAAAGTACAGTCCTGCTGTTTGAGAAACTGATTTTACCCTTATTCTGTCTCACATAATTCTTCTGTGAATTTTAAATTTAACCAGTTAAAAATCTCCATATTTTGGGTATGTTTAGATGATACAATCTTTGGTTGAAATTAGTTGGATTGAATTCCATAATATTCTCCTTGCCTTTGTATTTTCTTTATTGCTTTTTAATAAGATTCTAGTAACTACTATGTAATGATATTCTTTATACTCATTTTAAATACTTTATACCATGATTACCTTACTGTCAGATTTTTATTAAAGGCATACCTACATTGGCTATTTTGTTACAAGACTGACTCTGTTTTAGTAAAATTACAGTTCGCTGTATGCTCCTTTTTCCTAAAGGACTAGCAATGTGCTTAATGTTCAAGTACCACTATTTCTGAAATGAGGTGTCATGAGAAATAAAGTGTCACTAACTCAAGGAAGTTACTGGTGTGTTAGTTAAATATTCACTCAAACTGCCCTATCACACACCAATTACCTTTTCTTACCCCACTGCCTCATCTGCTTCTTTCACTTCAGCTAAGCCCATTGCCCTTTTCATCCTGCCCTGCTTTCCTCATTTGCATGTTTTTCTACAATATCTCATGTGTCTGAAACAGTTTCTCACTTCTATCCTGCCAAATTTACCCTCTATTTATGTGAAAAATTAGCTTAAAATGTCATTAAAGAAAGTACCATTTTTAGGTATCTGGGCAAGATTTGATGTATTTTGAGAGCTCTTATAATGTCCTTTTATATATACTATTTTTCGAGTGTGTGTTTGTGTGTGTGTATATGTGTGTAATGTATGGTATTCACTTTAGACAACTTAAACTGTAGTTCAGAAAATATATACACCAAAAGATGTAAGATGACTTAAGGCCACAGGAATTCTTAGACTAAAATGTTACTTAATACTAAAATGTTACTTAATATGCAATATTTTATTTTTTAAATTATTTTATAATTTTAATTTTTTAATAATTTTTTATTTTCAATATTTTATTTTTTTATTTTCTTCACATTTGAACTGTCTTTATTCTAGGGAGAAGGGATAGCACACGGATAGTCACGGTCATGAGAGAACCGAGCATATGTAAGATGCAGCATAATGTCTCATGAAATGTTATAAGTAGCTGTAGAGATAGTGAGAAAGGCCTGTGGGGTTAGGAATTTAAATGTTGTTGTATAAACAGGGAACCTGTTGTTAAGAGGTTTAAGCAAAGAAATTACATAATTCAATTTGGAAGAGACTGTTAATCATAATACAACTACTGTTTATCATTTCAACAATAACTTTCACTTCTCTCCTCATACAAACTCTCTTTTCTGACAAAACTGGTTTTATCACCAGGTTTATGTTTGCATCGTCTATACCTTAATTTTACCATTCTTTATCGGTAAGGAGACATTTATTGTTCTTCAAATATTAAAAGGCCAATGACCACCCAAGTCCCCTGGAGCTACATTAATCAATGGTTATCTTCTCTCCATTGTCTGAGCTCTTATAGAATTTTACTCAATGGACACAAGAGGGAATGGATTCCTTTTAAACTCCACCCCACCCCCCGGCCCCTTTCCTGAATGGAAGCCTTTGGAGATCAGATCTCGTGACCACCAGGCCCTGCAAAGGGAACCTGCTGACTGACTACCTCCCTCCTCTTATCAACCAGTTTTATTTTGCAATGTAATACATTGTTCAGCAATATAATGAATTTTAAATTGATAAATATTATTACCTCTTGAAGAGTATTTTCACTTTCATGGCTAAATATAATTTTGTACAGCTATAATATTCCTCTTTAGGAGACATACTTTTGTTTAGACTAACGTTTATCTAATGGGTACCTCCAAGCATTCTTCAAAAATACTTCCCATCACTTGGGAACTCTTCCCTATGGTGCTTTTGAATCTTTGGTCATAGCTTGCTCTCTAGGAAACTCCTAGGAAGCTATTGAGTAACTTAGCTTTTCTCTGCTGCAACACATTTGCCTTTCCAAGGGACCATATTGAACAGAGCTTAAGGTGACTTCACATTACTTATTTAAATATGGGTCCCTTAATTGGTCCACAGGAAAATCTTACATTTCCTTTCCCCTGACAAATTCTAGGAATATAGGCTAGTTGCTGTACAGTTGCATCTCTTTTAGCTCATCTTTTAGCAACAGACAACTCACACCTTTTCGATATATCAAGCAGAGTGGGACACTGTATACGGTGCACCAACCTCCAAAAAAGAAAATAAAACTGCGGGGAACACATATAAAGTGCTCTGAAGGGTCCCTTTTAAAAGCTGTCTCTCAGGATTTGGGATGACAGTGGGACTCATATAATCCCAGAAGCATGCTCCAAAGAAACCATGTCATAATCTCCAACATCCATCCCTAACTTTTTGTTAACATTTTGTTTCCATATTGGAGTGAAGGGTGTAAGAGTTCCCTAAGCAGATTTTTGTTATCTACTTGAACATTTCTGTAAGGGAAAAATTTATTTTTGTGATTTATCTCAATGCCCCTTAAGGTCTCAGCCAAAATGTATATTTTAATATTCTGTTGCATTAATAATATCCATATTGAATTTTACTTATGGACATTTAGTATATGAAAATGCATTATTTAAAAACCCTTACATTTCATACAACTATTTGCATATAGAGATTTTTTTTTCTGGATTTTGTCAGTAACATTTAATTTTTTTAATATGGCAGCAGGTTTTAGTTCAGATCTTCCAAGAAACCGTTGCCAAGATGTGATTAAACATGCATGGATTTGATTAGGTGAAATAATTGTGGGAGACAATATGGAGGGTGTTGAGGAGGACTGGGAGAGCCATAAGACAGCAATAGAAGTCAAGCCATACATTGGGGAGAGAAGAAAGAAAGGTTGAGTAGGAGCATCATAGAGTGCCTTGCAGACTGAGAAAGCTTCGACAAAGCCATCTAGAGTCTTCATGTCTCTCAGGAAGGGGCCTGCTTAGTATCTCTGCCCTGCTCAGTCATTGGCTAAGCCACAGGAAGCATGGCTGCAGTGAAAATCCAGGAGTGGATTCATTCACAGCACAGCAGCTGGGGTCCTTGCTCAGTTATACTCCTGATAGTTGGAGTTACGTGAGATTGCCACAAAGATATTTGGATCTTTTACAATACTCAGCATAAGGTAGGCAGCCACTTAGTATATGGCTTTTAAATGGGGGGAATAAACAAACATTGGTGTGATTTTTGGACATCTCCTGTTGATCAATATAAAGAGAAATATTGTATAGACAACAGAGATCCACAGGTAAATAAAATGTATACAAATATTATCTTATTAAGTATTATAATATGAAAAGAGAAAAACAAGCTTGCATGCAGAAGGCTAGAGAGGCACAATATACTCTTAAGTTTTAAATTATGGTTTTCATAGTGAATCATACTAGTTATTATTGAAACGTTACAGTTGTCTCCCTTTGTTTTGAGAAAAGTGTTGAGGGTTACCTCTTCTGTAAGTAATTTGACTGTTAATAAATTAGTTAACTTATCTAAACTTCCACATGTTGAATTACAAAATAGACCATAATACCTGCTCTGCCTTTTTACAGTATTCTAGTGAGGCTTAGATTGAATTTTTTTTAAATAAATATATTAAAATGATTCGTAACATGTAAAATACCCTGTCAATAAAAGTTATAATTCTTATTACCATAATCTGTATGCCAGACTAAAACATTAATAGTTATGTGATCAGTTATTAAAGGGTAGAAAGTCACTTCCCATCTCCACTGGTACCACCCACATCACAGCCCCCATCATTTCTCACAGAATAGTATACCAGCTTCCTAAAAGAGTCTTGCTGCTTCTACTCTTATCCTAAATTCCGGCCTCCACACCACCGTCAGAGTGGACTTTGACATCTTAAATCAGATCGTGGCTGTTTGCTTAAAACATTTCAATGGCTTCTCTTAGCCCTTAAAATAAAATCCAGAATCTTTGTACAAATCATGTCAGCAAACAGCTCCTGCCTGTCTCTCGGTCCTCATCTCATTCTACTTTACCTGGTACCAATAAGGCCACAATGGACTTCTCTAGATTCCTCCAACCTGTGGCCTTTCAATAACTGTTCTTGCTGGTAATTTTCAGGCCCTTACATTCAAAAAGAAGAAAAAGAAAATTGCTGCTAATGGCAAAGTTTAGATAATGCAGAAATAATTATGTTGTCATAGTGGTTTTATACTTATGGAAGTTTATCAGGTGTTAGAAAATGTATGTGGCAGTTAACCAATTAAACTATGAAGGAGTGGTCACAAATTCTTTCCTCCTGTTCTTTTTGGTTAACAGAAGATCTTATGACTTTTAAATCATTCAATAAAATTTATCCTCTTCTGTAATATTTCTGAAAGAAAAGCGATAAAGGATCATTCTTTGTTACAGTTGTTGGGATCTCATTAGTTACAAGTCATGAAATCTCGAGATAATGGAAAATATTTTATATAGGTCAGAAATTGCATTACAAAGAGCAGTGGGTATTATATGACATATACATGACCTCAGAGGAATACATTTGTAAACATGCTTTTCTATGTAAAATTAATGTGTTAATTTAAATGTTAAAATCATGTAACTCATGTAAAGTGTTAATGTAAACATTAAAATGCTGAGGTGTGATTTCTTCGTAGCTGACTCAAAGAAAACTAAAAAACGCTTCCCTACCCCAGAGCACTTTTTATCAGTGTTTGTAGGATTTGTGTCTACAACTGCTATTAACATGAGTAAGATTTCTTTTTTTGAGACAGGGTCTCATACTGTCATCCAGGCTGGAGTGTAGATTCACTGTATCCTTGAACTCCTGAGCTCAAGTGATCCTCCTGTCTCAGCCTCCCAAGTAGCTAGGACTATAGGCGTGCACTACCACACCTGGCTAATGTGTTTCTGTTTGGTTTTGTTTTTAAAGACAGGGTGTTGTTATGTTGCCCAGGCTGGTCTCAAACTTCTGGGCTCAAGTGATCCTCCTGTGCTGGCCTTCCAAAGTTCTGGGATTATAGGTGTGCGTCACTGCACCAGGCCACATTAATTGGATTTAATTGAGTAGATCTCTGATACACTGATTGAAAATTTACTCAAGTTACTATAGGCAGAGCCAATCGGGGGTATAATTCATAGTAAATTTAAAGTGTTTTACATTAAAACATGAAATAGAACATATTAAGAAGTTGGCTCTATAACCATTTTGAAGCAGATATTAAAGTAGTTTTAATGTTAGACTTCTGGTATTAAATAAAAGACAAGTTTATAAACAGTTCAGTAATTGGACAGGCTCCATATTGATTTTTTCCTTTGTTATATAATATTACCCACTTCTCCGTCCAGAACTATGTCGTACAGGGTTTCAGAGTGCTAGAAACATGGTCGCTGTTGTGTATTGGAATGTTGGAATGTGCAAAGACTGAAAGGCTGTCACAGCAGTCAATAAGATCTGAGAGGTGTTGACTAATTGCCTGCTAATTACACAGTAAATTGTCTAATTAAGCTGATGGTTAATTAGGGTACGCTTGCACAGCAGTCTTGTGGAATTTGTGTCTGATGTCTGGGAAGCAGCTTGTATAATTGGCAAACTGGTAAGGACTGGCAGAGAACATGACTGGAAAACTCCCTGCCAGTGGATGACAGAATACGGATTTAGTGGAAACAAAAGGGTTGTCATTTTTGTACTGAAGGTTTTGTTTCAGTTCTGCAGCTATTCTGCAGTGAGCAATTGAGAAATGCATCTGAAGCCTAAATTACGTGAGTAAAAGAAGGCTTAAAATGTGTGTCAGAATGTAAAATATGCTGCTTGCGTGGCATGTATCACCTCTGATACACTATCTCACATTATATTAATCTACGCCTTGTATGATTCTACAGTTCCTCCTTTTAACATATATATTTGGCAAAAAATAAAAAACGATAATCCCATGCATCTAAAACAATGCCTCTTTTATGAAAATATAAGATAACAAAATGACTGATTAGAAGACATTTGAAATAAGAGCTTTGAATTCATTATTTAATTATTAATTTATATATCACTGTGAATCATAAAAATATTAGACATGATACAAATATAAGTTTGGATGATATTTTAACTGAGTAAAAATTGTATTTGTAATGAGAGCATTTTCATTTTACTGTTTATGCAGTTTTGTCATGCAACTGGATTTTGCCTGTAGTTTAATTTGTAAGAAAAAATATTTCAATACATAATTAAATGTATTTGATTTCTGTGTGGATGTGAGTGGTGTTTGATGAATTACCTGTAAAATTTGAGTGCCTTTAAAACTAAAAGTTCTAGAAGTTTGCTTTGTTGTTTTTATTGTTCTTTGTAGCTGAGGAAGTTTAACTTTTCATTTCAATAAGTCACCTATGGCTGAAATACTAACATAAAAATTCACCCTGCAAATAAATTAAATGAATCCATTGGAGAATATAGGTCCTTTACAGATGATGTTAGGTACATACACATTGCCTCTTCATAAGAGACCTGAATGTAAATGATTGCCTCTATTACCATTTGCCACCCAGATTCATCATATTTTGAGGATTTTGCAATAAGACTTTGAATAGAACATTAGGTTGCAGTTGTAACAAAGAACCACAAGTTCACAGTGACCCTTGGATTGACTTACACTATTGTGTAAATAAAACTTGAAAAACTTTTCAGTATTTCCAAACTAGATTACTAAATAAAAATTGTATTTGTAATGAGATAAGAAGGCCTAAATTAAATTATAGTATCAAAAATTGTTGTGACTTTCTTATTAAATAAAATAAATTTCCCTTTGTTTTGAGAAAAGTGTTGAGGGTCACCTCTTTTGTAAGTAATTTTTGTAAGTAAGTCTGTATGTGATTAGATAGATATGGATGTTTTTTTGTTCCCGCTGTTCTCCAAGGAGAATTTGAAGTTGTATATATACTATATATGTTTTTAGATAGAGAGAAATACACATCATGCAGTCTCTGAAATGTCTTTGCCTTAGCATTAATCTTGGAGATATATGCATAGTAAATGAAAATATTTACTGTTTTAACACAAAAGGTGTTTTTCAATGTTCTAAAATACTAGTTCTCAGACATAAAAATGGATGTAAAATAAAAATATTTATTTCAAGAATGTAGAAAAATTATATTCATTCCATTTGAAGCATAGGTTACAAAGTCTTGGAAGACTTCATAAACAAATTATTCAAGATAGCAGAAAAATGAATTTACCAAATTTACCAAAGGAATACAAGGCTAAACAAACAGAAATTTGTTTTATTTAAAGATATATTCTGTTTTAAATAAACAGAAATTGTTTATTTAAAGATATATCTCCTGAGGGAGAAAAATCAGATAGAGGTCAGTGCTGTAACTCCAACCCATCTATATTTTGATCCACTCAACTTTTCATCTTAGTCCTCATGAAAATAACTTTTAAAGTTATTTATTATAAGTTATAAAGGTTTACATAAAAGAAATACCAAGTAGATCTATCAGTGAAATTAAGGTCTTAGAGAAGAACTCTTTATAAATCATAACTTTTAAGAAAAAATATTTCTTTATGTTTACAAATAAATTTCAATGTTGTTTTCTATTAAATTTTAATCTATTTCAATACATTGTATGTTCATTATCACTAAGAATAAATTTCTAATGTTCTAATCACAAAAAATGTTAAATATTTGAGGTGATGGATATGTTTGAGGTGATATGTTAAATGGTTTAATTTAATCTTTCCACATTGTATTCAAAAGTCATGACACCACTTTGTATACCATAAATATATGCAACTATAATTTGTCAATATATAAAAAATGTAAAATAATTTTTAAAATGTAGCTGGCTTCCATTAATATATAGCCATCACAAGAGTGAATTCTGTATATCATGATTTTATGCAATTATCTGTTGAGAACTTCATGTAATACTTTACTTTGGCTTTTAAATAAGTACACACACACACACACACACACACACAGAGAAAGAGAGAGAGAGGCAAAGTACTGTGTGTGTATATTTAGTGTAAAGACAGTTTCTCTTTTAACCACTTGGAAAGCTTTATCCCTGTAATTTAAAAAATTCAGAATACGAAAATATAATATTTAGTGTTCTTAACCATCAACTTCATCTCCAGAATTATTTGTTTTTATAATTTACGTATAAAATCCATTCTTTAAAGTGTAACTTTTCATGGTTTTTAGTATATTCACAAATGTGTATCCATCATCACTATCTAATTTCAAAACATTTCTATCACCCTAAGAAAGAAACTCCATACCCATTAGCAGTTACTCCCCATTCCCCACATCCCGCAGCCTCTGGAATCCAGTAATGTATTTTCTATCTCTATGGATTTACCTATTGAGTACATTTGATATAAACAAAATCATATAATATATGACTTTAATGTCTGGTTTCTTTTATGTATTTAGTATAATATTTCAGGGTTTACCTGTGTTGTAGCATTTATCAATGTAATGCTTCATTTCTTTCTGTGGATATACCACTCTTGTTTATCCATTCATTAGTTCATAACCCTTCATGGGGTATTTTTCTACTTTTACCTATTATAAATATTTCTTCATTCATATGTAAGTTTTGAGGGGAGATACATATATATTCAATTCCCTTTGGAATATAGTTAGGAGTGGAGTTTCTGGGTAATATGGTAACTCTATTTTTAACTTTTTGGGAATTGCTAAACTGTTTTCCAAAGCAGCTACCCCAATTTACATTCTCACCAGCAATGTATGATATTTCCAGTTTCTTCACATACTCGCCAACATTGTTGTTTGTTGTTCATCTTTTTTGTTATAAACTTCATAGTGGGTATGAAGTTGTTTCCCATTATGATATTGACTCCTAGTGTTATTGATAAGTAGAAAAAGTAAAAATATGAAGGCCTAATAATTTCCTTAATATTCTTATTAACAATCATTGTGGCAACTGGTTAATATAATTGACAGTTAAAGTAGCTTCCACTTTCCATATTTTTTTCCCCTTATTCAGAAAGTGTGGTCATCAGGGGCAATTTGACCCAGTTCTGTTAGAAACATGGTGTAATAGCAAATCTAAAAATAGAGTTTTGGAGTTACAGGCAACTTCCAAAGAATAGCTAGTTATATAGGTTCTTTGCCGTTGGAAGAAAGTGTTACAGGATCATCTATATTCAATGAGTAGTCTCTTACTGTTTATATATAGTTCAAAGAAATGAATAAATATTCCTAGCTAAATTTTGAGCAAAACATACAGAATTAGAAGCCAAAAGGAAAGCATTTAATATACTGTAGATAGCAAGGAGAAAGATCATTACTCTAGGAGTCTGAATCAATTGTCGTTCCCTGCTCACTTCTGCCCTGCTTGGTAATTTTATCATTCTAGATATAATAGCACAGACTGTGAGTGTTAAAAAAAGACTTGCCTGAGATCTAGCTTGAGTCTAAGAGCTTTCATTTACAGATAATGAAAATTATTCTTTAATCAAAAGATTTGTTCAAATTCATTTGGATGGCAATAGAGTGCTCTTAAACCACATACTTGGCCCCCTTAGCATTGTATTTTTATAGTATTTTATACTCTGTGTAATTTGTTTGTTCATTTTTATAGATCATGTATTGTATAACAATAAGATACAATCCTGGTTCTCAGAGAACCTAAAATCTAGATGTGATGTGCGTGAGAAAACATGCTATGAGAGAATTAGAAACGAAGAGCTATAAAACTACAGAGGAAGCACCAAACCAAGCTAGAGCAAGGAATGCCATTGGAAAAAAGATGATACCAAACAGTTGCCCTGCATAGTGCCTGTCCAAAGAATAGAGAATACATTATAGATGAATATCATGAGCAAAGTCAGAGAGAAAAAGAAAGCCCCGTAAAAATGGGTGTTTACTTTCACTGGAAGGATGATGTAGTGAGAATAAGAATTAGAATGGAACCACATAATAAAGGCCCTTGTTTGATCATCAAAGAGAGTTTGAACTTTATCTTAAAGGATAATGAACTATATGCAAAGAAGGATAAGACAGGCTTGGATGTGCATTTTAGAGAGGATTATCTGATAATAGTGTAGAAAATAGTCACAAGAGTGAGAGCAGATGAACATGTTCATTGACAAATTATTTCTAGGCAATGTGCTTGGATGTTGAGGATAGAGTGGAGAGGAATATAAGGCCCTAAATTCATGGAGCTTACAGTGTAATACAGTAAGGAAGAAAAGATATTGGCTCAAGGTTGTATCTAGAGCAAAGTGAACGTATTTGACATGTATAAAAGAGAGTAAAGTAGCAGTCCTGGTGACTGATTGCATGAGGCTAGATATGGGAAGAGAGAAGTTAGGAAAAACTCTGGTATCTCTGACTTGCCAGCTGTTTATTGTTGTTTTGCAAAGGAAGTGAACATAAGATGAGAAAAACATGGTTACTATGTTCTGTGCAGTTACTGAAGCAGGACCTTTCAATATCAAAAGAAAACTGTCAATAGGTACTTTTATTCTCCAACTATAATGATGTCAAATATTTGGAAAGAAAAGGTCAACCTAATAAAGGACCTGCAGTTATTAAAATTGATCTGAAAATGTTAATAATTTTTCAGATGTGATATAGGTACTAATGCAGAGTTCTAAATTTCAAATTCTATTTAATTATTCTAAAATTAGATCTAAAACTAACATAGAAAGGGGAAAAGTTAAATAACAGAACAGGATGTTAAATCAATATGATTAATTAACTTGATATAAATAACTTGAGTATTGCTATGTTTATCTGTAAATCATTTATCATGATACCAGCTGTAAAAGAAAATCTTAATAATAATGATAATGATGTGTGTCATCCTCCCACCCAGCAGAGGTGTCATGACAAATTGTTAACAAACTGTCTTACAGCACTTCACAGATTCAAATGCTAATGTAATAATAATATAATCAATAATAATAAAATCAACAATATAACAAACCATTTTGATGTGGCTTGGGAAGAGAAATTTATTAAAACATTGAGTTCACATGAATAAAGTTGAAAAACAGAATGATTTACCCTTTTAAGTCTGTATTTACATTTTGACTTTTAACTTTCAATGAAGGGAAGAGGGAGCACAAAGAAAGGACACTGCCTGAAACTCTTAAAATCTGATTTCTGTATTCTTTCTGGACATTACAGAAATTAATCTACATATTTTCATCCAACTGTATCTCCCCAAAGTATGTTTTGACATCTCTCTCTCTCCTGCTTATCTGCAGGAGAAAGGCCATAAATCTTAGCATGCCTACAATGCCCTCTCTCATCTTAACTTTCTCTTAGTCTTAATTCCTCCCACCAACCTCTTCCCATAAAGGAGACACAATAACAGAAGCCTTAACATGTTTAAAATATTTGTCCCTTTGGAACCTGATAAAATTTCTCAGACTTCACATGATGTTTTTGTTATTCAATCCACAAACTATGATTGTGCACATGGATGCGCAGGCCGCTCATTACTCAAGGTAAAACTGCCTGAGGGTGCCATGCACAGTCTCTGAAGATGGCTTGTGCTTTTCTGCCCCAGCACTTGTGCATGCATTGTGCTCGTATCTGAAGAGCTCTGCCCAGTATTTTGACTTTTGAGAATACAATTCATCCTCAGGAGCCGGCTTAGATGTGACCCACCCTGGAAGCTTTCTTTTATCTTAAAATTATGTGTGTGTGTGCGTATGTGTGTGTGTGTGTGTGTGTGTGTGTTTTCTTTTTTGAGACAAACTTTCACTCTGTCATCCAGGCTGGAGTGCAGTTGCATGATTACAGCTCACTGTAGCCTGATCTCCTGGGCTCAAGAGATCCACCCGCCTCAGCCTCCTGAGCAGCTGGGACTACAGGAGTGTGACACTATGCCTGGCTAATTTTTGTATTTTTCATAGATTTGGGGTCTTGCCATGTTGCCCAGGCTTAAAGTTGTGTTCTTATAAACTGTAGGAGTCCTAGAACCGCCTGTGTTAAGAGGAAAAAGACAGAAATTGCAATGAAATTGCAAATCTGCCACTAACACACTATGAAGCCTTTTAAAATGAGATAGGTGAACCAGCTATCAGCTCTTTTCAGTTCTATCATGCTAAATTTAAATTCTTTTTTTTAAGCTGAGCATGGTGGCACATGCCTGTAGTCCCAGCTAATTAGCAGGCTAAGATGGAAAGATCACTTGAGCCCAGGAGTTTGAGGATGCAGTGAGCTATGCTCGCACCTCTGCACTCCAACCTGGGCAACAGCAAGACCTTATCTTTAAAACAAACAAACAAAAATTAAAACATTTTAAATTTTTTTAGAGTTATCTGTATACCAGGTCCATTTTCCTCTGTGAAACTAGCATTGGGTAGTTATTGTGTATATATTATTTGTCAAGCATTTCGAAAGCCATATAATTTACATTTTCTCTTTTACTACTAGCAACTCACTGTGGTAGATGTCATAATCTCCACTGCATGGATAAACTGAGCTTTAATAATTTCGAATTCCTCTCTTCTGTCTGTCCCTACAGTCATATCTCAGTTCCTTGAACACAGCAGATACTCAACAAAGACTGAGTTGCCCTCTTCTATCTTGTTAGAGTTTTTTGCTTCCAGATGGAAATGATGTGATTTATCACATTATAGAAATCGATCAATAATATTTGTGTGCTATCATTTTGCTGCGGGTAGAATTTAGGTTTCTGTAGGTTTTTAAGAAAGAAATGAGAAACTTGTTAAAAGGTTTGCTGTGGGCCTCTTTTTAATTCCATTATTTTAGGGCACCAGCTTTCTCCCTTTTGAGTCCCATAGCTCATGGGACCATGTTTGGCTATTCATTGACAATCATTGTTTTGTTTTCTCCACCTCCCTAGTCTTCCCTCCAGTAAGATGTTTTACATCCCATGAATCATAATTCCCAGTTCTTGGATGAAAATTGCTCCACCTGACATTAACCAAGTTTACTAGCAAGATCCTGTATTAGGTAGAGCAAATTCAAAGCCAGGAGCCCTATGGAGAAGGCAATGACCCTGATCTCACACCTTTACTTCTTAAATCTTTAAAGACAAAAATAAATTTCAAAGGCAATGAAAAAGTTTTTTCTGATTTGAACTCCTCTGGGCTCTGGATTTCCATGGCTTCCTTCATGGCTTGTGTTTTAGTACAGTGGTATGAATATGAAAACCGTTAGTACGAGGGGATTATCCTCTCTCCAGTGCTCTCTGCAATATTTTAAAGGTGTCCCAACATTATAGGTTGCACTGAAATAAGACAGCCTACTTGGTATTACATTCTGTATTCATATTTACTATAAAATGTCTTGCTAGAGCATATTCCTTAACTTCCTGTAGAGAAGGATGTAATGTACAACAGAGAAGTGCATTTTTTAGAAACACTGAAATGAAAGTTGTTGATTTTAAAAGACATCTTGTCACAGATGAGTGAGGGAGAAAGAGATCAAACCAGCAAGTCTAGCCAATCCAACGTTTCATTCATGCATCTCTTCGGCTTAGTGCTTTCCCCTTCGGTATCATTAGCATTTTCATTTCGAAAAATGACAGTCTGCAGTGGAAGCAGTAAAAATGTTCAACCTGTGGTTTAAATTATTGATTTTTTAGAATATTGAAGCAGTATTTCAAATGGATTTTGTTAGAGATACTTCTGGGTGGGGGGTTTCAAAGGTAATTTGATACCCAAAAGCCTGTATATTTCAAAGAGTTTCCATTTTTTTGAATTTCTTTAGACTCTGGATGATTGGATAAAAATGTTTATTATCTTCAGGATTGTAAGTAGCAGATCATTGCTGCTTGAACTTGAAACATATATTTGCAGACTGTGCTCTTCATGATTTATTGTGCATGCTCATTCTGTGATCAACTGGCAAAATAAATCTTCATTTAGAAACAAAAGCATTTTAAAATAATGGAAAAGATACTATGATCTGCATACGTGGAACGTCAATAGTCCAATTGATAGCTAGTTTACTGTAATAAAGCATGCAAGGGTGGTTCTATAAGAATGGATTTTAATGAAGTTCCTCAAATTGTGTTATGTGAATAGGGAGTAGAGTGTGACCACAGAGATTTTCCTTAAAGTCATTTTAAGTCTCTCACCACAGTCAATACTTACATATGAACAGAAAATATTTTGACAAGGACCAGGATTACTGACTGCTGTGTGTATGCTGTGCAGGTAGTTTGCTATTCGCAGCATGTTTCTCCTTATGGAAAAAAAGCTACTTAAAAAATTACATTATATCAAAATGCCTTGATCTGCAATCATTCCACAAGTCCAAGCCCTATTGAAGTCAATGAGGGCTTGGAGTACAAATTTATGACTATATCGAGCTTAATATGTGGAGATTTGCACTATATTTTGTAATGTCAAATATCACATAGCAATGAGATGACACAAATTTGAAATAAAACCTGATATCCCCCTTTGACAAGTGGAAATGAATTAAAAATACAGTATCAGAAGAGATCTTTTTGAGGCATTGAAACATAAAAGGGAAACCTGCCGCAGAATACATGAGATGTATCCATAATAAGCCCTGTAACATTTAAACCAACTTGTAAATGCCTTTCCAAAGGCAGTGCTACCCCGGAAGTTGGTTGGAGAATTGCTGAATTTGCTACTATTGGGGAAAAACATGTTTAATATGATGGTGCAAAACCGTAAGATCAAATCTTTTTGTATAGCAACCCCCTTTTCATCTAAAAACTTTATATAATAGACAATATGATTAAAATAGCTTTAACAGCCTTTAGAGATAGAAGTTTTAAATATTTTCATATTGTTTATATTGTTATTTGTTGAAATTTTAGTTAATAAAACTGAGGCCCAGAGAATTAAGTGTACTATTCAGCATCATTCAGCTGTTAAATAAGGAAGCCAGCATTCTTCCTTGGTTTGTATAATTGCAGAGCCAGTGCTTTTCTGCTACACAACTCTGTTTCATTAAAGATGTCACTGAAAATTGGCCTCAAAATCAGCTTAAAAAAGGAAATGAAGACACAGAAAAGCAGTGAGCCCTCATGGTTACGTAGTATATACAAAAATTAGTTATTTTTCAGTTTCAAGGGTGAAGCCACTCCTATCTGCCCCCTTCCTCATTCCATTAGGTGCTTCCCTCATTTAAAACTATTCCTGTGCACTTATATCCCAGGCACCATGAAGGAATTAACTCACTGAACCTCTGCAACAAATCTATGCAATATATATTCTATTCATATTATTATTATATCTTATATTATTAGTGGTATATAATATACAAATATATAATAATATACTAATTATATTATATATAATATACTACGAATAATGTATATTTTATTATGTAGTATCTATATTATGAAATAATATATCATTAGGTTAATATATTATATATTAACAAATTTTTACATATTTATATATTATAAATATTTTTAAGTCATTAGATCATTTTATGAGAGATGGAAATACAATTGCAAATTTTAATCTTAGAAGTATATGCAGAATTTTATATGCAATGTATATATTCACTATTTAGTTACATCTTTTAAATACTAAGAAAAATAGCAAATCAGTAGCTTACTGCAGAAGAGCAAATGTAGTAAAATAAGTATTTAGTGAAAGGTGTAGCCATCTTCTAAGCTTGAAAATCAGTTTTTTGGTTTTTTTTTTTAGCATTACATTTCAGGGCAATAGTATTACAAAGTCTGAATCTTAATTTATTCAGAGAAGAAATTAAGTTGAGGAATTCCACCTGATTGCAGATATTAACCAGTTGTTGGCAGTAGACTTGTCCACTCATGTTATGCTTCTTGAAACTGTACACCTAAGTTCACCTTCTGGTGGGGGCCCAGATGTACCAATTTGTGTTTCTATTTTTTCTTTTCTTTCTCTTTTATTCTAGAGATTAAACATCCAACATTCCCTGAGATGCATCCTCTTTTTGCCTTCTCTCTGCAGCCTCTAAATATGAATAATACATATTATATTATTAATATAATTATTAGTAATTATAACACAATATACTATTATAGTATATAATTAGTACGTTATATAATACTTATACAATTATTAGTGTGTTATACTAATATATAATTGTAATATATGTAATATATATGTTAATAATATATATGATAATATAATATACTATGTAATATATAATATATTATCAGTATATTCTATATTATATTAGTAGTAGTATAATAATAAAGGATGAAGGTATGAGACAGAATGGTTGTTCTTGATAAAACTGTTAGTAAGCGGTATAGCAGATGAGATTTCTACTATAAGGAATTGTCAATATGCAGTGAGTTGATGATGACAATGACAGCTTATGGTGCATTTATTATGTGGCAGGCAGTATTTTAAGCATCTTTCATATACCATTTCGTGTAAGTTTTCACAATAGCACTATGGAGTAGAGGTAGTATAATTATTAACACTTTACAGGAAGGAAGCTGAGTCACAAAAGGGTTAGTGACTTGCGCAACCAGGAACACATTGTTGTTTATTTGGTGTAATGATGAAAGTACTAAATACATTTCTTAGCCTCTAGTGAGTCCTCAAAAAATATTATAGGTATTAATGTTAAAGGCTATTTCTAGAGCATTAATAAAGTATTAATACTTGTTGAATGAATAACTAATGAATAATCCCACCTCTGCAATTTATTAGCTATGGGACTTTGTGCCAGTTTTATTTAAAATGCTAAGTTTGTTTTCTTATTTGTAAAATTATTATAATGAAATAGGAATATTGTAATTTACTGAGTTCATGCATGTGTCAAGTACTCTTGTAGCATGTAACAGAAGTAAAACTTTAGCAAGTACTCAGGGCATAGTAAGTACTCAACAAAGGCTATCATTGTTAATGTAGTTTTTCATCCTTATTTTAATAGGACAGGAGTAACCAGGACAATAACCATAGGTCAAGGCTGTGGTGTGTCCTGGTGTAAGTGTACCATGTGTATTGTCTACCACAAATATTGATGTTGATAAAATTTGCCAATCTTATGAAAATTTTCCAGTATTACTTTTATTCCTTTGTATGTGTGTGTATTTAGGTCTAGACAGTTTTATCACATGTAGTAATAATAAGGATGGAACCCTCTGGGAGTATTGTGTATAGATGAGCATGGCTGGTCAACATTTTCCTACCTTTATTGTGCTAAATTCATCCATTCTTTAGATTTGAGCTTTTTGCCTTAACTTCAAGGTAGGAACATGAGCTCAGGTGTTAAACCTGGTGCGCTTGCTTAATGTAGCACATACCAAAAATTCTGTGGTTCCGTGAAAATATATTTTTCCTCACAATGATTACTCCTAAAAACAGGATTCCTGATATCAGTGAGTGTAAATAGTTTAACAAAGCTATGGGTTGTCTCTTCAACTACATTTTTTGTACTCAAATAGTGGTGATGATGCAGGTCAGGCAAGCCCCCAAATTGGGGCTCAGCCCGGGAGGGTTCTTGGCTTTGCCTAGGAATGAATTCAAGGGCAAGCCAGAGGTGTTAGCAACTTTTACTGAAGCGGCAGCATACACAGCAGCAGAGGTACAGCTCGTTGTGGAGCAGGGCTACCCCATAGAGAGTGTGCCCAGAGCAGCAGCTGAGAGGCAGTTCTGCAGTCATATTTATACCCACTTTTGATTACATCCAAATTAAGTGGCAGATTATGCCGAAATTTCCAAGAAAAGGGTGGTAACTCCTGGATTGTTGGGTTGTTGCCATGGAAAGGGGCGGTAACCTTTGGCTGTTACTATGGCAATGGTAAACTGACATGGCACACTGGTGGACATGTCTTGTCTTGTGGAAAGCTGCTTCTGCCCTGGCCCTGTTTTAGCTAGGTCTCAATTGGGTCTGGTGTCTGAACCCTGCCTCCAGAGTTGAGTCCTGCCTCCTACCTCAGTGTTACCTAGTTATAGGCATGATTCTTCTGACTTAGCACTTGTAGGTTCACAGTAATTTGAGGTAAGCTTATGAAGTACAGATTAAACTTACAAGAGCACAAATATTGGATTAATATAATTTGCCAATCTTATGAAGATTTCCCTGTTTTACTTTTATTCCTTTGTGTATGTGTGTGTATATATAATTATATGCAGTTTTATCAAGTGTAGGTTCATGTATTTACCACCACAGCCAAGATAAAGAACAGTTCTATCATCACAAGCAACCCTCACATAACCTTTTGTAGTCACACTTACTTCTGTCCCCTCACTCTCTGCATTCCTAACGCCTGGAAACCATAATCTGTCCTCTATCTCTAAAATTTTCTAATTTCAAAAATATTGTATAAATAGATTTATACAAGTGTAATCTTTTGAAATTGGCTTTTAAAAAAAATAAGCATCATACCCTTGAGATGCATCCAAGATTTTGCCTATGTCAATAGCTAGTTCCTTTTTTTTTTGCTGACTTGTATTCCATGCTATGTATATAACCACAATTTGCTTAGCCATTCACCTGTTGAAGGATATCTGGGTTATTTTCAGATTTTTGTTACTACAAATAAAGTTGCTATGAAAATTTGTGTACTCCTTTTGTTTGGACATAAGTTGTCATTTCTCTATGATAAATACAAGGGAGTGCAATTGATGGGTCATATGGTAACTATATGTTTAATTTGATTAAAAAGTGCCAAACTGTTTTTCAGAATGGCTGTAACATTTTATATTCCCACAAGCAATGTATAAGTGATCTAGTTTTTCCACATTCTTGCCAGTACTTAATATGGTCACTTGTCACTATTTTTAAAAATTATTTTAGCAGTTCTCTTATGCATGTTATGATATCTCATTGTTTTTTCTTGTTTGTTTGTTTTGTTTTTTGAGACAGAGTCGCGCTCTGTCGCCCAGGCTGGAGTGCAGTGGTGCAATCTCAGCTCACTGCAAGCTCCGCCTCCCAGGTTCACGCCATTCTCCTGCCTCAGCCTCCCGAGTAGCTGGGACTACAGGTGCCCGCCACCACACCCGGCTAATTTTTTGTATTTTTAGTAGAGATGGGGTTTCACCGTGTTAGCCAGGATGGTGTCGATCTCCTGACCTCGTGATCCGCCCGCCTTGGCCTCCCAAAGTGCTGGGATTACAGATGTGAGCCACCGCGCCTGGCCTCATTGTCATTTTAATATGAATTTCTCTAATGTGCAATGACATTGAACGTCTTTTCACATGCTTATTTGCCATTTATATATCCTCCTTAGTAAAATTCCTCTTTCTCCATATTTTTTTTAATTTAAATAAATATCCTGGAGGTCACTCATTAATAGAATATAAAGATATTTCTTTGTCTTTGTTTCCACTGGTGTATAATTCTCCATTGTGTGGATATACCAAAATACTATAATCAATTATGTATGAAATTGGTCATCTTTAATTTCAAATGGGTCAATAAATAAATATCCATGTTTAAGAAAATTAATCGTTTTAGCATTTTATTTCTTAAAAAGTATGTGAAATATGACCTAAGAGTACAGATAAAATGATTCAAAGATGACTAATCTCCAAAACATCTTATTTTTAATATTTGCATGGCTATTTCTGATTTATCTTTTTTTACTCATTAATTAATGCTTGCTATTTTAATAATGCTATTTAGTGACTTTGAAAAATAAACAAGTTGATAACTTATGGAGAGAAATTCTGTATTTATGTTTAGAAATAGCTTATATAAAAAAGAAAACTTTACTCAATTCTAGGATTTTTCAGTAGCCTAGTGTTTTAAAAACTGAGTTATAAACCCATATAATAAATAAGAACAAAACTAAAGGTATTAATGAAAATATCCCAATGCCTTTGGAGTTTTAGAAATTCTGAATTAATCATAAATTTGTATAAAATTTGATTTGGATAGCACTAACAGTGATATACCTTCCCATTATTTACAGAATCATTAAAGTTGAAGGATTCTAAATTAAAGTGATCTATCTGAGTAATGGATATGAAATGAGTAACAGTCTCTTAAAACACCAACATCTTATACTGATTTATGTGATATAAATTCTATACTCTCTACCCATAATCTCCATGGCTTAAGTTCTGTATTATTTTTCCAGTCATTAGAACCATGAAACTTATGAACGATCTGTCATAAAGTTTTGGAGGCCCCAACTTTCAACAACAACAAAAATGTGCATCTGTTATTTCATACGTAATGGAGTATAGTACAAATGAAAAATTGAGTGTTCTCTTCAGCCCTTAAAAACTGCAAAATGGAAGGCCAAAATAATTTATTAATGTACTCAAATAGATTCTATCCTTACATATTTTACAAGTAAATCACAACTGAACTGTTATCCATGAACTTTATAAATTTCAAAAACAAGCATTTAAAAAGATTATACTTTAATTAGTCACTGGATAGACAATAACAATGTTATGATGTGCCTCTTTAAAATTATGAATTGTCACATAATCTGGGTATTTGGGGTTGTGCATTAGTAGTAAAATCCTTTAACTAATACATTGTATTAACTTCCTGTTAAACATAGTAGTTTTATCATACTTCATACTTATTCTCCCAATCTCTATTCCATGTCAATATTGCAATATCATTCATTTAAATATTGCAATATCAATTTTTTAAAACTACAGTATATATGCAAACTCACAATGACAAACATATCAGGAGATTGAACATAGTAAAGGATACCAACAAAATATTAGAAGACAGAAAGTGAGTGTACTAATTGTAAGTTACTTAGCCAACTGCAGATATCTGAAACTATCTGGGGGCAGCCTTGTAGTTGCTTCAAGTCAATATTAGCTGAAGAATTTTGCAGAGGATCGGCAATTATATTCCTGAAAATGAAACTGAAAAATGACCACATGTATTTTAAAATGAACCAAATAAATCTAGAAATCAAAATTAATAAAAAAATTCAATGAATTGATTAAATAGCTGAAGAGAAAAATAGTGATCTGAAGAAAGGAGATAGAAAATATGAATAAAATATTAAATGACATGGAAAATACAATGAGAAGTTCTAAAAAAGAGTATGTCAGGCTGGGCACAGTGGCTCACACCTGTAATCCCAGCACTTTGGGAGGCTAAGGTGGGTGGATCACCTGAGCTCAGGAGTTCGAGACCAGCCTGGCCAACATGGCAAAACCTCATCTCTACTAAACATAGAAAAATTAACCAGGCATCGTGGTGCACTCCTGTAGTCCCAGCTACTCTGGAGGCTGAGGCATGAAAATTGCTTGAACCCGGGAGGTGGAGGTTGCAGTGAGCCAAGATTGATTGTTCCACTGCACTCCAGCCTGAGAGACAGAGCGAGACTCTGTCTAAATAAATAAAAACAAACGAGAGTATGTCAGAGTTCTAGTAAATAAACAAAATAGGGAAGATCCAATACAAAGAAGTTAGCTGAGACTGTCCAGAAATGTTGAAAGACCTAATGTATACATTGAGGAAGCTCAATGAATCTCAAACAGAATAAATGAACAGAAACTCCTCATTACACTCATCATAGTGAAATAACAGAAAATCGGAGACAAAGAAAAGCCCTTAAAAGTAGTCAGAAAGAAAAGAGATGGCTTAAGGAAATTCCTTGACATAAAGACAGAGACCACAATAGTCTAACATAAGAGATGAATTCATAGTTACCTGAGTGAATACAGTGAGCGGAAAAATAATCAGTGCAGAGAAACAGTACAATATACTAACTCCATGAATAAAAATATAATGCTATTACAATTGACAAATCAAAGAAGAAATATTGGAAGTTAAAACTGTGACAGTACAAAGTAAATATGTATTTTAAGAGTTGGAAGGGAAAGTTGTGAACATCTTTCAGAAAGAAGAACAAAATGACAGAACTGAAAACAGGAAAGAAAAGACAGGAAAAATAGAGACTGTGACTAATAGCTCCATACCTTTAAAACAGTTGTGCTACATGGAGAAGTCAGAGCGAATAAAGAGGAGGGAATTTCCAACAATATAAAATGAGAAGATGTCCCCAGAAATGAAGAACATGGTGGCCACAAAGGCACAATGAAATAAGAAAGACCCGCACCAATATTTACCATCTTCAGATTTCTAAACATGGATTTAGGAAGATCCTAGAAAATTCTAGAGTGAAAATAAGCAAGCCATCTATAAAGAAAGCAAAAACCCAAAAAAGCAACACTGGAAGTTAGAACACAATACTTCTGAAAACCTAGGGGAATTTTTTTGTTTTTGTTTTTGTTTTTGTTTTTGAGATGGAGTCTTGCTCTGTCACCCAGACTGGAATGCAGTGGTGCTATCTCCGCTCACTGCAACCTCCACCTCCCGGCTTCAAACGATTCTCCTACTTAGCCTCCTGAGTAGCTGGGATTACTGGCACAAGCCGCCACACCCAGCTAATTTTTGTATTTTTAGTAGAGACGGGGTTTTGCCATGTTGGCCAGGCTGGTCTCAAACTCCTGACCTCAGGTGATCTGCCCACCTCGTCCTCCCAAAGTGCTGTGATTACAGACGTGAGCCATGGGACCCAGTTGGAAATTATTTTTAGTTTTGAATTCTATACCAACCAAAATATCAGTCAGATGTCATGTCTTAGTTCATTCACTTTGTGCTTCTACAACAGAATATCTGAGACTGGGTAATGTATAAAGAAGATAATTTTTTTTTTTTCACAGTTCTGTTAGCTAGGAATTCCAAAATCAAGGAATCACCATCCGCTCTGGTGAGGGCCTTCTTTCTGTGTCCTTATATGGCAGAAGAGAGAAGGGCAGGCAAGCTAGCTAGCCCAATGCTGCTTGAAGCCTCTTTCAGCCTTTTTTATAAGAGCCTTAATCCCATTCACGGGTAAGGAGCCCTCCTGGCCTAATCACCTCTTAAAAGCCACATCTCTTTTTTTAAATTTTTTTTTAGGTCCAGAATATATGTGCAGGATGTCCAGGTTTGTTACATAGGTAAACGTGTGCCATGGTGGTTTGCTGCACCTAACAACCCATCACTTAGGTATTAAGCCCAGCATGCGTTAACTATCTTCCCTAATGTTCTCCCCACCAGCCCCAACAGGACCGAGTCAGTGTCGTTCGCCTCCCTGTGTCCATGTGTTCTCATTGTTCAGCTTCCACTTATAAGTAATACTATGACATTGGCAACACCTGAATTTTGGAAAGGACCCATTCAAACCATAGCAAGGGCAGATAAATACATTTACCTTCCATGAGCCCTTTCTCAGGAAGCAACTGGAGAGCGTGCTCATCTGAAACGAGTAAATAAATGAAGAAAGTGAACACTGGACTGCACCAAAAAGAAATTCTGATAGGACTGCAAAGGAAATTTGAGGCTAAGAGGTATGCAGTATACCTTCAGGGCAGTCTGGGATCAGGTAACCAAGAGCTAGAAGGAATTTCTCCGGAAACAGAGCAAACTGCTCAGTTATCTGATAGCTTTGACTTTGTGGAAAGTCAGATTATGAGCCATTTTATGAAGTTACCATGGTATGTGGGAAGACAGCCTGTGATTCGGGAAAAGTCAAGTAAATGAAAGAACATTTAAGTTGGGGTGAGAGTGAAATGAGAGAGCGGTACAAGAAATGAGATTACAGACTGCTATTTGGTTCTGTTGTGACCAATATTTATATAGCTACAAACATAAAATATAATGAGTTTAGATTTAACTGAAAATGTGTTAAATATTTTAGGAAGTTGGAGGAGAATAAATTTGCTTGAGAGGTTATATAAAAGAGCTGAAATCTTAGCTTCCATCATAGGAAGTTAGGGGCAAAGGCAGAGGTGGGGTGAGGTGGGGTGGGAGTGCTTTCTCTGTACAAAAGTAACTGGCCTATTCTCAGTATCCACAATCAACACAGAAATGCTAACTGTTCTCTTTAATGGCTACTCGTATTACAAAAACTAAATTTGCTGTCTTTGATTCCCAATATAATAATAAAAGTGCTTCCTTATTATCACTAATGAAACTGGCCTGGATGTATCATTTTATCCAAACAAGTTCTTTAGCCATGTGTACCTGAATCTGATTCAGCCCTTACTTGAAGAAAAAAGGTAGAATTTAAGTATACATTTTCTGTGTTAGCACTCACATGGAAACGGTATCTTTCCTTCAAGTTCTTCATTCTTAATAATCTAATGATGTCAGTCAATACTTATAGAATTGTAGCAATCTTAAACTCTAGTGGAAAAAGAAAAATACAGGTGTTTATGATGTGACATTGATTTTAGCAGTTCATCCTTAGTGGAAAATGTAATTGAATATGTGTTCAGATGGATAACACCACTTTAAAGGAGGAATAAGACAGTTTAATGCAATGGGAAGAACTGGATACATCCACATATTAAATAACTGTATAGTTCACTGATTGACAGTAAGTCTTTATATCTAGGATTTGTTATATATACCCCTTAGACTCCTCTTTCAATACCAGCACTACGCTTGTTCAATTGTTGTCAAGTTGACATATAATATACTTTGTTATAACTTTTAATGTAATAGACCTTTCTTCTCCACTCCCATAGGAGAAGATAATGCATCTACTTTAGTAAAAGTAATCTAAAAAAAGATACTTTCAATGCAACGATGGTTTATAATCTACTATCAGTGCATTATATCCTTCTCTAGAAATGTTTGTATGTGTGTGTCTAAATATGTGTGTGTGTGAATGAACACACATATACAGAGAGAGAGAGAGAGTAGAGATTATAATTTTCTGAAGAACTGGTAATTTAAAATATTTATGTTAGGCAAAAATCCATGCCAATGCAGCTATCAATTATGAAACATTATAACCAAAGGAATCATGACTTTTAAGGAATAGCTTGAATTTTGTCATTTTTAGTATTCCAATTTAAAAGTTGTATTAATATATTTGGTTTTATTTTTCTGTTTATTATCTCATAATAGAATGTAAAACAGATAAAGGAAAACGCTTTGGTATTATTAACTCACTTTTTCAATAGCTGTGTAATTCTCAGAGTATGGATTATATACAGTATTATTTGCTTAACCATTACTTTTTTGATGAACACTTGGGTTTTACAATTTTTGTCACTGTGAAATGTTCATATTTTGTTTCCTATACTATAATTTCTCTAGAATAGACTCCTATAAGTGGAATTACTCATTTAAAAGTATATATATTTTCAATGTTGATAGAAACTGAAGATAAATTTCCAAAAGTATCTCAACAACAGTTCACACACTAAATAATATAAGATAGCATCCCTCCCTGCCTCTACCTCCGATCTCTAGCACTGGATGTTATCAGTCTTTTAAAATTTTTGTCATATTGGCCAAATAATATGTGCAAAAAAAAATGGCATCTCATGGTTCGTTCACATGTGCATTTTTCTATTAGTAAGGTTGAGCGTCCTCTCAAATCATTACTTACATTTTTCTTTCTTCTTCTATGAAACTGTGCACATCCTTTGACTACATTTCTATTGAATTATTTGCCTTTATCATTTTAAGGAGTACTTTTATACATAGAAGATAGTAATCTTTAACAAATCAGTTTTTCATATTACATTGTCTTTCAGCTTTTTATAATTTTTTTTCTTTTTGTTTTTTGAGATGGAGTTTTACTCTTGTCGCCCCAGACTGGAGTGCAGTGGCATGATCTCGGCTCACTGCAACCTCCGCCTCCTGGGTTCAAGCAATTCTCCTACCTCAGCTTCTCAAGCAGCTGGGATTACAGGTGCATGCCACCATGCTCGGCTAATTTTGTATTATTAGTAGAGACGGGGTTTCACCATGTTGGCCAGGCTGGTCTTGAACTCCTGACCTCAGGTGATCTGCATGCCTCGGCCTCCCAAAGTGCTGGGATTACAGGCGTGAGCCACCGTGCCCAGCCTTTTTATAATATTTTAAAACTAAAAACTTCACTTCTAGAAAAGTAAAATGTACACAAGGTTAAACATTAAATAATGCCAAAAATATTTTGATGAAATTCAGCAATTCCCTGCCTCGTCTTTTCACATTCTTCTTCCTTGATCTTGTTAAGCTATACTTGCAATTACTATGTTTAGATTTGTAAATTCATGCTTCCGAAGAGTATGACTACACTACACTTTTTTCCAATTTAAACATTTTCTATTGACTTCCTGTTATACATAACTATCATTAGTTTTTTCTATATTTTACCTGATTTGTTATGAGTGTATATGTTTTTTACACATAATTCCAAAGATTCTGTCAGTTTCCATCGGTCATCTGGAGACAAGTCTTTCGTATTCCAGAAGTGTACTTCATTTCTGAGTACTCAAATTACTTTATGCCACTCTCCATGTGGCATATTTCTTTTTTTTCTCAGTTTGATATTTTATTTTCCTAAAACCAGTCATCCAGAGATTGTTCAAAAGGGATGTATAGTAGGTATATTTTTAGTATCCTTATAGATTTAAAATTTCTAGAGTAAAAAAAAATTATTTTTCTTAAAAAGTTTCAACACATTACACCTTGCTTTCTAGCATTTAATGCTGCTACTGAGAAATATATTTTTCAGGCAGAAAGAAATAGAAGAAAAGCAGGAAGATACAAGTTCTATATTAGGGAAAAAAAGTTTCCCAGAAATTCTCAGATTATTTCTCACTAGCCAGATGTAAGTCAAATGGTCTCTCCCAGCTGCAAGGGAATTTAAAGCAAGTTTTAAATTGGACACATTGCCCCCTAAATAATATCAGGATCCCATTAGTAAGAACAAATATAGGAATGGATGTTGGATAGGCAATGAAAAGTAACTGTTGAATTTGGTTTCACCATAATTTATATGACTAATACCTTATTCCAAACATACCTCACAAACATACCTTGTTTCATTGTGCTTTGCTTTGTTGCACTTCACATGTATTTTTTCTTCTTTTACAAATTGAAGGTTTGTGGCAACCTTTCTTCGAGCAAGTCTGTTGATGTCATTCTTTTTAATAGCATGTGCTCACTTTCTGTCTCTGTGCCACATTTTGATAATTCTTGCAATGTTTCAAACTTTTTTAGTACTATTATGTCTGTTAGGGTCATCTGTTACACCAATGATCTTTGATGTTATTGTAATTGCTTTGGAGCACCACAAACCATGCCCATATAAGACAGCAAACTTAACCAATACGTGTTGTGTGTCTTCTGGTTGCTCTACCAACCGGCTGTTCCTCTGTCTGTCTCCCTCTCCAAGGGCCTCCTTATTCCCTGAGACATAACAACATAGAAATTAGACCAATTAATAATACAACAGTGTTCTCTAAGTGTTCAAGTGAGAGGAAGACTAACTCATCTCACTTTAAATCAAAAGCTAGAAATGATTAAGCTTAGTGGAGGTGGCATTTCGAAAACCGATATGGGCTGAAATCTAGGCCTCTTGCACCAAACAGTTAGCCAAGTTGTTAATACAAAGGAAATGTTCTTGAAGGAAATTAAAAGTGCCACTCCTCTGAACACATAAATGATAAGACATCAAAACAGCCTGATTGCTGCTATAGGGAAAGTTTTAGTTGTCTGGATAGACCAAATCAGCACAACACTCTCTTAAGTCAAAGGCTGATCTGGAACAAGGCCTTGACGTGCTCCAATTCTGTAAAGGCTGAGAGGTAAGGGAGCTGCAGAAGAGAAGTTTGAAGCCAACAGAAGTTGGCTTATGAAATTTAAGGAAAGAAGAGATCTCCATAACATAAAATTACAAGGCGAAGCAGCAAGTGCTGATGTAGAAGCTGCAGTGAGCTATCCCGATCCAGCTAAGAGAACTGATGAAGGTAACTACATTAGATAACAGATTTTCGATGTAGACAAAACAGCCTTATATTGGAAGAAGATGCCATCTAGGACTTTTACAGCTAAACAAGAGGAGTGAATGAATGACTTCAAAAGACATGCTAACTCTCGTGTAATGGGCAAATTGCAGCTGATGACTCTAAGTTGAAGCCAATGCTCATGTACCATTTGGAAGGTCCTAGGGCCCTTAAGAATTATGCTAAATTGGCTGAGCGTGGTGGCTCATGCCTGTAATCTCATTACTTTGGGAGGCCAAGGCAGGTGCATCACGAGGTCAAGAGATCGAGACCATCCTGGCCAACATGGTGAAAACCCGTCTCTACTAAAAATACAAAAAATAGCTGGGCATGGTGATGCATGGCTATAGTCCCAGCTACTTGGGAGGCTGAGGCAGGAGAATTGCTTGAACCCAGGAGGTGGAGGTTGCAGTGAGCTAAGGTCATGCCACTGCACTCCAGCCTGGCAACAGAGTAAGACTCCATCTCAAAGAAAAAAAAGAAAAGGAAAGAAAAGAATTACGCTAAATCTACTCTACCTGTACTCTTTAACTGGAAGAATGAAGTTTGGATGACAGCACATCTATTTACAGCATGGTTTACTGAACATTTTAAGCCTAAGGTTGAGACCTACTGACTCCTTCTTGACAATCAACCTGGTTATTCAACTCTGAAGGAGATGTACAAGGAGATTAATGTGGTGATGTCTTCTAACACATATCCATTCTGCACCCAATGGATCATGGAGTAATTTTGACTTTCAAGTCTTATTATTTAAGAAATGCATTAAGGCTATAACTGCTATAGTGATACCTCTAATGAATCTGAGCATAGTCAGTTGAAAACATTTAGTGGTGAATGGGAAGTATTTACCATTCTAGGTTTCATTAAGAACAGTCATGAATCCCAGCACTTTGGGAGGCCGAGGCGGGTGGATCACGAGGTCAGGAGATCGAGACCATCCTGGCTAACAAGGTGAAACCCCGTCTCTACTAAAAATACAAAAAATTAGCCGGGCGCGGTGGCGGGCGCCTGTAGTCCCAGCTACTCGGGAGGCTGAGGCAGGAGAATGGCGTGAACCCGGGAAGCAGAGCTTGCAGTGAGCCGAGATTGCGCCACTGCAGTCCGCAGTCCGGCCTGGGCGACAGAGCGAGACTCCGTCTTAAAAAAAAAAAAAAAAAAAAAAAAAAAGAAGAACAGTCATGGAAGGAGGTCAGAATCTTCATATTAACAGGAGTTTCAAAGAATTTGATTCCAATAATCATTGATGACTTTGAAATTAGGCCAATTAATAACCCTACAGTAGCCTCTAAGTATTCAAGGGAAAGGCAGAGTTGCATATCTCTCACTGAGTTCAAGTGAAGTTCAAAACTTTGGTGGAGGGAGTAACTGAAGATATGTTAGAAATAGCAAGATAACTAGAATTAGAAGTGAAGCCTAAAGATGTGACTTAATTCCTGCAATCTCATGATAAAACATGGATGGATGAGGAATTGCTTCTTATGGATGAGCAAAGAAAGTAGTTTATTGAGATAGAATCAGCTCCTAGTGAAGATGCTGTGAACATTGTTGAAATGTTGACTCCAATATTGACTGAAGTTCTACTGTGGGTAAAATGCTATCCAAATAGCATTGCATGTTACACAGAAATCTTTTGTGAAATAAAGAGCCAAGTGATACAGCAAATTTCATTGTTGTCTTGTTTACAGAAATTGCCAGGCACCCTAACCTTCAGCAACCACCATCCTGATCAGTAAGCAGCCAGCAACATCAAAGCCAGACTTTCCACCAGCAGAAAGGTTTTGACTCTCAGAAGGCTCAGATGATCATTAGCAGTTTTTAGCAATAAAGAATGTTTAAATTAAAGAATGTACATTTTTTAGACCTAATGCTATTACACACTTAATACAGCATAGTGTATATATTTTATACACTGGGAAACAAAAAATAATTGTGTGATTCACTTTATTGCAATATTCACTTGATTGTGATGGTCTGGAACTGAACCTGCAGCATCTCCTAGGTGTGCCTGTAGTTGACATATAAGCTGTTTTTTTTTTAGTATTTTTGTTGCGATAATGCTAAACATGGTATCTGTGTGCACATATCTTTATACGTTCTATGACTTATTTATGAAATAAATTCCTAGAACTGGGATTGTAGTTCAAAAAGTACATTTTGTGGTACTTCCTATTGCCTAATTACTTTCAAGTTTTCCAGTGTAAATTCTACTAACAGTTCACAAAGATTCTTATTTCTTTATGCTGCTACCAGTGCATAGTTTTATCATTAAATTCTGACTTGATAAGTATAAAATTGGATCATTTTATCTCTGATTACTAACAAGGTAAAAACATTTTTCATTGCTTTGTTTTTTCATATAAATTTATACTTTGTGAATTGTTCATATTTTTTATCATTTTCTACTAAAGGGGTCATCTTTTTCTCATTGGTTTTGAACACATTTTATAATCACACATATATTTTACTCTTCCCAGCAGCAGTTATTTTTGGATTTTGATTGATAGTCCAACCCAGAAATGTAGCATCAAGTTTATTTGTCTTTAAAAAGGATCTGAGATGAATCTGTTACAGCAGGTACAGTATTAATAAAGTGAAAGTGATGTGGCTCTGGCACCACTTTCAGTGTCCCCAGATGATTCTGCACCATAGACTTCCATGGTCACTAGGAAAGGGACTGATTGATGTAGTCTGTCAGTTTAGGGAAACCATCGGCTCTGGGATCTATTTACTCTTTGTTACCTTGCTAGCCCATGACTCCCCTCAGGGTTAGGAATCTAGCTTTAATTTTCTGATGTAACTGTATCTCCTTAGTTATAGATTACTTAATAATCAAACTCAACAATGTATAGGTATCCAGTGAGTAGAGTGTAACCTCAGCAGGACTCTGATTTATCTTGGATCAGGTATTAACTTTTTGAGTTATTGTTGCAAGGAGGATTAGGCCAAGGAGGATTAGGCCAAAAGTCAAGTCTTTCACATCTCTGAGGCTAGAGCAGGGGTCAGCAAACCAAGGTGCACAGGCCAAATTTGGCCACCAGCCTAGTTTTGAAAATAAAGCCTTACTGGAACATAGCCATACCCATTGGTTTATATTGTCTATGGCAGATTTCATGTTACAGTTGCAGAGTAGATGTGACAGACAGATCCACAAAGAGTAAGTATTTGCTAAATGGCTCTTTACAAATAAAATTTGGCTACCCCAGGGCTAGAGGAAAGGCCACAACTCAGCCGTTAATCCTTTTCTCCCAATATATCAAGAACATTAATCCATGCTAGCTCTATTTTGAATTTTTATTTAGTCTATTTTTCTTTTACTCATTAATTTGTTCCTTTACTTATTTATTAAGTCATTTATTTATTCATTTATTGTCACTGTTTTTATACTTAAAAGTTTTCCAACATTTAAAGTTGAGGCATGTGTTAACATATGTTTTCTTCTACTTCTTCTGTTTTATCTATATGTTTTTAATATATCTAGAGTTTATTTTGGTATATAGCAAATCATCATGATTTAACTTTGTTTTTCACTAAATTATCAATTATCCTATGTCAATTGATGAATAACTCATATTTCCCCATTAATTTAATATTATAGCCTAACTATATATCAGATTCAAACATGAATGAATGCCCACAAAAATGATGCCGCAATCATTGCCCTGCTGTTTTGCTCCATTGGTCTTACAGTTTCTTCTTGTAACATAACCATACTGTTTAAATTACTGATTTTTATTACGTGTGCTAATACATATTATTAACCTTTATTACATTTTCTCATATATTATTGACCTGTGTTCTTCTTTTTACATTTTCTTAACTTTTCTAGCAACTTTCATAGATATAAGATATAATTTTTATAGATAAAAGTTGGAATTATTTTTTCATAATTCCAAAAGTCAATGATAGGAGTTTATGTCTGAATTGCATTTTATTAATTATAGAATTCTATATAAAAGTTAGATCAAACATTTGCTATAATTATAACATATATCTCATTCAGATTAAATAAAATTGGGAAGAATATTCAAAATGCCAAAATTAAATATCTACATGCATTTTCTACATTATATGCCACCACAAGTTTGTTCTTAAATAGAAATAACACATAGCTTCTGTGTTTATCATTTATTTTTTGTTTCTTTATTAATCTTAAACTGTGACAGAAAAACTGAACCTTAAGTTGTTATTAAATGAATTATTAATAAGTATATTCAGAACATCTAATATATAATTACTAGGAGTAATATTAATCTGTAAGTCTGTATTAAGTTGATTTAATACCTAAACTCTCTTTTCAAAGGATTTTAAATATTTAAACATTATTAAAGACATTCCCCAGAAATTTTAAATGTGAAATATGTCTGACAGAACACCTGATCTGTATCTAATTGTAAATATATCTTTGGTATGTTTTCATATGTTTAGTTAGACACTCAGAGTATGTATAATGGGCTATATTGGCATTTACATTTCATTGTGTTAATATTTATATTTACATTTAGAATACAAATTAATTGCATTTCTGGTAAACAACATTGTTCATCGTTAGAATATTTTATTGTAGACTTTGTGTCATTTTGATTACCTTGCATAAGTATTTAACTTCTTTTTTAAATTCAGTAAATGATTTCATTCTCTTTTGATATACACCCAGAAATAAAATTGCTGGATCATACGGTAACCTATTTTTAATTTTTTGAGAAACTTTTATACTGTGTTTTCTTTTTCATTTTCTTTCCTTTTTTTTTTTTTTTTAAAGACAGTTTCTCACTCTGTTGCCCAGGCAGGAGTGCAGTGAGTGGCATGATCATGGCTCGCTGAAGCCTCAACTTCCTGGGCTCAAGTGATCCTCCCACCTCAGCCTCCCAAGTAGCTGGGACTACAGGCATATTCCACCATGCCCAGCTAAGTTTTTTTCTATGTTTTTTGTAGAGATGGGGTTTTGCCATGTTGCCCAGGCTGGTCTCAAACTACTGGGCTCAAGCAATCCGCCCACCCTGGCCTCTCAAATTGTTGGGATTACAAGTGTGAGCCACTGTGCCTGGCACATACTGTTTTCAATAATAGCTATACCAGTTTATATTACTGCCAATAGTGTATGAGGATTCCCTTTTCTCCACACCTTCACCAATACTTGTTGTCCCTTGACTTTTTGATACTAGCCATCCAAATTGGTGTGGGGTGATAGCTCATTGTGACTTTGATTGCATTCCCCTGGTGATTGGAACTATTGAGCACCTCTTCATATACTTTTTGGCTCTTTGTGAATCTTCTTTGGAAGAATCTCTATTCGAGTCATTTGACCATTTTTAAAGAGATACCTGCACTCCCATGTTGACTGCAGTATTATTCACAATAGCCAATATAGAAAAACAACCTAAGTGTCCATTGATGAATGAATAAAAAAAGAAAATGTGGTATGTATGCCTACACATGGAATATTATTCTGCCATAAAAGAAGGAAATCCTGACATTTGGGGCAACATGGATGAACCTAGAAGACATTATGCTAAGTGAAATAAGCCAGACATAGAAAGACAAGTACTACTGTATTGTATGATCTGACTTCTTTGTGGAATTTAAAAGAATTGAACTTGTAGAAGCAGAGAGTAAGATGGTAGTTGCCAGGAGATTTTGGGAAGCAGGTTGGAAATTGGAAGATGTTGATTAAAGGGTACACACTTACAATTTTAAGATGAATATGTTCTGGGGATCTAATATACAGGATGGTGACTATAATGGCATATATTGTATTTTTGAAATTTGTAAAAGGAGTAGATCATAAATATTCTCACCACAAAAAAACAAAGGCAACTATGTGAGGTGATGGCTGTGTCAGTTAGGTTGATTATAGTAATCATTTCACAATGTTTGATATATGAAGTCATCACATTGCATATCTTAAATATATACAAGTTTTGCCAGTTATTCCTCAATAAAGCTGGAAAATCAATTAAAAATTCAGTAAATAATTAGGGGAACATTTTATCCTATATTTTTCTCTCATTATGGCTATTTAGGTTAATATAATTTGAGAAAAGGTTATGGTTTTATAATCAAATTCCCAAAGCTTGTCCTTAAAGATAGATGTTTACTAAAAGTGAGTAGTCACACAAATACAAAGTATCAGTTGGAAGTGAACTTACAGGCTTACTGGCCATCATCTGCTTACTGTATTCCCCAATTTGCTGTCAATTAGTGCCCTGGCTAATATGTATATAAGTTTTGTTTTGGTTGCACAACTGAAATCCAAGTGAAAAATATACGGAGGTGTCCCTCACATCCAAATAACAGTAAAGCAACTTGCCTAAGGAAGAAAGTGTACTAAAAATTGGAACCATGTATGGACTCTTTCTCAGGTTGTTGCCTCTGAACCTATCAAAAGTGATGTGCATAGGGGAGATGAAGGTGTGACAGAGGCTGCAACCAGGTGGGTGAAGGAGAGAACAGGCAATTCTCAGAAAAGGAGTGCTGGGTAGTTAATCCAGTAGGTGTCTACTACACTATCCTCAAACCCTTTAGTTAAGAGGAACTCTTCAGAGACTGGCAATTGCCTCTTTAAATAGCTTTGGATGTTTGAAAGTACAATTGAAATGCTTTCGAGTAGTTTCTAATTATTGTGCACATTATCCCATCTTAAGGTGATTCAGAAAAATTTAAACTCCCTCTCTATGACTGTTCTTCAGATAAGTAAAAATAGATTTTTTGTATGACTCTTTTCCTTATCCAAGCTAAATATGCTTGTTTCTTTTAACTGTTTCTCATATGACCTGTCTTTAAGTCTCTAAACCTGTCTCTTTTTTTACATTTTCCACTTAAAGTTTTCTAGTTTGCCAAAAACTGAAGGCACTACTTCAAACATCTCTGAAAAAGAGGGGGACGGGATGGGCGTGGTGGCTCACGCCTGTAATCCCAGCACTTTGGGAGGCCGAGATGTGCAGATCACCTGAGCCCAGGAGTTTGAGACCAGGGTGGCCAACATGGTGAAACCCAGTCCCTACTAAAAATACAAAAATTAGCTGGGCATGGTGGTGGGCGCCTGTAATCCCAGCTACCTCGGGAGGCTGTGGCAGGAGAATCGCTTGGACCCGGCAGGCTGAGGTTACAGTGAGCCAAGATTGTGCCACTGCTCTCCAGCCTGGGCGACAGAGCAAAACTGTCTCAAAAAAAAAAAAAAGGAAAGTGGGACGATCACATCCCATACTAATTTACTGTGAAAATACTCATTTCTGTCTTGACTATATTGAAATATAAGCTCCATGGTGTTTTATTAATGTTTTCAGCTGATAAACTCTACTGTCTCTATCTTGTAGTTGTGTGGTTGCAGTTTTAGACCCCAAGTTACATGTTAATTTGTTAAAGTAAGTCCATTGCTCTGGTCCATCACAACATCTTTTTGGATCTTGATTCTGTATCCAAGATATTTGGTCTCCTTCCCGGACTCTTTGTTTTTGTTTTTCGGGTTTTTTTTATTCCCTGTCCTGGGACCCCCATCTTTGTTTTTATAATTTCCCTATTGACCCCTTTAAAACATATTGAAGTTAAAGACAATGAAATATGAAACTTAGAGGGAAACTTGTTTGATCTCATTATACATAATGGCATCAGTGAAGTAGGCATATAAGGCTCTGTTCTTACATTACGTTTTCAGAAAAGATGTATGGCCTAGACCTGTTCTGCATTGTTGTTCTGCATTCTGCACTCACAATCTCCAGCTCAAATCCTTTCCCATTACCAGATCAAGCAGTGTGGATAACTAATTCAGAAACCTTTTTTTTTTTGAGATGAAGTCTTGCTCTTGTTGCCCAGGCTGGAGTGCAGTGATGCGATCTCAGCTCACTACAATCTCCGCCTCCTGGGTTCAAGCTATTCTCCTGCCTCAGCCCCCTGAGTAGCTGGGATTACAGGTTCCCACCACCACGCCCTGCTAATTTTTGTACTTGATGGGGTTTCGCTATGTTGGCCAAGCTGGTCTCGAACTCCTGACCTCAGGTGATCTGCCTGTCTTGGCCTCCCAAAGTGTTGGGATTATAGGCATGAGCCACTGTGCCTGGCCCTAGTTCAGAAATCTTATAATTCTTTTGTAGGTCTAACTGTATCACTAACATGGGCAGCTTCAGCAAGTTAGCATTTGGAAGCCCTCCTAAAGATCAAAGTTCTCCCAGTATCCTCGTGCAGTTATACTGCTTACAGCTATATACAACCTCTGAAACACCCAGCATCCATTCACCAAAGATAAAGTATACATCAGTATTATATTGCACATATTACTTCCATAGAGAGGGTAAAAATGTTAATTCATGGAAGACCACGAAATCATAATAATCATTTGTATTGTGCCACACATTATTTTAAGCACTTTAAACATCCTTTATTTTACCTTATCCAAACTAAATACACTTTTTTATTTTACCTTATTTAATGGCTGTGTCAATTAATTTTTGAGATGTTATCTCTGACTATCTTCATTTTACTAATGAGGAAAGTGAAATAGAAAGAGGCTGTTTACTTGTCTGGGTGGCACAGATAGTAAAATAAAAGAATCAGTATGTGAAACAGCTAATTTGACTTCATTCTCTTTTAAACAATACACCATACTGCCCCATCATATCAAAAAAATGATTCGAAAAATGCAGGGGGAATGTATGAAGTTTATGAGAATCAATATATACCTGTATCTCTTAATCTGGTCCCTCAGTCCATTGGAGCACCTCCTAATTCCTCTCAATAACATCAACACATTTAGCAAATATGATCTGCTTATGTCTATATTCAAGTCTATTTAGCTATCCATTTGTTATTTGCAAGAACGATGAAAATGACCTGGCTGAGGGCTTTTATATATTAGGAACACTTTTCCATGTGAATACACAATCATTTAAGTATTTTTCTCTAGCCTGTATCCTCCATGTTATCTAAGTAAACAATCAGATACTTTGCTTCCAGTTGTTCAGATACCTGGAATCTTTCACATTTCTCTGTATATTAGATTTGTAGCAATTTAAAAAAATAAGATTACTTTGAAATTACTTCCATTACAAAATTGATCCAAGACATCGTAACCCAATTATAAGATCATAATATGGTGTTATGGTTAGTATCTACATTCTAAGTTGTGAACCTTTAGTATAGTTTAATTTTATCAGAGAAGCAGAAACTTATCAATATGCTAATGAATGAATTTCAACATACTCTTCTGTATAGCTAATATGAAACAGTGATGCTTATACCTATTGTTCTATTTTCACTACCAGAAAATTCAGTAATATTAGAACTGTTTTTTAAAAAATCAACTACAACCAAAAAGGTTTCTGAGGAAATACTGGCATTTTATTTATTTGTCTTTTTTTTTTTTTTTTTTTTTTTTTTTTTTTGCAATTTTAGCTTCCCTTAGAGCTATTTTAGCTAACAAGTTGGAATTCTGGAAGGCTGCAGTGTATATAAATCACTCATTCTTTAGCCTTTGGTTATCAGAGCCATGAGGTTTTATTGCACTTAGATTTATCAGATAAAAGGCTTCTGGAGACCTATGATGTTTGTGTAACCCTCACCTAAATTTGAAAATAATTATATCTAGTGCTATCAAACATTACAGATATTAGGACTATATTTGTTCCTAATGAGCTGGATATATTAAATGGCTGTTCCTTTCATACCATTTTTGCAGAAATAATTCCTGCTGATAAACATTAGTGGTGACTATCTACAGAGGGCCATTAGGATCACAGAGCCAGCTCTGATAATTTTGGAGTTTCCTAAAAACTTGTCAAAAGTGCAATCATGTTTTAAATAATGTTTTGAACTCTTTCAAGGAAACTAATTTTTTTGGAATCCATTATTATGCATTGGCTAGCTGCTGATTTCTTACTGCTACTTATTATAAATAAATTCAAGACTTATGCCCTCCTAACCTTAAGAAACTGAATCATTCATCCTTCATCCTTAAAACTTAGCAGGAAAATCAAAACGGTGTTTCAGCTCACCCTCTGTAGTCATCTTTGGTCTTCCTCTTTAATCTACTCCTTCATTCTTAGGACAAGGAGTCTGCAAATGATAGCCCCGTGGGTCAAATCCAGCCTCCCACCTGTTTCTGTACTGCCTATGAGTTAAGAATGATTTTTACATTTGTAAATTGCCTTAGTCCATTTGGGCTGCTATAACAAAATGTCATAGATGGGTTAGATTCTAAACAACAGATTTGTTTCTCACAGTTCTGGAGGTTGAGAAGTCTAAGTTTAACGCACTGGCAAATTTGGTGTCTGGTGAAGGCACACTTTCTGTTAACATAGATGATGCCCTCTACCTGTGTCCTCACATGATGGAAAGGACAAGGGGTCTCTCTAGGGGTCTCTTCTATAAGGGCACTAATCTGATCCATGAGGACCCCACCCTCATGACCTAATTACCTCTAAAATGCCCACCTTCTAAAACTATCACATTGATAATTAAATTTTAAAATATGAATTTTGAAGGGACAAAAACATTCAGACCATAGTATAAATGGCTGGAAATAAATTAGAAGATTTGTTACATTTGAAAATAGTATGAAATTAATGTAAGTAGCAGTAAGAAAGCAACAACTGATTAATACATATATACATATGGAAGTCAAATTTTAGTGTCCATAAATAATTTTTTATTGGAACATAGACACACTCACTCAGTAATGTTGTCTATGACTACCTTCCTGTGACAATAGCAGAGCTGAATAGTTGTGACAGAGATTATAGTGCCTGTAAACTCTAAAATATTTATCATCTGACTCTTTACCATAGGAGTTTGTCAACCCCTGCTCTGGACAGTCTTCTCTTGTCAGGGCAGATTTTTATGAGGTTGCACCAAACTAAATAGCTTCTTTTCTAGATCTGTTCCCTTCTTTTGCACTCCAGAAAAATCTTGTTCAGTGCCCATTGTGGGTTCAGATATCCCTAAAGCATTGGGATATGGCAAGAAAGTTTGAAAATATTTATATTATTTGTCTCTTTTATTCTGATTTCTATTTTTCTAAATGTTCTATTGGAGATGCAGGTCAAAAGTTTGCTTTGTTGATGGAGTACATGATCAAATAATTTTAGAGACCATTGACCTACGTAAATACATCAGAAGCCTGCTCACCTGGCTCAGCAAGGACAAACACTGACAACCTGATAGCAGCGAGAGAGAGTGAAGCATTTATTGCAGGGCACCAAGCAAAGAAGATCAGGCAACTCACATTTAAATCCTGACCTCCCTGATGGCTTACAGATGAGGATTTTTTAAAGCAGGGGTAAATTTCAGGAAAGCAGAAGTTACAGGCAAAATTGTAAATCAATACATGGAGGTTTCACATTGGTTTTGGCCTAAAAGGGCAGGATATCATGAAGCAGGGGGCTTACAGTTCATAGGTAGATTCAGATGTTTTCTGATTTGCAATCAGTTAAGGAAGAGAAGCTTTGTTTTGAAATTTGTGGTGAGCAAAAAGAATGTTAGCTCTGGCTCTTGGGTTTGACTTTCTCTAGGTACCTCAGAAAGAAATGCAGAACAAAGAACTTTGGTCAAAGTTCAGCCCTTAGTTCTCCCTTATCTGAGGCCTGCTTGCAGGCAGATCCATTCGGTGGAGGTACAGATTTCCGAAAAACAACTTAGAGACATATTTTATCGTTAGTTTCTATGAGAGAACGAAACATCCTGTGATTATAGCTTCCTTGGCTATTGTTTTAAGCTACTGTTACCTTCTTGCTTATCAATTTGCTTATTTACTTCTCAAGGCTAGCTAGGTGCCTGGAATTTTTCTTGTAGGATCTCAAGTTTTTCCTTTATTTCCATGCTTGGGCTCCCACCCTCCACCCCCCACTGCAGGCCCCTAAAGGGGGTTCTTTCTCTATCTCAATAACCTGTTTTCTGTAAAATGTTAGAGTTCTTTGGTATATTTATGGGTAATATATGAAAAACTTTTAGAATCCAAAAGGTTTGAAAGATAATGGATTATAGAAAATTAGGCAGGTAGGTTTAGTACTGGATGCCTGGTGGCCTTTAATATGCTTAGATGCCTTGTGAATCACCAGAAGGAGGTCTCTTTGGTGTTTCCCCAAAATAGCGTGGTCACATAACTTCCCATTTAGCCCCAAATATTTCAAAGAACATTTTTGAAAAAGGTTCTCTCATTTCATAGGATGTTTCAGAATGTTAAATTTTATTGCATGTTTAAAAGCACAAATGATAATTATAGAGCACTATAAAAATATCAGCTATCATTTGGAGATGCTTTTATCAATCTTGACACCGAGACAGGCATCTAAGTGACTGACTCGATTGTTACTTAAAATGTATTTGTTGTCGTTGTTACTGTTGCTACTTAATTAATTTTGAATATACACGTGAAGTCAGACTGTGATTACAGCCGAAAAGAAAACTGCCACCATGATGATGTTCCTTATAACCATCTAATGATTTGCAAAGCTACTTCAGCAAGCTAGTGATAGGGTCTCAATCAGTATTTTAACCAAAGTGATAGGAAGATTTTGATTGTAGAACCTTCTGCAGGAATCAATTTATTTTTAGGTCAACAAATAAGAATATTTTGCGTATATATCCAGATTTTCTATTTGCCAACTTTTTTTGTTATAATTTTGATTACACTGTAAACCAGAGTGTATGTGAGACATGTCTCAATCAATTTATGTATTTATTTAAAAACAGGGTCTCTCCATGTCATCCAGGCTGGAGTGCAGTGGTGCAATCATAGCTTACTGCGGCCTCTTCCTCCCAGGCTCAAGCCATCCTGCCACCTCAGCCGCCCAAGTAGCTGGGACTGCAGGCATGTATCACCATGCTCAGCTAATTTTTGTAGAGACAAGGTTTCCCCACATTGTCCAGGCTGGTCTTGAACTCCTGAGCTCAATGAATTTAGAAGTTTATTTTGGTGAGGTTAAGAGCCTGCCCATGACACAGCCTCAGTAGGGCTTGACGACTTGTGCCCAAGATAATCGAGCTACAGCTTGGTTTTACACATGTATTAGTCCATTTTTATGCTGCTAATAAAGACATACCCGGGACTAGGCCATTTACAAAAGAAAGAAGTTTAATGGACTTACAATTCCATATATCTGGGGAGGCTTCACAATCATAGCAGAAGGCAAGGAGGAGCAAGTCACGTCTTACTTACGTGGATGACAGCAGGCAAAGAAAGAGAGAGCTTGTGCAGAAAAACTCCTTTTATAAAACCATCAGATCTCATGAGATTTATTCACTGTCATGAGAACACCACAGGAAAGACTTACCCCCGTGATTCATTTACCTCCCACAGGGTCCCTCCCACAACACATGGGAATTCAAGATGAGATTTGGGTGGAGACACAGCCAAACCATATCATTCCAGCCCTTGCCCCTCCCAAATTTCATGTCCTCACATTTCAAAACCAATCATACCTTCCCAACAGTCCCCCAGAATCTTAACTCATTTCAGCATTAACTCAAACTTCCACAGTCCAAAGTCTCATCCAATACAAGGCAAGTTACTTCCACCTATGAGGCTGTAAAATCAAAAGAAAGTTAGTTACTTCCTAGATAAAATGAGGGTAGAGACACTGGGTAAATACAGCCATTCCAAATGGAAGAAATTGACCAAAACAAAGGGACTACAGACTCCAAGCAAGTCTGAAATCCAGCAGGGCAGTCAAATCTTAAAAAGTTCCAAAATGATCTCCTTTGACTGCATGTCCGACATCCAGGTCATGCTGATGCAAGAGGTGGGCTTTCATGGCCTTCACCAGCTCCATCCTGTGGCTTTGCAGGGTATAGCCCTCCTCCTGGCTGTGTTCATGGTCTGGTGTTGAGTGTCTGCAGCTTTTCCAGGTGCATGGTGCAAGCTGTCGGAGGATCTACCATTCTGGGGTCTGGAGGATGGTGGCCCTCTTCTCACAGCTCCACTAGGCAGTGCCCTAGTAGGGACTCTAGGGCACTGATGTCACATTTCCCTTCTGCACTGCCCTAGTAGAGGTTCTCCATGAGGGTCCCGTCCCTGCAGCAAACTTTTGCTGCCCTGGGCATCCAAGCATTTCCATACATCCTCTGAAATCTAGGCAAAGTTTCCCAAACCTCGATTTTTGATTTCTGTGCACCTGCAGGCTCAACATTATGTGGAAGCTGCCAAGGCCTGAGGCTTCCACGCTCTGAAGCAACAGCCTGAGCTGTTCCTTGGCCCATTTTAGTCATGGCTGGGGTTGCTGGGGCACAGGACACGACACCAAGTCCCTAGACTGCACACAGCAGAGGGACCCTGGACCTGGCCCATGAAACCATTTTTTCCTCCTAAACCTCTGAGCCTGTGATAGGAGAGGCTGCCACATAGGTCTCTGACATGCCCTGGAGGCATTTTTTCAGTTGTCTTTGGGATTAGCATTTGGCTCCTCGTTACTTATGCAAATTTCTGCAGTCAGCTTGAATTTCTCCTCAGAAAACGGGATTTTCTTTTTTATCTCATTGCCAGGTTGAAAATTTTCTTTTCTTTATTTTATTTTATTTTATTTTATTTTATTTTATTTTATTTTATTTTGAGACAGAGTCTTGCTCTGTTGCCCAGGCTGGAGTGCAGTGGTGCAATCTCAGCTCACTGCAACCTCCGCCTCCCAGGTTCAAGTGATTCTCCTGCCTCAGCCTCCTGAGTAGCTGTGATTACAGGCACCTACCACTACATCCAGCTATTTTTTGTATTTTTAGTAGAGACAGGGTGTCACCATGTTGACCAGGCTGGTCTTGAACTCCTGACCTCAAGTGATCTGCCCACCACAGCCTCCCAAAGTGCTGGTGTTACAGGCATGAGCCACCATGCCCAGCTAGGTTGAAAATTTTCTAAGCTTTTATGCTCTGTTTTTCTTTTAAAACTGAGTGCCTTTAACACCACCCAAGTCACCTCTTGAATGCTTTGCTGCTTAGAACTTTCTTCTGCCAGATACCCTAAATCATCTCTCTCAAGTTCAGAGTTCCACAGATCTCTAGGGCAGGGGCAAAATGCTGCCAGTCTCTTTGCTAAAACAACAAAAGTCACCTTTCCTGTAGTTCCCAACAAGTTCCTCATCTCCATCTGAGACCATCTCAGCCTGAATTTCATTGCCCTTATCATTATCAGCATTTTTGTCAAAGCTATTCAACAAGTCACTAGGGAGTTCCAAACTTTCCTACATTTTCCTTTTTCTGAGCTCTCCAAACTGTTCCAGCCTCTGCCTGCTATCCAGTTTCATAGTCACTTCCACATTTTTAGGTGTCTTTTCAGCAGCACCCCACTCTACTGGTACCAATTTACTGTATTAGTCCATTACATGCTGCTAATAAATACACACCCAAGACTGGGCAATTTACAAAATAATGAGGTTTAATGTACTTACAGTTTCACATGGCTAGAGAGGCCTCACAATCATGGCAGAAGGCAAGGAGGACAAAGTCACATCTTACATGGATGGCAGCAGGCAAAGAGAGAGTGCAGGGAAACTCCTCTTTATAAAACCATCAGATCTCTTGAGACTTATTCACTATCATGAGAACATCACAGGAAAGACTTGCCCCATGATTCTGTTATCTCCCACCGGGTCCCTCCCTCAACATTCGAGAATTCAAGATGAGATTTGGGTGAAGACACAGCCAAATTATATCAACACATTTTAGGGAGACATAAGACATCAATCATTACATGCAAGATATACATTGGTTTGGTCCAGAAAGGCAGGACAACTTGAAGCAGGGGAGGGTTCCAAGTCATAGATTCAGAGATTTTCCAATTGGAAGTTGGTTGAAAGAGTTTATCTGAAGACTTGGAATCAATAGAAGGGAGTTTCTGGGTTAAGATAAGGGATTATGGAGACCAAGATTCTTATTATGCAGATGAAGCCTCCAGGTAGCAGGCTACAGAGAGAATAGATTGTAAATGTTCCTTGTCAGACTTAAAAATATGCCAGACTCTTAGTTAATTCTCTCCTAGATCAGGGAAAAGACCTGGAAAAGGAAGGGGATTCTCTACAGAAAGTAGATTTTCCCCACAAGAGACAACTTTGCAGGACCATTTCAAAATATGTTAAAGAAATATAGTTTAGGGTAAAATACTTCAATTCCTTTCAGAGCCTGTTATGTGATGCTGTACTAGAGTGAGGCTGGAATTTGGTGTCTTATTGCACAAAAAGTTTGTTTCATCAGTCTTAAGATCTCTGTTTTAATGTTAATACCTACAGTTATGCCTGAATTTCAAAAGGAGGAGGGTAGAATGAGGCATGTCCAGCCCCACCTTCCCATCATGGTCTGAACTAGTTTTTCAGGTTAACTTTGCAATGCCCTTGACTGAGAGGAGGGGGCCTATTCATATGATTGGGGGGCTTAGAATTTTATTTTTAGTTTACAACACCTTTTACAGAAGGAGAAGCTACTCTGATTAATTTGTTAAGTAATTTAAATGATGAAATTCTACATATCATATTGTCTTCTGAAGGATGAACTGAGAAGTGTATTATCTCAGAATTCTGGGTTTGAACTAACTAACAAATCCATTTGCTTTCAGGTCCCTCCTCCGTGAATCAAATTTATTCATTTTTTTCTGTAGTAATGGCTGAAAAGTAGTGCTGATAATTAGAGTGCTATTATGAATAACACATTGTGAAATCTAGAATTCTCAGGGTTTCTTTGTTTACTTGGTTAATTATTTTTGTTTGGTTTTGATTTTAACTTCTGAAACCTTACCCTGTGAGGGCCATATGGATCACCTTTCAGGTATAACATGATTGTCTCCTATGAAACAAACAAAAAAAAAATTGAGAGGACACAGACAGGAAGTTTTTCAAATGTCCTTCAGTTTACTTGTTTTCAGTTCCTCAAAACAGACTGGTGCAAAGCAGTTTGGAGTTTAGAATAGCTTTGAAAGCATTTATTGTTCCAAGGCTAATTTTAACCTTGTGATAAAGATTGCTTTTTGTATTCAGTTGAATGTGAGATCCAGTAATTGTTTGTTAAGGCTAAGTGCTGTAGGACATAATACATTTTTTAATGGTGTTTTGTAATTATAATACAAGCATCTTTATGGCCTAATATATGAAAGAATGCTATTGAGTAGAATGATGAGAAAACAGACTTCAAATTTTATTATTTTAATTATTATATCGCATAGCTGCTTATCTTATATTTAGGGTAGTTTGACTTTGTATGTATGCTCAAATAAATGATTTTTCATTAGCTGAATAGTTTCATAGATTCTTGGCAGAAACAAACTTTTTATCCTCCTCATTTTTTTCTTTCCATTTTAGTCAGTAGGATATTGGTGAGGAAGGTTCCCTAAGGTAGCCAAAACAGAGGTGTGTGTTGCCCGAAATGACTTTAATATGAGTTTGAAATTACCTCTATAGGGAAGTTTTATGCTTTCCCTCTGTTTTCCAAAGTTTTTATGATTGGAATCTCTAGAATAAAGTTGAAAGTAGACAGATTTAACAGGAGAAAGGGCATACAAATTTATCAACTTCATATATACGGAAGTCCCACAAAATATGAGACTCTAAGGAGTGCCAAATTGTGGAAGCATAAATAATATTTTGAGCTACAGAATGAAGTAGGGGATTGGGGCTTCTGAGGGGAGGTGGCAGCACAAGCAATAGAAGGGTGAAAGAAGGAACTGAACTGAAAACAAAGGTTGCCTTATATGCAGATAAAGTGTCCCAGGTAGTAGCCTTAAGAATAGGTGAAAAGTGTAAGTGTGATCGCTTCTTTCTTTTTTTTTTTTTTTCAGATGGAGTTTCACTTTTGTTGCCCAGGCTAGAGTGCAATGGCGCGATCTTAGCTCACTGCAACCTCCACCCCCCGGGTTCAAGTGATTCTCCTGCCTCAGCCTCCCGAGTAGCTGGGATTACAGGGGCCTGCCACCATGCCTGGCTGATTTTGTACTTTAGTAGAGACAGGGTTTCTCCCTGTTGGTCAGGCTGGTCTTGAACTCCCGACCTCGGGTGATCCGCCCACCTTGGTCTCCCAAAGTGCTGGGATTACAGGCATGAGCCACCGTGCCTGGCCGTGTCTCTTCTTTTGCAAGGAGTTAATCTTGACTGGTTAATGTAGATTCCAGGGAAGGAGTTCAGGACAATGACATTTCTTCAGGAAGAATTTCCTTTAGTCAGATAAAAGAAACTTCTGAGAAGGCCTCTCCCTGCACTTCAGGAAAGAAAGAACAAGAGATGGGGGCTGGGAGAAGGCCAGAGAGACCTTGGTTCTGAGGCTATTCCTTTAGTTCAAAGTACTCAGCATATCAACGCACCATACTTCAGGGTGTCGTTTTTTTGAGCCCCAATGCCTCTAAATCATAAATTTGTGCCAAGGGTTTCAGATAGCAGTATCTCCAATCTGAAATGTTCCCATGTTGTATGTTTTGTAGTTGTATAGATAAATGACTGAAATCCTCATCAGTGGTAGATTAGGGATCCACCAAGGGATCTGTAATCCCAAAGGATCATGTAATACAAGCTCAAGCTCATCATTTTGTTAGTGGAATGACTAGAATCAATATTCTTTCTAAAACATCATTCAGAACCATATGACAACAGAGGCAGTAATACTGAGGCAAAACATACAATCTTAGAGTTATCAAACACTGTTATCTTCAGATTTGCACCTGCTTTTTTTCTGCTTAATAAGTTTGTTTTCATTTTTTACTATAAAAATTGCATACTACAAAAATTATATAGTTTAAGATATAGTAAAAATGAATACCTTTTTCTCATTTCACAGAAGAAGAGAACATAAGATATTCCTGTACCTTTGATTCTGTTTGTGCCTCCTCAATTATATTCCTTTCTCCTCCCTCGAAAGGTGACTATTTTAGATTTTATGATAATCATTTTCTTGCTTTTGCGTATGTTTTTCACATAATGTATTTCTAAACAGTGTACTATTTAGTTTTGTTTATTTTTTTGCCTCATATAAACATAATCACACCTTTATATTTTTACACAGCTTGCTTTTTTCTTGTTATTGTTCAATATTTTGTTTTTTCACATCAATCCTAGTTGCAGAATTAGCATTAGTTCATTAATTTTCTCTACCATATACTATTTGCTCACAATTCCTTTTGTTGGAAATGTCTTCATTTTTTCTTTATCCTTGAGTTATAAGTCTACAAGGTATGCAATTCTCAGTTAACATTTCTTATTCATATAAAATATTCTAATCTCTTCTGGCTTTCATTGGTACTGCCAAGAAGTGAGCTCTCAATCTGCTTTTTATTTTTGTGAGTAGTCTTTTTTTCCTCTGGTTATTTTTTAATTCTTCCCTTTCTTGTATACTACAATGTATCTAGATATCAATTCTTTAAAAAACGTATTTTCCTCAGTTTGTTGTTGTCTGGAATCTAAGAATTGGTGTCCTTCATCAATTCTATTAAACCCCTGACAATATCTTTGGAAATGGTGCCTCTCCTAGTTCTCTCCATTTGCTTCTTGTGAACTGCAATTTGATTTTTCCTTTACCTTGTTAAGCTATTCTCCATGTCTCTTAACCTCTAGATCATGTTTTGCATCACATTTGTTTGCTTTCAGGTAACTTGCCCAGATATATCATCATATCATCCCCAAACCATTAGGTTTTAATTTTCCATATTATTTTTTTTATTTCTAGAAATTCTATTTGCTCATATGTTATATCTTCATGATAAACTTTGAGTTTCTCATTATTTATACATTCAAGTCTCTCGTATTTTTAAGCATATTAATTTTTTTATATTTTACATCTGATAATCCCATTATATACATTTTTTGGTAGATCTGATTTTGTAGCTTTTTCTTTGCACTGGCTCCCACCTATGATATCTTTTTTCTCATGTCATTAGTGATTTTCTTCTCTTGTGGGCTCACATTCCTTGAAAATGTATTTATGGGAATTTATAAATATTTGAGGTAAAGTAAATTCTTTCAGAGAGGGTCTGAGATTGCTTTTACTAGTTATCTAAGGACACCATGACTAGGAACCACTTTTAAACCAAATTTTTAACCTCGCAGTTTAAATTTTGGGGCTCACACAGGTTAAGATTCTTAGAAGAGACTTACCTCCTTGATTGCTAAAGCTGAAACTGACGCATGACCCGCCATTGCTCTCTAGTTATTTTCTAGTGAGAGCATCACTCTTTCTTGGTCCTATATTTATGTGGCGATTTCTACTCTACCTAACAACGTGCTCAGTCCCAGACTTTGTCTGCTGTCTCAGATGTTTGTAACTCAGTTTATAGGCCACCAGGGATGGGCGAAAACCTTGAGGGTAAACACCACCCAATAGTTAGTTTGCCCTTGTGAATCTCTGCTTCGTGCTTATTTCTGATCTCTCAGAAATTTCCTTATTTTGATACCAGTACAGCTATGCATCTTTTAGAAAAAATCATATCCTGTCCAGTAGGTTTATATGTGTTATATTGCAAGGGATTCCTTTCAATATCTTGTTAACCATGTTGTAGAAATGGAAAACTCCTCTCTTGACTCTTTTAGATACTCCTTTAAATAGTAGTCATTTCATTTGCAGTCGACTGTAGAGTAGAGCCAGAGATTTACACAAGTTTTCTTAAAAGTAAAGATTTTAAAAAATATTTATCACTTCCAATGAAAATTCTGCTCTAATACTTGAAGATAATTAATAATTGTTAAAACTGACTCATGCTTACACCTTCACAGCTGCTATTCTGGGCCTTAAAAGATTTCTTCAAAGCATATCACATGATCATCTTATAAGCAGGCCAGCAGAAATTTCTAAGTTAATTACCGTTTGGCAGAGTGTATCCAAAACCTCTTATCTGAACAGTGAACCCAATAATTTAATCAGTCTGTCTGTTGATTAATCACGTTCTAATCCATCTGATATCAGCACTAAAAAAGCCCTTCATCTGTTTCTTGTAAAACTTATCTCCGTGAATGCACAGCTGCTGTGAGCTATTGGTATTAATAACTTGAATAGGAGACAGAACACAATGGATTCTCAAAGCCTGCAGAAAAAGTTTGAACTCCTTAAAACAGTCATTCAGGACTCTGCAATCTGACCCAACTCTATTTAATCCTCCCATCCTCATTTCCGGTTTATTTCCCAGCTTTAGCCGTGAACTAGTTAAAGCCAGTCACCTGAACTCCCACAACTTTTGTTTTGACTGTTTCTGAAGCCTAGTGAGTTGGTGAATGAATAAACATTTATTTATCAAATACCACATGCCAGTCATGTGCTGTATTGCTTCATTTACTATCCTACAACTTCTCTGTGACAGAGTGATGGTTATCCGGATCGGCAGATGAGAAGGTCAAAAAACAAAACAAACCACTTTTAGTGTCTAGTTTACAAAATCATAAGCTCTTTGAAAAAGGGCAAGAGGAAAAACAAAAGGCTACATGATTATGTGAGCCAGTATTTTTATCAGTCAGACATAAATAAAATTCAGAAAATTAATCTCCATATTTCTGTGGTATAAGACACCACATGCTTTATATATGTGACACACTATCCAAGAGGTGAGGAACATTTGGTGTTGGGTGAGCACTGGAGAATATGTGAGTAAAACTCCTTCCTTGGCATATAGCAGACATTCAGTCTGGTCAGTTTTCATTTATTATTCCCGTCTTTTAAGCCTAATCAGGTCGTACATTTTTTCTTATTCATTTTAGAACAATGTGCTCTTCTTTGTTCTTCCTTACCTACTTCTTCCACTGTCTTCCCTGCTTACGTAGAGTATCTATCCATTCCATCAGTTCAGCCTAGGCCAAGACTGAGATTAAGTACACACCGTGCCATGTTGTGTTGACAGTCTTCAACACACTAACACATGATAATGAGAGAGTCCCAGTGTAGTCTAAAACACTGGAGAATGTCAAAGCATTCTTAGAATTTTGATCTTGCAAGGTTTTGGGCCACAGGAATAGGAAATGGACCATCATGTTTGATTCAAGACTATGGAGAGTTTTTATTTCACTAAATGATAATTATTTTGCCTGTCTTACCCCATTTTCCTAGATAATTATCCTTTATCATGCCTGTATATTTTCTTCTAAAGTTTCTAAGGTGAATTTAAATCTACTGGTCCTGGTGTCACAGATTCCTATAATACTAGTTGCCCAGCTCTCAATTACGCCATCATTGTTTACCTGAGCATCTGTGTGAATCCTAATTAATTTTATCCTGCCAGACATAGTTCATTAAACAAGGGATGACTAACTAATGCAGCTTAAGCCCGTTAGGGCCTCTGTCACCAGGGGTTAAAATCTGGCCTAAGAGATTACAAGTTTGGAGGAGTGTCTTTCCCTACAACTTGTAGACTTGGGACTTGTCAGAGAGCTATATTCTATCATATGAACTGAGACAGAGAAAGCCCTCTGTGGAGAGACAGAAAGAAAAATGAAGAGATAAGCCAACAGAAGCAGAGAGGAGACACAGAATGATTCCTAGCTGAGGTATAGTTGCATATTTGTGTGTGTTATGTGAAATACTCCTTTTCCTTAAAATAAATAGACAACACCCCATTTTTTAAAAATTTAACTTATTCAAGTTGATTTGTTTTTCTTGCAACTGAAATGAGTTCTAATTATTATTACATATATTAAATGTTAAGAGGTCACTAACAACATTATTATTATCCATATCACATAAGCACACCTGAGTTCTAGTCTCATCTCGAATGCTTACTAGATATGCAACCATGGATATAGGTCATGATAATTTGAAAAGACTGATATATGTGACAGATTTGTGCTATACATATCTAAAATATTATTATTTCTACAATGTCAGTGCTACAACTTCTCTGATAATTTATCTTTTATTTCTAGGATAATAGTGCTATTTTTGCTTATTGTGTTTTCCATGTAGATAGGTCTGAAGTTCCTGATGACAAAAGGGCAAATTCTGTCACTAATTCAGATATTGAGTACTGTCGTTATATAAGCTACTACAAGAGAAAAATATGATTTATTGGGAACAAATACTTATCTTGCCCACTTTGCACCTCCAAGAAAACCAAGTAGAGAGTATTCTGACCATTATAAAGTTTATTTTGTGGAGGAATCAAATATTAATATACTTAGTTCATGAAGAAAATAAAATGTTAGTGAGTTCTTTCATAGTAGCGCAATTGTTCTAGAAACTGGGCCACTCTTGAATTTTATTTCACTTTTAGCTATTCACAGGGTATCAGTATGTTAGATTTATAATGATGGAATCTGACTCTGTAACAAGATATTTGTTGTTAGACTTGTTTGTAGAGTGATTTTCCTCTTTTGTGAAATAATGTATGGTTATGTTGTACTTATCTCAGTAGGATTTTATTAGGAAAGTGATATATTTTAGGAAACAGTTGGTCATGAAGTACATTTAATTTTTGAACTCCTAGTTTGTAAAACCAAATAATTAAAACATTTTTGACAAAATATTTACAGCAGAATCTTGGAAGTTAAGAAAACAAAACAAATGTTTCTTCGATTTCAGTTACAGGTTTTCAAGTAAACTGATAAAACCTTATCAACAACTCATAGCGATATACACTATACTACTGCATAACTCATTGAACAGATTTCTCATTCTGCCACATTTCTGCAGTTCAAGAGTAAAGCTTCTTTATAATTATATATCACTAGTACTTTCAGAAAGCCCTCCTTGCTCTACCATTTCCAATTTCTCCTCCAGCATCTACCTACTCCAAGAGGTAACTTCTATCTTGAATTATTTTTAGTTGTTACCTTACTTATATTTATAGTTTTATCCTGTCAGTATGTTTCACTAAATAATATATTGCTTTGTGTTGTGTGTCATATTCTATATATTTTTCTAGAACTTGCCCTTTTCATTCAACAAGATGTTTATAAAATTCATCCACTATGGTATATGTAGCCATGATTCACTTTGCAAATTTTATTTCTTGTTTTCATCCAACTTTGTTTGACCCCATTCTTTTTCTAGCCTCTTACTCAGACATTTCTGCAAAGTTTTCTTTTTGTGTTCATTGTGGCCATTGTGACTGTTTTAATTCAGTAGTAACCATAGAAACATCATAAGTTTTTATAATAAGAGAGGTCAAGTAAATGAACCTAAACAAATATAATCAGTCCGCTTACCATTTAAATCTCTTTTCTGATAGAGAAAAAATCATTATCATCACTTCAAATGTTAAAAGGTCACTAATACTTGATGTTATAATGGTAGTTATAATATTACATAAAGCAAAGATATTACCTAACACTTCCTTTTCTATAAACATCTGTTTTTAAAATATCTGAATATCGTTAATGCACTGAAGATGAGAGCTATGGCAGTTTGTCTTTTTTATTATAGAGAATGAACTCTTCTCTACTCTAACTATTCTTGAATATGTTTATTTTGTTATATTAACTCCTTTAAGCAATGCTAATAAGACTTAGCCATTAAATATTAAAGCAAAATATTCTCTTATGAAATCATGCTCAAATTCTAGTCTTCCCAGGTCAAAAGCTTTAGTAAGTTATTGTCCAATTATTTAAACTCTAACTCTAGTTATATAACCAAAGATAATTGGTTATATATGTGTTTTCATTCATCTTTCACTTAATTTAAAAATTCTAAAAGTCTCAATTCAGTGGAGAATGTTTTTGGCAAAACAATAGCAAACATGACAATTTGGGAAAGAAAATCTAGAATAAAATTTTTATTACCGATTTATTACTGGATGAATACATTGGAATTTTGCACTTTAGTTGAATTTGGAAAATGTTGAATTTCTATGATGCTAACAAATTCCTTTCAGATAGTTAACCCATTCTACAACAGTAGGCATCTGTAATTTGAGAAGTTATAAAGGACCTTTTATCTTTGGTTGAATTAAGGAATGAGAAAATTGACCTGTTTAAATAAACATTCTCTATTATAAATCAACACAAAGGAATAAGCATTCTCTATCATAAAGCAAATAAATTTTCCTTTGATTTGGTTTGTACTTCCTGTTCATTATCTTGATTAAGGAGATCATTCATAACTTTCCTATGCTATATTTACAGTTTAACACCACATCGTAGAAGAGAAAAATAAACCAGCTCCAACATTAACAAGAAACTTAACTCATAATACACAAAGAAAAAATTCTTAAAGGTAGAATTGTAGGCTTTGAGGTATTACTGATGAGGGAAATGCTTAAGAAAGAAGCATTTTCTTGACAGTCTTCCAATTAAATATTGTCAGCTTATTGATCCTTTTGGCTAATGTGAGATGTTGGCTTTGTGGTTATTAGTAGGTTACTGTAAATAGCATATAGCATATAGCTTAGAATTCCTGAACCATGAAGATTTTTTTCCTTATTAGTTATAGGTGAAATTTCCATTCTGTGTCTTTTATATTCTATGATATTTTAAAAATTCCTATGTATACTGTTAAGATGTGTTCTTAGCATACAGGACAAACATAAAAGACAACTGTAGTTGGACAGGCTCATTAGCTAGGAAATACCCTAGGTGGTCATGGATCAGGTTAAGAATACACATCCACATGAACCAAAAAAGACTGGTAGTTGTATTGTATCTGAATGGGGGCATTCTATTTAAATCCTAGAGATCAGCGATACCCAGCAGTTAAGAACTAGCAACCAGGAAGGTCTTAGAAGCTGCAGTGAGATGAAGTTCAAGCATGCTTTCTGTCAGGGAGTCATCACAGTAGGCTGCGTGAGAAGGCCTATAGCAGTGGGTGCTTTGTATCACAGCATTTGGTTCAGGGATCTATCCAAGGGAGGGGGTGTACTGAGTTCTAGAAAAAGGGGTCCCTGAAGGATCAGAAGAAGCAAGCAAGAACCCAATTCTAGACAAATGGACTAGCAGGAAAAGATCTAAGCATAGTAATAAATCCTGAACTTTGAATAAAGGCCCGTTTTTGCTATAAAGACATACCTGAGCCTGGGAAATTTATGAAGAAAAATAAGTTTAATTGGCTTATGGTTCTGCAGGCTCTATAGGAAGCATAGCAGCATCTGCTAATGTGGAGGCCTCAGAAAGCTTCCAATCAAGGCAGAAGGGGAAGGGGGAGCAGTCACATCATATGACAAATCAGGAGCAAGAGAAAGAGGGGAGAGATGCTACACACTTTTAAAGGGCCACATCTTACAAGAACTCACTCATTATCATGAGGACAGTACCAAGAGGATGATACTAAACCATTTATGAGAAATTCTCCCCCATGATGCAATCAATCATTTCCACCAGGCCCCACCTCCAACACAGAGGATTACATTTCAACATGAGATTTGGGTGGGGTATACATCCAAACTATATCAAAGCCCAAACCACTGGTCTGTTCAGCAGCAGAATGCAGCCAGCAATAAATGTCTTTGGTTCTCATACCTCAGGACAAGACTTATTCTAGTGCCTATGGTTTTAGTCTAGACTCATTGAAGATACAGTACTTTATTTTAGCACCACTAAAGGCCAGGCTGGAAGCTGGGCATGTAATAGTAAACAAAATATAGTTTCTTTCTTTACAAGTCTTATGCTGTAGTGGAAGGTACAGTCAGGAATATAGACAACCACAATAAATGGTAGTAAGAATGCCAATTGAGGAAGGTATATATTGTTATGGTGGCATGAGTCAGAGCATGTTACTAAGACTCAATGGAGTTGGAGAGAAAAGAAAAACTTCTCAAAGGAACTGAAGTCTAAGTGAAGATATGGAGAATGGGCGGGAGTAGGGATGCTGCTAACGTGAATCAGTTTTGTTGAATAAGCAGGAAGCACCTGTTTCCAGACCAATGAATTAAAAAATGGTCATCAAAACCAGATGCCCCATTATTTGCTCACCAACACAGTACCAGGGCACTTGACTTGGTGAACTAAATACAGACTTCACTCCTCCTTGGCTAAGAAATCCTGTGTAGAGAACAACTTGTGGCCTAGGTTGGACTTACTTAGGTGAAGAGCATTTAGAGTAGGGAGTAAAGCAGAGGAAAGGAGGATCTCAAGGTTTAAAGGGTATGGCTCTTGAAAATTGGAACACAGAAGAAAACCAGCCTCATCTGAGTGAAATATTTCAAGAATTGCCTTCTCAGACCATGAAAACACCGGAGTACCCACTGGATGAGCTTCACAGAGCCACCTGTAGGGACGTAGAACATACATTTAAGCGTTTGCCAAGATGGAAATTGACCCACAAGGCTTGAGCTTCGTGGAGTAACTCTATTTGTCATTTTACCCATTAGGATTGTGAAACATGGTTTCACAATAGCAAATCAAAGCAAGGCTGGTGATGTTGCACACAATTACAATAGAAATGGAATGGCTTAATTAGTAAAAAATTAACTGGCATGATTCCTATAAGTTAAAATGTACATATTTAAGGAGGCTTATTGTAACATTTATACCATTTATTTTATAATATACTAATTCGCATGTAAAAGTGAATGTAAATTACCAGAAATTAACATGCAATGTGAAGAAAAGTCCTTTTATCCTCTGCAACTGTAGCATTTGGCAGATTCAGGAATAAATAATCTTTTGTGGCAAGGGTATGCCTTATCAAACATATGCAGATCAGCACTAATTAATGCTAATTAAGGTTTCCTGTCTATCTAGTTGGAAAAACGTCCAAATGTTATGAAATCCAGTTAGTATGCCTATTACGCTAATTGTTTTATATGGGGTGGTTCTTAATTAAAATATGTAAATTGACCTTAATTGCTATATACTAATGGGGGTTCATGTTATCTTACTAAAAGTGACAAGATGGTGAGGAGGGGTACTTAAATGACTAATTCTGATAAATCCTTAACTAAATGACCTTTCCTCAAAATTAATTTTAATTGGAAGTTGGCAAAAGAAACATTTTCCTTCTTTGTTTCTTTTTAGTTTTAAGTAATGGAAGAATGTTATTCTTCTTCGTTAATACAGCTTTAGAAGCAGTTGTGGATTGTTAATTACACTTAACAAGCAAGTTAATTTTACTGTTTACTGTTTATAGGTATCAGGAAGTTATTGATATACTCATTTCAGTCTTGGAGAAAGTGACTTTCTTCTCATTTAAAGTGAATATATAGTTATAATCCTATAAGTAATTTCACATAACCAGTTTATTAGAATGTGTGTTAATGGTTGATGAGCCAGTAATACTAATATTATTCCTTCACTGATTTACATCGGAGTTACTTTTTTCAGAAAAAAAAAATATAAACTTTTTACTAACATTAATTCTTATTGGAGTTAAACTATGATTGGAGATACCTAGATTAAATAGACAGAAATGATAAACTTTTGCATTTTACCTATCATATTTTTATTATTTAATTGCAAACAAATTAAAATGAGTATGCCCTAAATGAGTGTTAATGAATATAAATATTTTTATTTTTGCGCTATTCTAAACCTAGAATTACAAGAAGTAATTTAGCTAAAGCTAACAAATACTTTATTTTACCTTTTTATTTGCAAGTAGTTTATGTTCAATTCTAATTTAATGTATATTAAAAATTCCTCTGCAAAAATGTGAGAAGGGACCTCATAAAATATTGTCATATGGAAATGAGCAGATAATAAAGATTATAGCTTTTCTTTGTCAAAAGGAGACTCAATATCTTTACTCTTTCATCAGGACATTGTGACAAATGTTTCCCCCAGAATCATCCGGGGAACCACCTCTGGCCCCATGTATGGCCCTGGACAAAGCTCCTTTCTGAATATTGAGCTCATCAGTGAGAAAACGGCTGCATATTGGTGTCAAAGTGTCACTGAACTAAAGGCTGACTTTCCAGACAACGTAAGTGTGATTTAACATCTAAAACAAGAGAATTGGCATAAGTTGGTGAATGTTTATTTAAACATCCAATTCATAGGCTTATAAATATTAATGTGTATATTTTATTAAAGAATCTGCCAGTTGCTTTGCTGATGCATAGAAAGATAAAAAAGAAAGAAAAGCTCAAGAACTCATAAAAACCCACACAATGTGAAGCTTTGTTATAAATGGGTGCCATGTAAGATGGAAGAAGTATCTACATAAGCAGAAGGAAGAGAAATGAAATACTCATTTTATTGAGTTGGTTTTCACTGTATGTGGCTGGTATTTATGAAGGTGATGACCTTAGGAAGAAATTGTAAACTATAAATCATTTTAAATATAAACCTGAGGCAGAAGCAGCATATCTTCCTATGAAGTCTATATTTTTTCAGTGGGAAATAATTTATTAAATAATTTTAACACTCCTATACTAAATTAGTCAACTATCTTTTATAAAATCTTTTTTTTCTCTTAAAGAACCATGCCTAAATATTGCAGTAAAATCAGGCTTGAATATAATAGATAATATTTTCTCTTCAATAGTCTGATTAGGGTGATCCTTAATGTCATTCATTTATTGTCCCTATCCCTCCCACCTCCCTCTCCCACTTCCTATTTTTTTCCTACTCCTTCTTCCTCTTTCTCTCTCTCATCCTTCCTCTCTTTTCCCCTCCCTCCTCCTCAATTCTCTGTCTCTTTCAAATATACACAACTTATTTCTCTTTCTTTCATTCTTTCTTTCAATGAATTGTTAGTGAATGGAGGTTGAGGTTTGAGGCAATGTGTGGGTTTATGTCATCGAAAATATTTTTTTACCTACATATGTCTTTCAAAGACAAAAGACAACACTTAAATATACTAATGATAAATATTTTTAAATCTATTGAAATTGGTGGATGTTTGTCTACAAACTGATAAATTGCAAATTCTTACAAAGGAATATAGAAATCACATGATTGCCTTGCCCATCAAGTTTTTTTTCTGTTTTAGACAGCTCTAATTATTTCAAAATTATCTCTTGATAATTTTGAAATAAAATACATGCACATAGAAATAAAATAAACTTGAAATAAAATACATGCACATAGAACTTGACATAAAATACATGCATTTGAAATAAAATACGTGAAATAAAATAAAATACTAACTTGAAATAAAATACATGCACATAGGACAAATATAATTTATCTTCCTCAAGATAGTCGTTTGGATGTGAAGGGAACTATCGTGACCCGTCTAAAATCTATAGTTTCTGCTTATTAGAAATTTTTCTCTTCCTGAGCTTGATGTGAAAATTATCCCTGTTTTCATATTATATAATTAACTCTATATGAGAATTATGCTGAGCTATTTGTTTATTAAAGGACCCACATCTTTTGGGAAGCCTTTCTCAGAATGATAAGGACTAAAAAAAAAAAAAAGATCAACTATAAAAAGAAATAATATGTTTGTAAACCTGATCTACAGTATTAAATACTCTGCCAGGTACTGAACATGCAACATAATAATAATGGTTATAATATATTATGAGCACTGATATAACACTCACTCTGTGCTAGGCACAGTTACAAAAGTTTTATTTATTTTAAGCTCATTTGATCTTTTTGAACAACTTTATAAGATAGGTAGTATTATTTTCTCTATTTAACTGATGAGGAAACTGAGGCACACAGCGATTAAATACCATATCAATCGTTACACACCTAATATATGGTGAAGCTAGAATTTGAACTTGAAATTTGCTTTTACCATCCATGCTTCTGTTCTGATCCAGTGCATTTGCCTATGTTGTCCTTAAATATTCAGTATTACATTTTTTTTTAACTAGAGATGGGTCCCCCCGCCCAGGCCAGAGTACATTGGCGCCATCATGGCTCGCTGCAGCCTCCAGCTTCTAGGTTCAAGTGATCCTCCTGCCTAAGCCTCCTAAGGCCTACAGGTGCATGCCACCATGCCCGGCTAATTGTTTAATTTTTTGTAGAGATGATGTCTCGCTATGTTGCCCAGGCTGGTCTTGAACTCCTGAACTCAAGCAGTCCTCCTACCTCAGCCTCCCAAAGTGCTGGGATTACAGGTGTAAGCCACTGTTCTAGTATTACATTTTAATGCAACATGAGAATGGTATGAAATATAAATTCCCAAATACTGATTCAATAGTATCTAGATAAGCTAATGTGTCTGAAAAAAAAAATTTTCCTGGAAAATAACTCCTACCAATGGATTGTCTTAACTTCATGTGACACTTTTTCTCTTTTTTGGGTAGGAGTAAGTTGTTGTAATAATGACCACCAAGAAATGACAGTAAGTGGACAAGAAAGCTGAGATGAAACCCTTGCCTTGTGATTCTACAGTTGAGTAGAAAGAAGAGACATAGTTAATATTCTTTTCAGTTTCCCTGGAGATAATTTTCTTCTCTTAGAATGCTTTTTCTTGAGAAAAAAATGCATACTTTTCTTGTTTCTGATTCTTTCCCTATTTAGATTATACACATCATTCTTTTTCTGTATTCCTAGAACTAATTTCTAACATTTTTACTCCTCATATCGAAGATAACGTTTTAAATACCATTAAAATGGCATTCCCATTTGAACCCATAGAAATAATGTGTGTGCACCTCGATATTGCCATGCTGAGAGTAGACAGTCCCCCGCTGTTTTGGAATTATTCTGATGGGTTTGCCCAATGAGCTGAATGAAAGAAGGTGACCCTTCATTTTCCAAGTTTAATTATCACTCTTGCTGGAGTTTTTTCACATCATTCTCGAGTGCATGGCTGCCACCTTTAATGACAGGGACTGGACAATTCAACCCACTGTGGCAGCTTCTAAGCAAAAGCTAACTTTTCTGATAAAAAGAATTGTGCTGGGTGTGGACATAGGTCAGCTAATATCAGTAGCTAATGTCTCTGTTTCCAGAGAGGGTGAGCACCAGTTGACCATGAACCAGAGGAGATGGCTGATGAACTTCTTGAATGTAAAGGCAGAGAGACCTCTGAAATATATTGTGAGGGCTCATCTCTGAATTGTCACAGTTATACCAAAGCCTACATTCACACTAGACTTCTGCTTGGCTTTCAAGGTTTCCTTTTATTTATCTGTGAATTAAATTTGGCACATTGATCATTGTAGTGACAATTTATTACTGACTAAGAGCTTTTTGTTCCTAAGCTGAGATTTTGTAATGCTTATTATTAAATGTGCAGAATAACTAGGGCTTGCAGAAGTCAGTTTAAAGTGAATCCTTTTATTCTCAATGCAAACGCCTTATGAATCATGTATTTTGGGCCGGGGAAAATTTTTTTTAACAAAAAATACATGCTGCACTTTGAATGCACTGAATTAGGAAGCAAAGACTGAAATTTTTTATCATTTGTGGCAGTTAAAGTAGGAAGCAGAAGGTAGGGCTTCAGCAGTGAATCAGGTAGTGAAGATAGAAAAGGAAATGATGGCTTTGTTAGAGAAATTAATAAGGAAGAACAATTGATATGTAAATATACATCTATTACAATACACCTCATTTCTGTAAAAAACACTTCCTCGGTTAATTACTGAGAGATCAGCATTGTACACATTGGGTTCAAAGTGATTCCAAAGAAGTTGATCTACATCAGCACTCCTGAAGGTGCTTTACTGACAAATAGCCTCTAAATATTGAGTTCTTAACATTTTATGTGTACCAGGGACTCCTTAGGCACTCTGGCGAAGCTTGGGAGCCTCTTTCCAGAATATTTTTGAAGGCATAAAACAAAATTCATAGGGTTACAAAGGATTCTCACTATCTCACTTAAAATATACGATATAGTAATGTATTTTTTTTATTAAGGCACTAAGTAACAATCTAGTGATGGGTCTAATAACTACTCAAATTTTGATGTCGTGGTGAGTATAAGTACTTCAGATTTCTGCAGCAACTCTACTGTGATTTTCTGTGATTTCTTTTGGTCCAAAGTGACAGATATCAATAGTGCCACTATGGTTTATTGCATTTGTCATCTTAAAAACATCAGACAATTGGCTGGGTGTGGTGGCTCATGCCTGTAATCCCAGCACTTTGGGAGGCCAAAGCAGGCAGATCACTTGAGGTCAGGAGTTTGTGACCAGCCTGACCAACATGGTGAAACCCCGTCTCTACTAAAAATACAAAAAATTAGTCAGGCATGGTGGCAGGTGCCTGTAATCCCAGCTACTCAAGAGGCTGAGGCAGGAGAACTGCTTGAACCCAGGAGGCAGAGGTTGCAGTGAGCCGAGATTATGCCACTGCACTCCAGCCTGGGCCACAGGAGTGAAACTCAATCTCCAAAAAAAAAAAAAAAATCAGACAATTTATACATTTAGAAAGGAGTAATACTTAGAAAATATTACTACCTGTGGGCTAGGAAGCAGGTTTCTGGCCAAAACCAGAGACAGAAACTTCAAGGGAAGAAAGGTGAGACAGGAATTTATGGTGAAGGGGTTGGCTAAGTATACATACTAGGTTATAGGAGAAGCTATGAATATTCATGAAGGGACCTTAACATCTAAGTTACATATTAGGTTATGGGAGAAGCTATGAATATTCATGAAGGGGCCTTAACATTTAAGTTACATATTAGGTTATAGGAGAAGCTATGAATATGCATGAAGGGGTCTTAATGCATGTGTGCTGAACAAACATGCATGTTATATACATGCAATGTTCACTTTGCAGTGGAGACTTAACATTTGAATGTATTACAGTTGGGCTGTGTACATCAAAAGGTGAAGCAGAGACATGAAGGCACTCAGTGCACAGCCTCTGTAAACTGGGCAGAACCAGTCGATGGTTTGTAGTCCCTTATTAGGAGAAAGTTGCTAAAATCCATCTCTTGTCCAATCAAATCTGTAGTTATGACTGTGGAAGAGGGGAAGTCGGTCAGCATCTGGTGATCAGTGAGCTATAATTGTTTTTATATTGCTTATCTTGAGGCCAGTGCTTGTTTAACTGCCAGAGAAAAAGAAAAAAGGATCCTTGTGGCACTGAGAACAGTTTATTCAAGTGCAGAGGTGCTTGTTTTTACCTTTGCCTGGCATGCCGTTAGGTCTCCTTTATAATTTGGTATCTTATTGAACACAAAGAGTCCATTCTGTCTCACCTGGGGACCAAGGGCCCTTATTTTTAATTTATACATTCATGATTGAAAAATGCCAAAGTTTGGAAGATTGGTAAAAATAAAAGTCTAAATGTTTTCTCACCCAAGTTTATGGATTTCTGTATTCTATAAAGAGTTTCTGGACCGCCGGTTAAGAACCTATGTCCAGTAGCTCTCTATTCTGTTTGGATATTGGAATCTCCTTATAAGAAGCTTTAAAAAAGATACTTATGGTTAGGCCCTATTCTGTTCAATCATTTCAGAAATCTCCTGTGGATACAATGAATATATATGTATGTTTGTGTGTGTATATATGTATATATATGTATATGTGTATATACATATGTGTGTGTATTTTTTGTAAAGTTCATCAATTGATTCTACTACATACACAGCCAGTGTTATTTATGGCTCTTGACCTATATTATTAAATATTTTTAAAACTCCTATATCAGAACAGTTTATTAAGAGCATTTCATATGTTTCAGGCACTGTGCTAAGGGCTTTATGTATCTGTGAAGCAGAGATTTTTTTTCCCATTTTAACATATGATGAAACTGACATTTAGAGATATTGCATTGACTGTCTTGGGTAACACAGCTAGTGAGTGAAAGCACTAGGCCAGGAAGGCTTTCCATTACACCTTGAAGAAATATTTCATTTGGCCCTAAGTAGCCTGAGAAATTAAGAATATGTGTTATTCCAACTCTCTTAAGTGGGCAATCTTAAATATAAATTTTCAAAAAAGAAAACAAATGATCTGACAAGGAAAGAAGATATGTTATCAGCCAAGCATTGTTTTGCTGTTAATCCCAGCTAAGGATATTTTATGCCCAGCTCTTAATGCTTTGCAAGGATGTAGCTGTCTATTGAAAATAGTGTCAGTGGGACTCCATTTGGACTTGGATTTGAGCTGTTACCTGGCCTCATCTGAAATTCTGTATTCCAAAATGGCGGAATCAGGGAACTGAGTCAAATTTAGGTGTCCTGCAAGCGAGGAGGATGCTTATTGCTTACTTGATGGGCGTACGTTAGTCCAGAGCCCTTGTACAGTCTTCTTGCCATCTCCACGAAGACTACCTCTGCAAAAGTAGGCTTCTATTTCTTTGAAGTTTTTATAATTAAGTTTCACTTATTAGAAATAGGGGGATTTTTGTCACTCAGACAACTCGTTTAAAAAAATAAAATTTTGTAACAGGTGAAACTATATCTGTTGTCAGGCCAGCAATGGCTAGTGCAAGATAATTACTTTTGTTACTTATCAAAGAACGTCGAGAGCATGAACATCACCTTAGTTCTTTTGCCTTGTACCCCAAAGAGGATATTCACAAAGAGAAATGTAAGTCTCTGTACTGAAGGGACTTCTCCTTTGTTCCCTCTGAAATTTTTTGAGCTTGTCAAGTCCTTGTTTCTGTTGATTTCTACACAGTCCCATGCTGATTTATTTTAAATAAATTAGGAAACTGCTGAAGCAACTATTGAAGGGAAGACTAGTGTATCCCCAGGAAACCGTTCAGTTTTTTTGTGCTAGAGCTTACGTAGTGATTTTCTGATATTCATGAATTCTAGAGTCAATATATACTTACATCCCATCCTCCTTTCTTTGCCAAAATTCGGGACAAATTTTAACTCAGATTATCTAGTGACATTATTTTGTGGACATTTAAAAATATTCTTCTAATTTACAAAAAAAGAGAATATATCATAATAGTAGTGGAAATTTAAAATATGAGTGGTTAAGAGTAAAAACATCCATGCCCACTTATCCTAACAAAATTCTGTTTTTCTAGAGTTGTAGTCTAGGAGCTAAAGGCAGAGGGCTTAGAGTCAGAACAGATTTGAATCTCAACATCTCCTCTGACTTGCTTTTTATGACACTCTCAGCCTCAATTCCTCATCTGTGTGACCCTCAGAGATAGTTTAAACATTTTGAAAGATTACATATAACATTTTGACACACGGTAATTATTCACTACCATAAATTAGATTGCATAGAATATTTATGCATTTGGTTTTTATCCCTACTTTTAAAATAATATTTTTGTATGTTGTGAAAGGGAGATTTGGCAAGTCAAAGGTAACAGCATGTGTATAGCTTTTAAAGTATATTGCCCAATTGATTTTCAAAACTTGGTGAACTAGTGGTTTTATACAAAATACTTCATTTCAGAAATAGTTACCAATTTAAAAATTAAACACTAACTCACTAAATATGTTTTTCAGTGATTCCTTCAATTTGAGTTCATTATATGTCCTATATCATGTAAGTTTTTGGACTCCTTGTTTAATGTTTTATTTATTATACTCCCCTGCTTTAATATCATTCATTCATTTTACTTCACAGCTTCTCATTAAAACACTTAAATAGTGAGTTCTTTTCTTGGTATCAGCATAGAAGCAAAGAAAAAAATAAAATATATTTAATTTCACAAAACAAGGGTAGCAAAAAATGAATCAGAATATGTAATATGGCTCACAGTTCTGTGATTAGTTTACGGCTCCATGTAGCCAAGTATTTTCTTGACATAGGACATTCGTAGTTCTTTAAAATAAAATGTTAGTGCATCCTAGATGGAAATGGAGACTGGATTTAACCTCCCAATGGAAACAACAACAAAAATCTTAGAATATACATGAAACAACAGCTTTTAAGACCTGGAACATCAGGCAATAAAGGAGAGTGGTCACTGAGAGATAGAAAACAAAGGACTTGCCCCAGGCCCTGAGTTGAGGAGGCTAGAATTCACAAGATAAAGTACAGAAAGCAGAGAGCTACATAAAGAGAATTCCAGAGACCTGCAGGTGTTCTCTTGAGTATGCAGCACTGAGTACAGATCAGCTCATGCATGTGAGTAAACAAAGAGACTGGAAAAAAGGAGGAATGACATGGACTACTCCTTGGTTCTTACATATATCTGGGAATAGTGACTGTTCTTGCCAGCCAAACTGGAAAACTCTATGACCACAAGCATTGAATAGAATATAAATAAGACTCTTAATTAAGTATTGGGAAATAATTAGCCCCAGGCTGAGCACTGCTTTGGTCATGCCCAGCAAATGTTAAAGGTGAGATCTGAAAGGATCAACGTGTTTCCATATAACTTAACTGCAACCCAGATCAAAGCTGAAGAATATTTATAGGAATACAAAAATACCTAGCACCAAAAAAGGTAGGATTCACAATATCCAGCATTCAATAAAAAATTACCTGTTATGTAAATAAGTAGAAAAACATAAGCCATTATAGGAGGAAAATTTATAGATTAAAACCATCCTAGAAGTGACAAGATTAGCATTAGCAGACAAGTACAATAAAGCTGTTATAATTATATTCCTTATGTTCAAAAAGCTAAGACATGGAAGATAGATAAAAGAGCTAAATAAAACTTCCAGAAATTAAAACTACAATGAATAAGATGAAAGGTAACTGGAAGCTATGAACAGCACTTTAGGCATTGCATAAGAAATGATTAGTAACCTTAAAAATATAACAATAAAAGCTATCCAAAATGAAACGCACACACACACGCAAACAGAGAAAGAGAGAGAAGTAAACATACCATCAGGGAGCTGGTGACAATAAGTGGCCTAATATATGTGTAATTAGAGTCCCTGAAGGAAGTTGTGGAAATACAGAAAAAAATTTCAAGAAATAATAGTGCAAAGCTTCCAGTTTTGCCTAAAACTACAAACCTCCCAAAACACCCCTCCCCAAAAAAACCCCCAAGAAACTTCATCAACTCCAAGCATAAGAAACATTAAGAAAACTATACCAGGCAGTAATGTAATCAGATTAATCAAACCAGTGATAAAGAGAAAAATCTTAAAAGCAGCCAGAGAATAAAGACATGTTCTGTACAGAAAAACACATGTAACAGTTACTAGTGTGATTAATTGTCAGAAACAATCTAAGCTATGAGACAGAGGGGCAACATCTTAAAAGTACTGAAAGAAAAGGACGAATATTAACCTAGATTTCAAAATCCAGCCACATACCTTTTAAAAATATAAGTGAAATAAATAATTTTTCAAGCACAATAAAAGGAGGTCTACACTGCGTAATGTTAAACTGTTTTAGGCAGATGGAATATGATGCCAGGTCAAACTGTGGTTCTACACAATGGAATAAAGACCACCAGAATTGTAACTACATGGGTAAATATATGATGTTTTCCCATTAATTAACTCATTTTAGAAGAAAATAGGTTGTTTAAACAAAAAATAAGATAATATGGGGGTTATAGCATACATAAAGCTAAATGTACAACTATAGTACGAAAGTTGGGAGGAAAGAGATGGAAGTATACTGCTCTAGGGTTCTAACACCTTTTGTAAATTTTTCTATTACTTGGAGGTAGGCTTTTATAATTCAAAGATGCTCTAAGAGTACCTTAAAGATACTCTAAAACAATCACTAAAATAAAGCCTCAAAGAGTTATAGCCAAAAAACCAACAATCAATATATAATGGAATAATAAAAAGTACTTAATCCAAAAGAAAGAAGAAGAAAGAGGAGTAAAAAAGAGATGAGACAAATAGAATCCATATAGTATATAGATGATAAGAGTTAAACCTAACCATTAAATAATCTCATGAAAAATGTAAATGGTCTAAGCACCGCAATTAAAGGGCAGAGATTTTCACATTGGATTTTTTTTTTTTTTTTTGAGAGGGAGTTTTGCTTTTGTTGCCCAGACTGGAGTGCAATGGTGTGATATTGGCTCACCACAACTTTTGCCTCCCGGTTCAAGGCCTCAGCCTCCCGAGTAGTTGGGATTACAGGCATGCGTCACCATGCCTGGCTAATTTTGTAGTTTTAGTATAGACAGGGTTTCTCCATGTTGGTCAGGCTGGTCTCGAACTCCCGACCTCAGGTGATCCCCCCGCCTCGGCCTCCCAAAGTGCTGGGATTACAGGCGTGAGCCACCGCGCCCGGCCGAAAATAGACTTCTAAATAACCCTTGGATCAAAGAAAAAATCATAAAGAAATTAGAAAGTACCTTGAACTGAATGGAAATGAAAATACAGAATGTCAATATTTGTGGTGTGCCATAAAACATTATTCATGGGGAAATTTATAGTACCAAATGCATGTATCAAAATGAAAAAAAGTCTCAAGTTAATGACCTACATTTTTACCTTTAAAAACTAAAAAAAGAGCAGATTGAACCCAAAGTAAATAAAATAAATGATATAATAAAGATCAGAGTGGAAAAGAAATGAAATTGGAAAAAGAAAAAAAATAGAGAACATCAATGAAGGTAAAGCTGGTTCCTTGCGGAGACGAAAAAAATTGACCAAACTTTAGCCAGACTGATCAGGAAACAAAAAGAAGAAACACAGATTACCAATATAGAAAAGGAGAGAGATAACATCACTGCAGATTCTACAGATATTAAAAGGAAAATGACATCATATTATGAACAACATTATGTAAATGAATTAATCAACTTAAGTGAACTGGACAATTTCCTTGAAGGACACAAACTATAAAAGCTTATTCAAGAGACAATAGATAACATTAGAGAAAATAAAACTTCAGGCCCAGATTGCTTCACAAGTAGATTCGCTAAACTACTTAGAAAAGAATAGTGCCAGTTCTATACATACCTTTCAGAAATGTAAAATAGAGGGAATACTTCTCAACACATTCTATGGGGCCAACACCCTGATACCACAATTAGAGAAAGAGTACAAGGAACTCCAGATAGGAACTCCAGATAGGGTTAATATTTGAAAGTAGCATAGTTCATATGTTATAAACTAAATAGTGATAATCACACAAAATATATTATCTCAATAAACCCAATAGAAAAAAAAATTTGAAGAAATTAAAAATCTATTTCTAGTTAAAATGGGAAAAATCTCAGCAAATTAATAGTAGGAAAATTCCTTAACTTGATGAAGGGTATGTACAACAAAGCCTACAACTAATATCATACTAAATAGTGAAAGACTGTATGCTTTCCTCCTAAGTGAAATAAGGATATCTGCTTTCACCAACTTCCATTCCACATTATGCTAGAGATTCTGCCCTGTCCAATTAGAAGAAAAAAATAAAAGACTGCAAAGGAAGAAGTAAAACTGTCTTTATATACAATTTGATTATCTGTGTAGAAAATCCATGGAATATACCAAAGAAACAACCAACCAAAAAAATCACTTAATTTACAGGAACAGTCAGATAGCCCACAGGCTGTTGTTTTTAGATTGTATTTTTTTTTTAATTACAGTAAAACACCTTCTCTTCATTACTGAGACTTTTGCCATTCCCTTAATTTTTGCAGCTGAGATAAATACCTAACTTGCCTATCCTAGATTTGGCCCTGTCAGAATACTTTAGGTAATCAGTGAGTTTGACAAGGTTGAAGGATATAAGATTGGCTTGTAAAAATTAATTGTATTTTTATATGCAAGCAATAAACAACTGGAAATTAAAATAAATATATCATTTACAGTAGCAGCAAATCATGAAATACAGATAAATCTGACAAAAGATGTGAAAGATAAGAACACTGAAAACAACAATCCATTTCTGAGAGAAATTAAAGACAACCTAATAAATGGAAGAATATACTGTATTCATAGATCAGAGGAGCCACTATTGTTAAGATGCCAAGTCTTCCCATTTTTATCTATGGATAAAGTGCAATCCCAATCAAAATATTAGCAAACCTTTTTTGTGGAGTTTGACAAGCTGATCTTGAAATTCATATGGAAGTGCAAAGGACTTACAAAACAATTGATAAAGAACAAAGTTGGAAGTCTAAAACTTTCTGATACCGAGCTATGTTAAAATTACAGTAATGAGATAGTCTGGTGTTGGCATAAAGATAGGCAAATAGATTAATGTGGCAGAATAGTAAGTCCTACAAACAACCCACAAATTATTTATATGAACAACTGATTTTTGACAAAGATGCAAAAAGGCAATTCAGTGGACAAAATATAGTCTTTCAGCAAATATGCTGGAAAAATTGGGTGTTCTTATGCAACAAGAAAGTAAGCCTTGATTCAGATCTCACATGATATATAGAAGTTAACTTAAAATACTCATAGACCTAAATGAGAAACCTAAAACTATAAAACTTTTTGAAGAAAACTTTTGACCTTTGTTAGGTAAATATTTGTCAGATACCTACCAAAATTACTGCCTTTGAAAGAGAGAAAAAGGATATATGTGATTTGATACAAATTAAAAACATTTCCTCTTCAAACTCGTTTATAAAGAAATATGAAAATACAGATGACAGACTGAAAGAAAATAGTTGCAAATCATATATCTGATACAGTACTTTGGTGGGTTTATTTTAGAAATTTAAACATATACCCATCATATGACCCAGATATTTTACTTTTAGATATCTACCCAAGAGAAAACAAAACATATATCTATACAAAGACTTGTACGGGAATGTTCATAGAAGTTTTATTTGTAACAACAACAACAACAAAAAACCTGGGACTAACTCATATTTTCATCAACAACTGAAAAGATAAACAAATTGTGGTATATTCATACTATGAAATATCACTTAGCAATAAAAAGAATGAACTATTATACACACAACAAAATGGATTAATCTCAAAATAATTATTTCAAGTGAAGGAATCCAGATTCAAAAAAAAAAACACCTCACAAAAGTACATATATTATTATGTCATCCTAAAACTAGAAAATGTGAACTGATCTGTAGTGACACAAAGTAAATCAATGGTTGTCTTATGGACAGAGGGGTTATGAGTGGGAGAGAGGAGTTATAAAGAGTCACATGGAAACTTTTTGGCAAAATAGATATGTTCATTATCTTGATTGTGATAATGGTCTTAAAGTATTACATATGTCAAAATTTATAAAATTGTATACTTTAAGTATGTATAATTTATTGTATACTTTAATAAATTATTATTTTATTCTTTATATAACATATATAGAAGTATACTTCCATAAATCTGTTTAAAAAATTGGTTTAACTTAAAATTATTATAGCCCTTTTCCTGGAATGCATCTTGGGAATTACTTTTAGGTTGAGTTGAATCGCTAACACCCGGCTACCTAGCTCTTCAGTCCCTACCCAACTCTTCAAGTTACCAGTCAATTAACACCCTCTAGCATTTTGATCATTCTCACTTTGATACTGAGTCATGGGAATTAACATGAAGTTAAAAATGACCTTAGATAGTATTAAGAAATGAAAGAAATATTGGTTGGATTGTTAAGCTTTGGCTTTGCTGAAGATTAAAATGCTGGTGGTTCATGTCATTCAGTAAAAGAAGAATCTTGAGAAAATCCATCAAACCTTTTAAAAGAGTCATTTTACAAGCATTACTGGCTACAACATACTCTTTCTCAAATACCCCTTCATTTTGTAATTTGTCAGGCTGCCTTTGGGGTGAGAATATTGTCTTTCCACATTGGAAGTATAGCATCTAACACACTGAACCATGTGAAAGAGACCCTGGGGATGGCAATGATGCAGTGAATGTGGAGTCTTTCATGGTATAAACTAGCTCATGAGAGAGGCAATGGAAACAATTTATAAATTGCTTATGTTTGTCACATACCCAGTTCATGTCAAAAAATGAAAATAAAATTCATATTCAAAGAGCTGAAAAGCTTTGTTCAGTAGGCTCGCTTACATAATATCAATTTAGTAATATTTCATAACAATTCGTGTTGCGATCTCAACTCCAATGTAATCTTACTTAGTATCAATTTGGTACTATTTCATAACAATCAGTGTTGAGAACTCAACTCTAATGCAATCTTCTCTTAAAGGGCTGGGGAAAGAAGGAGAAAGAAAGGATAATGTGAAAACTGTAACAATTGTTTTCCTCCTACTTATCCCCTCAAGCCTTTAAAATGTGCAAAGGGCCCATTTAATCTGCTAATTTGTAAGCAATTTTAGAAAAATGCACAACTGTTTTATGAGAGGCTTAAATGTAGGAGGCAATATAAAGTTTTTATTTAGCAGAATATGCTACAAGTATATGTGTTTCATTAGCTCTGTTACAAACTATTCATTTCATTTTACTCTTTTTTGGGCTTATTGATAACTATATATTTTTTTTCTCCCCCAGCTTCCTTTTTTGCCAGTAGCTAGTTTATTCTTTTACATTGTACCCTACAGGGAATACTCTTTAGATATTTATTTTTCACAAAGAACTAATTTCACATTTTCCCCCTGAGGTCTTCTAAGATATTTACTTGAAAGCATCCTCTTTATTGTTTAAAATAGCTTATAAAAAACAATACTTAACACATTATTTTTTAAGGGTTTATATACTGTATTTTAATGACTGCTTTTCTTTTTTAATTGTTATTTTTGATTAGATAATTGATTCAGTTTAAACTATATCTGTGATCCACAAATATGATCCAATTAATTGTAAATCAATTAAAAAGAGACTGTTCATGAGAGACACAGGACTACTAGCTTAATCACCAGGCAAACCAGACATCCTTAAAATAAGACAAATGAAGTATACTTTGATATAACAGTTAAATGTGTATAATGAATTCTTTAATTTACTGAAAATTTTACTATGTGGGATATGTCTTCATTTTAATAACCAAAATTTATAAAAGTACAAATTAGAATGAGGGCCATTTTGGTAAGAATATATACTAATACAGGTAACTAGTAGTTATCCATTTTAATAGGAGGCAGGGAAGAATCAGTCAATGAAATTTGTTGGTAAAGATGTAACCATATTTCTACCAGTTTCTTCAACCTTTCTACCAGTGTATTTCATAACCATGTTAGAGAGAAAAGGTACAATTTTTTAAAAAGGAGCAAGGAAGAAGAAAAAAAGAGATATACTTTGGCAATGAGCCTTTTCCCCAAAACAAACTGATTCTTAAGGAAAGTAGAAGAAACAAGAATTGACAAAGGGGTTTTACAAATTGAAAACATAACAGTTTCTTAGTTTTGTATAGCCATTTATAGGATACAGATGTGTATTTCTCTGAATCGATTTCACAATAACCTCACAAAAAAGATATGAATATCATCCTGATTGCATGATAAGACTGATATCTGGATGAAGGTAAGGACTTTCCTATGGATAGTTTTTAAATAGTAAGTGATAGAATTTCAAATTGAACACAGAACATCTGACCACACAGTCCCCACTGTTCTGCTAAGAAACTGTATTTTCTTAAATAAAACTATGCATATATACTTACGCACAATAAAAAGATTGTTTTTTAAAGCCAAACATCAGATTATTTAGAATTATCTATGAATGATTTACTTTTCCTTTTCACCTGGATTTTCATTTCCTTTGGTGGAGGTGCTAATGAGCAGAGAAATGGGAAAGGTAATCAGCCAGAGGGAAGAGAAGAATCAAAGACCTAGATAATTCACAAACTGGAAAATGAGCTCCTAACTAATCAAGACTGGATTGTAAATAGGATAGAAAGAATTTATGCATCCCTGGTATTAGCCTGAATAGCATTTGTACCCAATCCAAGGAAAGTATTTGTGAATTTCACAGTTGGCTATTTTTTCTCCCTCTGAGATTCTTTTCCTGAACTAATTATCCATTGTGTACATGAAGCAAAGAAATAACTTATCATTAAAGTCATTTTTGAGGTAGATATTTCACTTTGCATTTGTTAAAATGCCTAGAGCATTAATAAGGAATGAGTTAACTTTATTAATACATCTTCTTTGGGGAGTTTCTGATCTATATACTGATCAGCCAAAAGGAAATTTTCTGTAATATTTTAGTCATGCAAAATTTAGGGAAGTAACCAGATTGACTAATCTTTCCATAATAAATAATTTAATTTAACTTTGTGCTGCTTTTTGCATTTTAATTTTTTCATAATGTGTCCTTTAAAACCTTCAATATTAAAATGATCAGTGACTGTTTTGTGCCTGATTTAGTTTAAATTGTAAATTTAGTTATGGCTCTTGGGTTACAAAGTATGGGTGGGGAGATGTCTTAATATAGGAAATGAACACAATTAAAGGCTGGAATGGCTACGTGTACAATAAGTTTTTAAATGAATTACTGGAAACTGTGTAGCAATCAATATGAGAAATGACATATAACACCATATAACAGTAATTATTATTGTTACCTCGACTATAATTATTCCTCAAATGCTTTACATTTCATATATTTTCATACATACTATTCAACTGCAGAGTTGTATGAAATGTTTTATGACTCACAGTTGTTGCCTAATCTCTGCTTAAAACCTTCCAAGGCCTTTCCAATTCAAACTCAGACTGCTAGGATAATAGATACCATATGGTTAGCTTATGACTTTGAAATTCAGGCAGGACTTCTGCTTCTAGTAAGGATGTAGAAAGCTATAAGAGATTATTACTCCTACCCTAATAACCATAACAAAAGATATAAGCCACAAAATTAGACTTTTAAAAAACTTACCTAAAATCTGAAAATGCAAATAAACTTAAATGAACTAAATTTCAGAAAGTGACAAGGAGAGCAGAAACTCATGACTGCTTTGCTCCCTGGAGAAATGGTGAAAGGAAGATGTCACTGTAGAGACACCAGTTAAAATTGTAAAGAACTTTTAATGAATGTTTTTAGAGTTGTGTGATGTGTGAGAACCCCAAGAAGCCCAGGCACGGACCATCTCTGCACTCATCAACCAACCGTCTCATGGGACTTCACTGAATTGTCAACCAAATGTAAAGCCAAGGCAGCCAAGCTGAGAGATATCCCCCCTAAGGCAAGCAGGGCCTCCTCCAGTTAAAAGAGGTCTGCTGAAGGCTAAGGCAGGGAAAAAGCCTTGAGAGAAATCCCCCCAGTGCATTCTAGGCCTTCACTAGTTGTACTGCAGTGGCTCTTTGGAAGACTAGAGGAAGGGAAGATCAGTAGAAAGATATCCTGAAGCACAAAAAACCATGGTGAAACTAGAGAGCAGAGAGAACTCCCGAGCAACCTAAAAACCTAGGAGCTGGCCTGTAAAGCAGCAAGAGATATCCCTTGGTTCAGAAAGTTGGTTACTGGATTAACAATAAGTAAAGAGATTCTAGAGTCTTTCTGGGACTCAAGTCCCAAGTCCTGCTGAAGAGAAGGTTCTGCTCTCGACACATTTGAAGGCAATGAAGAACCGAATCTAACTAAAGCAGCGGCACAACCCAGACTCTGCTTAACTGTAGACTTAATCCACTCAGTCTCCTAATTAGCAGCCTAATAAGAGAAGTGGTGTGCCCTTTTCTGGGGATGACTATTATTTCTGTAAATTTCTACTGCTCTTTTACAGAAACCATCTGGCACTCAATAAAAAATTATAAGACATGAGGGAAAAAAAGTGTGGCCCAAGATCAACAGAATATTCTTGAGAGTGGTCCATAGAAGCAGACCCACACATAGAATTGGAATTATCAGATAGAGACGTAAAATAACCATGATAAATGTGGAAAAAAAAAATCTAGTGGGAGAGGTGGAAAAACAGTCATGAAAAGATGTGGAATTTTATTAGAGAGTTGTAAAATAAATATTTTAACAGATCCAAAGAGAAATAAAAGAAGTGAAGAATACATTATGAGAAATGAAGAATTCATTGACCAGGCTTAAGGGAGACTAGACAAGATGGAGGAAGGAATCAGTGAAGTTGAAGACATAGTAAATTAGCATAGGCACTATGGAAAGCAGTATGGGTGTGGGAGAGGGCTCTAAAAAAGCTAAAAATAGAACTACCGTATGACCCAGCAGTCCTGCTGCTGGGAATATATCCAAAAGAAATCACTATATCAAAGAGATATCTGCACCCTCATGTTTTTTGCAGCACTATTCACAATAGCCAATATATGGATTCAACCTAAGTGTCCATCAATGGATGAATGGACTAAAAAAAGTGGTATAGATACACAATGGAATATTTTTCAGCCGTAGAAAGAATGAAATTCTATCATTTGCAACAACATAGATGGAACCGGAGAACATTGTGTCAAGTGAAATAAGCTAGGCACAGAAAGACAAACATTTCATGTTCTCACTTACATATGAGAGATAAAAAACTGATCTCATGGAGATAGAGTGTAGAATGGCGATTACCAGAGGCTGGGAAGTGTAGTGGGAGGGGAAGGGGAAGGGTAAAGAGAGATTGGTTAATGGTTACAAAAATATAGTTAGATAGAAGGAATAAGAACTAGTGTTCAGTAATATAATAGGGCTAATATAGTTAACAATAATTAATTGCATATTTCAAAATAACTGAGGAGTGGAATTGGAATGTTTCTAATACAAAGAAATGATAAATGTTTGAGGTGATGGATATCCTAATTACCCTGATTTGATCATTACACATTGTATGCTTGTATCAAAATATCATAGGTACTCCATAAAAATGTACAATTATTATATAACCATAAAAATTATTGAAAGAAATTCCCCAAACTGACAAATCAAAGAGAAAAAATATGCCACAGTGTCCAATACCTGTGGAACAATATCAGAAGTTCTAACATTCATATAATTGAATGTTATAAAGAGATAAGATAGAGATTGGAGCAGAAATCATCAACTCGCTTGGTACCATCTCCCAGTGGCCTTCCTTGGCCATCATTTTAAAAGCAGGCCCCTATGCCAGACTCCAGTCATTCTCAATCACATTGCTAGGTTTTAGTGCCTCAATAATATTCATTTCTGTATAAATTGTTCATTTTTTTTCTTTTTATTCTACCAATATTTATTGAATGTATGCTAAATGCCAGACATTATTTTAGAACCTAGTATTGAACAAGACAGATGGAGTCTGTTTTCTCACAAAACATTTTTTCTCTATGTGTAAGAATCTTTTTTCTTTGTTTTCTCATTTACCCCTGAATCTGTACCTCCTTGAAGAATGGCTGGTGCATAAGGGGAGCGCAATAAATATTTCTTAAGAAAAAATAAATTAATTAATTGTCCTGCAGGTCAATTCTAAAACCCTATTTTTTAATTTCCTCCTCCAGGATTGTCTGGAAAAAACTGCTAAGCCTGTTCTGCTATCTGTTATTTTTTTTTTCCTTCTGAACTCAGGCTCCACTTCTACTAAATTCTCAGTAGGATTGGTTCACATATAGGCAATGTTTACAAATTGATATAGATAGATATAAAAAGTATATAGATGTAAAATTGTATTTCAGTAAGAGGAATCAGATGTTGGGGAAGGATAATCATACTTCTATTAATGCATGAATCCATGCATCTTGTAATTATGTGCATATAAGACTCTGCTTACTAACCAGACAGCAGTCTCGCAGTGTTCCTAGGGCCAAGCCCCATGCTTAGCACAGTTCAACTGCTTCTCTTTTATGTGCATCATAGTATTTTATTAAAATTCACGTGAAAGAGGACATTTTTTTTTTTCCCAAGACTGAGTTTCACTCTGCTGCCCAGGCTGGAGTGCAGTGACGCGATTTCAGCTCACTGCCACCTCCACCTCCTGGGTTCAAGCATGCTAAATAATCTATAAAAATCAGTCTTATAAATAAAGGACATATGCCATAAAATGTTTCTGTTTTTTTAAAGGCAACTGTCAAAATACTTTTTAGAAATTATTCTTCTCATTTAGAATCCATGTCCCGTAGGCCTTGTTAGGCGGAATCTGAGAAACCAATGAGCAAATCTGTCAGTCTTTCAGTGACTGGATTACTAAGTATATTTCAAGTCACACACTAGAATTCTCCAAGGGTACGACTTCATTCTCATAGTTGTAACTAAGGAACTACTACACATCTCCTGCGATTTTCTGATTTATGTTCAGATTTACTCCCAGCCATCACTGGAACAGGACAGTCTTAATGATAGTAGGAAAAATGTGAGTTGCCATTATTTAGCATTCTCAATAAACGTAACTGAATTATTAATCATAGAGACACTGAATGCCAGAGAAACTTTGAATAATTAATTATCAAGCATTATATGACTTAGTCTGTTTGTTTACCAAGGGAAAAACTAAGGGTTAAAGAGATTGGTTCCAAACTTGTGCAAACTAGTGTTCAGTTTGTCCACATTTATTAAGCATATCATACTTCTTTTCTTAAATATGATTTTGATTATTGATTACCCCCCCTTCTCCACAACCCTCTTCTCCACATCCCTATTCCTCTTAAATCCAGAGAAAACACAAGAGTATAGCATTAAATTTCAGATGCACATCTTTTAGAATTATGTGTTGCCAATATTGATTAGTCAGGGTATCATAATTAATGATGACTAAATTCGTTAGTAGAAGCTACTTGTTTTTGTGCCAGTTACTAGACTGAGTAGTAGACATACTTTATCACTAATTCTCAGCACAATTTTAGACAGGAGGTATCATTATCCTTACTTTACAAATGTGGAAACTAATCATAAAAAATAAGAAGTATCTTACTCAAGATAAAAAGACTAGAAAGTGGCAAACCCAGGAATTGAACCTCAGAGTTTTCAATCTCTCCTATATACACAACGGTTAAATGTACCATATACCTAATCATATTTCCTGACCTCCAAAAAAAGAATAAAGAGAAAATAAGATACTTCTTTCTGTTTATGATTAAGGCAGATGAATGTATGCTGAAGTTATTTCTTAAGTAAAAATTTATTTACAGATACACTATTGATTTAAATTTAAGAAGCATACCACTTTTTTAGGTAAAATAGAAAATCAAATTTTGCAAAATAAAACAACTTAGAAAGCATACCAATATTTCTACTCCTACATATGGTACAATTATATTATCCTATTTAGTAAAACAAATGATAATTCTTCATTAACTCAGATTTACCAAGATGTATATCAGGTTACCCTGGTTAATAGTTTGAGATGAATGTTTAACATTATCTCTGTATGATTATTAAGACTACATAATAATTTGTGTTGTAATTTATAATACTCCCCAAATACAAATTCATGTCTAATGTTCATTTCTAAAAATGCCCACACTATTTTACTACTTAAGCTCTTAAATTTTCCTGAACTGATATTTTGATTTTATTTGAATCCTTATAAAACTTTTTAAATGATTTAAAAAATTTAATACCCTATTTACCTAATAATCTATTAACAAAAAGCCCACTTTCTCAGGCTAAATTAACACTACAGTTTAATCATAATCATATTCACATTTTGAAATCTTTCTTACTGTCACTCACATGAGCAAACATAAAAACACCTACACATGCTCAAAAAAAAAAGAAAACTTAAGGACTTGCTGAATTTTGGACAACATGTTCATTTTCAATTTATCTGAATCACTTGTGTCTGTAAGAGATGTTATGAAGTTTAATTTTTAAAAATCTGAAGTAGATTTTGTTGTTGTTATTTTGCTTTTAGTGGTTGTTGTTTCTTGGCTGGCTGATTGAATTTCTTAGTCTTAGCTGCCTACTAGCATAGGATCTCCCGGTTACTTCTAAATAATGAGCTCAAACTCTGAAACTTCCAGGAACAAAACCTACTGCTTTCCTGCCTCTATTGCTTCCATCTTACTAATTTGTCCTATAGTATCTGATTCATTGTATTCATTTACATAAGTACTCACTGGGCACTAAATTTTTAAAAAATTCTTTTTCATGTTCAGAATTTGAAGAACTGCCTTTCTTTCCAAAAATAGATTTAAAAAACTGACTTATGTATTAGGAAATCTGTAATTTGTGGGATTGTTGATGTTATGGGGGAAAATCATGGAGCACATTAAAATAAATGGTTAAATACTGTACCATGATCTTGAAGAACTAGAGCCTTTCATGGCTGTGTCACCAACTATATGAACTTGGGCAAGTCATAGCTCATCTATAAACAAAGAGGTTGGGCAAGGTCACTCTCCTAGAGATACTACACTTCTGACAATGATTTGATTAAATGGACCTCTCACTGAGGCTCAGAAATCACTTTCGTAATGTATAACTTTTATTGTATTGTTACAGTGTGTATTGAATAGTAGAAGAAAAAGCTTTTATATTTTAACTGAACCATAAATACTTAGCCATTTTTTAGGCATCTTTGAATTGCACATAAGAGAAACCAGTGGGATCTCATGCTTGGAAAATATATGAGATCATTCCAGAGGTGAATACATACTATTTTCTATTCCCTACTCCATTTTAGTCATATGTAATGAAATGGTTTGATGGGAGCAACATAGAAAATTACTGAGAATTTTTATATTCTGAGGTTCTTTGACTGTTGGCTGAGTGGGCAAAGGGGCAGGATTAATATCTATTTCTGGAAAAAATGTTTGAGACGGAGGTGCATTTTCAGGGAGAGATTTTTTTTTTTTTCTTGCTTCATTGGGCAAGAAAGCTTTATCTTGTTCTGTGAGGTTAACTATGGGAACAGACCACTGCTGGGAGCTGGGGAACACAAGACCGAAAGAGGAAGGGAGAGAATGCTCTGTTAGTTTCCTGGCTAGACAGGTCACATTGCACTTGGGGCATGAAGATTAGGGTAAGAGTTTTAAATCACCTGTGAAATTATTTTGGTACCTAGTATAGAGTGAAGGATTGGGGTTATGTTTTCTTAGTAATTTCCTACAACAGACACACAGGAGTTTTATATTATCGCCTGTATGTGCTGAAGGTATAGATCTTTAGGTAAACACAAATGTCAGTCATTTGGCCAGGCAGAAATAAGAGTAGGTTTATGTTGGCTCTTGAGATAACAATCAGAAAAAAAAAAGTGAAGGTCATTTTTGTCTGATCTTTAAGACTTCCAATATCAGAAAACTTACCTTTTGATGGATAGTACCAACAAATATTTAACTTCATAAACAGATAATTAATCTCAAAAACAAACAATAAAAGATAAATCTTTGGATATATAGCCCTCCTTTTGGGTCATAGTATCCCGAGGTAGTAGTTGTAGATATGAATTTTCTTAAAGGACTTATTTGAAGATTAACTAAGAAATACTATAGGTTCATAACAACTTAATTCACATATTATATACTGCATAAAAATAAAGTCCTTCTTCTACCAACTCTGAATCTTAAATCTCTTATGCCATAGAAATTTGCAGAGACATCAGATAAAATGAAATTCTAGTTTGGCCTAAAAAGTTAAAGACATTATAAAAATCATGCATCATTGCTTAAGGTTAATATTCTCTAATCAGTTACCACCCAACAAGAATTAACTCTCCTCTTTTCTAGAGCACCTCCCTTTTGACTCTGCTCTTTGAAACATATCCTCTTAACATCTCTTGATAACCTAAATTTTTTTCTAGATCCTAGTATCTACCTCTTTGCCTTTACTAAAATATCTATTAACCCTGAAAAAGAGGAGTATTCCTTAAAAATCTCTCAAATAGAAGTCACTAGTTTCCATTGTCTCTGCCTACCCTTCATCCCACCCCACTATAGAGCCACTCCTCTATTTTTAAGCCAATAGTTGCATCCAGTACTCTTCCTGCTTCGCAGTGCCATTTGGAGAGAGGTTGAGTCAGCATTCTATGTCACCAAACCATATTCTATTAGACTAAGCCACACTCTTTCTATCCTTCAGCCTCATGGGTCCTTGCTCTGCATTTCTTTCTCTTCTTCCTCCTTACCCCCAAATATTCATGAGACCTTTGGTATATTACTTTTAATCTTTGTCTGCTGTCAGCATTTATGGTCTTTGCTACCACGTATCATCCTCTAGTTACTTTTGCCATCATGTCACTGACTTTCTTCCATAGACAGCTCCTGCCCTTCTTTTCCCAAAGAATTTTGCCACCTCTGCAGTTTTGAAAGCTGTGTTCCTGTCATCTGAACCGAAGTCCTTATCTCTATATCTCCCACCACGTGTACTTTTAACAATTTCATGACCTCTTGCCTCGTACCTCCTTTCTGCTCTAATTCTAAGCCAATTTCTGATTCTGCTACCCTCCTTTTCCAGCCTATATTTAATGAACACTAATGTCAACTAATGCCTTTCTTTTAATTTTGAAAAAATGAAAAATAATGAAATTATTTTCATAGAATAATAATGTAATAACACCTTTGCATAGAACCACTCAGAACTGACAAATGTTGTTTTTTTTTTTTAATGTTTGCTTTACTTTCTTCTTTGATTATAGTTTTAAAGAGTTAAGATGCAGACTTTTTTTTTGGTAAACTGAAGCTGAAATGTATAATATGTATGAAATTGTACAGCTAAAATGCAAACAAGTGAAATTTCTGAAAAAGGCATTAATGAAAAGAATGCTGTCAGGGTTCAAATGTGAACTTGTTTACAATCCTATGCAGGGGAATTGACCAGAGTTGGGGGATTTAGGTGAAGCCATAGCATGATTGGACAAAGTCTGTTTGCAAAATGTCAGATGTACTTTTCTGGCTATTGAAGTTCAACTATAGATGTAGGATCCCAACCATATATGAATCATTATAGATGCCTTCGTAGACATCTGTTTCTATAAAAGACCTTTTCTAAATTTCCCTCTGGAGTAATGAAGTGCTGGGTCAGTAAAGGAGACTAACATTTTGAAAAGTTATAGTCATAACAGGAAAGCCGAAATCTCTAAGTTTCCCTTCTTTCTTCATTTTTACAGTTTTAGTAACAATATTCTTGGTTAATATTTAATAGGATAATAATTGTTTGGTCTACTTTGATGGTTTTTGCCTTTATAATGTTATGCTGAAATATCTCGATTTGCTTAATTGTTTTCTACCGAAAGATTCTAAATAGGCAAATCATTGGAGATCACTTTCATAATCTGTTATATTATATTGTTGTAAGAGGGAGACCTATGGCAGATATTTTTTATTTGTTTTTCTTTAGTTGAAATGTGGTAACATCTATTTATACTGCTGATTTTCTTATAGGCTTAAAAAATAGTATTGATGCAGAAGCACACATATTTATCATCTGGAGATTTCAAATTAATTAATCCTTTCTAAAAAAAGTTTATCAGTATTTTATAATGCGATACCCTAAGCATAGTCATCATATACCCTAGGTTTTCTAGGGCAGAGTCTGTGAAATTTATATGAAATTGATGTGATATTATTGTTATAACTTCATATATTTTTAACACAAAAAAATTTTCAGATCTGAAAAACTGAATTGATTAAGTCTGTGCTTAACTAATTCAGAACATACTAAAATAAAGGTAATGTGAGAAGCTGACAATGGTCAGTTTAAGAACTTTTAATTGCTTGGGTTTATATGTTGTGGAAAACTCTGAGAAAAAATTAACCTTCAATAAGACAGCATTCAGAAAAGGATTTTTTTCAGTTCACTGTGGGCAGAAGAATCCAAAATATAATATTTAAAGGGTTCATACTAGCTCAGATGCTAGTATCGGTTTCTGGAGAAACATCGATCTTACGAAGGTGACAAAAGGTATCCTATAAGAATTAGTGAGCCCAAACTATATAATGAGTGTTATAGAGAAATTCACTATGAATATTTGCATAAGAAATGATAAAGACACATAGCAACTATAATCAGTGTTCATTTTCTCCTTACTGTGATTCTGGTGACATTCTTTAACCTATGGGAGTAAAGGATGCTTCTTTCATATTCTAGCAGGTCTTGTTTTCACACTGTGCTTCTGTGTCTTGCCTGAACAGTGTGTCTATGTTTCCTTTCCCAGTAGTATTCTGACCACCACTCTCAGTTGTCTTTTCTATTCAGGAGGTGAAAGAGAAATTTCTACCCTGTTTCCATCCTGCAGCATTATGGTTATTTCTGCATAAACTATCCTATCAAAAGTTCTAGAGCCTCACCATGTAACCACGAAACACCCATTACTATAGGTGTAATGGGTTTTCACATATCCTTTCCACATATCCTTTGATCTGAAGAATATTAAGAGCTTTCAAGATAATCATTTTTATTAAACTTATGAACAGCTTTTAATGTAGTTTGTTTAATTGTCTGGCTTTAGATGTTATTGGAATTGTCTCTTGTTATCATTAGTAGATAAAAATAAATACCATTATATACTAAGAAAGTTCTACATAAAAAGACAAACAGATGTGTCATAGTGTCGGTGTGTTAAAGAGGTGCAAATCTGAGAATCAGGAGGACTAGGTCTATTTTTGGCTGCATATTTGGTTTTATAGTGGGTTTATTGGAAAGATTTTGCACTCACAGGCTAGTGGAAAGATGAATGACAATATTAATTTCTTATTTTGTAATCAGTGTCAGAGAAGCTTTTCAGTGCAAAATGTCCAAAGAGAGAAGAGGACTAGAAAGTAAAGGGTACATTAAGCTGGAACCTGAAGTGACAGTGCTGTGTTACATTGCAGAGATTCTGCAGTATGTCAGGGGGTTGGTGATTCAATTGTCTGAATGCATGATTTGGTGGGCCAGTTTAGACGAGAGCAAACTGGTCCTGTCACTGAAATCACAATGGGTAAAAATGGACCTATTCAATCTGCCTCTCAATGCCCCAAATTCTTCCTGGTTGTAAATTAGAGCTTTAGGACAATGCATTAACTCATTCGGGTCACCAGGGTACTATGTCAGCTCAGTGCTCACAATTGCCCATGACCAATTCTGCACTCTCCCCAGCAGGAGGGAAGCAATGTCATTTTGTACTCTCTTCTTTAGGATAATATCAGGTCTGAAAGGGAAGGAACAAAGGAAGTTGCTGCTTTCCTTCCACCTACCCCACTTAGCCATAATCACACCCCTCTTTCCACTTGGCCAGACTATGAACCAGACAGAAAATGAGCTTAGAGGTTGTGTGGTTACTCAAAGACTTGAATAAAATCAAGAATTCAGTGCTGTTCAGCTCCATCTTCAAGTCAAAGAAAATGGGCATATGGGCAGCATAGGAGAGCTGGAGCATTTTCTACCTCATCCCTAGTAAAATCATTACAATATGATTTCTCTTGCTAGGACCAACATTTTTATGTGGCTACTGTCTGCTTCCATGACAGCATTTCACTCCATTCCCTGCTCAGTCATTAACATCCAGCAATACTGGCTTTTTCTGTGTGTTTAAACATGCCTAGTTCTCGGTGCATGTGGACCTTGATGTATGATATTCCCCTTACTTGAATTGAGTCATTGTTCACCCAAAACAGATTCCAGCTCATCTGTGAAATTTCCATTTTCATGTCACTTCTACATGGAGACATTGCCTGAAAGGGTGAACTGTATTACAGGCCACTTATTTATTTACTCATTCATTTATTTTGGATAGCATCTTGTTTGTAGCACTTACCACATTTTGTAATGTATACCATTGTGTTAATGTTCCTTGAATGTTTCTCTTCTCCACTGGATCACAAGCTTGAAGTATGCAAGTGTCATATATGTTTTCTTGAATACTGTATTCTCAGAATCTAGTCCAATTCCTGGTCCATAGTAGGTGCTCAGGGAATGAACTCCCAGAATCCACCACCCTGTCATGTGCTCAGGGTCCTTGTTGTGACCTGTACAATGTGAAGTAATACTAGTGACCCAGTAGCCCGTGGAGGTAGGAAATGAGACATCTGAAATCCAGACCAGAAAAATACATTCTAAAAAAGGTTACTCTACTTTACCTCTCCTTTGTTTGGTACATTCTTGGTCTTCTCCTAGGTCAGTCTACTACAATCTCTAGTTAGCAGCAAACATGTTATCAGAGTAAGTCTGTAAATGTGACCTTAGCTTTCTAATTCAAAGTCATTTGTCCTCTGAAGGCTTCTCCAGTCATTTCCATGGTCCCTTGTTAAAGACTAAACAATTAAATTGTGCAAGCTGTCTTCCCTTTAATTGTAAAACTCTCGCTAATAAGTGCATTATTTTATTTGAAATGCACATTTTCTAAAACGTAAATAATTCCATATTCAAATATTGCTACCTATATTAATATTTTAATATAATAATGTTAAAAATACTTCCCAAAACCAATGCTGATAACTAAAAGATTGTTAGGTCTTTGCTTTTTTAAAAAAGTTAATTCCTAATATCACTTTCAACTATTGGTGAGAACAATTCCATATCTCTTGCTTTCCTGAGGTAAAACACAAGGTGTAGGAATAAACAACAATTTCAGGGGTATTGTAATACAGAACTCCAATCCCCACTGCCCCTATTCTGTATTTCTGTGCTCCCATCCTCAGGGGCTAGCGCTTTATATGCCTGACTATTTCACTCGTACCATTTCAGAAACTCACCTCTGCCAGAAAATCCCCCCATATCAGTTTTTGGAAACATTCTTCCTAATGCTCTTGCCATGGAGTCTTTGAAGCTGAGAATTTTCCACCAGAGATAATAGTCTTTAAGATGCTCAGAGTGTTGCTTTACTCTTTGAATGGTGTGTTTCCACCTCCCTGAGGAGTTGCAGTAATATCCCCCTGACATGGAGACAGGGTGCCTGTGTCTCACCTTGGGCCACAGTACTGATCCATATTGATAAGCAGCTGTGTCCCAAACTAAAGCACATACAATACATTCTTCCAACAAATATTTATTGTCACCTGTTATGGGATAGGCACTCTTGTATTCTCTGGATTAGGCAATAAATAAAAACTGACCAAAAACCCATCCTTACGTTTCTCAAACACCCAAAGTTTCTAGGCAATCACTTTTGTTGTTGTTGTTGTTGTTTTGTTTTGTTTTTTGCTCAGAAATTTTAAGCTTGATAACCTCACGAGTCTTAGTGTGAGGCCCCAAAACTTTTCACGTTTCTCTTGGGAAATCTAATGGTTTTTCATGCAAATAGTTAATCTCTGGAAGTAAGATCCTTGGTGATTTGATACAATACATGAAGATTTAACATTTCTTGACCACTTGTGTGCCAGACATACTGCCAAGAGCTTAACTAAAATTAACTCTTAAGGTTGTTGTGAGAGTTAAAAGAGTTAATATTTGCCAGACCCTTAGCACTAATATTGCATCCATTTTATAGCTAGGAAACTTGGAGAAATTAAGGGGCTTTACCAAGTACACATGGCAAGTTAGTGAAGATACTAAGATAATATATAGGCCGTAAGACATCAGAGTCTGTGCTAAATACTGAAGAGAGAAATGAATAAAGTGAACAAGGAACAAACCCCTGCTGTCACAGTGCTCACAATCTCAAGGGGGAAGGCAGCAACTAAATAGTTTCAGAAAACTATGTGCAGATGAGAAACACACAATGTCACATAGTAGTTCAGAGTATTAATTACCTAACTCTACCACAAGAGCAAGTTGATTAGGACCTTCCAGAGAAAGTGACTCTTGATTGGCATCTTGAAGAATGACTAGAAGTTCAGCGTGTGGGCAGAGAAGGCACTGGCATTACCAGCAGAGTGATGCAGTACCTTTGAAGTTTGAGAAAATATTTCACAACCGGGAACTACAAATGGCTCTGTACTGCCTGAGTGCTGAATACAGATGGGAGAATAGCAGACATGATGGTTGGAAAGAGATCCCTAGACCGCAGGAGCCCAGTTACGAAAGGCCGTTTATGCTTGCCTAGGAGTTTCAGCTTTACCCTGGAGAGGTGGAGAACTAGTGAGAGATTTTATGCAGAGAAATTATATGATCCTGCTTGCATTTTGGAAAGATCCTTGAGTGGCTCTGCAGAAACTTGATGGAAGGGAAAGCAAGGATAGAGACAACAAAACCAGTTAGCCAAGGAAAAAATAAGAGTTCAGAAATGAACATGGCAAGGTAAAAAAATCTACAAGTTTTCACATTAAACACAGACTCTTTCATCTTCAACCCCAGAAAATTACGAAGTGTTCTCCATGTCTTCAATTTGCTGCTCAGATCCACTCGCCTCCCTTCGACGCAGTATCTGCATCTGGAAGACGGACCTACTTCAGTTGGCCACCTTGCCCTCTAGGTTCCAGCTGGACTCAGTCAGGACAGATCAGAGAGACTGAGGAGGGGGAGGCCTCCTGCAGGGTCACTGTGAAGTACCTGTGGATGCCACTGAAATCTCAGCTCATGTCTGGTGGCCCTTTTTGCCAGGCTCTGGTCTTAAGATGGTCCTGGGTCCTTACTGCCACTCCCAGTGTCCTCTACTGTCCCTTGTGGTTTTCCTGCACAAGGCTATATCTTTGTAAGTGGTTACATAACATTTATTCATTTTATCCACAATTGACTGTCCTTTCTATTTCCTGCTAGGATTCTGAAGACTATGCGAGAATAAAGGAAAATAGGCATTGTCAGAATCTGTTAGTAGGATTATAAATTTGTACATTCTTTCTACAGAACAATTTGAACATAGCAATAAAATTTTTGAATACATGCACTCTTTGACCTAGAAATTTCTCAATTAAAATTTCACTCAGTGGATAAAATTGCCAACATAGGTATAAACCCATGTTTACTGTGGTATTTTTTAATGTAGTCCAAGTTGCAGAACTGTATGCTTAATATTATCTTTTTGGTATAAAAAATATATTTTTATAAAGATACACAACATTAATAGTGTTCACATATGTGGAAAAGGCCTGGAGGCAGAGGGTGGGGTTATAGGTAGATTTTGTCTCATCGTATTCAATTCTTCTAAACTGTTTCAATTAACTTTTAACAAAAATTGTTTTTAATTTTCAAAGATGTCATTAAAATTGGAATATCGGTGCCTATTTTACAGCGTTGTTGTGAATAACAAAAATCATAATGTATTATAATAGTGATTACGTACCAGGTCTAGAGGACCTGGTAATAAGTGGGGATAACCGGAACTACAGCAGACTAATGGAAGTGGAAGAGGTGATGAGTTTTTGAGTGGTATAGGAGTTGGAATTACCAGAGATGGTGATTATTCAAGTAGCAAGAGTAGGGCATATATTGCATATGAAGAAGAAAGTATTATACAGTGATTTTCAGTTATCACTTAAGCAACTGTATGTTGGATGGCTCCATTCACTAAAGGTAAAATGCACCAGGAGGTAGAGATTTGGGAAGGGAGATGAAGAATTTGGTTTTGCATAATGGAGTTTCTGGTGCCTGTGGGATATCCATTGGGTTGTCTAGGAAGCACTTAGATAAGAAAAAGTCAAATGATCTCATGGCAAGTAGGCCCTCTCTACCCTGAAACATCATTGTCTGGGAGTAAGAATTCAAAATCAGTTAGAGGTTATAAGAGCCTTTTCTTAGAATCCCTGCTGCCACCTTGGATTTCTTTTCCTTTTTTCAGTATACTTATTTTTCCTTTTTCAGTCTTTAGGGTAAGTGTCATTGCTTCTAGGCTTTGGCTGAAACCTGTGTCCATTAATGCAATTTAGTCTACTCTGGCAAACTAAGATATACCAACACATTTTGGTAACTAACAATGCAATTCAACTTGTTTCTTGGTTCTTGCTTGTTCTGTAATACAGTGTATTTTTGCACTGAGAAGGTTTTCATTATGTTCTACTGTTGTATATTTCATTGATATATTTATGTTGATAATTTTTACTTTTTCTTGTCATATTTTCTCATGGGAAAACGTGTGATACTTTTAATATAAGAAATCATCTTAGGCTGGGTGCAGTGACTCACGCCTTTAATCCCAGCAGTTTGGGAGTCTGAGGAGGGTGGATCACCTGAGGTCAGGAGTTCGAAACCAGTCTGACTAACATGGTGAAACCCCGTCTCTACTAAAATACAAAAATTAGCTGGGTGTGGTGGCAGGCACCTGTAATCCTAGTTACTCGGGAGGCTGACGCAGGAGAATCACTTGAACCTGAGAGGTAGAGGTTGCAGTGAGCCAAGGTCGCACCATTGCACTCCAGCCTGGGTGACAGAGACTCCATCTCAAAAAAAAAAAAAAAATCATCTTATATCTATCTCAATTAGAACTAGAGGCAATTTTAATGCAAAACAACAAAAGTAAGCTGTGTTTTGAAGAAAGCTTGCCAAAGCAAGTAGTGGAAATAAATACATTATATGTATTTCCCACATCTCTATGTAGTTATTAATACTTTATTAATTTAAAACCTCAGGAACATGTTTACATGTAAGTTATGCTAAAGCACAAAAAGGAAGTAGATGAAAATTTGTTAACTTATTTACTAAATCCTTCCACAAAATACTTTTTTAAAATAAAGGGATTATAGATCAGTAATGTCAAGATATTCTGCATAGCTTGTCTTTATCAAAATAAGGGATCTTTTTATTAAGGCAACCCAGAAAGGGTGGATTTATGGATTGAAGGGAGTATGTTTAATATGTCTGTATCCATCTAGATTGACAGTTCTCACAGACATGAATTTCCCCAGAGAGACAGTGTTACTGGTGTCAGTGGATGGCATCATTTACTTCAATGTTCCATTATTAAACTGATAACAAGATAATTCCTCTGCTTCCCAGAGACATGACAGGGTTTACAATGGTTAACACTCTTATTGTATGGGACTCAATGTTCTAGGTAGTTTTTAATAAGAAGCTCATTTGTATTTCAATATTGAAAAAAATTAAAGTGAAAACAACATCGTAAAATAAATTCAAAATCAAATATATCAGGCAACACAATATGGCTATTTAAAGAATTTTTGCTTACTATGTGTAGCTTTGTTGAAAAGAAATGAACATTTCCTTCAATCTTTCAGCTCAATTTTACTAAACAGTAAAAAGCATATATTAGAGTATGTTATTTGTTGAAATTGAAATTTACATATTTGGTTGATTATTTGAATGCAAGACATATATAATAATTTTAGATAATTACAGGGGCAGAGGAAGTAGCTAATATTGGTTGAGTGCTTTTAAGTTTTCACTTTAAAATACAGATATAAAAGAAGCAATGGAGATAGAGATAGCAATAGAGACAGAGATATAAATAGACAAATAAACAAATAGAAATGCTTTAAAAACCAACTCAACAATTCACTAAGACAACTCTTATTAACCTCATGTTACAGCTGAAGAGACTGAGGGTCACAGAGGTTACTTAACTTATCCAAGACATTATGAAGCTTACCCAAGATCCACAGCTAGTAAATGTGAAAGCCCATGCTCTTTTACTAGATTATATGGCCTCTCTTGTAGGGTTTAGGGAAATATGTTCATTTTTAAATAATTAATAATGTGCCTTAATTAGTAATAATTTTAAAAAGGAACATATTTCTCCAGCTAGCAAGCAGGGGAAATAGTAGTCAGACTTCACTATATCTGGCTCCAGATCTTTCCAGACACTCTTTTGAAAATTGAAATTGTTTAATTAATATTTGTGTGGCTATATTTTATTTGAGGGTAAATGCTGACAACTAATCCTTAAGGCTGCACATGAAGCGAAGGTCTACCTAAAAGGGGGTTCGATGAGCACCTCTGGGTTAAGGATATCTCAGGAGGATATTAATTAATCCTGCCATTCCAGTGATGAGTGGAGCAAGACTTTTGCATTTGTTTAAAATTGTGTTGTGTTTGCAAAGAGCTTTATAGGTCATGGATCCCTAATGATTTCCAGACAGAATTCTTTTCTGTTTCACCAAGAATAATGTGAAGCTTTCTACCACAGGCAATGCCAACTGCTGACTACCACAGAAATACTTCAAGAGAAGTGATATATCAGTGGCTTCAAAGTATTCTAGGATCCATTTCTGATGGAAGCATGTCACTGTATACCTTGGAACTAAAACAGAATAGCATTTTCAAAGTTAAAAATGAGAGAAGTCCAAACATTTGATATCTAATGGATAAAGAAAATCAGAGAGTAAAACATTTTCTCAGTCATTGATTCTGGAAGGATATAGCACCATACACAGTCACTGGATACATTTCCTTTACCTATCCCAAATTATAGCTCCACATGAACTATTGACAAGACTATAAATTTCTGTACTACATTACATGAATGAGAGATTAATTTATGTGAATTTATTCCTTGTTGGCAAATGGAATGACACAGTTTGAAGTCCTTTCCGAGCTATAAGGAATTAGATTGCCCTTTTTATAAAGGATTCTATATTATGACATGTTTTTTCCAGATTCTTGACAAAAAGCAATTTAATATCAAATTCTGACAAATGAGAACTGAAACATCAATGGTTCTTAAGCATTAATATTATTGGATTTCTCTTGCTAGATATGTCATCTCCTTCATCTTTTTTATTGTAAGACAGGTATTATTGAATAGTTACCTTATCTACTAATCAGGAGTACGACTCATAAATGTATAAGACATTATATACGAGAAAATAAAACTTATAAGAAAGAGACCCCACCATCAAAGGAGTATAAACTTCTTGGGAAGACAGGACAAACACATAGAAATTAACAATTAATTTTAAAATGATATTACTTCCTAAAAGCCATACCCTGTACAAGCTGCACATGCTATAGGAGTAAACATACCTGTTAGTGTACCACAATCTTTATCACAGAGAATGGATGATGCAGCAGAAATGTCCAAAAAATTTATCAGTAATAAAGCATGGAAAATGCCACATTCCTCATAAGTATCTCATTCAAATATGGACAACTCAGGAAGCATAGTATTTTTTAATAATTGTAAATGAAGGCCAGGCATGGTGGCTCACGCCTGTAGTCCCAGCACTTTGGGAGACCAAGGTGAGCAGATCACTTGGGGTCAGGAGTTTGAGACCAACCTGGCCAACATGTGAAACCCCACCTCTACCCAAAAATACAAAAACTAGCTGGGCACGGTGGCCTGTAATCCCAGCTACTCGGGAGGCAGAGGCAGGAAAATCGCTTGAGCCCTGGTGGCGGAGGCTGCAGTGAGCCGAGACTGCACCACTGCACTCCAGCCTGGGTGACAGTGTGAGTCTCTAATAATAATAATATAATTGTAGATGAAGTGTTATTTCATTGAGGCTGGAGATTGTGAAAAAGATCCTGATTCATTTAGATAGGATCAATGACTGTGCTACAACAGTTGCTTAAATTAAGAAAGTCTGAAAACTATGTGTGTTGATAGTAATTTTCCCAGCTTTTCATTCTACCAATGTCCTAGAGTTTTGTTTGCCTTTATTCTGGTTTTGTAGAGTTTTGTTTGCTTTTGTTCTGGTTTTGTTTGTTTGTTTTTCCCGTAATGAAAGTTTTCTCCTTCTTCTTTTATAGCTTTAGGAAGGGTAGCTTCATAGGAAGTAAAAACAGCCATGCTACTTACACAGAAACTCATTTGATAAAGAAAATATTAGCTAAAAGTGAAATAAGTTAATGAGTTTTTTAAAAAAAGAATGAGATAGTCTAATGAAGATTATTTGCAGTTGCCTAAAAAAAAGATTTGCTGACAATGTTATTTAGGATGAATAGATGGAAGAAGCTGGCCCTGCCAGCCAAACTAAAAGCCAAACACAATGCCAGGCAATATTATTGCTTCAGTACTGCTTACTGCTAGGACGCCTAGTAAGATATAGGCTGTGACCCTATTTCGCACCTAGAAAGACTTAACTAAGACATTTTCTAGCTACAGCATATTCAGTGAAGAATACAATCTCTTCTACAAATAAATAAGAGTCCAGTAAGAAATGAAGTGGGACAGAGTAATTCTATATAAGAATAAACACTGTTAAGGCAAGAGTGTATTTAGAAGGTGAGCTTCCTACATTTATAGTTAAAAACCCAAATGAATTTTCTATTCTGAGCCCCCTCTGATGCACATCAGAAAAATGGCACCATGAAACCACTGCTTGACCGAAACTGTACAAGTCCTATAATACATGAAATGTAGCCACTAATTAATTTTGAATTATTTTTATGAGATTTCTTCAAGACCATAAGATAGGGATAATATCCCATATTACTGAGCTTCACAGCATCTACTGTATATTTGCCTTAAATAGTATTTTGATACAGTGAGTCCTTGAATGGAAATTGTCTACTCAACCAAGGCTGATAACCAACTGATAGACTAATTGTAATAAATTATAATTTGAAAAGAAGGCATTTTCCTAGACTAGACAAAAATTTGCCATCAAATGTGTATATTGGTATGTCTCCTTCCAAGTTGTAGAATTTTTAATATGTGTGTGTGTGTTTTTTGTTTTTTTACTGTTCTTTTAGTTTTTTTGTTTTGTTTTATTTCTTTTTGTTGAGTAGTTTTGTCTCATAGGTGGCTATTTCTGAGTGAAGTCACTGGGGCAGTTGGTTGAAGGAAAAGTGCATATGTACTTGTATATATTATAATCTACATATAACTTCTATGTATACATATGTATGTATTATTTATATATAATTTGGTGTGAGTATGTTGTGCACTTAAGAAATGCATAAATCTCTCTGGCTTGGCTGATAGTTACCTAATGAGAAATAATACTCCAAGTCATGAAAATATGTTGAAAAAAAAAGAGGATAGGAAATTGCTTAGCCTGATCTAGGGGTATAATTACGAGTAGCTTGAGGGAGAAATTGAAAGACAAAAACTAGCTTGTAATCCCAGCACTTTGGGAGGCTGAGGTGGGAGGATTGTTTGAGCTCGAGTTCAAGACCAGCCTGGGCAACGTGGTGAAACCCTGTCTCTACAAAAACAACACAAAAAATTAGGCAGGTGTGGTGGCATGGGCCTGTAGTGTCCGTAGTCCCAGCTACTTGGGAGGCTGAAGTGGGAGGATCCCTTGAGCCAGGGAGGCAGAAGTTGCAGTGAGCCGAGATCAAGCCACTGCACTCCAGCCTGGGTGACAGAGCCAGAACCAGTCCACAAACAAACAAACAAAAAAACAACGAAAAACTCTTGACAGTAGCTACCTCTACTATATTGTGAATTCCTCCTAAATAGATAGCAAAAATCCGCATTACTCTTAAAGCATACTGATGGAAACATTTAATGCTATAATGTAGTGAATAGTTCTTTAGTAGGGAGAAGATGGATTGGGTGACACATGAGGTTGACTACATTTGTATCTCCATTTTTTTCTATCTGTCCCTCACTGAGCAGAGAAAACGCAGCATGGTCTCAAGAAAGAACATCATGGTGCCAAAAGAAGTTTCCACTCAGCCTTTACAGTCTGCATTCATTCTTTTATTTAGTAAAAATGTAAGAGGTTTTTGTTTTGCTTTCATACTTTTTGTTCCAAATATGGGGCCAGGGACCATTTACTCTTTGTTCTTGGTAGTTGAAAAGTGTAGCATATGATAAACCCTTTCATTGAATAGGCATTCATGATCATGGATGTGAAAATGCATTAGAAGAATTTATGAGACATGTGGGGACATAGGCTGCATCTGAGACTAAAATCCTCATCACAGGCTTTTATGGCATTCTACTATGATGACTCGTTTAGGGTGGTGTGGGGGAAGGACACCTTTCTGTTCTTTCATTAAATGATAGACCAAGTGGAGTTGGTTGTAAATAATTCAGAAGGTTCTGAACCAGAATTTGTCTTTTAAATCAAGTGATTCTAGAGGCTGTTCTTGCTTTATTCTAATTAATGAAAACAATCAGTGCTATAGATTTTATAATGCTCTTTGAAAATACATAGCAACTCTCAAAACAGGATGCATTTAATGACCCAAAACTGTAGTCGTACACTTTTTTCCTAAAACTTAATTGTCCATACTTTCATATAATAATTTCTAAGACAAAGGTATGCTTATACATTTATATTTTAAACAGACTTCCAAATTGACAAATTTTTATGGTATAAAAAATGCATAATCTGCTCTTAGAGGACTATAACCCCATAAAGTTACTTCATTTTGAAAGGATACGTTTCTCCTATTCGTTTTGTAAGTTTCAAAGATCATGTGATTATGTGTGGGAGAAGGGAGAAAAAAGATTGCAAAACAAACCCCTTATTGTAGTTTCTTAGAAACAGCATTGATATCAACATTTGGGCATTTGTGAGCAAGCTGGAAAGTATGAACAATGAGAAAAAGGCACATTTAAGGGAGTAAATAGTTTGTTTTCAAGCCTTCAGTGTATTATCTTCAAAATGCGTCAAGTTTTAGACTATGAGAACGTCCTTCAGAGTTTGCTTTGGACTACAACTGCAAATGCATTGATTATAGTTAAATGTGACTTTAGTTCAGCACTTGAAATAGCTAACATTCACATTAGAAAAAAATTATGAAATGACTAGTTGAATTGAAGAAATTGGGGAATTTTCCTCCCGGTATGCTTAATGAGGTGTATACCCTTTGCATGCATTGTAAATATTAGTGCATGTGTATTATCATAGAAGTATATAAATATGGCTTGAATACCATTTCTTGATTTTAATTAGATCACATTGCCTTTTGAATATCCTTATTTAAACAGGTAATATGAATTTAACAGGAACTTGTTGTACACTCTGTTTTATTTTTATAGTATGCAAATAAGAAACAAATGCCAACACATTCATTATGCTGTTTAACGTCTATACCAGAAAGGTTCCAATCACTTTGAAAAAGGTCCTTTCACTACTTCTACTCTAAATCACTTTGTCATGCTTCTGAGAAGAAACATTTTGAACTGAAATTTGTAATGAAGATTAAACCCTATGATGTTTTAAAAATGTGGGAAACATTTTTGGTTGATCCCTAAGCATCAACTGCATATTAAGGCAAAGGAATGATTTATGAGTATTCAATGATAAATGAATATTTTATTATTTTAGTATCATTAATCATTATCCTAAGTAGTGAGACATGTTAGAGGTTGTTTTTACTTTTTTTTTTCTATTGTTGTTTACTGGGGTGCTCATTGTTAGCAGGATTGACAGCTCAAAATGGAGGTGGAAGCTCGTGAATTCAAACGTGGAAATACCTTCTTGTACAGAAAGATCTTATAGAGATGAGGGAAATTGTAGTGAGGATGGAATATGATAAAGTGGGAGGAAGGAGAGCAGAAAAAAAGTGAAGTTGACTTGATTTGTGCAGGAATAGTACACAGGATCATTAGCTTATTCATTCACTATTTACACTGAGCTTCATTATTGTGCCAGCTCAGAGATGGGCATTGAAGATGCAGTACTGAAGGAGATGATCTCACGGGGAAAAAGAGGATGAGTATTATTGAAGTGCATAGGAGACAGATAAGTGCAATGAAAATCTTTATGTCTCATGTAGAGCCTGGATTGGAAAAGAATCATCCAGCTGCGTGATCAGAATGCATGCCCTTTAGACCATTCAGGTAAAGAACATGATTCCTAGTTTTGACCCCACCGTCCATTCTTTCCTCACCCAACATTGTAGCCATTCCCAGCTCACTATTCTATCTTTGACGTAGTATCTGTTTGCAATAGTGGCCCTCTATGGGTCCTTCAAATCAGAGAGGCACACATGTCTGGGGCTCACAGTTCTAGGAACTTTTTCTGTGTAAGTAGGACAAAAATTTTTAATATCAATTCTGCTCAAGCAATGTAAACTAGGAAACATAATTTGCTAAAAAGTGATGTTACATATTGGTGAATTTTCTAGCATTTTGGTTAAATCTAAAAATAATTTTAAAATATTTATAAAATATAAATCTATCTATAAACTTTGGTTCTATAGCTCTACTTCTTTTTTAAACTGCATTAATTCACAAATATAATATGCTCACAATGTGACACTACAGAAAGATCAAAGGAGCATATAAAGATGATGCTTTTTACCCTTTCCGATGGCATATTTTTTAAAGTCTTATCTCCGGATGTTTAAAACCAAAGTATTCTGCTATTTCAAAATGTCATTGTTTGCACTCTAGCTAAATTGTAGAAAAAAGGCAAATCTGAATATGACATTATTCTTTCAGTTATCAAAATAATCGTTGAATTTATTGAAAACTATTTAATGTCAAATATACAATATAATTCTAAGAACAGTCCTATGAAATAAGTATGGCAACCAAATTATTTTCATTTTATATATCGGGTAGCTGATGCAAAAAGACTTTCAAATGATATGTTAGTGTCTAATTATTCATTCCACAAGTATTTACAGGGCATCTACTCTATGTCAGCAGTATTCTGTATCCAAAACAAAGATTCTCACTTTATTGGAGCTTACATTTCAGCTGCAGAGAGAAAGACAATAAATATATTAAATAAGAAAATGATATAATAGAAAGTTCTATGGAAAATAAAATAGAGCTGGGAGGAGGTCGTTTGTAGTTTTTTTTTTTCTTCTTCTTCTTCTTTCTTTTTCTTTTTTGAGACAGATTGTTGCTCTACCACCCAGGCTGGAGTGCAGTGGAGCCATCTCAGCTCACTGCAACCTTCACCTCCCCGGTTCAAGCAATTCTTCTGCCTTAGCTGGGATTACAGGTGAGCACCACCATACCCAGCTAATTTTTGTATTTTTAGTAGAGATAGGGTTTCACCATTTTGGCCAGGCTGGTCTCAAACTCCTGACTTCAGGTGATCCGCTTGCCTCAGCAAAAAGGTGTGAGCCATTGTGCCTGGCCCTGTAGTTTTAAAGAGTGCCACTGAGACAGTGACATTTGAGCAGAGGCTTAAAGAAGATGTGGAAGAACACCATGTGTATGTCTGGGGAAGAATATATAAGGTTGAGCAGGCAGCCAAGGTAGAGTCTCTCAAGTGGGAGGGTATGCAACATGTTTCACAGTGAATGAATCTAAGCTTTCACTTAGAATTTCTGTGAGGTAATAGGATAGACATAGTTGGAAAAGAGTAAGTTGTGTGTTTTTACAAGTCCTTGACTTTTTAAAGCATTGCATTTAACAAGCATTAATTACATCTCAATGATTCTTTCATTTGTTCTTGATTCAACAAATATTATCTCAGTTCCTACTATGTATCAGGTACCTTGATAAAAAGGACCAGCAAATTACCACCCACAGGGACATGATGAGATAGAAGACATAGCCCATGTTCTCTAGGAGCTTACCATACATTGCCTAAGACACAGTACCACTCTTGTACCCACCAGGATTATCTAATTGAACATGCATTAAACTTTCAATCATAGTTAATGAGAGCAAAGAGCTACGTCTCATAAAATAATTATAATAATATTATTTACATAAAATCATATTTGGGGAATTTAAAATCTTTACGGAAAATGTTTAATAATCTTTACAAAACCCATGTGCTTATATGTATTGTATTAGTCAGCGTTCTCTAGAGGACAGAACTAATAGGATAGATGTATATCTGATGTAAATATGAAGGGGAATTTATAAAGGATTATTGACTCACATGATCATAAGGTGAAGTCCCATGATAGGCCGTCTGCAAGCTGAGAAGCAAGGGAACCAGTCCAAGTCCCAAAACCTCAAAAGTAGGGAAGCTGACAGTGCAGCCTTCAGTCTGTGGATGAAGGCCCAAGAGCCCCTGACAAATGAATAGTGTAAGTCCAAGAGTCCAAAAGCTGAAGAATTTGGAGTCTGATGTTGGAGGGCAGGAAGTGTCCAGCATGAGACTGAAGGCCGGAAGACTCAGCAAGTCTGCTCTTTCCACCTTCTTCTGCCTGCTTTATTCTAGTCATGCTGGAAGCTGATCAGATGGTGCCTACCCAGATTGAGGGTGGCTCTGCCTCTACCAGTCCACTGAATCAAATGTTAATCTCCTTTGGCAACATCCTCACAGACACAATTAGGAACAATACGTTGCAATCCAATCCAGTTGACACTCAATTTTAACTATCACAAGTCCACCCCTTGTCAACATGAACCCATACACATCTCCTGAAATCATACATAATCTCCAAATAAAGACAATAATAAGGTCATAATTACACAGCTATTCTTTGCACAACCAGAAGTGCATTAATCCTTACCCTAATTGCTATTACATAAAGTTAACACTTAAATTCTTATATGAAGTCAATAAATCTTACATCACATGATAAAGGAAAAAAGGAAATAAAATGAAGATATTTTCCTAGTAAAAGTGTATACATGCACAAACATGTTCTTAACAAAATAAGAAGGAAATACTCATGACAATTACAGTCCTCATTTCTGTAGCTGGTCACGTGGTCGTAGGTGGTATTGATGACTGCCTTCTTCTACTACCCATTCTTTATTCCCTTTGCCTTCAGCAAGCACCTCAGCAGGTCATGGTTTTTTGCCTGGTTGAGTGACCCAAATCTTCATTCCTAAAGAGTCTGGGCCATTTATAGTCCAGCCTGGATTGGGTTGTTGTAGTTTCCCATTGACGTTAATCATAGGGCATGGTAATAGTAAGAGATGCCCTAAGGGATCTCCTGTATTCCATGCATAATCTTCCTTATCTCCGTTGTGGAGTAGTAGACTGATTTCATCTTGATAGGCTGGGTCAATCACCCCAGCCAACACTATAACTCCTTTCTTAGACTGTTGACTGAGAGGTAGCCCAAAATGGCCAGGTGGCAATCTTAACTTGCAGTTTAATGGAATCGTTGTTGTGTCTCCTGGTTGCAGCATTATTTCCTCTGGAAGTAAGGCCTCTAGACCAGCTGAACATAATGTTGTGGGAACAGGAAGGAAAACTTTTGCTAGTGGGTCACTAAGGGTGATGGTGAGTGGTGTCACTTCTACTTACACCCCTTGATTCCTGGACCCATGTATCTTGACTATGGGAGGAAGAGTACCGTGTATTGGATGCTGATTCAGAGCATACACAGCCTTCTGGAGAACTTTGCCCCAGCCCTGTAAAGCTTTGTCACCTAGTTGGCATTATAATTGTGACTTCAAAAGGCCATTCCACCATTCTATTAATCCAGCTGCTTCAGGCTGATGAGTTTCTGGCCACAGGGACATGATGAGCTAGAAGACATAGCCCATGTCCTCTAGGAGTTTGCCATCCGTTGCCTAAGACACAGTACCACTAATGTACACGCCAGGATTATCTAATTGAACATGCATTAAACATGCAATCATAGTTAATGAGAGCAAAGAGCTAAATCTCATAAAATTATTAAAATAAGTATTGACATAGAATTTTATTTTGGGAATGTAAAATCTTTAAAGAAAATGTTTTAATAATCTTTACAACACCCATGTGCTTAAATGTATGGTTTTGGAAAATGTACCCAGACTATTTGATGTTGTGCATCATTCCATGTAATTATTTTAAGAGTTTTCATTATTTTATTATTAACCTCTTTTTTATTCCTATGTTACATTTTAATACTACATTAATTATTAACCTTTTTAATTTAGAAAGGTAGTTTATTAAATGAATATTTGTTAAAGCCTCTGAAAGGAAGTTTATAATTGGAATATAAATGCATAATAACACATTTTAAATCAAGCTCTTTATGTGCCATTGAAAAGCTCTATTCCTAAATGAACCATAACCTTGCAGGTACTATATCATGACCTTTTAAATAAAAGCAAAGAAAATATCATGCACAGATTTTATGTGGAAAACACACCTTTTTGTTTGTGTATAGTGCATTCAAATCTTATGACTTTAGTTGACTTACTACAGCCTCAATGAGAGCTCAAAAGTGATAGAACAACTCAAATGGATATTGTAGATTAATATCAATACCAGACATGCTATGAAAACAGTGAATGACTTATAGGCATAAAAATATATGATAGCTTGTTTCCGGTTACACATGTAAGGTACTTGGAAGTTGCCACTCCATCTTAACAAGTAAAACGCTAAAGAGCTAATTTACACCCCACCAACAGTGTAAAAGCGTTCCTATTGAGAACTCATGGACACAGGGAGGGGAACATCACACACTGGGGCCTGTCGGGGGGTGGGGGGCTAGGGGAGGGATAGCATTAGGAGAAATACCTAATGTAGATGAAGGATTGATGGGTGCAGTAAACCACCATGGCATGTGTATACCTATGTAACAAACCTGCACATTCTGCACATATACCCCAGAACTTAAAGTATAATAAAAATAAATAAATAAATAAATAAAAATTCCTGATGTCTGAAGAAAAAGAATATTTTAAAATAGGTTTTATTCTATAATAAAATAAATAAGATATACTTAAAAATAAAAAATAAATTAATAATTTTAAAAAAAAAAAAAGCTAAAGAGACTAAAAACCAACAGCTCTTCTTAGATTGTAAGAGATGGGAGGACTTAGGGCAAAACTGCTACGCCAAGGTTAGAGAGATAGACAGGCAAATATAGGGAACTATGGCTTACTGAAGCAGAGACTCACTAGCGGAAACCACATCAGGATCCAGGACCAGCGTAGGAAAACCTGAACTATAATTGATGAATTTCTGGAGGATCAGTGCAGACAAGTCTGAGAGTTAAAAACTCCAGGAGGGCCCAGGCATAGGGGACACCAAGGATATTGTGAGATTTATCTAGAGAAGCTTGACAAACTTCTCAAAGTGAGTATTAGAGAAAATTCCCCCGCTGCTTCTGGCAGGGGGAAGAGAAGAAGAACCATTTCATAATATGGCAGAGCATTCTGTTTTTCTTAACAAGACCTAAAGAGCAAGAATAGACTGGAGTTAAATATTTGAAGTATTAAGAGGGCCAGGCACAGTGGCTCACGCCTGTAATCCCAAAGCTTTGGGAGGCCAAGATGGGTGGATCACTTGAGGTCAAGAGTTTAAGAGACCAGCCTGGCCAAATGGTGAAACCCTGTCTCTACTAAAAATACAAAAATTAGCTGGGCATGGTGGTGCATGCCTGTAATCCCAGCTACTTGGGAGGCTGAGGCAGGAGAATTGTTTGAACCTGGGAGGCAGAGGTTGCCATGAGCCAAGATCACAGAACTGCACTCCAGCCTAGGTAACAGAGTGAGACTCTGTCTCAAAAAAACAAACAAAAGAATAAATAAATAAATAAATAAAGTATTCAGAGAAAAAAACTCACCAATGTAGAATTATATACTCTGCAAAATTATTCTTCAAAAGTGAAGGAGAAATAAACACTTTCTCAGACAAACAAACATTGAAAGAATGTATTCAGAATAAACCTCCTTGCAAGAAATGTTAATGGAAGTTTTTCAAGAGAAGGAAAACTATATAGGCCAGAAACTTGGACCTACATAAAGAAAGGAAGAACATCAAAGAAGGAATAATTTAAGGTAAAATAAAAATGTTTATTTTTCTTACTCCTAATTGATCTAATAACAATTTGTTCAAAATAATCATAGTAACAATATATTTGATTGTGTATACTTACGTATAATATATGTGCTTATGTATACCTATATATAAGTCCAATGAATGACAGCAGTGACACAATGGACAGGAGGGAGGATATGATTTTTTTATTATAAGATGCTCATATCATCTGTGAAGTGGTACGGGGTTATCTGATGGACTTGGATTAGCTATAGATGTATATTGTAAACTCTAGGGCAACCACTACAAAAAGTAAAAAAAAAAAAAAAGTACAAGTGATATGCTAAAAAGAAGTAGAAAAAAATTGAATCACATAAAATAATGAAATACAACCACAAAAGACGGAAACAGTATAGAAGACAAAATAGGAACAGAGAAAAAAATAGAAAACATTAATCAATATAGTAGATATTAATCCAGGTATATCAATACTTATTTTGAATATCAATGATCTAAATACGCCAATTAAAAGACAAAGATTGTTTAAGTGGATTTAAAAACCCACCTATGTATTGCGTATAAGAAAGTCACTTTCAATACAAAAACACATAGATTATAAGTAAATGGATGAAGAAAATGTATCATGCTAACACTAATCTAAAGATAGCAGGAGTAGCCATATTAATTTCAGGCAAAGCAGACTTCAAAGCAAGGAAAGTTATCAGGGACAAAAGAAGGGTATTACATAATGATAAAATGATCAATTATCCAGGAAGACATAAGAATCTTTAACGTGTATCCATCTAATAACAGAGCATCAAACTATGCCAAGGAAAAACCAATAGAACAGCAAAGACAAGTAGTGCATCTATTAGCATAGTTGGAGACTACAACACTTCTCTGTCAGAAATGGACAGATCCAGCAGGTAGAAAATCAGTAAGCACATAGTTAAACTCAACAACACTATTAGTCAACTGGATATAATTTGACATCTATAGACAACAACATTCAATAACAGAATACACATTTTTCTCAAGTTTACATGGAGCATTCACCAAGATAGACCACATTCTGGACCATAAAACATACCTTAAATTTTAAAAGGACAGAAATCATAAAGTCTCTGATCTGAGAACACAATGGAATTAAATTAGACACCGCTAACAAAATATATCTGGAAAATCCCAAAATATACAGAGATTAAACAACACACCTCTAAATAACACATGGGCCAAAAACGAAATGTCAAAAAGCATTAAAAATATTTTGAACTAAATGAAAATTAAAAGAAAACTTATCAAAATTTGTGAGGTGCTACAAAAGTAGTACTTAAAGGGCAATTTATATCATTGAGTGCATATATTAAAAAAGAAGAAAGATTTAAAATTAATGACCTAAGTTTCTACCTTAGGAAACAGAAAATGAAAAGCAAATTTAGTCTAAAATAAGCAGAACAAAATGAATAATAAGAATTAGCAAAAATCAATGAAATAAAAAAAATCAATATAGAAAATCAACAAAATCTGATTATTTGAAAAAAGTCAACAAAATTGATAAGCCTCTAGCCAGGCTAATGAATAAAAAGAGAGGACATAAGTTAATAATATCAGAAATGAAAGGGTGGACATCACTACGGGTCCCAGGGACACTAAAAGGAAAATAAAGAGTGCTATGAACAACTCCATGCCCACAGATTTGATGACCTGGATTAAATGAACCAATTCCTTGAAACTGCCAAAACTCACACAGGAAAAATAGACAATCTTAATCAGCTTATATCTATTAAAGAAATCAAATCAATAATTAACAACCTTCCAAAACAAAGCAAAAGACCCAGATGGGTTCACTATTTAATTCTACTGAGCATTTAAGAAAAATTCCTACCAATTCTCTCAATATCTTTCAGGAACAGAGGGAATACCGATAGTCTCAAACTTAGAATTTTTCAACTTCAAGATGATGCAAAAGCAACATACATTCACTACACTCCTCGACTTACAATGGGATATGTCTAGATAACTCCACTCATTGTAAGTTGAAAATCTCAGAAGTTGAAGCACACACTTTTGACTTAACAATATTTTCAGTTTATTACAGCCTTATCAGGACTTAACCCCATCGTAAGTCAAGGAGCCTCTGTACTTTTTAACTGATTATATGAGGCCCTAATACCTAATAATTGCACTGACAGCAAACCAGACAAAGACATGCTAGAAACTATAGACCAGTATCTCTTAAGATGCAAAAATGCTCAACAAAATATTAGCAAATTCAACGCAACAATGTATAAAAAGAATTATACACCACAGTGAAGTGGGATTTATCTCAGACATTCAAGGCTGGTTCAACATTCAAAAAATCAGGTAATGTAATTCATCACATCAACAGACTAAAAAAGAAAAATCACATGATTTTATCAACAGATGCAGATAAAGCATTTGACAAAATTCAACACCCATTCATGATCAAATCTCTCAGTAAACTAACAATACAGAGAAACTTCCTGAGTTTGATAAAGAATATCTATAAAATACCTTCAGCTAATATCACATTTAATGGTGAGAAATTAGAAGTTTTCACACTAAGATCAAGAACAAGGCAAGGATTTCCCCTTTCACCATTTCTTTTCATAATTATACTGGAACTTCTAGCTAATAAGACAAAATAAAGGTGGGAACAGGGTATACAAGTTATCAAGGAAAAACTAAACTGTTTTTGCAGATGACATTATTGTGTACATAGAAAATCAGAAAGAATTGACCAAAAAATATCCTGTAACTAACAAGTGATTATAGCAATGTGGCAAGATTAAAGGTTAATATACAAAAGTCATTTGATTTCTTCTGTACCAACAATGAAAAAGTAGAAGTTAAAAGAAACATAATATTATTTACATTAGAATCAAAACAAATGAAATACTTAGGTGTAAGTCTATCAAAATATGACAAGATCTGTGTGAGGAGAGCTACAAAACTCTGATGGACAAAATCAAACAAGAACTAAATAAATGGAGAGATATTCCATGTTCATGTATAGGAAGACAGTACTGTCAAGATGTGAGTTCTTCCCAGCTTGATCTATAGATGCAATGTAATCACAGTAGAAATCCCCGCAAGTTGTGTTGTGGGCATTAACAAACTGATTCTAAAGTTTAAAGGCATGCTAGAAGACCCAGAATAGCTAACACAATATTGAAGGAGAAGAACAAAGTTAGAGGACTGACACTACCTAACCTCAAGACTTACTATAAAGCTACAGTAATCTGACAGTGTAATATTGGTTAAAGAATAGACAAATAGATCAATTGAACAAAAAAGACATCCCAGAAATAGACCCACATAATTAAATCAACTGATTTTTGACAAAGCAGTAAGACACTTCAGTGGAGAATACATAGTAATTTACCAAATGGTGCTGGAACAACTGCATGTTCACATGCAACAAAAAATTAATCTAGACACACCCTTCACCAAAATTAACTCTAAATGGATCATACATCTAAATGTAAAGCACAAAAATATAAAATTCCTACAAGATAACACAGAAGAAAACCTAGATGATCTTGAATATGTTGATGACACATGTGTTTTTAAATACAACTCCAAAGGCAATATTCATGAAAGAAATTATTGATACGCTGGGTTTCATTAAAATAAAAAACTCTGGCTGGGCGCAGTGGCTCACACCTGTAATCCCAGCAATTTGGGAGGCCAAGGCAGATAGATCACCTGAGGTCAGGAGTTTGAAACCAGCCTGGCCAACATGGCAAAACCCCATCTCTACTAAAAATACAAAAATTAGCTGGACATGATGGTAGCCTCCTGGAATCCCAGCTACTCAGGAGGCTGAGACAGGAGAATCGCTTGAATCTGGGAGGCGGAGGTTGCAGTGAGCAGAGATTGTGCCACTGCACTCCATCCTGGGAGACAGAGCAAGACTCCGTCTCAAACAAACAAACAAACAAAAAAAAACTTCCGCTCAGTGAAAGATAATGTCAAGAGAATGAGAAGACAAGCCACCGACTGGGAGAAAATATTTGTAAAAGATGCATTGGAGAAAGTACGGTTATCCAAAATACACAAAGAACACTTAAAACTCAACAATAAGAAAACAACGAACCAGATTTTAAAAAATGAGCTAAAGACTTTAACGGACACCTCATCAAAGAAGATAAACAGATAGCAGATAAGCATATGAAAAGGTACTCTACATCATGTCAGGAGGGAAATGCAAATTAAAACAACAATGAGGTACCACTACACATCTATTAGAATAGCCAAAATTCATAACACTGACAACACCAAATTCTGATGAGGATCTGGAGCAAAGGAGCTCTCATTCGTTGCTGGTGGGAATGCAAAATGATTTGATCACGTTAGAAGACAGCATGTGATCTCAACAAAATTGATAGAGCACTAGCAAGACTAATAAAGAAGAAAAGAGAGAAGAATCAAATAGACACAATACAAAATGATAAAGGGGTATCACCACCCATCCCACAGAAATACAAACTACCATCAGAGAATACTATAAACACCTCTACACAAATAAACTAGAAAATCTAGAAGAAATGGATAAATTCCTCATCACATACACCCTCCCAAGACTAAACCAGGAAGAAGTTGAATCTCTGAATAGACCATTAACAGGCTCTGAAATTGAGGCAATAATTAATAGCTTACCAACCAAAAAAAGTCCAGGACCAGACGGATTCGCAGCTGAATTCTACCAGAGGTGCAAGAAGGAGCTGGTACTATTCCTTCTGAAACTATTCCAATCAACAGAAAAAAAGGGAATCCTCCCTAACTCATTTAATGAGGCCAGCATCATCCTGATACCAAAGTCTGGCAGAGACACAACAGAAAAAGATAATTTTAGACCAATATCCGTGATGAACATCGATGCAAAAATCCTCAATAAAATACTGGCAAACTGAATCCAGCAACACATCAAAAAGCTTATCCACCATGATCAAGTGAGCTTCATCCCTGGGATGCAAGGCTGGTTCAACATACGCAAATGAATAAACGTAATCCAGCATATAAACAGAACCAATGACAAAAACCACATGATTATCTCAATAGATGCAGAAAAGGCCTTTGACAAAATTCAACAGCCCTTCATGCTAAAAACTCTCAATAAATTAGGTATTGATGGGATATATCTCAAAATAATAAGAGCTACTTATGAAAAACCCACAGCCAATATCATACTGAATGGGCAAAAACTGGAAGCATTCCCTTTGAAAACTGGCACAAGACAGGGATGCCCTCTCTCACCACTCCTATTCAACATAGTGCTGGAAGTTCTGGCCAGGGCAATTAGGCAGGAGAAGGAAATAAAGGGTATTCAATTAGGAAAAGAGTAAGTCAAATTGTCCTTGTTTGCAGATGACATGATCGTGTATCTAGAAAATGCCATCATCTCAGCCCAAAATCTCCTTAAGCTGATAAGCAACTTCAACAAAGTCTCAGGATACAAAATCAATGTACAAAAATCACAAGCATTCTTAAACACCAATAACAGACAAACAGAGAGCCAAATCATGAGTGAACTCCCATTCACAATTGCTTCAAAGAGAATAAAATACCTAGGAATCCAACTTACAAGGGATGTGAAGGACCTCTTCAAGGAGAACTACAAACCACTGCTCAACATAATAAAAGAGGATACAAACAAATGGAAGAACATTCCATGCTCATGGACAGGAAGAATAAATATCGTGAAAATGGCCATACTGCCCAAGGTAATTTATAGATTCAATGCCATCCCCATCAAGCTACCAATGACTTTCTTCACAGAATTGGAAAAAAACTACTTTAAAGTTCATATGGAACCAAAAAAGAGCCCACATTGCCAAGTCAATCCTAAGCCAAAAGAACGAAGCTGGAGGCATCATGCTACCTGACTTCAAACTATACTACTAGGCTACAGTAACCAAAACAACATGGTACTGGTACCACAAAAGAGATATAGACCAATGGAACAGAACAGAGCCCTCAGAAATAATGCCACACATCTACAACTATCTGATCTTTGACAAACCTGACAAAAACAAGCAATGGGGAAAGGATTCCCTATTTAATACATGGTGCTGGGAAAACTGGCTAGCCATATGTAGAAAGCTGAAACTGGACCCCTTCCTTACACCTTATACAAAAATTAATTCAAGACCGATTAAAGACTTACATGTTAGACCTAAAACCATAAAAACCCTAGACAAAAACCTAGGCAATACCATTCAGGACATAGGCATGGACAAGGACTTCATGTCTAAAACACCAAAAGCAATGGCAACAAAAGACAAAATTGACAAATGGGATCTAATTAAACTAAAGAGCTTCTGCACAGCAAAAGAAACTACCATCAGAGTGAACAGGCAACCTACAGAATGGGAGAAAAGTTTTGCAATCTACTCATCTGACAAAGGGCTAATATCCAGAATCTACAAAGAACTCAAACAAATTCACAAGAAAAATACAAACAACCCCATCAAAAAGAGGGCACAGCAAATGAATAGACACTTCTCAAAAGAAGACATTTATGCAGCCATCAGACAAATGAAAAAATGCTCATCATCACTGGCCATCAGAGAAATGCAAATCAAAACCACAATGAGATACCATCTCACACCAGTTAGAATGGCCATCATTAAAAAGTCAGGAAACAACAGGTGCTGGAGAGGATGTGGAGAAACAGGAACACTATTACACTGTTGGTGGGACTGTAAACTAGTTCAACCATTGTGAAGTCAGTGTGGTGATTCCTCAGGGATCTAGAACTAGAAATACCATTTGACCTAGTGATCCCATTACTGAGTATATACCCAAAGGACTATAAATCATGCTGCTATAAAGACACATGCACACATATGTTTAATGTGGCACTATTCACAATAGCAAAGACTTGGAACCAACCCAAATGTCCAACAATGATAGACTGGATTAAGAAAATATGGAACATATACACCATGCAATACTATGCAGCCATAAAAAATAATGAGTTCCTGTCATTTTTAGGGACATGGATGAAGCTGGAAACCATCATTCTCAGCACACTATCGCAAGGACAGAAATCCAAACACCGCATGTTCTCACTCATAGGTGGGAATTGAACAATGAGAACACTTGGACACAGGGTGTGGAACATCACACACCGGGGCCTGTTGTGGGGTTGGGGGAGTGGGGAGGAATAGCATTAGGAGATATACCTAATGTAAATGATGATTTAATGGGTGCAACACACCAACATGGACACATGTATACATATGTAACAAACCTGCACATTGTGCACATGTATCCTAAAACTTAAAGTATAATTTAAAAAAAAAAAGACAGCATGTGGCAGTTTCTTGTAAAACTACAAATACTCTTACCATAGGATCCAACAACTCTACTCCTTGGTATTAACCCAAAGGAGTTGAAAACTTATATTTCCACAAAAACCTGCACATGGATGTTTACAGCAGCTTTATTCATAATTGCCCAAACTGGGAAGTAACCAAAATATCCTTCAGTAGGTGAATTATAAACTTTGGTACATACAGACAGTGATATATTATTTAGTGCTAAAATGGTATAAATATCAAGCCATGAAAACATGGAGGAAGCTTGAATGCATGTTACTAACTGAAAGAAGCCATAATGAAAAAGCTATATACTGTGTGATTCCAATTATATGACATTCTGGAAAAGACAAAACTATGGTGACAGTAAAGAAATCAGTGATAGGCAGGAGGGTTGGGTGGGGTGAGGAAGAATGAATAGGTGGAGCACAGAAAATTTTTAGGAAAGTGAAAATACTCTGTATGATACTAAAACAATGGATACGTGTCATTATACATTGTCCAAACCCATAGAATGTGTAACAGCAAGAGTGAACTCTGATGTAAACTGTGGATTTGTATGATGATGCTGTGTCAATATAGGTTCATATACATATAAGACATACCATATATATATCTGTCATACATATGTGACAGCTGCTACTACTACTACATGACTACATAACTACTACAGTCTACACAGTAGTAGTCATGATCTTTTATACATGCGTATATATTAGTCATGGTAGTTTCCTGCATGCACTTTTGCTTGTAGCAAGTATTACAATCTTCATAGGGATGAAACGGAAGGTTTAAAAAATTTATTAATAATAAGCCATCTTTCTTTCCACCAACATTTACTAAATTACATTAGGTGCTAGGCAATCCTGCACCAAATGATAAGAAACTAAAGGTGGATAATAATTAGCATGTTCTCACATTGAGTGAGGTAAGAGAAGTGGGACAAGAGAAGAGAAGTATATAAATAAACATCTATCTGACACAGTCCAACAGGAACTGAGTAGTGGTTGGTGTAGCACACTTGAATATTAAGAGAAAGCAGTGATTCTGTCTCTGAGATCATTGAGGATGATACAGTTGAGGTTAGCTCTGAGTTAGACCTTGAGAAGTAGGTAGGAGCTGTACAGTCAGACGTCTAGGATGGCACTACAAGAAGGACCAATATGAGGAAAAGAATGGACATCTAAAAGTACATGTGGCATGCGGTAGGCAGTATATATAAGAGGTTCAGTTTGATATGTCAAGATAAGGAGCAGCAAGGTGATTTGGAGCCAGATTATAAAGGGCCAATACTACCCTATCATCAGCCCTTAACATGCAGTAATGGTCAGGAAGCTGTGAATCATCCCATTGGTTCCTGCTCACTCATTCTTTCCTCTAATTTTATTATTTCTTAGGCAGTTCCATCTGCTGGTCTAGCTTAGATGGTATGCAGAGCTGTAGTGAAATAACTCACTGGCGAAGATCATATAAATAAGGTTAGCCTCTGAGAATGAATATAATAAAAAACTGACACACATTGAATAAAATTAACCATCTATAAAAGTAAACCAACACATTTTCTATAAAGGTTGTATAAGGAGCACAAAAAAATCATTCAAAGTATAAATATTATAGTCAAACAGATCAAGCTTTGTATCTACTCTTATTAGCCATGCAACTGTGAGTAGTTATTTAACTTCTTGAAGTTTTTTTTTTCCTGTCTGTAAAGTGGGGCTAATAACTTCTATGCTATGATGTTCTAAGGATTAGAGATAAGTCATGTGAAATTCTAAACATAGTACTCAGCATATGCAAGTACACAGCATGTAATAGTTCTTATTGTGGTACTTAGTAAAAGTGGCATCAGTTAGCTTTTCCTATATAACAAAATACCTCAAATTTGGGATTGAAACAATTATTAATTTAGTTCTTGATTCAGGATGTTAGCAATTTGCTTAACTGGGCTATGCTGCATGGTTCTTCTGGCCTCACTTGGTCTTATGCCATCTGTGGTCAAGTTCCAGGTGGGCTAGGGACTGGCTAATCTAGGTCAGCCTCAGCTGGATGGCTTGTCTGTGTGTCATGTGGTCTGTCATCCTTCAGGAACCTATGCTGGCTTGTCGTCTTGGTAGGATTTCAAGAGAGTAAGCAGAAAAGCACCAGGCCCCTTCAAGCCTTGGTTTAACTCTGGTACATCATCACCTCTACCATGTTCTACTGATTAAAACAAGTCACAAAATCAGCGCACACCCAAAGGTTGGGTAGATAAATGCCCCCACTTGATGGGAGTCCTTCCGAAGTGGCATGGAAACCAGGAGGGAACAATTTTTTCAAACAATCTACCACGAGAGGGTTGAAGACATAAAATCAACTAGAATCTCTAATGTAAATTGAAAGGATAGGAAATCAATATGGTATAGTCTTGATGTAGTAGAGAGGAACTTGGAATCAAAAGACCTGAGCTTAATCCCTGCCTTTGCTATTGATTAACTTGACCCTGGTAAAGTAATTTAAATTATCCATGCCTCATTATTATCAGTATAAGATTCTCCAAATTCAAGATTGTTGTGGGGGATAAATGAGATAATGTATGTGAAAATCTGTACTAAACTGTAAATACAGAAACAAATATAATGAAAAATTATTTTTGATATAAAATGTACTTTATAAATTATAAAAGGATCTAGAACCCCTTACCTTTACCATCTATGTGTCCTTATTCTGTCTCTAGAATGTAGAAAGGCACAATATATATTAAAATATATAATTTAAAAATATATAAAATATATAAACAAATACATGTCATAGCAGAAAAATGCAAAGGATACTGAGGAATCTCAGAAGAGGGGTGCCAAAGGAAGTCAGAGGAGCAATAGGGCACAGGAGAGGCATCCCAGAAGGCAATGTCTACATGAGAAGCACGAATTTACTAGAGAAAATGATCGAAAATTCAAATCCAAATGCTTAGCTGATTAGAAACCATTGTTTTGTCCCTTACCTGCATAAACCAGATTCCTACTTAGATATCTTGCTTCATTTTTTATGAAACGTAACCATTTGTTTCAAAGTCAGCCAAATTGAACTACCTGAGATTTCTTAAACACAGCATATTCCTTAAATACACCATCCTTTGCTTTTGATCTTGCTGCTCACTCTACCTGGAGTACTCTACCTCCTTGGATTTTGAAATCAATTTCCAATACAGACATACCTCATTTTATTGCAATATTGCTTTTTTTACAAATTGAAGGTTTGTGGCAATCCTGCTTCTAACAAGTCTATTGGTGCCACTTTTCAAACAGCATACACTCACTTCATGTTTCTGTGTTCATATTTTGGTAATTCTTGCAATATTTCAAACTTCTTCATTATTGCTACACCTGTTATGGTGATCTGTGATTAGTGATCTTTGATATTATTGTTAAGTGCTTTCAGGTGCCACGAACACCCGTTGAATATGGAAAACTTAATTGATAAATACTGTGTGTGTTCTGACTGCTACACTCATGGGCAAATCCCTCATTCCGTCAGTCTCTTCAGGCCTCCCTGTTCCCTGAGATGCGACAATATTGAAATTAGGCTATTTAAAGTACTTCATGACTAAAACACGAAAAGCAATGGCAACAAAAACCAAAATTGACAAACGGGATCTAATTAAACTAAAGAGCTTCTGCACAGCAAAAGAAACTACCGTCAGAGTGAACAGGCAACCTACAGAATGGGAGAAAATTTTTACAATCTGCTCATCTGACAAAGGGCTAATATCCAGAATCTACAAAGAACTTAAACAAATTTACAAGAAAAAATCAAACAACCCCATCAAAAAGTGGGTGAAGGATATGAACAGACACTTCTCAAAAGAAGACATTTATGCAGCCAAAAGACACATGAAAAGATGCTCATCGTCACCAGCCATCAGAGAAATGCAAATCAAAACCACAATGAGATACCATCTCACACCAGTTAGAATGGCCATCATTAAAAAGTCAGGAAACAACAGGTGCTGGAGAGGATATGGAGAAATAGGAACACTTTTACACTGTTGGTGGGACTGTAAACTAATTCAACCATTGTGGAAGACAGTGTGGCAGTTCCTCAAGGATCTAGAACTAGAAATACCATTTGACCCAGTGATCCCATTACTGAGTATATACCCAAAGGATTATAAATCATGCTGCTATAAAGACACATACACACATATGTTTATTGTGGCACTATTCACAATAGCAGACTTGGAACCAACCCAAATGTCCATCAATGATAGACTGGATTAAGAAAATGTGGAACATATACACCATGGAATACTATGCAGCCATAAAAAAGGATGAGTCCATGTCCTTTGTAGGGACATGGATGAAGCTGGAAACCATCATTCTGAGCAAACTATCCCAAGGACAGAAAACCAAACACCGCATGTTCTCACTCATAGGTGGGAACTGAACAATGAGAACACTTGGACACAAGGTAGGGAACATCACACACCGGGGCCTGTTGTGGGGTGGGGGGAGTGGGGAGGGATAGCATTAGGAGATATACCTAATGTAAATGACGAGTTAATGGGTGCAGCACACCAACATGGCACATGTATACATATGTAACAAACCTGAACGTTGTGAACATGTACCCTAGAACTTAAAGTATAATAATTTAAAAAAAAAAGAAAATAGGCTATTTAACAACTCAACAATGGCCTCTAAGTGTTCAAGTGAAAGGAAGAGTTGCATGTCTCTCACTTTAATCCAAAGCTAGAAATGATTAAGATTAGTGAGAAAGACATGTTGAAAGCTGAGATAGGGCAAAAACTAGACCTCTTGTTCCAAATAGTTAGCTAAAGTGTGAATGCAAAGGAAGAGTTTTTGAAGGAAATTAGAAATGTTACTCCAGTGAACACACAAATGATAAGAAAGAAAACAGCCTTATTGCTGGTATGGAGAACATTTTAGTGGTCTGGATAACATTTTAGTGGTCTGGATAGAATATCAAACCATTCTAGATGCCCTTAAGAACATTTGTGAATCATGAGAGGAAGTCAGATGTCTGCATTAACAGGAGTTTGGAAGAAATTGATTGCAAGCCTTGTGAGGGATTCAAGACTTCAGTGGAGGAAGTCACTACAGATTAGAGAAATAGCAAGAGAACAATAATGAGAAGTGGAGCCTAAGGATGTGACTGAATTCCTGCAATCTCATGATAAAACTTGAAGAGATGAGGAGTTACTTCTTATGAATGAGCAAAGAAAGTGGTTGCTTGAGATGAAATCTACTCCTGGTGAAGATGCTGTGAACGTTGTTGAAATAAAAACAAAAGATTTAGAATATTCCATAAACCTATTTGATAAAGCAGTAACTGAGTTTTAGAGATTTAAGAGGATTGAAAGAAGTTCTACTGTGGATAAAATGCTATGAAACAGCATCACATGCTACAGAGAAATCTCTTGTGAAAGGAGGAGTCAATCAATCTAGCAAACTTTATTGTCTTATTTTAAGAAATTGCTACAGCACCCAGGAATTCGATGCCACGGTAAGCTATAATCCCACCACTGCCCTCCAGCATAGGTGACGGAGCAAGACCCTATCTAGAAAAAAAAAAGAAGGAAAAAAAAGAGTGAGAAAGAAAATGCTACAGCTTTCAGTAATAACCAGCCTGATCAATCAGCAGCTATCACCATCAAGACAAGACATTCCTTTAGCAAAAAGATTATGATTCACCAAAGGCTCAGTTGATTGTAGTGAAAACATAACTTTTATGCACTGGGAAACCAAAATATTTGTGTGACTTGCTTTATTGTGATATTAGTTTTAGTGCTGTCATCTGGAATCAAACCTGCAATATCTTCGAGGTATACCTCTAAATGTCCATGGGTGATTTCATAATTGGCCAAGTGTTCCTGTTGTATGGTGCCTTCCCTGATTCACACAGTTACAAATGATTACCCTTTCTTTTGCTCTCATTTTATCTTAGTTAGTATTATTTTTTTTGTATCAATTTTCATGTTTCCTTTATTATGCCATGTGCTTTGACCATTCCTTATACATTTAGACAAAAGAAACAGACATATGATCAAGAGAATTCAGCATGCAAATTACACTCAGAAAGCAAAGCAATTCAGTGTGGTCAAAGCAAAAGTTGCACTATGGTCTTGTATAGCCTATTATTTTATCCTGAAATTGGATTTGAAGCCAAAGTGTGATATGAGGAGGTTTGTCTCTTTAGAATACTTTGGCAGATAGTATTGGCTGAAATCAGATATGGGGCAACTAATAAGGAATCTTCTGCAGTAATCCAGGGAAGAAATGGTGAGGATCTTAATGTAGTCACAATGAGGAACCTGGAGATATTTGGAAAATAAACTAGAGCAGTACTTCTCAAACTTCCCTGTACTTTAGGACCACCTAGAGAGACTTGAAAAACTCTGATGCCTGCACCTCACTCCATACAAGGTAACACAGAATCCTTGGAATTATTATTATTTTTTAACTCTCTAGGTAATTTCAATGCTCAGCCAAGTACTTGGTTAATCACTGGATGTGGGCGACAAAGATAGGTATTCCTAGTTTTCTGATCTGGGACAAAAGAGTGAAACAAAAGCATATATAGTGTGGATAAATAAGCAAATTTAGAGTGGAGAAATTTAAGTTTGGTTTTGGACAAATGGAAATTAAGTGCTAACGGGTAGTCGTATATGCAATTCTTGCACTTAGGAAAAAGATGCAGTTTAGAGGTATACACTTTCGAGATTTTCTGCATGTATTAATAGATATTATTTACAGTCATTGCGAATATGATGTCTAGTGAATGCATGTGAAATGAGACTAAAAGAGGACTGTGAGTGGACTCTGGGAGCATCAACATGTGAGAAATTGACAGAGGTAGAAAAAGAACACCAAAAAAAAAAAAAAAAAGAGGAAAAGTAAGTGGTATCTCCAAAGCTCAGTTAGAAGAGGGGTTCAAGAAACTGGAGGTGGTTAGTAGTCTTAAATGCTGAAGAGAGTTTAGTACAGATCTGGGCTGAAAAGTATATAATATATTTGGTGAGGTCACTGTTAACCTTGGGGAGATCAGTTCCTAAGCATATTGGGGACAGAAACTAAATAAAAATATATTATGGAGTGATCAAAAGGGGAGGAAAAAGCAAGTTACTGTAGCTCCTAGAGTGGTACAGTGGTTGTTTCCTGTTGTGTTGGAAAACATCTCTGATTTTTTATAGAAACTCTTGTATATTGTTTAAATGTTACTTTTCTATATTTGAAATAGTTGTGTAAATAAGACATTTGTCAGCCCCAAAATAAACCAAAAAATGATGAATTTTTAAATAATTTTAAAAGACAACTTGTAAGCATACTAGTCTCATTTATGACCATTAAGTAAGCAATGAACAAATAAAATTAGAAAAGCTTATTATTTCACCTTAAATGTCTTATAGTCAATGTATATATTTCAGGAATATTGCACCAATCTCACTTTCACTAAATTTGAACTAAGGCATAAAGGACATCTAAAATTTGAATGTTGTATGGTTAATTAACATTTAATAAACTTATTTTCTTTGTTTAAATGTCTTTGAAAATCAAATGTCTCATGCTGTTTTTCCTCATCAATGTAATCCCAGTAGTCTTAGGAATGATTTTGTTGAATTGTTTGACAAAACCTAACTTGGCTGCTTGTAATTTATAGTTGTTCACCCCCGTCACTTTGCAGTTTTTCCCTACTAAAAAATTTAGATTGTCTTGAAGCTGAATTGTTGACTGGATTTCCTATGTAGTTCACAGTATGGTTACAGAATACCAAAATAGCATTGTCAATGTGTTTTAAAAAGCATAGACCTGAAGTCAATGGGAATTTGACAAGACAGCCTGCATGTTATTGTAAGCCATTGCAAGTTTTATGTTGTTCTTCACCTTAATTTTTAATGTGTAAACTTTAATGAAATTCAGTTTTTAAAAGCTACTTAATAAAATAATTTTATTTATTCCCTAAGGAAATGGAATTGTCAAAACAAAAAAAGTTGACCATTAAATTTGATTCTTTTATTTAAAATTTCAAAGGATGACAATGGAAGCCATATAGCACTACTTTTTTTTTTTTTGCCAAATAAGCATCTGCACATTGTTTTTCACCTTTGAGATACCTTTTAGAGAGAAAGAAATATGCAAAATTTGATTAGTAAATTATCATACTTTGCATTTTATATGCTTCAAAATGTTAATGTCTCATAGAAATTAGATGTTTACAAAAAGTGTATACATTTTCTTAAGTTGTATTAATTAGTCAAAATGAAAGTCAAAACTATTAAATACTCCAATTTAAAAGTATTTTCTACGAAGCAGAATTCACTAAAAGAATGGCTTTTCAGGAGCATATCAAATTTTAATGACTTAAGCACTAAAAAGCATCTTGATAAGATGGGTCTCAACTCTAAGACAATCTATAAAACCCAATTTCATGTTTTCAGTAATATAAAGGGGACTGTAATCTGTGTTCCAACTTTGTAAATCAACTTGTCCTTTGATTTTTACTAATCATATTTTTCATAAATATTATCAACACTGATTAAATATCTGCCTTTTTGACCTCATAATCATACCATGTTCTAGTAAATTTGCTTTCCCTTTCTTTTCTTTCTTCGTTTTTTTTTTTTTTCAAAGACAAAATCTCATTCTGTCGCCCAGGCTGTAGTGCAGAGGTACAATCATGGCTCACTGAAGCCTCAAAACTCCTGGGCTCAAGCCATTCTCCTGCCTCAGCCTCCTGAGTAGCTGGGATTACAGGCATATGAGCCACCATGCTTGGCCCATTTTTAGAGACTATTTCACATTTTATCTCTTCCTCATAGTCACAAACCCATAACTAGTTCTCTTTACTCTCAGTAAGAGACCTTACACCCTAGTTCATAAAGAAAATGTAGACACCAAGAAGAATGATTTTACTTTTTCCACATCGAATTTAGAAACCTAAATGCATCCATACTTATTTGTTTCTCTCTCTACTCGTCTTCTATCCTGTTAGATACAAACAATGCCTCTGCCTCTCTTAAAGCCCACTTTCTCCACTTGTACTCTCGATTCATCATCCCCTCTTCCCTTCTCAAGAGCTTCTTTCTCTTTCCCAAATCATTTTCACTAGTGTAAAAACATACTCAAATATAGTCCATTAAGAAAACATCATTAGTCCTCCCGTGATCTTGTACAGGCTGCCTTCATTTGTCTTTTAGCTAGCCCAAGAAAACCTTTAGAGAGATTCATGTATTGCCTCTACTTCTTCATATTCTATTCACTCAATTCATTCTAGCCTGACTTTTGTCCTGTCACTTCCCTGAAACCCCTGTTTTAAAGGTTACGAATGGTTTTTGTCTCTTCAAATCCAGTGGACACGTTTCTACTCTTTGACACAGACTTTCAGAAGCATTCATCACGGTTGATTGTTCCTTACTTTTTGGAACACTTCCTTCTCTTGGCACGACATCACACTCTCTTGTGCCCCCAGGTCAGTCCTAGGGCCTTTCTTTTTCTCTATATTATTTTCTTCCTTTTGTGAAGTCATCTAGCCTGGTGACTTCAAATACCATTTTATTTTGAAGTCTCTAAAACTTGCACCTTTATCCTTGACCTCTTTAGTGAATTCTCCACTCATATATCCAGTGGCACAATTGATGTCTTCACTAATGCTATGCTTACTAGACATACTAAATATAAAATATTAAAATTGGACCTCTTCAATACTTTCTTCATTAGGCTTTATTCTATCTCAGTAAATTGTCTACATTCCACAGTTCAGTAGTTCAAGCCAAATATCTAGGATCATTCTTAATTTCTACTTTTCTCTATGTCTCTCTGAATCTAAGCATTCACCAACTAGAACCTCAGAACTATCCACTTCTCTGTATCTCCGTGGATATTATGAAAGCCACATTATTTCAACATAATCAGACTCCTTGCTTTCACCCTTAACCCACTTATCCTATTCCCTATAGTCACAAGCATCTTTTGAAAATGTACATCAGATTATTTTATCACCCTCCTTTAAACCTTTCTGCGGCCTCCCATTACACCAACAATAAAACCCAATCTCCCACAGGGTTCAGAGCTCCCAGAGATCTGGCTATTGCCTGCTTCTCTCATTTTCTTTCATACTATTCCTGTCCTCTCATGAATCTACAACCACAAAAGCCTTCTTTTTTCCCCTTGAACATACCATGCTCATTCCCACCTCAGTCTTTGCACCTGCAGTTACTTCTACATACCTGGCTGCTTTTACTCACTTCCACATTTTATTTAATGTGAGGTGCCATCTCATCTCTCAGTTTTCAACTCAGGGAGCTTTTTACTGACCATGTGTCTGACATGCATTTATGTATTCTGGTGATTCTCTGTCATGCTCTCCTCCTCTATTACTACCTTCCTAAAAATAATATTATAAATAGGTCTAACAATTGGAACTGGAAATGGTCCAATTAAAGTATCTTTTTTTAACTCATTATGACATTTTCCTCCCTAAAATGTAAGCTTCAGGAGGGCAGGGACTTTTTCTGTCTTGTTCATCACTTCTGAGTTAGAACAGCTGTTGGCATATAGTGGAGCTCAAGAAATATTGGTTAGAAGTTGAATACACGAAAATGCTAAGTCAATGTCTCAAGCTCCTTTTTGTGTGCCATTTAATTCCTCTTATATTAGATGCTCAATTTGCTTATTAATCAATTAGGTGACATTGAATCTCCCACCAGACTGTGTAACATAAACTGTAGGATGGGGGAAGACAAAGTTCAAATACTGTGTAGCATCTGGGTTTCACTATCTCTTCATTCAATAATGTTTTAAAATATGAGCCATAAAAATTGAGCACTAGAAATGGCATAAATTAAGTGAAATATTGATATAGAAAAATGTTGCTTTTATTTAAAAATATATTTCATTGGGTATTTATTTCTAATAACATTGCATGATGTTTCACGATATAAAATATCCATCATTCTGGTTTTTTTTCTTAGGAAAAAAAATCTGTTCCCTCCTGCTTGATTAAAAACGGAGTACAGCAAAATACTGAAGGGCTTCCTAATTATCAAATAAATATTAAATTATGTCCAGTGTCCTTTTACTGTTAATGTCTTTTAGCCTGACTCTTTTAAAAATTGCTTTCTCTTTTAATAAAAAGTAAAATTATTTTTTGGTCATCTTTATTTCTCAGAAATAGAATGCTACCACATATTTTCACAAACCATCCTCTGGCTTTAGATAAGGATATTTAGAATCCTTAGACCATTTCACATTTTTAAAATAAATATAAAGTCATTTTTCCTGAAATTTAATTGATTTAAAAAATTGCTTTGAAAATTTCTTCAAAACATGACAACTTTAGTTTTGCATGTAGTAATTGTCAAGACTGTTAAATCATAGAAACAAGAATGTAAAAATAGAATTTCCTTAAGCCAAAGTGTGGTATTTATTAGTTTAAATATGCAGATATGTTAGTGAGGCACCCAGCCTTAAAAGTGGCTGCAAAGGGGATCTCTCTCCATCCTGTGTGTTTGTCTACTTTCTCCTGTCTCTGTTTTATTTTTTCCCAGTGTAGTAAGCTTTGGGATTGGAAAGTGGTTAAATGAGGAATCAGTGATCAACAGCAGCTCTGAATAAACTTCATTCCAGTTTAGTGACCAAGGAGAAAAAAAAAAAAGTTTTAACTTTCCCAGTTCCACTGAGGGATTTTGATAGAAGCAGAGTACCTAATTCCTATGATCAGTGCAGGTGGGGATACTTTCTCATCTTTCTGGGCAAGAAGATAGAGTCTGCTTTCAATGGATAGGGAAAGGAGAACAGGGTAGTGCTTGGCTGCTCAGAGCATACAATGGAAACCACTGCTTACCATAATGTATCTCTCCCATCTGTGGTCACCCCTCCCCAGTCAGAGGCTGCCCCACCAGCATTCAGTGGCATGATTCTCGCAATGTCCTGAACAACTCTCTGTATGATATTTATTTCCCTTCATCAAGTCCAATTGTAGTGCCTCATGCTTCTCAGCAACCTACAGGGTGAACAATTAACCAACCTGGCACAGTCAATATAAATTTGAAGCAAAAATAGCTCTGTTAAAATTAAAATTGCCATGTAAAAGAGAGAAACAGTGTTAGTCCCTACTTGAGAGGATATATCTTATCCTACTGTCAAGGCTGCTAAACCTTGCTTCCCTGCTGTGGATTTCTGTGGTCAACCCATCTGCCTGGCTAGATTCAGCCCACGAGAAAGGTTTTTCTTGTCCTCTGTGGAACCCTGAGAGGGGAGCTGGAGAGGGAGGTGCACATGCTGTGACTGTGCTGATTGAGCAGCCACTTCATAGTTGCATGAGAATGTGAATTGGGGGATTATTTTGTTATGTTAGGAGGTGGGGGTTTTGTGGTTGTTGTTGTTATTGTTTTATTTTGTTTTTTTTTTTTTAAGAAAAAAATTTTCTAAAAATCTATGCATATTGCTTATCAGTTTCGCCACAGGGTAACTAGTATCTAATAGCTAATTTTTTCTTCTTCTTCAGTCTGTATCTCTGTATCTGTCTCTGCCCTTGAAGTTCTAGCAATAAGCCTCAGGGCTCTGCCCATTCCCCAGTTGATTTTTCCTTTCAAATAAGGTCCTTAATCTCTCTCTCTCTTTTTTTTTTTTTTTTTTTTTTTTTTTTTTTTTTTTTTGCAAGGAATGCCTACACCAAGAGGTATTAGGTCTAGTCCTGGAAGATCTGGTGCCCTCTTTGATAGTTCTCCCTGATCTTTTTTCTAACTGGAGAATAGGGCATAGCATCCCTGAGCTCTTAGATCACTTGGAAAGGGCGGAAAGCATCTCTAACTGAAGCTGTGTAATTACATGGTGCCCCTTTTATACTTGCAAATGAAGCTTGGAGTATGACTTCTCACTTTTTTAGCCCCTAGGGAAAAGGCCATGGAACAAGCATTCTTACATTTTTCTCCCCAATTCTGAAAAGCTGTAGTTTCACTAGACGAAAAAAATTGAATCCTAAACTCAATGAACAATAATTTGGCATGCTTAATTTTCCTTCTCTATCCATCATCTACTTTTACTTTCTTCTCTTTGTTCCTCTCTCTAAGGAATCTATTCAAAATTGCTGTTTCTTCTGGCTTCCATATTTCGGAACGTTGTTCAACCTTTTTGTGACTAATGGTCTGCGAATTTCTCAGTGGCTTTGATTCAGAGTCTCAGATCTTTTGCTTCCTTCTTTTTAATTGCTTCTCTAGTTGACTAGTCCTGTGTATTTTAATATCTGATTATTTTTTCATCACCAAGACAGATACCTTCATCAGCCCTAATCACTCTTCACTCTTACTCATATAATCGCCAGCAGTTTTCAATTGTTTATTTTTCACTTCTCTAACTTATGGTATCCATTTCTACTTAATCTTCTTAAAAGGGTTAGCTGATAATGCAACCCCTTGCTCCTAAACCTCTGGTGACCTCATTCATTTATTCTTTCAGTCTTTGATACGTGCCAAATACCATGCTAGTTACTGTAGATAGATGATGACTAATGCAGAGCAGCTCCAGCTTTCATGGTGTTTATAGTCTATCCAGAAAGAAAAAGAAAAAAAAAACTTTAAAGACATGCTTCTTTCCCTGGTTTTTAGAACTCTCTCCAATATGGTCACAACTTTCTATTCTCCTGATGAAAACGTTTATCTGACTTTTACAGCATATCTTTTTTTTTTTTTTTCTCAAAGTAAATAAAAAAGCTCTATGTAGTGAGAGCACAGTGGCTTTTAGAGGACTCTTACCACTAGACTCTGCAACTTTAAGCTTGGCACAAACTCTTTGTGTCTCAATCTCTTAGTCTTTATTTTTTTATTTTATGGAGATAGAATCTCGCTCTGTTGCCCAGGCCGGAGTGCAGTAATGCAATCATACCTCCCTGTAACCTTGAACACCTGGATTCAAGTGATCCTCCCATCTCAGCTTCCTGAGTGGCTGGGACTACAGGGGCAGGGCACCACACCCAGCTAATTTTTCTATTTTTTTGTGGAGGCAAGGTATTGCTCTGTTTCCCAGGTTGGTCATGAATTTCTGGGCTCAAGCGATCTTCCTGCTTTGGCCTCCCAAAGTGCTGGGATTACAGGCGTGAGCTACTGCACCCAGCCTCAATCTCATAGTCTTTAAATGATAATGGTAGGAAATAATTACTTACGTGTATCAAGTATGTGCTTTGGGCTAGCAAAACCTAGTCGTTAAAAGCACAGACTCTTGCTCAGTCACACTGCCTGGCTCTGGGTCCTGGCGCTGTTCCTTATCAGCTATATGACTGTCAGGTGTCATTGCCTTGGCGTCTTCATCTATAAAGTGGGGAGAATAACATTGGGAATGATTAAATAAGTTAATAAAGTAAAAACCATTGAAACAGTGCCAAGCACACTGTAAGAGCTATGTAAGTCTTAGCAATTTCTTTTATTACTTTTCTTTTCTTTTTTTCTTTTTTTCTTTTTTTTTTTTTGAGACAGAGTCTCGCTCTGTTGCCCAGGCTGGAGTGCAGTGGTGCAATCTTGGCTCACTGCAACTTCCACCTCCTGGTTCAAGCAATTCTCCTGTCTCTGCCTCCCGAGTAGCTGGAATTACAGGCACACGCCACCACACCTGGCTAATTTTTGTATTTTTAGTAGAGATGGGGTTTTACAATGTTGGCCAGGTTGGTCTCGAACTCCTGACCTCAAGTGATCCACCCGCCTCTGCCTCCCAAAGTATTGGGATTACAAGCGTGAGCCACCACGCCTGGCCAATTTCTGTTATTACTTTTCTTAATAAGTGGCACGATTATTCATATTTTACCAATCAGGAAACTAAATACTTTGCTCAGGGCCACAAGTAAGTGACAGAGTCAGGGTTCTAACCTGGACATCCTAGTTTCAGAGGAGGCATTGGTAATTACTACTCTATACAGTCTCCATTATGGGATTTCTGTAATAATGTAGTTAAATAATCAATACATAATAAAATTTAAAACTATAATGCACTATGAATATTTAAGATATTATTATGTGTACTATAGTGAGTTATGTTTGAAAGAGACACTATTTTTTTTCTTTTCCATCACTTAAAACCTTTTCACTGTACCAGTAATTACAAACAGCATTTTAATGGCATTGTATAATTAGACAATCCCTTCACGTACATGCATGTATTTACATTGCTACTTTCAGAGGATGGCAAAGCCAGTAAAATCCTCTCTATTTTGAAAAAGAGAATGCTGAGGATCAGAAAAGTTAAGTAACTTGCCCAAGTGTTCACAGATAGTAAATGAGAAAATCTCCTAATGTAATTCCAAAGCCCCAAATGTCATCCAGTGTTTTGCTATCTTACCCTGCTATTTTCTAATGATTTATTTTTTCACAGTTTGAAAACTAATTTTATAATATAGTTTACCATTATAAATTTATGTAAATATTAATATATCTTTGTGTACAACTGGATAACTACTTGAACTTATATTCTTTTGTTTTTCTTTTTAAAGATTGTGATTGCTAGCATTATGTGCAGTTACAATAAAAATGACTGGACGGAACTTGCCAAGAAGTCTGAGGTAATGGTTACTTTAGTATATATTTATTTTATTTCTTCTCTCCTATTTTTATTAGTTTTAAATAAAGAGCTGCCATGAGAAATAATACAGTAGAAGTAAAACTGAATTGAAAATGTAACTTAAAACATTTCTATTATAATTTGTTTACCCTGTGTTTTCATTAAAATGATGGAAATGTAAATTTAAAAGGAATTTATTCTATAAAAGCGGTCCCTTGGATTTCACACACTACCTAAAAATCCTTTATTCTCTGAATCCATACACTCTTTATTTGCATGTTAAGCAAACTGTATATTATGATGGATGCCATGATAAAATTTAATTCTACCTTTGAGAGTCTAACTTGATCTTACCTTGCCTTTAGGCAAACTAGTTTGACAGTAAGAGAAGAAATTTTGAATATAAAACTCTTGAATATTTAAAGTATAAAAGGTTCATTTAATACTATTCTAGTTTGAATACAGACATGCATAAAAGAGCGGGACAGAATGCTCCTGAATGGAACACTAGTCAGCAGGTTTTCCATAATATAAATTGAATCCTGCACAAATGCAAACAAGTAACCATGTGCCTTAAATTTGTATTTCAAATAGAAAAATACATACTTAAAATTATACACTTATGTCCATCATGCTGTCATGGAAAATAGTCTGGAGAGTCTTAGCTGGGGTTCCTTGAAAACCTCTCAGTAATGTAGAAGACTAAATCTAACTATACCAATGAACTAATTGACGCTACATTATAAAATATTGCAAAGCTGTCTGTAGTGTTCAAAAATGTTGATTATACATTTTATTTGGATATTTTAAAACTGAGAAGGGAAAAATTACTACTGGGACTTAGAGGGGTGAAATTAAACATGATCAGTAATTGGCCTCGTGATCTTCCATGCTGGGTTCATTTGATACATGTATTTACCTAATTGACCATGAAATCTTCCACAGAGCCCATGCTTGGCATGAGCTTTGCCAATTTTAAGCTGACTATGATGAATGGCTTTATCATGCCGCTTGCTTCTCTGCCTTTCTGTAAGAACAAAATACTTTTCAAAATTATTTTTTTCAATATTAGACATTAATTTTTAAATAGACAACATTACTTTTTATAAGTCAAAAGCCTTTAATTATAAGCAAACTAGCTAACCTAAAGATATTTTTCACATTTCATATTTTTCTTTAATTTCAGTTTTATTTAATATCACCTTCTAATTACTCTGTAGCAAAAACATAAATAAAAAGAAAGGAAGAAAGAAAAAAAAGAAAGAAGGGAGGAAAAGGTATGCCTTTTGTTCAATCAAAACAGTCTGCAAAATCTCTCCATAGGAGAGCAGTCTACATAACAAGAGGTTATGATAATGTCAATTAAAAAATAAAAATATTCACTATAATCTTAAGTCTGGACTAGCCCAGGAGATATCATATGAAGGAAGTATCCCGCAGGCCTTCACAGCTTCTAGGAGGGTAGCATTAAGCAGCATGATTTCATCACAGCTCATATGGTAGGCACCCAATAACGTTTTGTAGAATCAGTATTTGGTTTTGGTTTTATGAATATGCTTCAAAACCGGTTAAAACAGATTTCCTTACAATGGAAAAACCCACGTTAAAACAAACCAACAAAAACATATTCAAGTCAAAATTACTGTACTACCTAACATATACATTTCTTTTGGGGTGGTGATATAGGGATGTAAGAAATCAGAGACACCACACCAACACTCTAGCATGCCAACTGTTTCAAGTTTAGCTAATGCTGTGATGTGATGATGATGTATACTAAACCTTAAGTTTATAAAACTGTCTTTATGGCAGATTAATTCTTGAATTACACAATGGAGAGCTGAGGAAACCTGCTATCAGCTTTTTACTACTTCATCTGAAACAGAAATGACACATATGGAGCAGTAGAGCCTTAGAATGCACATGCATTTCATGTTCTATATTCTTCAACCTGGTTTGAATTTGTCATGTTTTTGAGCACCACAAAGAAGTTTCTACTGCTTGTGTCAAATTAGTAGCATTGTTAGAATCTAGTTAGTTTTCTTGATCCAGGTACCTGATCACAGGCTCTCTTGCTTTTCTGGAACCTTGGTAGTCTACTCCAATTCTATGCAAAAGAAGATTTATGAAACACCTACTATGTATAAAGTCCCTGGCTAGCCAAAACAAAGATGAGTAATAGGGAGCAATCAGATATATGCCAAACTGAGCCATTTCTGAAGGTTCACAATATTCACTTGTAAATGGATCTTTAATCCAGTGTAGTCGATCTTGAATCAATTTCTTTTGTAATTTGTAATCAGCCTTGAAAATAGAGCCCGAGTAAAAGTTAATGTGAAAAAGCTTTATTGAAGTATACAATCTCAGAGCAGAAAGACTGAGGAGAAAAGAAAAATGAGATGGGAAGAAGGGAAAACAAGTGCAATATGGTGCATTCCAGAGCTGGCCACAACTTCACAAGGAAATGGAGCCAATTGCTCAGTCATATGGGACAGGGAATAGCACATCATTTCACAAGATGATAGAATCACCCATTCTCTCATCACTTTCTAGGAAAGGAAGTGGAAGGAATGAGTCTACTGGCTCCTTCAGTCTCCTGTCTCTCACTGGCCCCATTTCACTCCGTAGGGCTCTCCTTTCCTCTGAACTTTTGAGTTGCATGTCCTGCCCCTTCAGGGCAGCTGCTAGGGAAGCTAGATTTGCTAGCATGGGGTGTGATGCTTCTTCTAAACCCAGAATTGTAGGGGAAGGCCAGAGCCTCCTGATGGGGCCTGGGCACTGGTGCTCCTGGAGCTCTCACTTTGACAGGCTCAGTGGAGGTTGTGACACAACCCACTCTCATCTGGAGGGAGTCTGTGAGAGCGGACAGTTACTATAGGAGATGTGAAGATAGCAAAAGGGACTGGGGCTCCCCTTTAACTAGTGGCAAAATTCCTGGGTGACAAGTAGGGCCATCAAATTTGAGGAAGCGTATAATTGGCTGTGGTCCAAAATGCATCATTACCAAGTTTAACTACAATAGCTCCACTAATCTTCTTGCTCTCAACCAATCCAAATTCTTTCCATCTTTCCTAATTTCAGAACCCTTAACTTGACCATTAAGTGCTACTTGGCCCCTGCCCTGCCTGCCTCTCCCCATTGTCACTGTGGGTCTGTTTTCTGCATTCCAGATCCCGCTGCCTTCTTTTCCTCCTCCAACACGTTCCCAACTCAGAGCTTTTCCTGTTCCCTTGGCCTGCAATGTTCTCTCTTCCTCAGTCCTGAGCCTCTGGCTACGTAGTTTAAACCTCCCTGTCCTATTCTGTAAGACCCTGTCTTCAGAGGCCAGTTGACCAGATAGTTAATGAAGCTTAAGCTTCAGGGCATTTACTTGCATGGGCCACTTGCAAGTCCCTGTACCTAACTCTGTGTTTACAATGTTTGATTATTGTTTTTTCCTTAAAGAGGGTTTTCCAAATTATTTAAGCATTAGGCTCCCCAAAATCTGGATCTACCTCTGTCTGTGTTTTTCCTCTGTAGCATATAATAAAGTGGTGATTAACAGTTGTGTCATTGGCCACTACTAATAGTTCCTCTGTCCTGCTTGTTAGAAAGCAAGTTCCGTGGGGGTCGAGACCCTTGCATGGTTCACTGCTTAATCCTCAATTCCAAGCACAAGGCTTTCTTTACCAGCAGATATTTGTTGAATGAAGTAAAAAAGAAGTATACAGTTCGAGTATTGCCATGTGACAAACAAAAAGGAAGCCATTACAGAATAAATGGGAAGAATGGTATTTTATTTGGCACCCATGAACTTGAAGTGTTTAAAATCCAGTGATGATGATTTTAAGTCAGGTACCTGATGAGAGATTGCCAAGGTTCTGACCACCTTTGGTAGGAAGAGACAAGGAAGGTCCAGCAGAAAGGCATAGGCATTAAAACCAAGTGACCACACTATTCCTGGCGGGGCCAAAATAAAACACTAAAACACTAACAAGCCAGTTTCCTATCAGTTTCTTTACCTGAATCTGGACAGCAATATGTCATGAATTAAATAGCTGTGAGAGTTAGAAATCCCAAATAGTTTGAGGTAAAAATCAAACAGAGGCACATTACAGAGATATGTAGGACCAGTTGGATGTTAAGTCTCTGAACAGGGACAGTAACAGGACAGAATGGAATCACAGGAGATAGACACGCAGCTGGAGATGAGAGATAGTAACTGACTTTACATCCAGTGGGGCCCAAGCCAAGAGTGTTTTACCTGTCCCAGGTCTATCTCAGAGAGGTTTAAGATCCCAGAGAACTTTAACTCCAGTTTTGAATAGTTGAGACTAGAGGATAGCATTGCTACTTGGAAAGTCAACATCTGACCCCATGTATTCATTTAACAGAAGAAGTTAAGAGGGAATCCAATAACTGTGCCTTTCATGCCCCAGTACAGTACACTGTTCTCACCCTACTTGAGCTCTGATGTCCTTTGCCAGACCTTATCACCCACGGACGTCTTCCCTTCCCACTTGGACCGTGATATACCACACCATGCCACTGGCCATGTAGACATCCTTCTGGCTCTGCTCCGCTTAGGCTGTGACATCCCACACTGGGCCCTCATGGCTCCTCAAATGCTCGTGCTCACCTGTCTTGCCCTGCCTGACCAGTGACTTTAGAGCTGTATTGATCAGGAAGGTAAGGGAAAGAAAGGAAGAGGTAAGGAAAGAAGGAGAAGAGAGGAGAAATGCTTTGTGCATGATTTCATTGTATATGTTGCACAAGAGTTTGTGGTTTTGCCACCTTAGTTTCTCTGGGTGTTTTTATAAAGTGGTTCAGAGAATTTTAAAAACTATACCACTGTCATATTCCAAGAATTTCTCAGGATAGTTTTCCTTTCCCTCCTGAGGTATAGACAATGTAGGACCAGGTGAGTTATCTTAAATCATTTTCATATCAAGGCAGAGGAAGGACAAGTCAGAGGTCTATTTGGATGGATAGATAAGTATTTAGATAGATAGATGATTGATAGGTAGATAGATAAAGTATTTAGATAGATAGTATACACCTTTATAGTATTTACTACATTCCAGAAGTCATTTACTTTTATTTTTTATCACTCCTCTTTAAACTCTTATATATGTTAAAGCTCTTATTTTTCTTTTCTGTTTACTTAAAACTGTAAAAAATAAACTTTCTTTTTTGGCACCTTTCATTTCCTGTGTTAGCCTTGGAAACATTTAAAAATACATCTCCCTAGAACTCTTCTGTGCAAATATCAAATTTATTTATGCCTTACAACAACAACTCTGTGACTTAGTTCCACTTTTTAAATATATTTTTATTTTTAATTTTTAATATTTTTTGGAGTTCTAGCTTCTCTGACTTGATGTTTTCCTTTTTTTTTTCTTTTTTTGAGGAAACTAAGGCCAAAAGTAGTGAAAGAGTGTGTTCAAGTTCACACAGCTAGGATGGAGTAAAAGTGGGATTCAAACCTATAGTTTGGCTCAGAGTCCACACCATATATATATATATACACACACACACACACACACACAAACTCTCTCTTTCTACTGTGTATAGATGGATGATAAATAGATAATGTAGGAAATTAGTAACAGTGTATTTCCTATGTCACTGCCATCACTAGGATATTTCATTTTATAACCATTTAGGTGAGGTGGAATAAACTCTGGGTAAGTGACTAAACTAAAAAGCTTGTGACTAACAAGAATCAGAATGCATGCCCAATTTCAGTTAATTTAACATTTCATGCTAATTCAGCAATTAAGGCTTTTTGAATGGTTAGAGTTGCTTGGAAATGGAATTAACTGCCTTTTAAGGTGGTGTGCATCCTGAGACAGGAATTTTCAAGCAGAGGCCACATGAATGTTCCTGTTCTCATGGTGTCACCTTGAACAGCATTGTCTGTTTTTGAGGCTTGGATACACATTTCAAAGGCCTTGCCAGGTGTGTTTGGTGAGTGGGCATTTGTATATGTGTATAATGTTGGGGAAATTATAATAATTAGTCAGTGAAAAAATTTTATATTGAACAGGTGATTTTAAAATATTTTAATTTTTACTTCAAGCTTGGAAGCTGTAAGGATATTGAGCTGTTATGTTTTTCGTAACACACTATGACAACTCCAGCCATAAAATAAGTGATTTGTAGTAAATTATAATAGTGGGTATAAATGCAGGTCCTGGACTCAAAATGCTTGAGTTCAAGACCCTACTATCAGCTATAAGCTGTGGGATGTTGGATAAATCACTTGAACTCTTTATGTCTCAGTTTTATCAATTGTAAAGTAGAAATGATGATATATCCTACCTCTTAGAGTTGCTGTGAAGATAAAGTAAGATAAAACATACAAAGGACATAGTAAAGTATCTGGCATATTGTAAATGCTCAATTAATGTAAGCTATTATTGTGTAATATGGTAGCTAGGTGTAAGTTTGAAATGAAATATGCATAATGTAAATATGTATAAAATTATTATGCAAAGCCTTATTTAATCCAAAATGATGTTGAATTGATTTGCTGTTAATTGCTGCATTTCAGTTAAATAGAGAAGTCTACAGGAAATATTTGAAGTAACCAGGAAATAATAAGAAACATGTTATAAGTGTATACTTGCACTATACAATCTTTTCACTAAGCTGGTAATTACCGCATGACATGGTTTTGAGACAGGTCATATTATCCACAGTTGACACTTGAGCAGCTGGAGACAAAGAAGATTGACTGACTTGTCCAAATCATCCCCAATTCCTTAGCTACAGGCGTAAGATTAGAACTCAGGGTTCAGCAGGCTGTGCTCATCCATGCTCACTACCAAACCATCAAGGAAAGAGCAGCATGGTTTTCAGCAACTCTCAAATAACATGAAGACCTTTAAAATCGGATTAGGAAAGCAAAACCATAAGGAAACCATGTTAAAAACAGGCTCAATGATCAAATGGACTTTAACAAATGTGCAGAAGAAAAAGCAGACTCACTAATGAATAAAGATAGGCAAGACTATCAACCGATTAATGACTAGCTGGAGTTCTTAAATTTGTTGAGGTCCTACTTAAAATTCACAAAGCAGGAAAAAATAGGCTAAAATCTTAAACAATTAGGAAGGAAAGAGAAAGAAGAAACAACTGTTGCCCTAAAGAAAGGTCTGGTGTACTTAGAAAGTAGTGAACTATTTTTTAAGCCTTTGCATGTGATAAACCTGTTAAAATACTCTTATAACCAATTCAAGCTTCTAGTTGGCCTTACCGAAAAATAAACCGCGGCACTGGAAAAATTATAGAAGTTAGGTAAAAGAATATAAAATTTGAATCAGCTAGTTTATTCCTCCATCTCTAAAATTACTGTAATAACTTTTTTTTTTTTTTTTTTTGGAACTGGAGTCTCGCTGTGTCACCCAGGCTGGAGTGCAGTGGCATGGTCTCAGCTCACTGCCACCTCCGCCTCCCAGGTTCAAGCGATTCTCCTGCCTCAGCTTCCCAAGTAGCTGGGATTACAGGCACAGGCCGCCACACCCAGCTAATCTTTTGTATTTTGGTAGAGATGGGGTTTCACTGTGTTGCCTGGCTGGTCTTGAAATCCTAAGCTCAGGCAATCCTCCCACCGTGCTAGGATTACAGTTGTGAGCCACTGCACCCGGCCACTATAATAACTTTTTTTTTTTTTTTTTTTTTTTTTTTTTTTCTGAGACGGAGTCTTGCTCTTTCCCAGGCTGGAGTGCAGTGGTGCGATCTCAGCTTACTGCAAGCTGCGCCTCCTGGGTTCACGCCATTCTCCTGCCTCAGCCTCCTGAGTAGCTGGGACTACAGGCGCCCACCACCATGCCCGGCTAATTTTTGTATTTTTAGTAGAGACGGAGTTTCACTGTGTTAGCCAGGATGATCTCGATCTCCTGACCTCATGATCTGCCTGCCTTGGCCTCCCAAAGTGCTGGGATTACAGGCGTGAGCCACTGTGCCCGGCCTATAATAACTTTTAAAAGTGTTTTGTTTATTCTTCATGTTCTTTACAGAAGACTTCCCACGAATTCTAAGATTCTCAAAGTATTCCAAGAATACTTAGAATGAATTATGTTGTTCATTTATACAAGATCTATTTGTATATCAAGGAATTAATGATTTAAATAAGAAGGATTCCTATTAAGTAATTAAGACAAAACTATCAATACTTCCTATTTCTTAGACAAACTGTTTTTAAGTATGATAATGTTGATTTTCTGTTAAAAACATTTTACATTTTGCTTATTCATTCTAGCTAGCCTACTACATTTTTGTTTGTATGCCTAATCCCAGCATCAGTTATCCATAATTAGTAAGATTTGTGTCCATAAAAATAGAAGCTATTTAGGAAGGAATAAATGTGATGTCAAACAGATCTGAGTTACAATCTCTACTGTGTCACCTAATAACTAAGCTTGTCATTTAACCTCCCTATGCTTCAGTTCACATGCCTGTAAACTTGGTAGCATAATAATACAAAGATTATGAGAATTAGAGGTAACAAATATAAAACATATAGAGCAGTGAGTGGCCCCTTATGAGCACTGAGTAAATATTTGGTGTGTGATTGTTGTTGTGGTGGTGGTTGTTATATAGACCTTAATTTGAGAGAGAGAGACTATACCTCACAAGATAGCTGTGATGCAGAAAACAGAATAGTTAACACTTGACAAATGTGACTTGTGTTATCAACGGTGAAAGCCTATTGGTATATAAATAAAGCTTTGCCTTTTCTTTCATTTTCCTTTCTTGTTTAAAGGATTCTGGAGCAGATGCCCTGGAGTTAAATTTATCATGTCCACATGGCATGGGAGAAAGAGGAATGGGCCTGGCCTGTGGGCAGGTAAGGACCTTGACAGCTGCCACTAAGTATGTCAGTGTGACATAACAGGCCCCCGTATGGATAGTTACTATACCTTAGGCAAGGAGATGCATGGATCAGATGACTGGCTAGAGACTTCCAGGTCTGCATTGTTTAAATATTTAGTGTTTAAAAAGTGGAAAATGAGGGAAGCTGAAATTATAGCAACTGTTTAGTTTTATTGAGGAAAATATCACATTATGTGCTTGACAGGAAGTAATATCATAACAAATAGTTTTTAAAAGCGCTGAAGCAGAATTAGCTGATTTCAAATGCAGTGTTCTTTATTCATTCCTGATGCCGATCCAGTTTCCCTGGAGCAATATACTGTACAAAATGCATTGTTCGTAGTGATTTTGTAGTAAATGGGGCACGGCACAAATTGCATTTTACATTTTTTAGCATACGATCATTATTCACTAACTGTGTTTGGGGAGTTGCAAAAAGACTTTGATGCTATTTTTATTTTTGGATACAATAAATGGAACCTTCATACTAAAATACTTTCAAAAGCCTAATGAACAAAATGTGAAATAATATGTTAATATATAGAAAACACTGCATCTTTATGTAACTAGTTAAATGTTGGATGTTAAGGAGCACTGTAAAAACTTAATGCTAAAAAGGTGAGTATTTTGCATCTTATAATTTACCTTTTAAGCCCAGAAGGAAATGGTGTGAATTAAATAATGTGAAATGTAGTAATTTCTGACGGATTGTCTAGTCCTGGAAAGTTTATTTTATCTCCATGTCTGGCACAGGATCTTGTACTTAGTAGGTCCCCACCTTTTTTTTTTTCTCTCAAGTCATCAAATTGATTTGAATTAAACTCAGAGGCCCTTAATTTGGGAGGGCAAACATTTCTGCTTATTTAAATGAACATAGATTGCTATCTTTGTATTAGCATTCAGGAAGAATTTTAAAGTACTTTGTAAATATTTAACATGCAGAATAGATTTGTGACTTAAGGAGAAACCATTTTTATGTAACAACAAGAAAGGAGGGTCTAGTCAAATATTCTTCAAATATATTCTCTGTTCCACTCACAACAGGTTGCCCAGAAGATCAGTAACTATGATATATGATAACAGAACCAAGACTCAGAACTATCTAGTATAGGGAAAACATGACATTGAATCGTGACTTTTATGAGTCACATGATTAGATAGTAGCATTTAAGTAATGTGATTAAAATGAGAAGGATTCCTTAAAGGATACCTGGAATGGGGGCTGAGTTAGTATTCTTTTCCCATCTCAAGTCAAGATTGTCCCTCCACTTGTTTCACAGTCTGTGAATCTCAGAACCGAAGTATTTTTTAGCTACATGGATAGAAACAACTACGGAGGTTTTAAATCTATTGATTGCTTTGTTAGGGGAGAATGCAATTCAATATTTCTCTCTTACCACAAATACGACAATTATTTTGAAAATGTTGCCCTAGTCCCACCTGAGTTTATTTTTTGGAGTAGGCTTTTGCTATATGAGCACATCTGAATTTACTCAGCCATTAAGTGTCTTAGGTGCATCCTTTCTGGAGAGTTATTTAGCCACATAAAGTTTTGCACAGCCTTTGGCTGAATGAGAATGCCAAATGCTAAAACTTTGCAATCAGAGATATCATTAAGCTTTCTAAAAACTCTTGGAAAACACATGTTCCAAAAACCATGATATCTTGGCTGAAAAAAATTTAGGAACATTTCCATTTCACTTATTAGTTATAATCTCTACAACTGAAACCAATTCTTCATATCAGCCAAGTTTAGAAATTTTCTTTTGAATGATATTCTCTTGTAAATTATATGATTGAAGAATAAAGCTAATTTAATCATTTTTGTTCCAACATATTTTAAATGATTTCTCTGCCTGAGGACACATGAATGTTCCATATTTTAAATAAAGGGAAGGCAGAATATTAGTGCATTTTAAAAAATGCTTTTCTGTGACTCTGACTTTCTGAAGTGAGCACAAACACACTTGGGCTTATTTGCCTTTTCCTCTAGTTCCTTTTACCCCTTCTCTGCCTCCTATTCCCATTGCTTCTCCCTTTACCTCTCTAAGTTCCAAAGTCTTGAACACTTGCCAATTGGTGGGGTGCAGAATTTATACTCAGTGGTGGGGGACTGAAGAGTCATTCTAGTCCCTCTTCCCCATTGCTATGTGATCTTGCATTTCATCTGTTGAAAACTTACTATGTGCTAAGCACAGAGCTGCATGCATGGTCAGAGCCTGATTAATATTTGCTTCACGAATTAGACATGCTGTCGGTTCCATGGCTAAAATATTTATCTGCCAGAGACACTTTCTTGTTCAGTACACATTCCTCTCTAAATACTTGATTTTTTTCTCCTTTATCTCAAATATTTTCTCACAAATATTTAATGAGTGAAAAATGCTGCCTTTGTACCTAAGTAATTTGCCTGTGTGTAATCAACATTATATAGATGTAACACTGATATATATACATATATATAAGCTTATATATACACATCTATATAAAATAAGTGATTAAAAATCATGAAATTTATGAAGAGGGAAGGCCGTAATCCATACTCTGCAACATTATGGGTTCCATATTTATTTATGAAATTTATGGAAACAGAATCTCAAGCTGACCTTGGGAAATTGCATTGTGTATTCCTGCAAAACAAAGCTTCATATCAAATCTTAAAACACCTCAGCATTGCTAAGTGTTTAAAAGTAGTCTCATGTATTCATTCCATCAGCCATCTGTGTCACCTTTATCAAGCCACTTGCTCTCCTGAAGGATAAGTGTCCATCTCTAAAATATGGGATTTGAACTAAATGATCTTTAAATCTCCTTTAAGCTTTAATTTTCTGTTAATGTTAACATTAAAAATAGCAGGCTACTGTTATTTTTAAACTAACTTTAAAGAGCATTGTTAAAACAAAAACAAAGAAATAAACAAGTGCATATTGTGTTGCTCTTTTTAAAAAAAAATTTGCTTTAAGTTCTGGGATACATGAGCTGAACGTGCAGGTTTGTTACATAGGTATATATGTCCCATGGTGGTTTGCTGCACCTATCAACCCATCATCTAGGTTTTAAGCCCTGCATGCATTAGATATTTGTCCTAATGCTCTCAGCCCTCTGACCCCCCAACCCCCAACAGGCCCCGGTGTGTGATGATGTTTCCCTCCCTGTGTCCATGTGTTCTTGTTGTTCAACTCCCATTTATGAGTGAGAATGTGGTGTTTTGTTTTCTGTTCCTGTGTTAGTTTGCTGAGAATGATGGCTTCCAGCTTCATCCATGTCCCTGAAAAGCACATAAACTCGATTTTTTATGGCTGCATAGTATTCCATGGTGTATATTGTGGAAGACAGTGTGGTGATTCCTCAAGGATCTAGAACCAGAAATACCATTTGACCCAGCAATCCTATTACTGGGTATATACCCAAAGGATTATAAATCATTTTACTATAAAGACACATGCACACGTATGTTTATTGCAGCACTATTTACATAGCGAAGACTTGGAACCAACCCAAATGCCCATCAATGATACAGTGGATAAAGAAAATATGTTGCTGTTTTTAAAAACACTAACATTTCTTTAGCCTGCATTAAGGCAGTATTTTACTTAGTGATTCTTGTTTTTACTAATGCTTACCCTAACTAATGCTGCTCGCTTTTTGGTATATTTTACTTTGATGAATGAGAATCTAGGCAGCAGTTGCTCAAAAAGGCTATGATTGGTTAAGTGGACATCTTGTACTTAAAGTGGCTAGAATAGAACCCTTGGTCTTTTATACTGGAGGCTGCGCTTCCATTTTAGTTAACGGTGTCAATAACCCTGATGCTTAAGCAAAGGTGAAAATATCATTCGGCTTTGGTTGCATTCATTCCAAAGAATCAAAGTTGTATTACAGCATGAAAAATAAAATATGACTCTTCTTCCATTCCCTCCCAACAACCCTCTGAAGCCGGTTGAGTTTTTGTTCCATTTTTCACAAGGCAGAGGCCCTCGAGTTTCCCAGGTCAAAGATTTGGTCAGTGGCTTCTAGACCTGCACTTTGATTTGATATTAGCCTGAATAAAGGGAAGTTGTCTAGAACAGTTCCTAATAAGTAGGTATTGCAATATCAATGTTAAGTATCAGTATTGTTAACTGAAAATTAAGTGCAGGATTACATAGGCTCTAAAGTTGTCTTTATAATTCTATTTCATTTCTCTAAATATATGAAACTACAAGCAAACCTGAATCCACTACTTAGGTTCTGTCTCCTGCGACTCAAGGTGCTTCTCTGGTGTATTAGCATCCAAATTTAAAGTTGTCTACATGCAATTTATATAATTCCATTTTCTGTAACAGCATATTACTTAATAGATTTAATTGTTTTATAACCAATTCTGTAAAATTCAGCCAAAATGACACCTTTTTGAGGTTTTCCCCTTTTCCTACATGCTACATGTTCTTACCACATTGAGTACTAACCCTCTTTTAGCCTACTAAAATTATATTACATATTTTACTTCCATCCTGCAGAACCTTCTTACCCAGTTCAGGCTAGTACTGAATAGACCTCGAGTAGGCCTTTGTATTGTTGTGGTTGTTGTGTTTTTAAAATTATTGCCAACAATAGGTGGCAAAAAAATCCTATTATTTCTGTTAAAATAATGACAAGATATGGCCTTCCCTGGCCTGCATTGTCATGCAACAATAACAAGGTAGACCTTAACTAGGCTCCTCTGACACTGTTTCTGGTGCATGTGAATAGTAGCAAACATTTGACTAAGAATATGTGCTCATTCTCAAACATGAATTTGACCAGTATATATCTTTCTGATTCACCTTTTAATATCAAGACCAACCTTCCCCAGGAGTTCTACTGAACCTCTGAGTTCCTGACATTGTTGTCTTTGGGCTGCCTTCTTTGGCCAGCAGTACCTTTAATTCTTAGACCTTCCATCAGCTATCAAAAGAAAAATAGTTGCCCAGGAGCTATAAATGGAGTGAGATATGTGGTAAGAGGCCTTGCCTTCCATATGGCAATAAAGAAGAGCAAGATGCAGCATGCTCCACAGGACTTCTCAATGCTAGTCATATAACCCTCTTGGGATGATTTTCTTTTTCCTGCCATCAGAAAACCTAAAGCTGCTTACTTCTTTTCCTTGAGTTGATGACGGGGCATAGTAAAGCACAGAATTTTGTGACTGAGAAGAACCTTAAAGATTTTCCAATTCATCTCCCTTATATACAGGATAGGAATTAAGGACCAGAAAAGTGCTTAATCTGCCTTAGCCTAAGGTAACCAAGTAGCAAGTCCCACAGCTTTAGTGCCTTTGTTACTGACCCCTGTCTAGTGTTCTGTCTAGTATTCCCAACTGTGTTATTTTGGCGTATCAAAGTTTCTGGTCAAGCAGGAAAAGTCAACGCATTGCCCTGGCTACTCCCTACTATACCTTTTTGCATACAATTATTATTCCTTCTGCTTGGAATTTATACCTTCTCAGCTGGAATTATCCAAATGGAAATCACCTCTCTAATTCTATTTCAAATGACATTCTAATTCATGAGCTGGGTGTATATTATCAGTCAATCAAACTTTCCATGAGGAAGGAAGAAGAATATATGTGAAAGGGTTTAAAGATAGAAACCCAGTGCATACTCACATTTGAATCTGTAGTGACCTAGAGCTTGAATCACTGTCAAAGAATTTGATTTCTTTACCTAACAGTTCCAAGAGGCTACAAAGATGTTATTTCCCTAGCCCTCGATGGATTCCAATTGTTCAGTGGTTTGAGTGCCTTCATTGTAGGTATGATTGCTAAAGAGTGAACAACTATTTAGTATACACTCATTTAGTAATGATTTCTTTGGATAGAAAGTTCAAAAATGATAGTATAATCAGAGAGAAGACTGCCGTAGCTTTACAGGCAAATAAGGACCTGAACAAAGATGGCAGTACAACCGCTATCATCTGTTATATCTTGCCACCTCACAGTCCCCTTCCTGCGTTTAATCATATTGTTCAATTCTATGCATAGAATTTTTAAATATTAGAATGTTCAACTCAAACAGTCCAAACATTAGTTTTGTCATCAGGGAGATGTATGAAGTCCTGCTTTCATGACGATTTAGCTAAGCAAGAATAAAAGGTTTAAAAGTGGTAAACCTTAAAATTGATTTTTAAAGATTATTACTCCAAATACCACCCAGAGCAATACTTTGATAATTCTTTCACGATCTGTTCTATGTTCAAACTTAATTTGCATAAAACTGTATGTTTTTTTTTTTAAAAAAAAGAGAGAGGCTTTGTTTCTGTTTCAACATGCCAGCATTTTTTCATTAGACATTAACCACAGATTATTACTCTTACCCTTGCCAGAAAGCAGACGTCCGTCATCAGGAAGAGAATCCAAACCAAGTGTGAGGACCACAGTGCCCCAGATGTGCTAGAATTTCCCCTGGGAAATAAAGTCTTCCTTCAGCAGCTGGCTTAGCAGACCCTCTATCTCATATGCAATGCAGTGTCCAGGGAGCAATGACCACAGCCCTGCTTGGATCAGACCCCCATAGATGTCTGTGGAGGAGACAATATGAAGACACTTTTTTAAAACCAAAACAGCTGAAAAGTCATAGTATTTTCCATATTTCCCAGAGTTGAAACTCAGGAGTTTGGGAATATAAGAAATCCCAAAGGTTAGAGAAAAGAATGTGGGAGCCCCAGCACTTGTAAAATACAACAAACTTAAGCCACAGTAGCCTCCCTGGCATCTCATGGAGAATCTAAGGTGAGGATCACTGCTGAGTTCTGTTCGCTTTTTGATACTGATTAGGTATGTGCTCCTGAGACATCTTCTGCAGGTTCTTGATTCTTCTCATTCCTTGTGACTTAAGCCTCTATGAGCTATGTATGTGGAGAATTATCCTGAATGTGATGTTTAGTTATGCCGGAATCAGCATGGACACATGTAGGTTTGGGCTAGAGAGTTGGAACTCCAGGTCTATGATTTGACTTGATAAGTATGGGATAGACTAGGTTGGCCTCAGTGGGATGATCCCCTGAGGCATCACTTTTATGGGTTTGAAAATCATTGCACTATGAAATAACATAGTTCCATGAAGAAACATGAGAAATGACTGTGTGGTATAAGCTTCTGCAAAAGTGACTAAAATCTGATGTTAGCCATATTCATTGGATTCATCCTATTTTATTTTCCTCATAGCATTATAATTTTTGAAGTTCTTTAAAATAAATTATCCACTTGTTTATGAGAAAAACTATCTCTAATCAAAAAAAATCTGCTTTATACTATATTATGTTGCCCAACTTTTTATTTGATTTTAATTCTCAGCCATTTGATAGACATGGGTGCTTACATAAGTAGATAAACTACAGGAAATCTGTAAGAGACATTTATGTAACTGCCAATATTTTGCCTACAGCTGGTTCTCTATGAGTTTTTCAATTATAGTTATTAATGTTGGTAATGATGTAAAAATTTTTGCTGCTTTTAAAAGTTGTAATTTTTTTAGTTGAAAGCAACACCGTTTAAATCTAACTGAATTATCAGTTCTAGGTCAGGAAATATTGTTGTTTTTGTGTAGCCCAACCATTATGTGGCAGTAAAAAACATTATATATAGGCCAGGCATGGTGGCTCATGACTGTATGCCAGCACTTTGGGAGGCTGAGGCAGGAAGATTGCTTGAGCTAAGGAGTTTGAGACCAGCCTGGGCAACATGGCGAAACCCCGTGTCTGCTAAAAACACACACACAAAAATTAGCTGGATATGGTGGTGTGCACCTGTGTTTCCAGCTACTTGGGGTACTGAGGTGGGAGGATCACTTGAGCCTGAGAGACGGAGGTTGCGGTGAACTGAGATCACACAACTGCACTCCAGCCTGGTGAATGTTACAGGAAAAACAGCTAACTATGGATTTTTTTAACTTACTTGGTTTTTATTGTTCTCATTTGTTTTATTCCAGAAATAAGCAACAAAAGTATTTTTTAAGTTTTTTAAAAATCACCCTCAAATATTTGTTCACATCACAGTGAGTTTGAGAAATATAGCAGAATTCTCTATGTATTTGTTGACTATAGCATAAGGATGAAATAAAAATGTCATAAAGAGAGACAGAGACAGAGGTGAGATGGAGGAGAGGCTATGGTCTTAGTTCATGATTTCATGAAGAGTTCAGGTAATGTAATGTCACAGAAGAATAATAGAGATTGTCAGGGCAGAGTAGAGACAAGGTGGGACACCAAGATTGCTAAGAAATGAATATTGGCAGGAAAAGGGAGGGTCTAGTTACGTGATCTGACTGGCCTAGAATATTGGAAGAACTGGTGGACAAGACTGAGTCATGTATTAGAAGCCACAAATGACTCGAGAGTAAAGGAGACTGCATTTCAGGCTAAAAAGCAATATTGGACCAGAAAACTAGTAAGTACTCAGCGGCTGAGAGTAGAGCCAACAGAGTTCAAGATAAGGCAAGAGAGAAGATAAGGAATAAGACAAATTAAACGAAGGTATCAGAGGCACCACCTTCACAAAGACCTTAAAATTAAGGTACTTCTACCGCAAAGAGAAATTTGTACACGCTTCCTGCTGAGGTAGTCAGTCTTTTATGGTGCAGTCAGTTTAAGGTTTCCAACTGCGATAGGTGAGCTGTCAGGAAGGAGGCGTATGGATTTGCCTGACTAGAGAAGGAGATAAGGTAAGTCAAGAAAAATAAAGTTATTAAAATTACGGCATTTTACAACTTAGGAGTATTGGCTGAAGACTGAAGGCTCTTTTGTCATGATCATTGGGGAAGCCATATTCTCTGAGAACTATTACAACCCCCCAGACAAACACGAGGTGGTGCTTATTGATAATCACAGATTTTATACCAACATGAAGTCTCTCTTGACATTGTTTATATTGCAGAGATCTTATTGAAAATTTTGTTTTATACCTAACTTTGTTTTTGTTCTCTCACCAAAAGCACTTTAAGTATCAGTATGCTTAATGAATATATGTACTCTCCAAAAAAAAGTTTTGTTTAAGGAAAAATCAATTTAAAGCATGAATTACAATTTTACTGTCTTTGAGATGTCTTAAACATCTTTGACTCTTTCCTCATGTTATTTATTTATTTTTTTCTAGGATTGATTGCTTGAGTTTTTGCCCCTTTCTCCCTATTTGTTGCTACTGGGTCTATTCAGTTTTGAAAGTCCTCATAGATAGGTTGCAAATTCCATTAACCTTAGTATGTGTTCATGATTCATCAGAAAAGAACATGCAGCTTTCTTCTCTTATTTGTAAAATGTCTAACCTTCTATTAAGTGAATGGAAAACTTTGTTGCAATTTTCCTTTGCCAACATTTTTTCTTTCCTTGACCACACCAAAACTGTAAACAACATGGCAGGCTTGGCACTCCTGTTTTTCCTGTAATTGTGTTTTGGGTAACATGGAAGAAATTGATATATGAAGGGATAACAGTATCTTTTCTCTTCTAATATCTGTATAGATATAGATATAGATATAGATATCATGGAATACTACTCAGCCATAAAAAGAATGAAATAATGTCTTTTGTAGCAACATGGATGGAACTAGAGGTCATTATCATTTTTTATACGTATAATTTAAGTTCTAGGGTACATGTGCACAACGTGCAGGTTTGTTACGTAGGTATACATGTGCCATGTTGGTTTGCTGCACCCATCATCTCATCATTTATATTAGGTATTTCTCTAATGCTGTCCCTCCCCCTGCTCCCCACCCCATGACAGGCCCTGGGGTGTGATGTTCCCCATCCTGTGTCCAAGTGTTCTCATTGTTAAATTCCCACCTATGAGTGAGAACACACAGTGTTTGGTTTTTTGTCCTTGTGCTAGTTTGCTCAGAATGATGGTTTCCAGCTGTATCCATGATCCTGCAAAGGACATGAACTCATCCTTTTTTTATGGCTACATAATATCCATGGTGTATATGTGCCACATTTTCTTAATCCAGCCTATCATTGATGGACCTTTGGGCTGCTTCCAAGTTTTTGCTATTGTGAATAGTGCTACAATAAACATATGTGTGCATGTGTCTTTATAGTAGCATGATTTATAATCCTTTTTGTATATACCCAGTAATGGGATCACTGGGTCAAATGATATTTCTAGTTCTAGATCCTTGACAAATCGCCACACTGTCTTCCACAATGATTGAACTAGTTTACAGTCTCACCAACAGTATAAAGGCATTCCTATTCCTCCACATCCTCTCCAGCATCTGTTGTTTCCTGACTTTTTAATGATGGGCATTCTAACTGGCATGAGATGGTATGTTATTGTGGTTTTGATTTGCATTTCTCTGATGACCAGTGATGATGAGCATTTTTTCATGTGTCTGTGGCTGCATAAGTGTCTTCTTTTGAGAAATGTCTGTTCATATCCTTTGCCCACCTTTTGATGGGGTTGTATGTTTTTTTCTTGTAAATTTGTTTAAGTTCTTGTAGATTCTGGTTATTAGCCCTTTGTCAGATGGGTAGATTGCAGAAATTTTCTCCTATTCTGTAGGTTGTCCGTTCACTCTGATGGTAATTTATTTTGCTGTGCAGAAGCTCTTTAGTTTAATTAGATCCCATTTGTCAATTTTGCCTTCTGTTGCCATTGCTTTTGGTGTTTTAGACATGAAGTCCTTTCCCATGCCTGTGTCCTGATTGGTATTGCCTAGGTTTTCTTCTAGGGTTTTTATGGTTTTAGGTCTAACATGTGAGTCTTTAATCCATCTTGAATTAATTTTTGTGTAAGGTGTAAGGAAGGGATCCAGTTTCAGCTTCCTACATATGGCTAGCCAGTTTTCCCAGAACCATTTATTAAATAAGGAATCCTTTCCCCATTTCTTGTTTTCGTCAGGTTTGTCAAAGATCAGATGGTTGTAGATGTGTGATGTTATTTCTGAGGCCTCTGTTCTGTTCCGTTGGTCTATATAGCTCTTTTGGTACCAGTATCATGCTGTCTTGGTTACTGTAGCCTTGTAATAGAGTTTGAAGTCAGGTAGTGTGATGCCTCCAGCTTTGTTCTTTTTGCTTAGGATTGTCTTACCTATGTGGGCTATTTTTTGATTCCATATGAACTTTAAAGTAGTTTTTTCCAATTCTGTGAAGAAAGTCATTGATAGCTTGATGGGGATGGCATTGATTCTATGAATTACCTTGGGCAGTATGGCCATTTTCACGATATTGATTCTTCCTATCCCTGAGCATGGAATGTTCTTCCATTTGTTTGTGTCCTCTTTTATTTCATTGAGCAGTGGTTTGTAGTTCTCCTTGAAGAGGTCCTTCACATCCCTTGTAAGTTGCATTCCTAGGTATTTTATTCTCTGTAGCAATCGTGAATGGGAGTTCGCTCATGATTTGGCTCTCTGTTTGTCCGTTATTGGTGTATTGGAATGCTTGTGATTTTTGCACATTGATTTTGTATCCTGAGACTTTGCTGAAGTTGCTTATCAGCTTAAAGAGATTTTGGGCTGAGACTATGGGGTTTTCTAAATATACAATCATGTCATCTGCAAACAAGGACAATTTGACTTCCTCTTTTCCTAATTGAATGCCCTTTATTTCTTTCTCTTGCCTGATGGCCCTGGCCAGAACTTCCAACACTATGTGTAATAGGAGTGGTGAGAGAGGGCATCCCTGTCTTGTGCCAGTTTTCAAAGGGAATGCTTCCAGTTTTTGCCCATTCAGTATGATATTGGCTGTGGGTTTGTCATAAATAGCTCTTATTATTTTGAGATATGTTCCATCAATACCTAATTTATTGAGAGTTTTTAGCATGAAGGCTGTTCAATTTTATTGAAGGCCTTTTATGCATCTATTGAGATAATCATATGGTTTTTGTCATTGATTCTCTTTATGTGATGGATTACATTTATTGATTTGCGTATGTTGAACCAGGCTGGCATGCCAGGGATGAAGTTGACTTGATCGTGGTGGATAAGCTTTTTGATGTGCTGCTGGATTCGCTTTGCCAGTATTTTACTGAGGATTTTTGCATCGATATTCATCAGGGTTTTTGGTCTAAAATTCTCTTTTTTTGTTGTGTCTCTGCCAGGCTTTGGTATCAGGATAATGCTGGCCTCATAAGATGAGTTACGGAGGATTCCCTCATTTTCTATTGATTGGAATAGTTTCAGAAGGAATGGTATCAACTCCTCTTTGTACCTCTGGTAGAATTCGGCTGTGAATCTGTCTGGTCCTGGACTTTTTTTGGTTGGTAGGCTATTAATTATTGCCTCAATTTCAGAGCCTGTTATTGGTCTATTCAGAGATTCATCTTCTTCCTGGTTTAGTCTTGAGAGGGTGTATGTGTCCAGGAATTTATCCATTTCTTCTAGATTTTCTAGTTTACTTGGTAGAGACGTTTATAGTATTCTCTGATGGTGGTTTGTATTTCTGTGGGATCCGTGGTGATATCCCCTTTATCATTTATTATTGTGTCTATTTGATTCTTCTCTCTCTTCTTCTTTATTAGTCTTGCTAGCGTTCTATCAATTTTGTTGATCTTTTCAAAAAGCCAGATCCTGGATTCATTGATTTTTTTAAGGATATTTTGTGTCTCTATCTCCTTCAGTTCTGCTCTGATCTTAGTTATTTCTTGCCTTCTGATAGCTTTTGAATTTGTTTGCTCTTGCTTCTCTAGTTCTTTTAATTGTGATATTAGGGTGTCAGTTTTGGATCTTTCCTGCTTTCTCTTGTGGGCATTTAGTGCTATAAATTTCTCTCTACACACTGCTTTAAATGTGTCCCAGAGATTCTGGTATGTTGTGTCTTTGTTCTCATTGGTTTCAAAGAACATCTTTATTTCTGCCTTAATTTCGTTATTTACCCAGTAGTCGTTCAGGAGCATGTTGTTCAGTTTCCATGTAGTTGTGCAATTTTGAATGAGTTTCTTAATCCTGAGTTCTAATTTGATTGCACTGTGGTCTGAGAGACAGTTTGTTGTGATTTCTGTTCTTTTCCATTTGCTGAGGAGTGCTTTACTTCCAACTATGTGGTCAATTTTGGAATTAGTGTGATGTGGTGCTGAGAAGAATGTATATTCTGTTGATTTGGGGTGGAGAGTTCTGTAGATGTCTATTAGGTCTGCTTGGTGCAGAGCTGAGTTCAAGTCCTGGATATCCTTGTTAACCTTCTGTCTCACTGATCTGTCTAATATTGACAGTGGACAGTGGGGTGTTAAAATCTCCCATTATTATTGTGTGGGAGTCTAAGTTTCTTTGTAGGTCTCTAAGGACTTGCTTTATGAATCTGGGTGCTCCTGTATTGGGTGCATATTTATTTAGGTTAGTTAGCTCTTCTTGTTAAATTGATCCCTTTACCATCACATAATGGTCTCTTTTGATCTTTGTTGGTTTAAAGTCTATTTTATCAGGTACTATTATTGCAACCTCTGCTTTTTTTTTGCTTTCCATTTGCTTGGTAGATCTTCCTCCATCCCTTTATTTTGAGCCTATGTGTGTCTTTGCATGTGAGATGGTTCTCCTGAATACAGCACACTGATGGGTCTTGAATATCCAGTTTGCCAGTCCATGTCTTTTAATTGGAACATTTAGCCCATTTACATTTAAGGTTAATATTGTTATGTGTGAATTTGATCCTGTCATTATGATGTTAGCTGGTTATTTTGCCTGTTACTTGATGCAGTTTCTTCCTAGCATTGATGGTCTTTACAATTTGGCATATTTTTGCAGTGGCTGGTACTGGTTGTTCCTTTCCATGTTTAGTGCTTCCTTCAGGAGCTCTTGTAAGGCAGGCCTGCTGGTGACAAAATCTCTCAGCATTTGCTTGTCTGTAAAGGATTTTATTTCTCCTTCACTTATGAAGCTTAGTTTGGCTGGATATGAAATTTGGGTTGAAAATTCTTTTCTTTAAGAATGTTGTATATTGGCCCCCACTCTCTTCTGGCTTGTAGAGTTTCTGCTGAGAGATCCACTGTTAGTCTGATAGACTTCTCTTTGTTGGTAACCCGACCTTTCTCTCTGACTGCCCTTAACATTTTTTCCTTCACTTCAACCTTGGTGAATCTGACAATTATGTGTCTTGGAGTTGCTCTTCTCAAGGAGTATCTTTGTAGTGTTCTCTCTATTTCCTGAATTTGAATGTTGGCCTGCCTTGCTAGGTTGGGGAAATTCTCCTGGAAAATATCCTGAAGAGTGTTTTCCAACTTGGTTCCATTCTCCCCATCACTTTCAGGTACACCAATCAAATGTAGATTTGATATTTTCACAGAGTCCCATATTTCTTGGAGGCTTTGTTCGTTTATTTTCACTTTTTTTTCCTCTAAACTTCTTGCTTTATTTCATTAATTTGATCTTCAATCACTGATACCCTTTCTTCCACTTGATCAAATTGGCTATTGAAGCTTGTGCATGTGTCACGTAGTTCTCGTGTCATGGTTTTCAACTCCATCAGGTCATTTAAGTTTTTCTCCACACTGTTTATTCTAGGTGGCCATTCATCTCATCTTTTTTCAAGGTTTTAAGCTTCCTTGCGATGGGTTCGAACATCCTCCTTTAGCTCAGAGAAGTTTGTTATTACCAACCTTCTGAAGCCTACTTCTGTCAACTTGTCAAAATCATTCTCCATCCAGCTTTTTTCTGTTGCTGCCGAGGAGCTGTGATCCTTTGTAGGAGAAGAGGCACTCTGATTTTTAGAATTTTCAGCTTTTCTCTTCTGGTTTCTCCCCATCTTTGTGGTTTTATCTACCTTTGGTCTTTAATGTTGGTGACCTACAGATAGGGTTTTGGTGTAGATGTCCTTTTTGTTGATGTTGATGCTATTCCTTTCTGTTTGTTAGTTTTCCTTCTAATAGTCAGGTCCCTCAGCTACAGGTCTGTTGAAGTTTGCTGGAGCTCCACTCCAGACCCTGTTTGCCTGGGTGTCACCAGCGGAGGCTGCAGAACAGCAAATATTGCGACCTGATCCTTCCTCTGGAAGCTTCGTCCCAGAGGGGCAGCTGCCTATATGTGGTGTCTGTCGGCCCCTACTGAGAGGTGTCTCCCAGTTAGGCTACACGGGCATCAGGGGCCCACTTGAGGATGCAGCCTGTCCTTTCTCTGAGCTCAGACACCATGCTGGGAGAACCACTGCTCTCTTCAGAGCTGTCAGACAGGGATGTTTAAGTCTGCAGAAGTTTCTGCTGCCTTTTGTTCAGCTATGCCCTGCCCCCAGAGGTGGAGACCACAGAGGCAGCCAGCCTTGCTGAGCTGCGGTGGGCTCCACCGAGTTCTAGCTTCCCCAGCTGCTATGTTTACCTATTCAAGCCTCAGCAATGGCAGATGCCCCTCCACCTGCCAGGCTGCTGCCTCATAGGTTGATCTCAGACTGCTGCGCTAGCCATAAGCAAGGCTCCTTGGGCTTGGAATCCACTGAGCCAGGCGCAGGATATAATCTCCTGGTGTGCCATTTGCTAAGACCATTGGAAAAGCACAGTATTTGGGTGGGAGTGTCCTGGTTTTCCAGGTGCCATCTCTCACGGCATCCCTTGGCTAGGAAAGGGAAATCCCCCAACCACTTGTGCTTCCCAGGTGAGGTGACACCCCCACTGCTTCAGCTCATCCTCAGTGGGCTGCACCCACTGTCCAACCAGTCCCAATGAGATGAACCAGGTACCTCAGCTGGAAATGCAGAAATCACCCATCTTCTGCATTGATCATGCTGGAAGCTGCAGATCGGAGCTGTTCCTATTCGGCCATCTCAGAATGGAATCCTAGAGGTCATTATCTTAATTGAAATAACTCAGAAACGGAAACATATTCTCACTCATAAGCAGGAGCTAAATAATTTGTACACATGGACAAAGACAATGGAATAATAGTCACTGGAGACTCAGAAGGGTGGAAGGGTGGAAAAGGGTTAAGGTATGATAAACTACTTAATGGGTACAATATGCAGTATTTGGGTGAAGGCTATACAGAAAACTCAGATTTCACCAGTATGCAATATATCCATGTAACAAAACTGCATTTGTATCCCGTAAGTCTGTTTTAAAAAGATAGTACTGGAAGTCCTTACCAGACCAATCAAGCAAGAGCCTTACCAAACCAATCAAGCAAGAGAAAGAAATTAAATGCATGCAAATAGGAAAAGCAGAAGTCAAATTGTTGCTGTTTACTAACATGATCTTATATGTAGAAAATACTAAGGATTCCACCAAAAAAAAAAAACACTGTTAGAACTAATAAATTAACACAGCACAGTTGCAGCATACAAAATCAATAAACAAAAATCAATGATGTTTCTGTACATTAACAATGAACTATATGAAAAAGAAATCAAAAGGAATCCATTTAACCAAGGAGGTGAGAAACTTACCCATATACTAAAAACTGTAAAACATGATGAAAGCAATTGAAAAAGATACAAAAACAAATATATCTTGTGTTCATGGATTAGAAGAATTGGTTTGTTAAAATGTTCATATTATCTCCCAAAGCAATCTACACAATCAGTGTAATACCTATGAAAATTTAATATAGTTTTTCATAGACATAGAAAATATAATTCTAAAATGTGTATGGAACTGCAAAAAAACCCTGAATAGCCAAGTCAGTCCGAGCAAAAAGAACAAAGCTGTGGACATCATACTAACTGATTCTGAACTCTACCACCAAGTGATGTTAGTTAAACAGCATGATGTTGGCATAAAAATAGACTAATTGACCAGTGGAGCAGAATGGAAAACTCAGCAGTGAACCTATTCATATATAGTCAATTGATGTTAAGCAAGGGTGCCAAGTATAACCATTGGAAAAAGGACATCTTTTCATTAAAGGGTGTTGTGAAAAATGTATATCCATGTGCAGAAGAATGAAATTAGATCATTATCTCACAGCATTAACAGAAATATTATCAAGTGGATTAAAGAGGTAAATGTAAGACCTTAAACTGTAAAACTACTAGAAGAAAATATAGGAGAAAAAGTGCACAATATTGGTCTAGATAATGATTTTTTAATTTTTTAATTGCTGGAGCTCCACTCCAGACCCTGTTTGCCTGGGTGTCACCAGCGGAGGCTGCAGAACAGCAAATATTGCAGAACAGCAAATATTGCTACCTGATCACAGGCAACAAGTGCAAAAATAGACAAATTGGATTACATCAAAATAAAAAGCTTCTGCACAGCAAAGGAAACAATTAACAGAGTGAAGAAGCAACCCATGGATTTGAAGAAAATATTTTTGGGCCATAAATCTGATAAGGGGTTAATATCAAATATATATAAGGAGACTAAACAACTCTTTGGAAAGAAAAGAAATAGTTTGAATAAAAAATGAGCAAGGGAGCTGAATAGACATTTCTTAAAAGAAATAACACAAATGACCAATAGGCATATGAAAAAATGCTCAACATCGGTGATCACTAGGTAAATGCAAATTAAAACCACAGTGAGATATCACTCACACCTGTCAGAATGGCTGTTATCAAAAAGACAACAGATAATAAGTGTTGGAGAAGATGCAGAGAAAAGGGAGCCCTGGCACGCTGTTGGTGGAAATGTAAATTAGTATACTTTTTATGGAAACATCATAAAAGTTCCCCGAAAAACCAAAAGTAGAATTACCATATGATCCAACAATCCTACTTCTGGGTATTTATGCAATAGATTTGAAATCAGCTTATCAAAGAAATGTCTGCATGCCTATCTATGTTCCTTGCAGTACTATTCACAATAGGCAACTTATGGAATCAACCTAAGTGTCTATCAGCAGATGAATGGATAAAGAAAATATGGTATATATACACAATGGACTACTATTCAGCCTTAAAAAAGAAAGAAATTGTGTCACTTGGAACAATATGACTGGAACTAGAGAACATGTTACGTGAAGGAAGGCAGGCCTAGAGAGACAAATATTGCATATTCTCTTACATGTGGACTCTAAAACAATGAAACAATCTAAAACTAAAGAAACAGAAAGTAGAATGGTGATTACCAGAAGCTCGGGGTGGGGAGAATAGGGAGAAGATGGTCAAAGAATAGGGAGGAGATGGTGAAAGGATGTAAAGTCTCAATTAGACAGGAATAATAAGGGTTCTTTTTACTATGAGATATATTGTAAAACATGGTGAATATAGTAAATAACCATTTATTGTACATTTCAAAATTGCTAAGAGAGTAAATTTCAAATGTTCTCACCACAAAAAGTAAGTATTTTAGGTGATGGATATGTTAATTAACTTGATTTAATTTTAACGTATACATTGTATTCATAAATTGTAACATCACTTGGTAACTCAAATATATACAACAATAATTTTTCAATTATTAAAAAATAAAATTTCAAAAATGAAAGATTTTGAATATTAAACATATACCTATTATTCCTATAGAGATGATAGATTTAGAATACATAAAGTGAAATATAGTTTCCCTTTAGGTAGTAAATAAGTGTGTCTTAAGGTGATTGCAATAAAAGTATAGTTATCATGATGTAAATATATCCCAAAATAATAAATTCATAAATGATTTTTATGGTGATTAGAAACTGATTTTATTCAGTCAGTTCCCTTTGTATTCTAGGCAAAGTGCCTATTTCTACACATGGGATCACATTCATTCCTCAATCAACTTTGAGGGGGAAGATAGAATATTCTCCACATGAAAAATAAAGAAACTGATGGTAGAGTGACTTGTTCCCCATTGATTCTCCAGGGATTAATGTGATTAATGTGATACATGGCAGGTATTCAGTAAATAATTTGGGGATAGATTAATGAATGAACGAATGAATGAGTGGATAATTGAATGAATTCACCTTTGACACAAAATGTCTTTTCGTGTCATTGGCAGTGAGAAGATCCTGAGAAGGATTGTTCTTGAGTATGACCCAGGAAAGTAGTTCTGATTTTTTTAAATTGAGAACTTACATTTCAAATTAATTTTCTTCCTTCTGTGACCACTCTCCATAACTTGTTCTGATTTTTTGCTATCTTTCCACCTTCTACTATTTTAAGCTTCACATGTCTGATTTCTCCAACCTAAATATGTTTGTCCTTGTCCAGAATTACATACTACTTATATATGCATATTATTAACAATTTTCTGTGATCTGGACCATCTTTTTCAAAATATTTTATCTTTGGAACTCAAAAATCATTTTGTTTAAGAATGAGCATTTTTTGCATTTTGCGTTTTACTATAGGAGTTTGGAGGATGAAAGATGTCAAAACAGCTGACTGTGACTTCCTTTTACACATCTGTTGTCCTATATAAGCAAGGGTTGTATCCAAGGATGAGAGGACAGAAAGAGAAAGTGCACTGTCTAGCCTGGTCTTTTGTGGAATTAAGGGATGCACTTTTCAGCTGTCTCTATGCCTATGACCAAATGGCGAACGGTTCTGGATTACAAATGCCCTAATGTCCCATCATGCTTTGTTGAGAGCAGGTACAACACCTGACACCTGCCGTGCTTTTTGTTTAGCAGGCTCTCACCCAAGGGCTAATTCATTTAATTCTCACAGCAATTCTATGATATATTTACTATTATTGTTCCCATTTTACAGATGAAGGAACTCAGAAAGGGTAAGTAACATGGCAGGGTCACACGGCAAGTCAGTGGCCTCATCTGGACCCAAATCTCGGCCATCTGGCTCAAGAGCCTGTGCTCCTGTCCCTCAGACATGACTGCCTCTCAAAGAAGAATTTTAAAGAAGTAATCCCTGGCTTTATCAATCACAGAAATTATTGATAGATATCTTGATGATGCATTTCAGTTTGAAGACAGTGCTATTTGTGGAAGTTATGAAAGTTCCTCTATATAAATACTACCGAAAAGTCCAGTTTCTGGAAAATGATTGCTGAAAATGATTTGTATGGTCTCTATTTTTTTTGAGACTTTTAAGTTTTTCTGCACCCAAAATTCATTTCTAAAGAGAAACTGTAGCATAGAAAAAAAAAAAAAAAACAGAATGCAGTTTTCCAGTTATTAATGTTAATTGTCCAAGTCAGATTTTATGTTTAAAATCCATCTTTTGGTGGTTGTTTACTTTGACATGACCCCTGCCTTAAAGGAGGGTATATGTAGTTTCAGATTAAGAAACTGCTCTGGACAGAAGTTTATTATTTAGGAAAGGCTTTAAAAGGGGGAAAAAACCCCACCGAGGTGTCTTGAGAGTTAATACACCCCTTCTTCAAACGGTGGGAAGCACTAAATATGCAGAGCGCCATCCAGCACCACAAGTGCTCCTCCTGCCCTTGCCTGCCATTCCGCAGCCCTGCCCCTCTACAAATGGTAGATCATTAAGCCATCCAGGCAGTGAGGAGTATTTTCATATAGCTACTGCCCTTTATAGCAGCCTGGCAGCGAGTGACCATAATAAATTATGCACTGCTCTGTGAGACTGTGACACAATGCACTGGAGGAACAGCGGGGGTGTTAGAAAATCCATTATTTGAAATTTTTGTTTCTTTTTCTTACTAGATTCCATGCTGCTCTTTTCCTGTCATCTTGTTCCTTTTTTTCCTATCTATTGTTTTGAGGGTTTTGTGTCTGACAGTTCTTTTCTACTGCTGGTTTTGTCCTTTTTGTTACCTTGTTTCTGCCTTCATGGGCTCCCCCACCCCCCTTGCTTGATCTTGTGTGTTCTGAGCCTTGTTCTCCTTTCTGTCATGCGTCGTTTGCCTTACTTTTCTTTCTCTTTCCGCCTTATTGTCTCATATAATACAGAAAAACAAATTCTCTTTTTGCCTGCATTCTTTTACATGGTGTTATGTAGTTGTCATTTTCCCTTCACGAAAGGTGCACTTTACTGTATGTACTATTCATTTTGGTTCCAAGAACCCCAAACACGTGTCCGGAGGAGTGCCAATGCTGATGGCAATAAAAAACAATCAAACATCATCCCACAAAGTAGGGAAGGGGAAAAAAAAATCAAACAACCAGAGTAGTTTTTTTTGAAAACAGTGTAGACCTATTTCTTCCCTGTAGATCAGTTCACATAGAATCTGTAAGATTTTTTTTTTTTTTTTACTATTTCAGGTTGTTCAATATTTTCCTCTTTTCTCCAAGAGCAAGTCTTTTCCAAAGTGACAAATTTTTGACACTATTTCTTGTAAATCCAGCTGTCTGCTCATTCTTTCATTGTTTCCCACTGATGAGTACAGCCTGAAAAGATAGTTCCACTAAGTGGAATTCAGTTAATTCACTGATTCATTTAATTCATTAGTTATTAATTGAGCAACTATTAGGTAGCAGGCCTCATGCAGATGTTAGAGACACTGGGAACCATCAGTTTAGGTTTTGTTCAATCTTTTATATTCCTTAGTTGGTTATGTCCATCATTCCCAATTTTTCTTTCCTCTTTGTGTGGACACGCCACATTGGCACTTGTTGTCTGACCTCCTCCACTTTCACTTCCTTGATCCCTTTGGATCTAGAGCTCCTTCTTTTTATTTAGAGTTATTTGAGAAGGACTTTTTTCTGCTTGAAAATCTCACTGCATCATTTTAGAAAGTTCAAACCTCCTTGGCAGTGAATACCAAAGAATGTGCCAGATTCTTTAACCCCATTTTTGTGTCACACTCAAAATGAAATAAAAATAGTAATCTCCACCTCTGGTATGGCTACAAATTTTTGTAATACTTGCAGTAGCTGAATTAAATTGAATTGAGATGTATAGTTATGAAATATAAGTGAGTTACATCAAAATCTGCAATTCAATTCTTCTTTTACGGTATTGAGTTCCTTGTTCCTTTTAAATGTTTTTCTCCATTTGCTTTTATTTGCCTGACTGATTTCCTCTTTTATAAACATTCTCTTTTCTAATCCTGTTTCTCCTGAAACACGTTTGATTTTGTTTCTCTCCCTATCGTGTTTGCTAATTCTCCATTTTTTGCCTTATTGTATTCTAAGATTAATGCTGTTTTTATTTTTGTTGTAGTTATTATTTTAAATAAGATTGGGGATAGTAGCTCAAAAAAGTTAGTGTACTGTCTTCTACCACGGACATGATTTCTTCTATCTCTGTATTCATGTCCTTTATAATTTTAACCTTTCCCCTTGACCTCATATCTCTAAATTTCCAGTTCAGTGTTTCTTTCATTCCATGATTTATTTTTTTCTTTTCTTGCCACTTTGATTCTGCCCTTTACCTTTTTCCTGTATCAGGCTTATTTTTAAAAGAAACATTGGTTCTTTTAATATCATTTTGCAAACGCCGTGGGAACATCTTCTCTCATTTTATTTTTACTAATTGGGCTTTCAGAGTAAACTCTCCAACTTGTCATATAGTTCATTTTAAGCACCTGCAAGAATAAGTCAGTTGCCCTGTCAGCTTCCAGATGCAGTGGAATGTTCATGTTAGATCTTACATATTTCAAACTTCTAATTTTTAATTACTCTCTTCTCGGTTTGGAGAAGAGGGAGGAACAGATATAAAGAGCTATGAAGTTTTGAAAGAGAGATAATAAACTGAAAATAAATAAGCAAATGTGATAACGGGGACACTTGCTTCCTTAGAGGATGTCACAGGGAAATTATTTATAGTGGCTGAATAGGAGATACAAAGTTCAGCAAACCTCCCACAGATTCTTTCCTGAAGGCCACGACTTCCTGTAGCCAATTGCATCAAACATAGTGGCTTTTCTATAAGTTCACCATATAGAGTTTCATTCATTTCATTACTAAAAGACTCAGCCTTGGTAAGGCACTGCTCCCATTTTACAAGTCTTTGACATGACACACTCATTTTTAAAAGCACACAGTATCGGTTGCTGTTGAATCTCATATTGCATTTCTATTGACCAGATTCCAGTTATAACATAAACACTTGGGTAAATGATTACATTTTAAAGTCAGTATGTAAAACAACCCTGAACAACTATGTCAGATGTTTTTAAATTTTTTCTGATTTTGTGACTCACAGCATTATTAATAATTGAAACTCTGTTCTGGCTGTGCTTAACTAGTGCCAGTTTTAATACAAAACCTGTCATATTTAAACACAACTGCTCCAATAATAAGCTATTAATATATCAGTTAATTTATTTCACTGACCCCTGTAACCTAAACTTTTAGGTCACCTTGGATTTGTCAAATGGGATGGCTGCCTACAAAAGTTCAGTCTTATATATGGAGGAGTAAATATAAAAATGTTATGAGCAACCCACATTCCATTATAAATTGTAAGCATAGAAAGAATGTAAGTAAATTTGAATGACTAAATTATTTTTAAGTATCAGTTGTATATAGTACTAAGCTTCAGATTAGTACTAAACTTCAGATTAGAAAACTGTTTAAATAAGACATTTTGGACAAAAGCCTATGGTTTGAGTATTTAATATGTTCCTCCTTACCAGCTATATCCCAGCCAGTATTACAATAAAGTTTAATTCTTTTTAGTTAAAAAGCAGATTTCAATTTTCCCATGGCTTCCTTTCTTTTTCTTTGGTCTCCTTCTTTGTCACTCCTACCTCTATCTGTTTCCCAGCCTACAAGAGGAGTGGTCTTCAGCTCTGAGACTGGTTTCTCTCACTGAATTTTGCTTAAAAATTAACTTTGTCTTTCTGTTTCTTTAATTACATATTTCTTCTCTTTTTGCTTACATAGCATTTCTCTTGTTTGAATCTGCAGCATTTTTTTTTTTTTTGGATTCTTTTAGAATCATTGCCACTTTCTGATTCCTCAGGGATCTAGAACTAGAAATACCATTTGACACAGCCATCCCATTACTGGGTATATACCCAAAGGATTATAAATCATGCTGCTATAAAGACACATGCACACGTATATTTATTGCAGTACTATTCACAATAGCAAAGACTTGGAACCAACCCAAATGTCCAACAACGATAGACTGGATTAAGAAAATGTGGCACATATACACCATGGAATACTATGCAGCCATAAAAATTGATGAGTTCATGTCCTTTGCAGGGACATGGATGAACCTGGAAGCCATCATTCTCAGCAAACTATCACAAGGACAAAAAACCAAACACCGCATTTTCTCACTCATAGGTGGGAATTGAACAATGAGAACACATGGACACAGGAAGGGGAACATCACACACCAGGGCCTGTTGTGGGGTGGGGGCAGGGGCGAGGGATAGCATTAGGAGATATACCAAATGCTAAATGACGAGTTAATGGGTGCAGCACACCAACATGGCACATGTATACATATGTAACAAACCTGCACGTTGTGCACATGTACCCTAAAACTTAAAATATAATAATAATAAAATTAATAAAAAGAAATAACTCCAAAAAAAAAAAAGAATCATTGCTACTTTCTTCAGTAAGAACTTGTAGGATTGGCTCACATTGATAATATTAAATGGTTCTCATTTTTGAGAGCTTATTTTATGCCAGGAAATGGTTAACATTTTAAGTAGATTATATTATTTAATCCTCAAACAACTCTCTGAGCTAGTGTACTATTATTCGTACTTTCTAGATCAGGAAACTGCAGGATAGAAAAGTTGAGCAACTTGGCTGAAATTCTACAGCCAGAAATTGACCACAGGTTTCTGTACTACAGGACTGTACACTTAATCACTACTCCGTAGCTTTTCTGTAAAATGACACCAGGTTATATTACTTGCTTTTCTTCTTGATGTCAGAATAAGTGATTTCCTCACTGTGTCTTTCCTTATCATGAATTCTGATGACAGCTCAGAGAACTGAAGCAGAATAGTGTCCATATTGGGGGAGGGGAAGTTGAAGCCTATGGCTTTAACATCTGGATCAATATTCCCCTTCATACCTTCTGGCTCCCTTCTGTCCGCCAACTGCATGAGATTGTGTCACACATGACAGCTCTTATCTCTGTTACTAGAGTGGCCACTTTCTAAGGGCAAGGTCTTTATCACATTCTTTTTCATTTCCCTCACATTACCTTGTATATTAATATTTTCCAGATAAAAGGACAGAAATTGTAGGCCCTGTGGATGAGCCTTCCAGGCAATTCTGCTGTTCAGTACTCAAGCTGTGCCACTGTTTTTCCTCAAAATTCAGGAAAAAGGAATAGTTCTTCCTTCCATGTAAGCCAGGTGCAGACAAAGTGGTCTGTTTTGCAAGAACTTCATTGTTTTACACAACTGTGTTTTCCTTATTTACGGAAATTGGTTACAAGAAAGGAAGCAGGATAACTTAGCTAAGTAGTTAACTGTTTCTTTTGTAGAATGCAACAATCTCAGATACTTGAAAAGGTTTTGCAGAATTTTAAATAAGTGTTCCCAAAGAGCTTATGTTTTTATTTCAAATTACGATTCGACAGCATTCAATCCCTTGTTATTGCTTTGTCAGACTTTTAATTGAATTATTCAGAACATGAAACAAAAGGAAAGAACTGTAGATATAGCACAGTAATATTAACAGAATTACCAGAGTGCTGAGAATTATTAAAGAGGACATTATGTTTGTTAATCGGGCATTTAATTTTTCTTCTGTTTGTTGATGGAAAACATCCTCTTGGAAAGGATTTTCTCAAAAACCTTAATTGTGACAATGCCTTCTTAACATCCATGAATATACTGTACAAGCAAAAGCTATTTGAAATCTAATTAGTCAAAAAGATTCCTAATTTCCATTTTAACTGTAGAATGGCTGACCAGCATTCCAGTGAGATTGGTTTTCAGTACACAAGAGAAAGCTGGCCTTCCAAACAGGCTTTAGAAAGTCAGAAATGCAGGAGGAAAGGTTTTAAGCTATTACAGACTATAGCAAAAAAAATGATATATTGTATTCTTGAGAATACTGAGAATGTTTATTGTGGTCTCACTACAAAAAATGAAGACTGTGTGAGATAATGCATATAAGTAGCTCAATTTAGCTATTCCACAATGTATATATACTTCAGAACATCATGTTGTACATGATAAATACCTACAATTTTGTCTGTCAATTGAAAAAACAATCAGTCAATAAAAAAACACAATACTCCCTCAATTTATGAGCCCGGTACAACCTTGATATTGAAAGATTAGTGTAAGAAAAGAAATTATAGGTCAGTCTCACTCATAAGCATCAATGCAAGATATGAAACAAAATGTTAACATGCAGAATCCAGCAACATATTAAAAGATTAAAAAGATGAATATGGCATGACAACATGGAGCTTATCTCAGTAAATCCAGGTTGGCTTAACCGAAAGAAAACATCATGTCATGTAAGTCATCATATTAACAAGTTAAAGCAGAAAAATTATATGATCATCTCACTAGATACGGAAAATATGTTTGGTAGAAGTCAAGATTCATTCATAATTTTAAAAACATCTTAGAAAATTGTGAATAGGAAGGAACTTCCTTAAAGTGATCAAAGATATTTGCAAAATATCTGCTGCAAACATCAAACTTAATAGTGAAATGTGGTAAGCATGTCTTTAAAATCAGAAATAAAACAAGGGTGCCTGCTGTTAGCATATTCATTCTACATTGTACTAGATATAAAATGCCAATACAGTAAGGCTTGAAAAATGAATTTAAAATAAAGAGATAAAAAATGAAAATATCAGGATTGGGAAAAATGACATTATTCACATATCTTCTGATAATCTATAAAAAATATCCAAAAGAATCCACTGATTTATATATTTATATGGATGTTTAAAAGGCCCCAAATCACCAAGGCATTCAATAATAATAATAAAATAAAATATTTTATATAGCATTTATGCTAGACATTGTTCTAAGCACTTAACATATATTAACTTGGTCATAACCACTTTCAACAATTCTTATAAAGCTATATCTCTTAAGATAGGGGTTTTGACACACAGTTGGATAAATTGAGCAAACTCGCAGAACACAGAACTCGTAAAGATACCCAGACAGATATGGAAGCTTGATTTTTGTCTGAGCTATCATTACAAACCAGTGAGAAAATTTTGAACTATTAACTAAATACTAGTAAGACAATCATTATCTATACATAAAAATCAAGTTTAAGTAGATAGACCTTTATGTGATAGGCAGTACGGTAAATGTTTCAAAAACAGTATAGAAAAATGCCTTATGGACCTTATAATCTATAAGGATTCTTTAAACAAGGCAGAAAATACAGAGATCATAAAAGTTTGTTAAAATTTCTTAATCAAAAAATACCATGAGGAAAACGAAAAGACAAGATATAAATTAGGAATAAACACTTGTTCTACAAACAAGAGACAGAAGAGTGATATTTAGAATATATGCATTTCTTCAAATTCAGAAGCGGAAGACAACTCAATATAAAAACTAAAAAAAGGATCGAGCAACCACTTAAGAGAAGATATAGTAATAATTTAAAAACTAGAAACAACCAAATGCCCATTTATGGTAGAAGAGATAAAAAGACTTGTAATTATACAGTGGAATACTTTGTAGCAATAAAAATGAATGATATATGGCTATATGGAAAACATAAATAAATCTCTGTGATATAATGTCAGATTGACAAAGGAAGTTGCTGAAGAATAAGGAAGAATATTATTTCATGTATATGGAAGATAAAAACATTTAATACTAAATTATATGTTCTTTGGAGATATAAATGTATATGGTAAAACTTTTAAAAGCAAAGGAATGAGAAATAAAAACTTACTTTACCTAATATATGTATTATAAATATTCTTTTGCATTTACTGCATTAAACAAAATTTTAAACCTATTTTTACAGTTCTTGCAACATGTTGGGAAAGTCTTGTAAAAAAAATCATTAAAATAATATGACCCAAGTGTAAATATTGTTTGTGTACTTCTATTAGGCAGGTTTCATAGTGATTAAGAGCACATATTTCAGAACTGGATTGCTGAATTCAAATGCTATGCATACTATATGTTATCATATAAAGCAAGTGACTTTGCACTCATTTTGTCTTCTGTAAAATGGGTTAATAACAGCATTCATCTCATGGAGTTGTAATCAAGACTAGAAGCCTTCTTACACACATAATTGCAAGTGAGGTACCCATCACTTTTCTTCCTGCTGTTTTCTACCTGTCAATTAAAAAGCATTTTCTCGCATCCCGACAGTCACCGTTATCCAGTCTAGGATATGAGTTATGAGGGAAAGGTGATTGAGCCATTCCACTTGGACTCCATTTTTGTGTTTTCAAAATGAAATTTTGCTTGGTGAAAGGATTTCAATGTTTTCTTACTTTTGTTTTGATCACAAAGTTTAAAAAGCATAGTTGTGAATGAACATTTAAGGGTATACAAAAATGTAGAGCCCATTTTGTTGAGTGAAGAAAAGCAATGACAAATAGAATGGGAAGCATGATTCCATCTCATCTTTAACACTAATGTCAGAATATACACCAAAAATATTATGGACAGTTTTCATCTTCTTTTTGTCCATATGTATTTTTTAAAATGATAATGCACTCTTCATGTAAGCAGGGGAAAATGGGACATTAGGAAAAAATATTTTTAGCCAGTTACTAAGAAAATGACAAACAATTCAGATTTTTAAAAATGGATAGACAATTTAAAGAAGCAAAATTACCAATGGCCGGTAAACGTGAAAAGATATCCAACCCAGCTGGTCAGAATGGAAATACGAATTAAACCAACACAGATATTATATTTTTCATCAACTAATTTGGCAAAGAGTGATTACCATTAGTGCTATAGAGAGTGTGGGGAAGCAGTCACTTTCATATTTTACTAGTGGAAAGTGAAACAGTACCACCCTTTGGGAAAGCATTTTGCAGCATCTAAGTAAATTTCATGGCATATACTTTTAGTCCCAGCAGGCCAATTCTAAAAATCTCTCCTATAAAAATTATAGTACATGCATAAACATGTTTCATGTAGTTCAAGTTAGCACCATTTTTAATAACACAACTGGAGACAAATGTCCATCCTTAAAGAACGTTGAGTAACTTATGGCATGTACACAATGGGATACTCTGTCACTATAAAAAACAGTGAGATAGATCTCTATGTCTTAATGAAAGGGAAAAAGTAAAGCAATTTTCGCATATATCAATGTAGTGTGTGTGTGTGTGTGTGGTGACATATATAGATTATATATAATGTAAAGAGAAAAAAATTGAATGTTAAAATAACAATAATACATGTATTATATAAAGATGTACATATATAAACATAGGGTTTAAAGAATGAAAAGAATAGACACCAACACTACTAGTGTTTAGAACCTCTGGTACTGGGAAAGGAGAACTTTCATTTCTTTGTACAATTGTCTATATATGAACAATTCTCAACACCTGTGTGTTTTATTGTTATCTTCTGAGTTATGAAATGGTACTGCATAGCATTAACTCAAGCGTGAATGTTGGTCTGTCTATTCAAAAAATAAACCATATTTATTTGGAATCATACTGCCCTACTTCTAGAATTCCTTAGAATGGTTACTAGCAAGTACTTTTGGCGAGATTCTCTCTCTCTCTCTCTCTTTTTTTTATTTTTAAGAAATAATGACCAATAATAAATTATCCTCAATTCATTTACTTAATCTAGGGTTCCTTTTCATAAAATACTTTAAAATAGCTATTTTCCACTAATAAGTGTAATTCTGCAGTTCTATGTAAATATTGAATAATTATGTATTAATATAATTGCAATTATTAGTGTAATTTTTTAAAAAATAAGATGCTTGTTTAAGAAGCTTTACCATGGAAACAGCACATGAAACTATTTACCATTTACCATTGGAGTAAATAGGTAGTAAGTGATGATATAAATATAAACGAGTTAAAATTTTAAAGACTTACAGACTTTTTTAACTTGGCATTGCTTTTGTGAAGATTTATAATATCTCACTAGCTATTTTCTACCTATTTATTGTAGTAAAGGGACTTTGTTCTTTCATACCTGACCACAAAAGAAAGCCATTTGTAGCTTTAGCACTCATATATTAAGGGAGTTGTATGCTTTTTAAAAAAAATTCTCATGGAAGACATAAACCTAATCAAACCTTTCTACCCTCTAGCTGGTAACCTCTGCATGAACTAAAGAGTTGAAATATTGTTTAATCATGCTACATACCACTTTTTACAGTTATGAGAAACATTATTTTGCTGCTATAGAAGCAACAAAACAAAATGTTTTTACTCTGTGTTAAGGACAAGTATATTTTTTAAATTATTTATTTTAAATAGCATGATTTCTTATACTACACTTTCATTTTCTGTATTTTAAATATTACTTTTAGCAAAAGGCATATTTTTAAAATAATGATAATACACATGCAACCTAGGGACCAGAGACCCTCATACTGACTTGTGCCTCAGATAAACAACATGTAATTTCAGTTGGCAATCTTTACTTGATTCCTTCAGTCCAAACTCAACTATTATTAACCTTTGTTTGTGACAATTGAAGAGAATAATGGTGGAATTTGGGGCCTTTAATGTCACATTGAAATCAATAGCTGTAAATGGTAGTTGCCACAGTTCTAACTGATCTGTCACATTCAAACAAAAGAAGGCCTTTCTCAGTTCATAGAAGATAGCTGGGACAATTAAACACACACATACAAGAATCTCAAAAGACTTTTATAACATTAAGGAAATGTACTGATTCACAGTATTTTTTAAAAGGCTTTGTTTATTTGTTTGTTTGTTTGTTTCTTTGAGTGTTTTTTTTTCCTCTCCTGAAATTTTAAGTCAAATACAGGAGATGTAACTGACTTCATCCAGAGATCAAAAAGTGTGCTCTATCATAAAAATAAATTGAATTGTTCTTCTCAAAGTGGTGGTGATGGTAAGTGGTAGGGGGAGTGATGATAAGCTCCTTCATGAGCTGGCAAGGCCAGTAATTGCAAAGGCCACTAAATAAAAACAATTCAAAATCCTTGAAGCCAGATCCCTGCATGCCACTGACAGCACCCTTACCACGACTTCAACTCCCAACACAAATGTATCTTTTAGACTTCTGAACATTCATCAGTGCTAAACTTTCAGTGCTCAGTTTTGACTTTGTTTTTAATTTTCTTATTCTTCTGGACATTTGGGGAATGTAAATTAAGGGGTTTCAGTTCAAGTTTCCATACATGACTTTGATACGCATATTTGTCAACTCTGAACCTACTACTAGTTATAATTGGCTGTACATTGATTAATTCCACTAAGAACATAAGTCGACTTTGCTTAGCACTGTGAAGCTGTATGAAGTAATAAGAATGTTTCAGTGATTTTCTAGAAAGAAAAAGCCTTAGTAATTTTTATCCTTATAATAATAACAGGTTTCCAAGTTTTATTAAGGCACAATATGAAATATTCTTATTCACTGAAATACCATTCCAACCATCCTTTGAAAAATTAAATTAGTTGTTCTTCGAAGTAGAAACTAGAAAGATTCAATACTACAAGAATACAGGAGATTAAAAGGAAGAAAGTAGACAAGATCATGTATTTAAGTCGCCTTAAGCAAAAGTACTATTTTTTCTCAGCTTACAATTTTATATGACAATTTTTCACACTTAACATTTTCCAAAATTATTAGTTTAAGGACTCCATTATTTTTCTAAAAAATTATACTTCTCTGAAATAAATTCATTGACTCAAGAAGAACATAATCAATTTTTAATACTTCTTTTCCCCAGTTTATTTCTTCTCACTAGAGTATGAGATTCTAAACTTCGTCAGATCAGCTACCTGGAACAAAACAACTACTATGCTAGTGAAGCAGTTCTCCTGAAAACAAATCTCCTATTTGTAGCATTTGTTGCTGGTTTCTGTGTTATGAATTCTCTCACTATAGCCAATTTCAAGCTACCAACCTGATGTCACTCAACATGGAATCGACTCCAGGACAACACTGAAACAGTTAGGCTTTCTCTAGGAAAGACTTGATTCTGCAGCTACTGTTAGCATGACTAGAACACTAACAGTAGAAAAGGATGTGCTAATCTTCCTTAAGGAGAAAAACAGAGTGATAAAATGGCTGACCAGAAAGTCAGCTGTTCTTACCAGGTCTTCGTGATTATCTGCTTTGACATAAAGGAAATAAGGATCCTTAATTTGGTAAGGTAAAACTAAAAAGTTTTTAATGTAAATTTCACCTTTTTAATATGCTAACCTAGAGAACTCAAAATGTTCCTCTTTAATGGTGTGGTCTCTGTTCAGTAAAAGAACTTAGAGAGATGAAAATTCCATGGGTTCCTATGTATATCCTGTGTTCAGGAGATCTGTTCCTTAAATTATATTACTTTAGGAGAGAGAAGGATTCATGAGAAAAAATTTTACTTGTCAAGTCTTGTGCATAGAAATATCAATCTAAGCATATCTGCAGTAAATTAGGGGCTTTGCAATTCAACTTGATGTAATTGAAGGTATTTGTATGAATTCAATATACATGTCCGCATGTATATGTAGTGAGAGACAGAGACAGAGGGAGAGAAAAAGAGAGAACCCTGTGTTAATCAGCTCCTTTTGCTATGAAACAGAAAGGAAGGCAAACTAGCCTAAGCCCAGTAAGAGAAATTGTTGACTCAGAGCCAAACCATAGGAATGGCAGTACTCCTGACATGGGGGAAGACCAGAGACAAGGACCTAATGTCATGGTACTCCTCCTTCAATTTCTCTTGGTAACTAGCCTTTACTGTCACTTTCCTGCAAATATAAGCAGTTGATAAAGGGGTGAGGTAGGTCATCTGTTGGTTTAGATTTAGATTTATTAAATTCTAGTCAAAGAACCCAATGTATAAAACAGCTATTTTGGGGGAAATTGCCAAGGTATTCTTGTGGCCAACTGTATGTCAAGTAATTCACATGAGTATATGAGAAAAATACATGTGCTATGTATGTTGCTACATAATTTCACAATTATCTATTAAATCAAGCAAGTTAATTGTATCACTCAACTTATCTACGTATTTACTGTTTTCAATCTGACTGATCAGTCAAAATCTAACAGATACCTATTAAAATTTCCCATTGTTGTGTTTTTATTTTCTTTTATTTTTTGAGATAGGGTCTCACTCTGTTGCTCAAGCTGGAGTGCAGTGGCGTGCTCACAGCTCACTGCAGCCTCAACTTCCTGGGCTGAAGGGATCCTCCCACCTCAGCCTCCCGAAAGTAGCTGGGACCACAGGCACACATCACAACACCTAGCTAATTTATTCTTACTTTTTTTGTGGAGACAGAGTCTCCCTATGTTGCCCAGGCTGGTCTTGAACTCCTGGGCTAAAGTGGCCCTCCTACCTTGGCCTCCCAAAGTGCAGAGCCACCATGCCTGGCCATCGTTGTGTTTTTATATCATTTCCCACTTTTTCCCTATATGTCTTTTCTTGTTTGATATATAGTTTATGCATATAGCTTTGAGAATTATTCCTGTAATCATTATATCACTAATTATCTTTATTAGTGCTTTTGACCTGAGTTTTCATTGTTTTCTTAACATTAATATTTCCATTCCTGCATTCTTTTTTTCTTTTCTCTATTTTCATAATTCATTCCATTAACATATATAGTGGTAAATGACCTATTTACTTATTATTATAATATTTTGTGTTTACTGTTTATTTACTTTGTTGGGTGTTTTTCCTTTTTTAAAAGTCTCTTAATTTGGAAATTGCATTCTTCTGCTATTCACAATAATATGTGAAACAATATTTCTCGCTTAGTATATCCAGTTCAGTAATGACAATGATCACACTAAGACAGCCTACTTGCCCATTTTACTCCTGAATCTCTACTCCCTGTACCTTTTTAGAGACTTTTAAACTCCTTTCTACCTTACTTCCTCTTCCTTCTTTTCTCCACAATTTTTGGATTTTTCTGAGTAGCTGAAAGCTCTTTGTTACGGGTTTTAATTAAACACACACACAAACATAAATTTTAAGAACACTGTCTTATAATTTCTATTCTGTCTTAGTTATAGAATTATCATCACATAAACTAAAACAAGTTAACACTGTTTATTCACTGTATTAACACTGCATTGTGCTTTGCTCTTCTTGTAAAGAAGAGATTTGCTTCTGGTAGAAATTTTATGAGATTGGGAGTACTTCCTTGAGTATTTTCTTCAGATAAGATATCAGTACATGGGTGGCATATTTTCTGAATTCTTGATTGTTGAAAACCATTGTGCCTTTTTTCTTAACATTTGATTATTATATTGATTGGCTGGTATAAAGATTCTTGGGCGACAGTCATTTTCTTTTAATAACATAGTCGCATAATCTTTCTTTTGTAAGAAAACTATTTTTTGTTCTGAGTAGAAGAAAGAATTTTTTTCATTAGCATTGGAGGTCAGACATTTTCCCTGATTATGTCTAGGTGTGTGGCTTTTTGTAAAATTAATCCTGTCTGAGTCTTAGTGAGCCCATTCAGTCAAAAGGCACAAGCCTTTCTTCAACAGAATTTTTATTCTGTTATTTCCATGATTATGACTTCTATTTGATAGAAGCTGAAGTTTTCCCCATCTGGAACTACTTCTCTTTGCATGTTATGTCACCTAGATCTTCCTCTAAATCACTTATTTTATCACTAATTTCCTTCTTTGTCCCTTTATTTTGGTCATCCAGACAGTTAATTCAGGTCTCAGCAGTAGCTACTCTCTTTTTTTTTTACCTCCTCTCTTTGATTTTAGAACTGTGAAAATCATTATTGTTAGTTCAAGTAATTATTATTTTTATTTTCTAATTGTATCTCTTTGAGAATACTCATTACATTGAAACTAACATTCTCCTCTGTCTCATTCATTAGCTCTTCCTTAATAGTAGCTACCTGTTCAAGCTTGACCTCCCTCCCACAAGTTTAAGAGTACATGAAATAGGTAGCAATTTTTCTTTGACTTCCTTGTAATGTAGATTTTGCCACACAAGAACAGGCCAGGTTTGAGGTTTTCTTGAGCACTGGTAAACTGGAGGTTTGTGGGTGCAATGGCAATTTTGTCTGGTGAGCTAGTGATTACACCCTAGCATACCAGAACCTCTTCACTGGGACAGGTATAAGACCAGGACCTAAGACTCTCTAGGTCCAAGGGGGACAAAGTTCCTTCTAAAATATAAAAACTTGTAGCATTTTGTCCTACCTATTGCATCACCCCTACCCTCCCAGGACTGCCTACCAGCCGCATGAGGCAACCTCCTGAAGGACTGTGTGAGACCTTGGCAGACGTGCTCTTCTTTGGATGATCGAAGCTCCACCGGCATATGTGGCTGGGCAGTCTCCAGTGGCCAAGGAATCTGCTATATATTAGCTTCAGACCTGTTGGGACCTCTGTTCTTCTCCCTTCCCCAAGATAAATGAATCCTCACACTTGCTCTCTTCTCCAGGAAACTCAAGGCTTCAGTGGTACTACTTGGCTTATTTAAGTGTTGACTTACCCTGGCATCTTCCCATCTTCCTAGAATCCATTTTCACAGTTTTAAATATTGCCACCAAGTGTAAAGGTTTTACCGTATACAATTTTTTTTATTTTCACCTTTATTTTGCTTAGATTATCTCTAATGAATCTAATTTTCCCAATGTCTCAGTAAAAATAGCTGTGGGGTTAAAGTGGCAGGTGAAAATAATGACACCATAATGTCTTGATACTTCATGTATAAAACTCTGTAACAAATAGACTGTATAATAACAGACACATTTAGCAAACAGGAATGGAGGAACCACTACATTTAGAAAAGGAGAAGGAGAGAATCAAGGTGTAAGTTGTCAATGGTACTAAGTACAGAGCCCATTCTGCCTGGGAGATTTAGTGGCAACTCACTTCCCATGAAATAAAGCAAGTTCTTTGTGTAGCCAGACTGAGTGCCACAGCTTCAGGTCCTCTTGCCGGGGAATAACCCTTGCCCAGTATTGGCACAGTCATAAATGTTAACATAGTTAAATGGTACTCAACTGTTAAGCAATCCCATGCCATTCTGCCAGACTTAAAGTGTCTCTGGAAATACAGCTTTTTAAAAATTCCACTCAGATCTGTATTGCTTTCATTTGAGACAATCTCCTAACTGGAAACCAATTCCAAAAAAAAAAAAAAAAAATGTGTTAAGTCATGAGCCTTCAACTTAGCCCTGGTAGTTTCTTAGCAAAAGGCCTAGGAGGTCAGCCATCAGCTAAGATCTCGTTTGAAGGTGTTCTGTCTTAGAACAGTGGAAATCAGAGGGCTGTCTTAGGAGGCCTAGGTGAATGAGATGTGTTACACTACAGAGGTGAGCCAGCATGTGGTGGTCAGGGCAGAAGGATGGAGAGTGGGAAATTAGTAGCTTTCGTTTGGACAGGAAGCATAACACGAGGTATTTGATAGAGTCCTGAGGAATTCTGCTTCCTCCCAGCTCTGACTCACCTGGGAATATTTGTTTCTGCTCGGCATTGTACTTTAAGCTCAGTATCAGATAGAAGAACTTCTCCTTTCGGAGACAAACTTCCCTACTCATATGCTTAATCTGAGCCTCATCAACTTCTTAAAAATCTTACTCTCTGTTCAGCTTTTACATTTTTCATTTCTGCCTCTTCATGGTCCATTCCCATTCTCCTACATGCATGATAAAAATTGCTTTGATTCTGCCACCCTCTCAATACACTTGTCTATTTTTCATCATTCCTTCCTTTCTGGTCATTCAGAAAATTCTTTGCTTCCACTCTCCAAACTCTTTCTGTCTGTGCTTTCTCCTACTCTGCTCAAAACACTATCAGAAGTGTCACCAGTCACGTTTTCACAATCATCTCCCTTTTCATGTACTGCACAGAATTTGACCTTATTTATAACTTCTCCTTGAAACCTCTTTAACATTGTATTTTTCCATTCAATCCCATCTCTGTGACCACTTCAGTTTCTACCCTCTGCTGTTCCATTTTCACCTTGTTCCTAAGTCAGAAGTAGAACTCAGCTTTCCTAGCTCCTGATTCACATCTCTTTCCTTGATATGATTTGTTTGTTTGTTTTGAGATGGAGTTTTGCTCTTGTCACCCAGGCTGGAATACAGTGGTGCAATCTCAGCTCACTGTAACCTCTGCTTCCTGGGTTCAAGCAATTCTCCTGCCTCAGCCTTCTGAGTAGCTGGGACTACAGGTACACGCCACCGTGCCAGGCTAATTTTTTGTATTTTTAGTAGAGACAGAGTTTTGCCTTGTTGGCCAGGCTGGTCTTGGACTCCTGACCTCAGGTGATCTGCCCACCTCGGCCTCCCAAAGTGCTGGAACCACAGGCATGAGCCATCACACCCAGCCTTCTTTCCTTGATATGATTTAAATATGTTAGTACATCCATTCATTCTACAAACACTTATTGAGAACCTAGTAGGTATCGACACCTCAGGTTTGATGCCTGGTGGTTTTACTAGACTTAGTTCTTTAAATCATCTTTGCAGTTATGTTTTAAAAACTGCTGTAAAACTTTCAAAATTGATTTGGGCTCATTGATACTGCATTTACCTGTTCTGGGTCAGGCTTTGAATAGCCTACCAGGTGTAATTCAAGAGGCACTCCATAAAGGCTTACTTGCTCAAATGTATCTCTTCTATTATTGTGCCATGGTGTTTGAATTATGCACTATTATTGAGTCATTCTGTGAGGTGGAGACACTGTCACATTGTTGCTTTTTTGGAGCTTTCTTTTAAAATATGAATATTCTTTATAAGGAAAAACTATTAAGCTGTTTATAACTTCATGACTAAAATATGAAACCAGTCACCTCAAAGAGAGACTTGAAGAGATAGAGAAAGACACGAAGGACAAGGATACGAAACACTGGGCAAAGGAAAATGCCCATGAGAGTCAAAGGGAGAAGGAGGTCTGGGTAGCCTTGAAACACTGGGATGGAGGGGGAGGAACAGAAGGACAAAAAATATGAAAGAGTAAATTGACTCTGTTGTCTTTGCTTTCAAAAGGCAGGTGGACTTCTTTGAAGTAAAGCAGCAACTGTACTATTTTCTTTTCCCATATGTTATTTTAAAATGCAAGAAATTTAGAGTTATTTTGATACCTATCTGTTGAATTGGCTGAGTGGAAAAGGTAATGCAGAGGGCTATGGGGACCCAACTAAGTTAGAGAGAGCTGTGGTAAATGGAACTCTTTGAGTTTTGACATCTTTACAAATAATGCCTGATGATTATGTATTCAGTTGTTTTAAGGAAAAATATATAGTGATTCCCATGGAGAAACACAGCATTATCATATCTAAATAGATTCCACCTTCACACCCTGTTTTAAAAAATTTCTAAGGAAGGTGATATGAGCTCAAAGTTCTCCTGCAATCATTTCTGAATATTGGAATCTGTGAAGCTCTTTTAAACAGTTACATGGACTGCCTTTTTCCTGAGATTCTTCAGGAATTCTGGATCCCAGGCATCGTGTGTGTGTGTGTGTGTGTGTGTGTGTGTGTGTGTGTGTGTGTGTACTTAACTCCATAAATGATTGTGATGCATAGCCAGCGTGAAGAACAACTAAGCCAGGAATTTGATGAGCTTAGTTTGATTAGATAAACTGCAGCCATGGAAAGAAGAGGGGAGGCTCTGCTTCCCTGTTAGGAAACATCTTCTAATTAAATTTAGGAAGCAGCCTCTACAAAAGCTGACAGCAAAGTTTTCTATGCAGGCTGCAAAGGAAAGCATGATGAAAAACACAGGAAATATTTTCTCTAGAAGTTTGTCACAGTGACAGGCATTCTGTCGTTTTTTAAAAACCTACTCTTTGGGTCTGTTCCCCACTGCCCCAACACACACAGAACCTCCGTGGTAACACACTTACACACAGTGCTTTTCCCAATATGCACCGGGCTCTCTTGTTCCCTACAGCACCTTTGTTCATTCTTAGGTGGCGGCACAAATTCCCCTCTAATGTCTGCCTCATCAAGTCTATTTGTTCTCCAAGGACAAATTTAAATAGTTCTGCTGAGCACTGATATCCAAAATGACTTCTCTTCTCTAAATTCTACTGTAGTTTGTGACACTGATCTTATAATTATAATTTATTGAGCTCCTACTATGTGGTCAGCACCAGTCATACAGCTGCTATTCAACAGAGCCAGGAAAGCAGAGGCTTAGTTGATCCAAAGCCAACATTCTTTTCATTGCTTTGCAAGTTGCAGTCCCTACTCTATACCACCTTCTATTAATACTTTGATTACTCGGACTTTGTCTTTGCTCCTAGCCTGAAAGCGACTTATGGTCACAGACCACGCAATATGCATGTTACAAATCCCGTAATTCTGCTATTGTTTTGTTTGTTTGTTTTTTAATGTAGACAGATGAGTTGAACAATGACCATGCAGCAGGAATTAGCAAGAGCAGGGGTTATAACTTCAACCATACCCCATGCTAGCACTTGTACATCTGGAGCAGTTGCAGTTCCTCTAGCATCTTAAGTCTTAAGTTTTTAGGCATTTTACTGTCAAATTTAAAATAACTTGCAAGAAAACTCTGCATCTTCAAAAAAGTAGAGTTCCATAATAAGCTAAGTAAGCCAAATTTTTGCAATTACTGAAAAATTAACAAGAAATTATTGGGGAAAAGTAAATCTACTAGTGCTGAGACTTAGATATTCATGAGGGATATGTCCCAAGACCTTCTCAAATCCCCAAGTATCATTATAATATATAATTTTCCTCATAAAATGCAGTAAAGTGTAACTGAAATATTTAAATGATCCCTGTAGACCCCTAATGAGTCTATAGAAACAGAACTAAAGTCGTTTATAATGCTATTAACGTAAATTCTGAATTGAGCACTGGCTAAAACATTTTCAAATATCACTTTTTCTTGTTTCCATATAGAGCATATGGTATGCTCATTTTTGTCTGAGTCACCATCAAATTTATCCAGAACTTCTCTTTTTTGGCTAGGACCCATCAACTTTCAAAAACTGTACTTAAAAATTCAGCTGGGTGCGGTGGCTCATGCCTGTAATCCCAGCACTTTGGGAGGCCGAGGCGGGTGGATCACGAGGTCAGGAGATCAAGACCATCCTGGCTAACATGGTGAAACCCCATCTCTACTAAAATACAAAAAAATTAGCCAGGCGTGGTGGCAGGCACCTGTAATCCCGGCTACTCGGGAGGCTGAGGCAGGAGAATGGCTTGAACCTGGGAGGCGGAGATTGCAGTGAGCTGAGATCTTGCCATTGCACTCCAGCCTGTACGACAGTGTGAGACTCCATCTCAAAAAAAAAAAAAAAAAAAAATCCTAAGACTTAGCAATTGGGGCCGGGCATGGTGGCTCACACCTGTAATCCCAGCACTTTGGGAGGCCGAGAAGGGCGGATCACAAGGTCAGGAGATCAAGACCATCCTGGCCAACATGGTGAAACTCCATCTCTAGAACTAGCTCAGAGACTACAGGAATAGACCGAATGTGCATCATTATAAAGAAGCAGCTCTGACTACAGACCACCACTTGCAGAGCTGGGCAAGAAGGGTGTATTACTCTGGACAGTAGATCTAGGCCCAGAAATACCAAATATTAAAATACAAAAAATTAGCCAGGCATGGTGGTGCATGCCTATAGTCCCAGCTACTTGGGAGCCTGAGACAGGGTAATCGCTTGAAAACCAGGGAGGCGGAGGTTGCAGTGAGCAGATCATGGCACTGCACTCCAGCCTGGTGGCAGAGCAAGACTCTGTCTGAAAAAAAAAAAAAAAAGAATTAGCAGTTGGCTTTCTTTGGGGGTCTTTTAAATAAAACTTCACAAAATTAAACTACTAAGTTAAAAAAAGAGTTGAGACTACAGTGTAGGGGCTAGCTGGAAAAGCTCTTGAAAGTTCAACTCATTCTTAGCCATGTGAGTCATTCACATACCCTCACTGCATGATTCAAGTTTCTTACAGAATTACATATTAATATGTTCTTTACAACCATTCACAAATAGTTGAAACAGCAAATGTTTAGTCTATGACTCTCAGAGATTTAGATTATTTAATTTCAGCCTCTTTTGTGTTTTTCAATGTATCCATCAACAATAATAAAGAATTTACTTACTTGACTATGCATTTTGTTCATTTTTCCAGAGTTTGTGATTTACATTACTATTCATACTATGTCAGGAATCAAAAAAGTGCAATATCTTTTCTATTACATGACAAGGCACCACTATCGTTTTGTTGGTAACTATCTTGAATTGTATTCATGCCCAAGCATGAAGACAGAGTACTTGGCTTGGAGCAGATGAAGATGCTTCTAGGACACAAAACTCAACGAAATCATCAAGCCTTCAAACTCAGAATTCCTAGTTCAATAATTTGCCTATAGTAATGCTATTCCTAGTTCTACTTTAATATTACTACCATCCTTATTATATTGCTAAAAATACATATATGCGTGTGTGTTTAATAAAAATTGAATGCATGTGTGAGAAACTTGAAATAACTCTGTTTTATACATGTACATTTTTATTTAGCTCTTTTAAATTTTCCAAAAACAATCTGGCCCATTTAAAGTAGTTAAATTGTAAAACAGAAGCAGAACTAGCTCAGAGACTACAGGAATAGACAGGATGTGTGCCTCATTGTAGAGAAGCAGCTCAGACTTCAGATTACCACTTGCAGAGCTGGACAAGAAGGGTGTATGACTCTGGACAGTAGATCTAGGCTCAGAAATACCAACGGAATTCTCAGTGTTCCTAGGCACACAATTAGAAGATAACAATGATCAACTAATAGCATCTCAGATGGAATTCATAGGACCTGGATATGTAAACCTTGAATACGAGAGAAATAAAGCATTCTTTCTTCTAAGGTAAAAGTTTCTGGATAATAGATAAAACAGTGATGAGAATATCCCGTTAATACTCCCATTAGATCTGTATTTCTCAGAATTTTTCATCCTGACCTGAACATATATAGCTTCCAAGTGGAATTTTAAAGTTATTTTCTTAATAAAATCACAAGCATTCTTTATATTATCCTGTATCCATGTCTGAACAACAACAAAAACACTATTCTTTATTCTTAAGCTGCCCTACACAAATGGCATCATCATATAATTTGTAGCAAAAGCTAAATGTTATAATACTTCAGAGGAGTTATTAATAATTTAATTTATTAGCTCTAGTCTTCTTTAGTCTTTCTTTCCTCCTTCTTTGCTTTTCTCCTTTGTGAAGAAAATCTCATTACCTACCCATAACCCATATGAACATGAGTGCAAACATTTGCAGTTTCAACTATTGGTGAATGGACTCGTATAAAATATACCAATACACAATTTTGGCAGGGGGGTTGTTTGTTTGAGACAGGGTCTTGCTCTGTCATCCAGGATGTAGTACAGTCGCACAGCCATAGCTTACTGTAACCTCGAACTCTCCTGGGCTCAAGCGAGCCTCCTGCCGCATCCTCCCAAGTAGCTAGGACTACAGTCACACACCACCACGCCTGACTAACTTTTTAATTTCCTCTTTTTCTGTAGAGAAGAGGTCTTTGTTACGTAGGCTGGCTCTGAACTCCTGGCCTCAAGCGATCCTCCTGTCTTGACCTCCTAAAACACTGGAATTACAGGCATGAGCCACCACACCCATCCTCAATATATAGGTTTGCAAAAAATTTGAGTCATGAGGCTGGTGTGAGCTAGTGACTTGGCTAAGAGTTATCCTAACTCTTAGAAGCTTTCTCACACCTGTATCTCAGTTTCCTCTTACTGTGTTATATAGAACTGGATCATGTAGACAGGCAATGATCATATGAAATATGTCAGCATTACATTTGCTTTGCAGTTGCGTTTTATTTTTAAAAAGTTTTATCTAAGTAATGAATATTTAGTCAAGAATTAATATTCAGTCAACAAAGATATCTACTGTGTCTTTCATGTACCAATATTATGATTGTCCCTGTGGATGATATTGCATGATGAAAAAATACATGATCTCTAACTTTGAGCAACTCAAAATCTGTGAGCAAAGACAAAATTTAAGTTCATGAAATTAAAATAATTTAAAGGCAACTATAAAAGCAAATGGATAATTTGTGTAGTTATAGAATATACGGAGTTAACTGTGACTTTCCCAAAAGGTTATCCAAGGTAATTCATCCCCAGTGTACCACACCCTTACAGCCACTCTCTACCCCCTCATCCCTTGCCCTGTTGTATATTTTTAAATCACCTACTTGAAATTATATTACTTATTTATTTTGTTCTTATCATATTTTCCACTAGAATGAAAACTTCATGAGAAAAGTAGCTTTGTCTTATTACTGTCGAGCTCTGGCAGATAGAGTAGCAGTTGAATACATATTTGTGGAGTGAATGAATTAATGAGTATCATCAAATAAGGATTATTACAGACTGGTTATATAACATGCAGCCCACTACTAGGCAAATAAGATAATTATGGCTGATGATACCCTACTGTTTACCATTCACATACTTTAGTTATTATGCAAGTTTGGATATTAATTAAACAACAGTTATAACAATGAACCACAACAAGGAGTGATATAAAAGAGAATGAACTTATCATCTTTTCAATTTTCAATTTTTTAGGGCTGCTTTTGAGCTCATCCTGATTTCTTTTAAAGCCAGGAAAATCAGTATTTATTTTTATTGATTCACTTTATATTGTGTCAGGGCAAAATACAGGAAATTTAATGTCCAAACAGTTGTTCACTATCTAATTAGGAATTAAGAAATATAAGTAAAATGTTTCTTGTATATTAGGATTATATACATATATACATAATAACGAAAGTTGTAGTCAAGTTAGGACTTGAATTTTTTTTGAGATGGAAATACATTGCATATTTTGGTGTTCTAGAAGTGACCAGAAATAACATAGAAATAAGATATCAAAATATTTCCATTCTTTGTAAATTTTAACCTTCATCAAAAGTCACAAACATGGTAAAAATGACCTGATAGTCATTCTTTTGTGAATCTGTGTTCAAACATAGGGTAAGACATTTATCTAGTGTGCCATTCATGCATGGGGTCTCAAAATTATTTCTTTCCTTTTTTTTTTTTTTAAGATGGAGTTTCACTCTGTCGCCCAGGCTGGAGTGCAGTGGCACAGTCTCGGCTCACTGTAACCTCCACCTCCTGGGTTCAAGAGATTCTCTTGCATCAGCTTCCCGAGTGCCTAGAATTAAAGGCACACACCACCATGCCCAGCTAATTTTGTTTTTTTAATTTTTAGTAGATACCGGGTTTTGCCATGTTGGCCAGGCTGGTCTCGAACTCCTGACCTCAGGTGATCCGCCCACCTGGGCCTCCCAAATTGCTGAGATTACAGGCGTAAACCACTGCGCCCAGCCTCAAAATTATTTCTTACCCTTACCCATTAGTAGCCACAGAGTGCTCATCAAACATCACTTTAATACAGGATTAAATACTGAAAATAAAGAATGTTAGCAGTGTACATTTGTAATGCTGATTACATCCCAAAGAGACATATACTTTATTTTGAATATGCTTGTAATATAAATGGCTGTTCCCACTCTAATACGGATAATTCAAAGTTAGTGACATCACCACAAAAATGAATTTATGCAGTATTCAAATTGGTAGCATTTCCACATCCTGAAATATCTTTTTGTAATGCTCATTTCTATTCATGAAATCTTAACAAAATTCAGATTTACTATTATTCTTCTTTTCCTTCTTGTTTAATAGGTGCTTTAGGCTTAAGTTCATCCTACCAAATTGTCCAAAAATCTAGGAAGTAATATTCAGAAGTTGTTTCTCACTCACCTTGGAAAATATTTTCTCTAATCAAACTTTAAACAAATTATTAGCTTTAATTAAATGTGAAATAAAACAAAAGCATACAATAAAAAGCCCTTTGGTGTAAAGAGCTGATACAAATAAGTCCAACTTGAATATTCACAACTTTTCTGTAATAATTGATTGCAACATAATCACAGTAAAATTTCAGCATACTTTAAGTACATTTATTTGTATAAAAGTAAATATATAACTCTGAAATGATTAACAAAATACTACTTAAGTATACTTTGTAAAAGTAAACCTATATTTTATGTAATCTGACCATTTTTCCCTTTTCTAGTAGGATATAGTTCTGTTATCTTTTCTAACTAATGTGTCTTTTGGATACCTATAACACTATTGATACTTTTCAAATAATTTTATCATAGTATCCAGTTATATAACAAGTAGTATTCATTTATTCATCTGTTAAGTACATTTCTATTAAGCAAAAATCTGAGTAAAATCTGAAGGAAAAGTAAATGAGTAAATTCACTCAAGGGCAGGAGCAAGTGTGTGTGATATGAATGGGATGGATATTGTGGATGGAGGAAACAACATTAATAAACTCTGGCCTGGGAGTTAAACATAAGTAGACTAATATGACTTTCCTAACATACTATATAGTGACTGGTTTTCGCTGCATGCCATGATTTATATGTATTATATAGGCTATTGTCTCTTTCTTAATTATTTAGAAATAACCATGTCTATAATATAGTAGCATTACTGTTTTATTTCTTAAGAGGCATCTCTATGGTGTATAAGGTTTAGGCAATTCTATTATGAATAACATAGGCTCAGATTATACATTGTGGACAAATCGAATTATGCATGTGCTATCTGAGAGGAGATCTGTATGTGAGCAAGACATAGAAGCCCTGTATACTCTACTCTCTCTCAGAGGACAGAGGAGATTTGAAGACCAATTGTGGATGGGTATCGTGCATCAACTGAAATACCCACTTATATCTCCTTCATCAGTTGCCCTTGTGTTAACATACAGCATCAAAGTTCCTGCTTGTGCCAGGCCCAGAGCTATGGATTACCCAGTTCTTCTAAGAAGTTATATCTTCTAAATGCCTATTGTTATGTATTTGCTTTTTGTAATATCAGTTTTGCCTATGAACACAGCACGTAGCATCAAAAGCAAGGCAATGTATGAGCACCACCTATTAGAAGAGATTTAGTGCCATGTTATTTATAACAAAACCTGGAAATAATCTCAACATCCAAAAATTGAGAAATAAATAATTAAGTAAAATAGGGTGTATCTATATGATTTATAAATTATTATATGAAATATATGACTGTTAAAATAGTATTTTTAAAGAAGCTTAGTGACATAGGGAATGCACCTTATATAAAAATGAAGGATATATAACTAAAAATGATAAGCATTAAATTTTGAGTACAGTGTATTTACTCAATAAAGGAGTAAAATTTTCTTACTCAAAGGAAATAGACCTTTTTAATTTTATTTCTATTTAGTTGTTTCATTATGAGTAATTTTAGTTTTTTCTTCTTTATTCAAGTTGGTATTTGCTTCCACAATAATTAAGAACTTTTTTTATAATCAGGAAAATAACATTTGAAAAATATAATGTAGGAATATTGAATGAATTATGGTAAATAGTTGTTTCTTTTCTCATTCAAGGTAAGACAAGTAGATATGATTTTAATCTGTAGCAGGATAAGAAAGATATTCATTGGAATTTGATGATTATAAATATTATGAGAAGCAGAGTCTACTGTATCTGTTGCTAGGGATAATTTGAAAGAAAATAAGAAAGCTGGAATGATTTAAGCACCGTAAAGCTAATAGGTGAGAGGACTTGGAAAATCATTAACTGTGGTATATATGTTAGTTTTAATATTGTCTGGGAACTTCTTCAGGTCCTATTTAGGCCTGTGATCTCAATTATGTGTTTAATAAGCAAAGTTCATTTTTGGTGTCTCAGACAGTTGCTGGTTTCACATTGTAAGAATTCAGGATGTTGTTTAAACCACAATTGATTTATTTTAAAATGTCTTATAATCTCTTTATCTTTACATACACTTATTGCCTTGTAACATAACAGATGATCTCTTTCATCATGTCATTAGTTCTAATTGTGAGAACTGTAAAATGATAATTAATTGCTATATTTGTTTTATACGTATTTTATGTAAAACACAGTTATAGACTCTGATAGTTCAGATTAATTTATTGTTAGTTTTCTTTGACTATATGTTTGCAAATATTAATTTCTTAACCCCTTGCAATCTGCCTTCCATCTTATTAGGTGTCTATAACTACATTCCCATAAGTTGCCAATAACTGTGAGTGGTATATTCTATTACTTACATTTCAGTCTTCATTCTACCTAATTTCTCTGCAGTATTTTACCTCAATAATTTCATCCACATCTTTTTTAGGGGAAGTGGTCTTCTCATTTATATTTTTCCTGGTTGTTCTCCTCTCTCTCTGACCATTATAAGGATTCTGCACCTTAGTATTAATGATCCCAAAGCTTAAGCCCTTTTCCTTCCATCTTCTCATCCATTCACAAGACATCAACCACCATCTACTAATTAGAGTTTAATTTGAGAGTTATGCCAATGACTCTCAAATCTATGTTTCCAAAACTCCTTTCTGAGATCCAGATTTCTATTAACTCTCAACCAGATTCTTTCAGGTAGATGTCCCATAGAGACCTCAAACTCAATGTATCTGAAATTCATTCACCCTTCCCCAGCCCTTGCCAAAACCTGCTTCTCTTGTGTTTCCTAACTTGATTGAATACATTACTATCCTCCAGCAATTGAAATCTGCAAAATTTTAAATTTTCATTCCCCAACTCTGATTTGTCCTTATCTTGAAACTTTTTAACATTCATCTTTAAAATAACATCCTAGTCCACTTGAAATTATTGATTTTCACTGACATTGTTTCACATTAGCCATACCTTCTCTTTCTGATTGGTCTCCTGCTTGGACTCTTATACTCTCACCCCATAGACATATATAAGAGTTATGTTTCTAAAACATGGATTAAACATATGGCCTTCCATGTTTTCTTATTGCCTAAAGGATAAGGCACAAAATCTTTCAAAAATTGACCCTAAACTCTAGCTGAACCATGTGGACATGTCTCCTCCCTGCTTCCTTCATATGCACTAGTTTCCTTCCCATTTCATATGATACCATGCATTCCTATGCTTTTGAACCTTTTCTTAAGTATTTTTTAGTCATACATTTTTCCATAGGCTCTACTCCAGCCAGTGATTTTGTGAATCCCTCAAGATTCCAAACTACAATCACCTTCACTGTTGTCTCCTCACATCTCTCTCATACACACACACTCTAGAAGTTAATAAAAAGTAATCACTCCACTGCTAAGTTTTCATTCACTTCATAAACACTTCAAGTAGAGCAGATTGTTTTGGATCATTTTTATGTCTGTTTATTTTACCAAACCCAGAATGGCCTAAACCATGAAGACTGTAAAGCTTTCATGGTTAGAGGCAGGATAGTTGCAAGTGCTCATTTAAGGACATTGGTCCAGATTCAGAAGGTTTCAGTATTCCCACAAATTATTCACTTTCAAAAAAAGGAAAAAGCAGTAAGAAATCTGTGAGTTGCATTTGTGATTTTAGCAGTTTTATGTTAAGTTCTAGGAATAGTAGCAATTTGAAAGGTATGAAATAAAGACTTCTTTATAGTGCTGGATGCTGCCTTTGCCCAGATGATGTAAAAATCTAATTAGGTGCTGCTGCTTCTAGGTGTTAATTACATAACCAGCAAAGTTCACCATAGTATGTTCCTTGTTAAGTGAAAAAAAGCGCAAAGTTTTAAACTATCTAAATTTAGCAGTCCTTTGGGTACTCTGCATTTGTTGAATATTGCAAAAGTAAATACCCATCTGTTTTAGTACTAATATGATTTTGTATATCAAGCACTTTAAAGATTTTTTTCCCCCATGAAAACTTCATCAACTGTTTTATCAACAATGTAGGCTTCAGGCACTTCTGTAAAGTTGAGTTGGGATAAATGAAAGATCCTTGTCGAATTGGTAATCATGCAGGTATTGAGAATGAAAGGGAGATCATATTTTAATTTAACTTCAGTGCCTCAAGATATTTTCCCTTATGGACTATATTACTGTTCTCTGTCTACATATCCATCTTGTAGAAATCATAGCCACTGTTAATACATTTCAAATAAAGCTTTCCTGGATCTGGGTGATATTTATCACTTCTTTCTGCAAGGGTCTCCTGAATTATATGAGGGCTTACTCATTATGACATATTAAAATGCTAAATGATTTATAGAGGAATAGAGATGTATTGTAATTCTAAAGGCCATTTTTATATTCTGCTGAACCTGACATAGTTTAAGTGTCACAACTGAAACTATAACTTGATTGTAAGTTCTTTGAGGACAAAGTTGATGCCTTACTCTTGTAATTTCCACATAGTCCATGAAACTAAGGACCTGCTCGGCCAGGCCAATAGCTCCTTTCTAAAGAAAAGTAAACAGAAGCAGTATTTGGCATACACCTGCCGTAAAAGTGTGTGTCCTGGCTACCTTGACCACAATTTATTGGACCAGATATTGTATCCCTGAGCAAAAAGCAACCACTTGGAGACTAAATAAAAAGAGGTCAGCAACTTGTCAGGAAGTGTGATGCCATAACCCAGGCAATAATGTCACTCCACACTGGATAGTGGCCAACTGCCTGTATCAATTAACACTCTTAATTGCAAGCAACAGAAACTGACTGGCTGTCAGAAGTGAAAGGAGATTTATTGGCAGGATACAAGATGGCTTATGGAATCAAAGAAGGCAGGAACAGCAGGCTTAGAAAATGGGCAAAAAACGAAAAGGCTCAGAGAATGAACACCAAGAGTTGTCCAGCTAATACAGCCTCTACCAGGGTTGATATCCACCACTACTGCCATCATGGGATACTGTCAGGAGATGCTGCACAACACACTACCACAAATACAATTTAACCACTTTTCTGATTGTGAGGTTAAAACTTTGGGCTGGATCTTCAGTTGCCTAGGCCTAGATCATGTACTGGTTTTTTGGTTGCAAGACAGTAGAAAGAGTAAGACCCTCTTTTCAAAGACTTGCGAAATGGGGATAGTTCCTGTGTCCTACCAATGCTTCATATGATTTAAATTTCCTGCAAATAGGAAGGGAAGTCAAATTTCAGACAGCCAAAATATAAAGAACGCTATTTGTACTGAGTGTTGTTCTCTGTGGATTTGTTTTTAAATATATTATATATATATGTATATATATGTGTGTGTGTATATATATACGTGTATATATACACATATATGTATATATATGATATGTATATATACGTGTATATATACACATATATGTATATATGATATGTATATATACGTGTATATATACACATATATGTATATATGATATGTATATATACGTGTATATATACACATATATGTATATATATGATATGTATATATATGTGTATATATACACATATGTACATATGATATGTATATATACGTGTATATATACACATATATGTATATATGATATGTATATACGTGTACATATACACATATGTATATATACGTGTACATATACACATATGTATACATACGTGTACATATACACATGTATACATACGTGTACATATACACATGTATATATACGTGTACATATACACATATGTATATATACGTGTACATATACACATATGTATATATACGTGTACATATACACATATGTATATAAGTATATAAATGTGTATACATATATACATATGTATGTATACACATATGTGGATATATATACGTGTATATATGATATGTATATATACATATATATTTACACATATATATGCCTATACATAAACACACACACATATATATGCATATATATATAAAAAATAGTAAAAAAATTGAATCGGAAAACCAAGTTCAACTCAATTTTGAAAAAAATTGAATTGGAGAACCAAAAAGCTAATATAGGAAAAAGGAGAAAGTGAGTAGAAGTAGAAATGGAATAAGAGATGCTGAGAAATAAGAGCAGATGTATTCGTATTGCAGAGTTTTTAATCCTTAAAACAATAGACACCCATTCCTAAAGTAACAACAAGAAAACAGGAGCTGCTCTTTAGAGCTGCTGTATGTCTTACAAAATGATTTATGGTGTCCCAATCCCCAGAGGCCTAGCCCTTCCTTTACCAAAAACATTTCACTTACTTTTTTATTTTTCCATGTATAGTTGTAATAAACTCCCCAAAATGGGGTAACCTCGCCATGTTTCCTTTCCTTGACACCTGAAAGATTAAAATAGAGAACTCTCTTTTTACACAGACACACCCCTTATGACATGTATGCTTATAAACCACCACATGAGTGTAATAAATATATTCAAGGATTTTTAGGTTCAAGATTGCTAAAGATTTTAGATAAAATCCAGTATCCATGAATTTCATTTTGAATTTGTGAATACTACACTTACAAAAGGTCATGTTTAAAGCCTTCTCTATCCCACATTATCACCAAAGACTTCTACCAAAGTCACCCACTTTAGTATTTCCTTAGTATTATTATTTCCTTTAGTATTTAGTTTTGAGTATTTACCTCAAAAAGGGATATCAGTCCACAGAGCTGGCAAAAACAAGCAAGCAAACAAACAAACAAACAAAATGGCCTAGATATTTCTTTCCAGCTCCTACAGCAGCAGTGGGAAGAAATTTTTTTTTCCCTTCCTAATTCCTTTTATTTATTTATTTATTATTTTTTTTTATTATACTTTAAGTTTTAGGGTACATGTGCACATTGTGCAGGTTAGTTACATATGTATACATGTGCCATGCTGGTGCACTGCACCCACTAACGCGTCATCTAGCATTAGGTATATCTCCCAATGCTATCCCTCCCCCCTCCCCCCACCCCACCACAGTCCCCAGAGTGTGATATTCCCCTTCCTGTGTCCATGTGATCTCATTGTTCAATTCCCACCTATGAGTGAGAACATGCGGTGTTTGTTTTTTTGTTCTTGCGATAGTTTACTGAGAATGATGGTTTCCAATTTCATCCATGTCCCTACAAAGGACATGAACTCATCATTTTTTATGGCTGCATAGTATTCCATGGTGTATATGTGCCACATTTTCTTAATCCAGTCTATCATTGTTGGACATTTGGGTTGGTTCCAAGTCTTTGCTATTGTGAATAGTGCCACAATAAACATACGTGTGCATGTGTCTTTATAGCAGCATGATTTATAGTCATTTGGGTATATACCCAGTAATGGGATGGCTGGGTCAAATGGTATTTCTAGTTCTAGATCCCTGAGGAATCGCCACACTGACTTCCACAATGGTTGAACTAGTTTACAGTCCCACCAACAGTGTAAAAGTGTTCCTATTTCTCCACATCCTCTCCAGCACCTGTTGTTTCCTGACTTTTTAATGATCGCCATTCTAACTGGTGTGAGATGGTATCTCATTGTGGTTTTGATTTGCATTTCTCTGATGGCCAGTGATGATGAGCATTTTTTCATGTGTTTTTTGGCTGCATAAATGTCTTCTTTTGAGAAGTGTCTGTTCATGTCCTTCGCCCACTTTTTGATGGGGCTGTTTTTTTTTTCTTGTAAATTTGTTTGAGTTCATTGTAGATTCTGGATATTAGCCCTTTGTCAGATGAGTAGGTTGCGAAAATTTTCTCCCATGTTGTAGGTTGCCTGTTCACTCTGATGGTAGTTTCTTTTGCTGTGCAGAAGCTCTTTAGTTTAATTAGATCCCATTTGTCAATTTTGGCTTTTGTTGCCATTGCTTTTGGTGTTTTGGACATGAAGTCCTTGCCCACGCCTATGTCCTGAATGGTAATGCCTAGGTTTTCTTCTAGGGTTTTTATGGTTTTAGGTCTAACGTTTAAATCTGTAATCCATCTTGAATTGATTTTTGTATAAGGTGTAAGGAAGGGATCCAGTTTCAGCTTTCTACATATGGCTAGTCAGTTTTCCCAGCACCATTTATTAAATAGGGAATCCTTTCCCCATTGCTTGTTTTTCTCAGGTTTGTCAAAGATCAGATAGTTGTAGATATGCGGCATTATTTCTGAGGGCTCTGTTCTGTTCCATTGATCTATATCTCTGTTTTGGTACCAGTACCATGCTGTTTTGGTTACTGTAGCCTTGTAGTATAGTTTGAAGTCAGGTAGTGTGATGCCTCCAGCTTTGTTCTTTTGGCTTAGGATTGACTTGGCGATGTGGGCTCTTTTTTGGTTCCATATGAACTTTAAAGTAGTTTTTTCCAATTCTGTGAAGAAAGTCATTGGTAGCTTGATGGGGATGGCATTGAATCTGTAAATTACCTTGGGCAGTATGGCCATTTTCACGATATTGACTCTTCCTACCCATGAGCATGGAATGTTCTTCCATTTGTTTGTGTCCTCTTTTATTTCCTTGAGCAGTGGTTTGTAGTTCTCCTTGAAGAGGTCCTTCACATCCCTTGTAAGTTGGATTCCTAGGTATTTTATTCTCTTTGAAGCAATTGTGAATGGGAGTTCACTCATGACTTGGCTCTCTGTTTGTCTGTTGTTGGTGTATAAGAATGCTTGTGATTTTTGTACATTGATTTTGTATCCTGAGACTTTGCTGAAGTTGCTTATCAGCTTAAGGAGATTTTGGGCTGAGACGATGGGGTTTTCTAGATAAACAATCATGTCGTCTGCAAACAGGGACAATTTGACTTCCTCTTTTCCTAGTTGAATACCCTTTATTTCTTTCTCCTGCCTGATTGCCCTGGCCAGAACTTCCAACACTATGTTGAATAGGAGCGGTGAGAGAGGGCATCCCTGTCTTGTGCCAGTTTTCAAAGGGAATGCTTCCAGTTTTTGCCCATTCAGTATGATATTGGCTGTGGGTTTGTCATAGATAGCTCTTATTATTTTGAAATACATCCCATCAATACCTAATTTATTGAGAGTTTTTAGCATGAAGCATTGTTGAATTTTGTCAAAGGCCTTTTCTGCATCTATTGAGATAATCATGTGGTTTTTGTCTTTGGCTCTGTTTATATGCTGTATTACATTTATTGATTTGCGTATATTGAACCAGCCTTGCATCCCAGGGATGAAGCCCACTTGATCATGGTGGATAAGCTTTTTGATGTGCTGCTGGATTCGGTTTGCCAGTATTTTATTGAGGATTTTTGCATCAATGTTCATCAAGGATATTGGTCTAAAATTCTCTTTTTTGGTTGTGTCTCTGCCCGGCTTTGGTATCAGAATGATGCTGGCCTCATAAAATGAGTTAGGGAGGATTCCCTCTTTTTCTATTGATTGGAATAGTTTCAGAAGGAATGGTACCAGTTCCTCCTTGTACCTCTGGTAGAATTCGGCTGTGAATCCATGTGGTCCTGGACTCTTTTTGGTTGGTAAACTATTGATTATTGCCACAATTTCAGAGCCTGTTATTGGTCTATTCAGAGATTCAACTGCTTCCTGGTTTAGTCTTGGGAGAGTGTATGTGTCGAGGAATGTATCCATTTCTTCTAGATTTTCTAGTTTATTTGCGTAGAGGTGTTTGTAGTATTCTCTGATGGTAGTTTGTATTTCTGTGGGATCGGTGGTGATATCCCCTTTATCATTTTTTATTGTGTCTATTTGATTCTTCTCTCTTTTTTTCTTTATTAGTCTTGCTAGCAGTCTATCAATTTTGTTGATCCTTTCAGAAAACCAGCTCCTGGATTCATTGATTTTTTGAAGGGTTTTTTGTGTCTCTATTTCCTTCAGTTGTGCTCTGATTTTAGTTATTTCTTGCCTTCTGCTAGCTTTTGAATGTGTTTGCTCTTGCTTTTCTAGTTCTTTTAATTGTGATGTTAGGTTGTCAATTTTGGATCTTTCCTGCTTTCTCTTGTGGGCATTTAGTGCTATAAATTTCCCTCTACACACTGCTTTGAATGCATCCCAGAGATTCTGGTATGTTGTGTCTTTGTTCTCGTTGGTTTCAAAGAACATCTTTATTTCTGCCTTCATTTCGTTATGTACCCAGTAGTCATTCAGGAGCAGGTTGTTCAGTTTCCATGTAGTTGAGCGGCTTTGAGTGAGATTCTTAATCCTGAGTTCTAGTTTGATTGCACTGTTGTCTGAGAGATAGTTTGTTATAATTTCTGTTCTTTTACATTTGCTGAGGAGTGCTTTACTTCCAACTATGTGGTCAATTTTGGAATAGGTGTGGTGTGGTGCTGAAAAAAATGTATATTCTGTTGATTTGGGGTGGAGAGTTCTGTAGATGTCTATTAGGTCCGCTTGGTGCAGAGCTGAGTTCAATTCCTGGGTATCCTTGTTGACTTTCTGTCTCGTTGATCTGTCTAATGTTGACAGTGGGGTGTTAAAGTGTCTCATTATTAATGTGTGGGAGTCTAAGTCTCTTTGTAGGTCACTCAGGACTTGCTTTATGAATCTGGGTGCTCCTGTATTGGTTGCATAAATATTTAGGATAGTTAGCTCCTCTTGTTGAATTGATCCCTTTACCATTATGTAATGGCCTTCTTTGTCCCTTTTGATCTTTGTTGGTTTACAATCTGTTTTATCAGAGACTAGGATTGCAACCCCTGCCTTTTTTTCTTTTCCATTTGCTTGGTAGATCTTCCTCCATCCTTTTATTTTGAGCCTATGTGTGTCTCTGCATGTGAGATGGGTTTCCTGAATACAGCACACTAATGGGTCTTGACTCTTTATCCAACTTGCCAGTCTGTGTCTTTTAATTGCAGAATTTAGTCCATTTATATTTAAAGTTAATATTGTTATGTGTGAATTTGATCCTGTCATTATGATGTTAGCTGGTGATTTTGCTCGTTAGTTGATGCAGTTTCTTCCTAGTCTCAATGGTCTTTACATTTTGGCATGATTTTGCAGCGGCTGGTACCAGTTGTTCCTTTCCATGTTTAGCGCTTCCTTCAGGAGCTCTTTTAGGGCAGGCCTGGTGGTGACAAAATCTCTCAGCATTTGCTTGTCTATAAAGTATTTTATTTCTCCTTCACTTATGAAGCTTAGTTTGGCTGGATATGAAATTCTGGGTTGAAAATTGAAATTCTTTAAAGAACTATACCAACTTGTTATGGATGAGTTCTCCTTAGTCGGAACCATTCATTGCCAAGGGATTGCAGTTTTTCTCTGATAGGTTATTTAAAATTGCCTCAATAGTAATTCTTTCTTGCTTGGATTTCATAACATTCCCAGGACAGAAGCGTGACTTCCCTAGACTCTCTTCATCCTAAATGTATCAGCATGGTGGGTGCTCCAGGGCAGAATGGTGCCCCACACTAGCTTCCTCCCTGTGTTGGTTAATCATTCACTTCAATATGGAATTATAAAAATACTGAGGTTTTATGCTTGTGGTTGTTTTCTAAGTCTAGCACTGAAATACATAAGCTAAGTGAATAGACCAGCAGATGTATAAAATATAAATTGTTATACTGTTTACACTAATGCTTTGCATTAAGAAAACAAATGCCAAGCTGCTTGAAGTCTGCAAAGAATAAAAACTCCTTATTATACATTTACATACACACTTGCCCTTATCCAAAATGAATCCATACATAGTAGGGCAAGCAGCTGCCTATATTTCATAACCCACTGAGGTCTTTTTAATGTGTTCTAAGCAATGATTAGGAAACCTGCTGGGGTTCATTTTGGCTCAGCTGGTCCACAATTTTGAACACCTACTGGTGGTATCAGGAAAATGTGTACATGACCTGTTTCTGCATATATTAAGATCTTCCAAATTATGCTGCATACCCTCATTAATAAGCAAACTATGGATGACACCCTTTTTGTATGGTAGATAAAACTAGCATTTTAATTTAAAGATAAATAATATCCCACACATAAAGAAAGTTCAAGCTCATTTTTTGGCCCAGTATAAAGGATTCAACAAAAGAATAAACTATTCTGAAATGCTTTAATGTAGAAGATTTGGAGGTGTCCTAATTACTGCGAAATATGGCCAATGTATGGCTCTCGAAGAGTTTTTTGTTTGCCTGTGAAGATAGGCCTATGGAACCTGTGTCAATCTTGGTTTTACAAAAAAAACATGATAAAATTAAAGACAAGGGAAATAGACCTGGGAATATACACCATAGGTAAAGAAAAACATTATAAGGCAGAAAGGAATGGCTGCCCCTAAGTGACAGACAAGTCATGGATCAATTTTGGGTGCAAGGTAGGCAACTTTAGGTCAATTCAGGCAGGCATAGAGGCTCAGAGGGATCCAATCCAGAAAGAAGTGAACAATGGATAAAGTCTAGAAATGTAGAGTACAGATAGCGGAAAGGGAGAACTAGACTTCAAACAAGCAGAATGGATTATGAAAGCTAAGGCAGACATTAGAATGGAGTACAGTTCAGAACAGAGGGCATTGGAGGCCCAACACACCTGGAAGAAGTTTCATCTGACCTCTCAATGAATGATATTTTATTTTATTTTATTTTATTTTATTTTATTTTATTTTATTTTATTGAGACAGAGTCTTGCTCTGTCTCCCAGGCTGGAATGCAGTGACGCAATCTCGGCTCACTGCAGCCTCCACCTCCTGGGTTTAAAGGATTCTCATTCCTCAGCCTCCTGAGTAGCTGGGATTACAGGTATGTGTTACCATGCCTGGTTTTTTGTTTTTTTGTTTTTTTTTTTCTTTTTTTTACTTTTACTAGAGACAAGGATTTGCCATGTGGGCCAGGGTGGTCTTGAACGCCTGACCTCAAGTGATCCACCCTCCTCAGTCTTCCAAAGTGCTGGGATTACAGGCATGAGCCAATGTGCCCAGCCTCTCAGTGATGTTTTAAAGGGTTTGTCATTGATTGCATCTGTAAGAGACAAAGAATTGGAATGAGTATTAGCATCTACACTGATTCCTCTGGCCATCCTCCCTTGATGGATAATTTTGTCTTGCGGACACAAAGGCATCATGTCCTTTATCCATGGGCATTTGCACAATTGCTTCCAGAGTCCCACATCACAATAGTGAGTTTGAGCAAGTTCTGAATCAAAAGATCAAGTAAGTGTCCAAACTCTTTAAGGATGTCTCTGAGTTGTCTTTTTGCAGAGGTCACTCAATCATTGTCTCCTACCATGTCCCTAAAAGCAGTCTTTTTCTAGGAAAAAAATTAGCCCTGCTTCCTGGTATTGGACCTTTTCTTTCCCCTGAGCATATATTGGCTATTGCTGGGTAGGTCACCAACAAGGCTTAACTGTATTCAGGACATTCCAAGAGACCTTGTTCTGTCAAGCCAAGGGTAGAACTAGAATTCAGAAGAAATTTGAGAGATTCGTTTGGATTCAGCGTAGCTTTCTTGAATTCCTCTCAGTAAGATATCCTGGGGTCACTTGGGCAAGTTTCTTTCTTCTTTGACTTTCCTAGAATATAGCGTAATCCTCTTACAGGGAGAATTCTTCATACAAGTAGAGAACTGTTGTGTCAGTTGAGTCCTCCAGGAATCAGACACAGAGAGGGAGTTAGGAGGGCCAAAGGTTTATTGGAGAGAAATGCTTGTGAAAGGAAAAAAGTGGAAGCAAAATTGGAAAAGGGGAGCCATTGGACCCTGATACAGACACAAGAAAAGTCTTTGCTAGCCCAGTAGGGAGCTTCAGGACAAAAAGTGCCTATTAGAGGAGTCCCACATTCACCGGAAATAGCTAGACCCTTGTACTACAGTTTTGCTATCATTCACTGGGGTCTCCCTGAAAGGAGCATGACCCCAGTTTAAAAGCGAGGCACACCTAAAGGAGGAAGCAGTTAGAGGCAGTCAGCTCACCACACTCCTGCAGCTGGGCCAGAGTCTGTTCCTGAAGGTAGATCCGAGTGGTTCATGTCTGTGTCTGTTGCAGTTGCCTGCTTCTGCATGTATTTTTCTTAGACGTTTTCAGAACTTAGTTACTTTAGCATATCTACTCATCAGTTCTCGTGAAAAGTTATGCGACTCCTCAACATTGCAGAAAGTTAACCCTTTAAATTGCAGAGCCCCCTCTACCATGCAGGGTCTGAGCCCTGCTTCCATTTCTTTGATGCAACATGGGATTCCTGGAATAGAGACAAGGTATTTACATATTAAAATAGCAACAGTGCTACAGTGCCCCTGAGAGGCTCAGTGTCTAGAATAGCACATGAAACTGTGGGCAGAAGGTGTTCATTGATCTGTTTATTTGGGCAGGTACCTCTCAAACTTCATTACCATGGCCAGGTGAGGCCGTGGATTTCCTGTTGGGATTAGCCGGCAGAAGCAAGATAATTCTATGAAATCTGAATCTGATTCCATAGGGACAAATTGTGGCAGAGGAGATCTGAAATTTGAACAGCTTTCAGGGCTGATCTCTACAATTAACACTGCCATTTGAGAGTAAAGAAGTGAGCTGGTGGAGAGGATCTGAGAGTCCTCACAGAGAATTAAAATAGTGCCTGAAAGAACGCTGGCAGTCAGGAATTAACTAAACAGTGAGTAGTGTATGGCAATTCTTGTCCATTTGTAAAAAAAAAAAAAAAAAAAAAGAAAGCTTTAGCGACTAAGTGGAATGGGGAGCATTGACACTAAGAATGTCAGAGGAATGGTACACTAGGGAAATTTTGTCTGAAAGGAAGAAAAAAACATCATTAAGTTATGTTCACCAGAAATGATATTTAAAGGAACAAAACAGGAATATAGTTCCCCTTAGCTGATAAAAATATGGACAGCATCTCCCTTCCCCTCAAGGTCCCAGGGACTAAAGACTGAGAGTTGAGGCAGGGTCAGGGTCAGAGGTACAAACTCTGGAAAAGCCCTCAATATATTAAAGGTTCAGACAGAAAGGATCATGGTCAGCCTGGGTCCTCAGGTGGGTTCTCGTGGACTTCTAGGCCACAGTAGGAGACAGTTCTCTCCAAGTATTTTAGCTCACTGATGGAGAGCATCAAAAGACTGTTTTCAAACTCAGTTGGCTCCTGGAGCAAGAGCTGCTAATATCCTGTATCTCCAGCTTATTTTGGCTCCATGGAAGAGGAGATGCAAATGTTTTGTGGTTCATGATGGAAAGCTGGTATGCAATTAGAAATTCTTCATTCTTTCATTCAACATGGTATTTATTGTCTTTCATGTACCAGGCTCTTTGCTAGGATAAAAGAGTAAAATACATCCCCTAAAAGACTAATAGTCTAGTAGAAAGAAATTGATTATGGAACAGAGAAGATGACTATAAAACACTGTGATAAATGCAGTAATAAAGAAACATTATAGGAGCACTAAAGAGGCAGTCATTTACTAATCCATCCTATGCTGAAGTGAGATGGAAGGATTTGTCATGGAGGGCTGCGTTGAAGGGTGTTATTCAAGGGACAAAAAATGAAGGGCATTCCAGGTAGAAAGAGAAAAATAAGAAAAAACTTGAAATGAGAAACAGAATAGAGAAGGCTATGTGCTTGGGGAGGAGAGGACACACAGGTGGGTCTATGTCATCTTCTATTTAAGGCACAAGGAAGTAGCCACACACACACACACACACACACACAGGCACACATGTACACATTCCAGGTATATACAGTTACAACATTTTATAATCACATTATGTGTTTGTTGTATGCATTTGTCTCCCCTAGATTGTAAAGTATTTTGCTTTATGTTTTTAAAGAACAGGGATAGCATATTACATATCTCTAAATCTGTATTATCCAATATAGTACCTAAAACAGTTATCTATTATGTTATCCTGGACCCAGTATACTGTACTCTCAATTTTCCTCCAAGTACATAGAAATAAGAAAGTCAGTGTCAATTTGTGTGGTGTAGGCTCTATCAATTCAACAATACTGTTGAATGCCTACTATGTGTCAGGTTCTGCGCTACATGCTCTGAAATAAGCTGAAATGATAGAACACTTTCAGGATGTCTTGTCTTTTGTGACACTTAATATCAGATGTCCATTTTATTGTGTGCCTGGTTTGCATTTCCTTGCAGACTCTAGTTTCATTCATCTTAGTGTTCAGCACGGAAAATTTGTAGTGCCTCATGGTCAATAAATATTTGCCAAAAGGGTAGAACCCACATTACCTACAATGCCACTTTCTTTCATTTTTCTATTTATATTTGAGTGCCTTTAGAATTATTTTTAGAATAATAGATGAAATTTATCTATATTAGAAATAATTTACCTATATTAGCATGAACACACTTAAGTATAGAGTTTGATGTGTTTTGGCAAATGTCTATACCCGATTATACCACATTCAAAATATGGAACGTTTCAGAGGTAATCACTGCTAACAGGTTACAGCATAAATGCATAGTCTGTTTTTCAGACCTCTATATAAATATATGTACATATTTATATTTTAAAAACAGGATTAGGCTATCTGTGTGTTATTCTGTGTCTTGCTTTTGTTCACTTAATATGTTTTGGATATCTTTCCATGTCAGTTTACAAAGATTTATTTTTAATGGCTGCATAGTATTTCATTGTATGGATTATAGTACTTTTCACAAATCTTCCCATATTGACATTTATTCTTTTTTTCCACTACTGCAAACAATGCTGTAGTGAATGGCAGACATCTTTGTACACATATTTTGAATGCATGTGGATTTAATTAGGCTAGGTATTTGGAATTGGAATTTAAAACTTATAAGATGAGCTTTACATTTTTATACATATTACCACATTGTTCTTAAAAAGGAGTTATTAATTTACTTTCCTATTGAGAGCCTATGAGAATGCCTGTTTCTTTGCAACCTCAGCAAAGAGGGATATTATCAGTCTTTACATTTTCGGCAAATCATGATAGGTGATCATGTTTATTCTTTTGTTTTTCTAATTACTAGCGAGATTCGATGTCTTTTCATATTTGCTGGTCATTTGTATATTTTCTTATTGTGGAATATAGACAACATACATGAAACATATATGTATGCATTTATAAACAGATACCTACACACACACATATATATTTTTTAACAACTCATAATGTGCACACCATGTGACCACCAGGTCAAGAAATAGAACATCTCCAACACCTCAAAAGCTCCCTATATGTCCCACCCTAACACAACCCTCTCTGTCCACTTTAACACCATCCCTACTCTTTGCTTTGCTTTTCTTCGTAGTTTTATCACCCATATATATGTCTCTAAAGACCATATTTACTTTCTATTTAAGGAATTTATATGAATCAAATTATATTGTATACTTTTGAGACTGGTTTCTTTTGCTAAGCCTTATGAGATTAATCCTTATCATTGTATATAGCTCTAGTGTGTTTATTCCATTGTATGACTATATTACCATTTATTTTTCATTTTACTCTTGATGGACAATTTGGATTTTTTCCACTTTGGGGCTATTTCAAACAGTGCTACTATGGATATTTTGAACATGTATTCTGGAGTTTGCATCTTTAAAAGGACATATACGTAAGAGTGGAACCTAGATCATGTGAAACTGTTTCCCAAAGACTCTTGTACTGATTTACATTCTCCCCAGGGTGTATTGACTTTCCCCCAACCCCCCAATCTGGTAGATAGATAATGGCATCACATTGTGGTTTAAATGAGCATTGTCCTTATATGGAAAAAATGTGAAAGGTGTTCATAAGGCTGATCACATTTCATAAATTTTTTGGCCATTTGGATTTCATCTTGAATGAAATCCAATGAAGTATGCTATGTTGAACGAAGTATGTTAAAGTTTTGCCCATTTTTCTCATTAATTTTCAGGTGGTCCTTTATATATTCTGGATACTACTCCTTTATGAATTGTGCTTCAGAATCTTGTCCCACTTTGTGCCTTGTCTTTTCACAATGTTTTTAAATATATTAACATTTTAATTTTAATATCTTCAAATATATCAATAGTTTTCCTTTAAAGAAAATGGAACATTTCCATTACCCTCAAAAATTTTCTTATACTTATTTCCACTTAATTGCTCCTCCAGCCTAATTCTCAGTCTCAGCAACCACTGCTCTGCTTTCCATACTCATGGTTTTTCCTCTTACAGAATTTTAATAAATGTATGCATATAATGTCTACTTCTGTAACTTAGCATCATTTTGTTTTATTAATTCCAAGTTGTGGCATGATTCATTAGTTTCTTTTTGTTGTTGAATCATATTTCATTGCGTGGATATGCAGCAATTTTGTTTATTCAACTCACATATTGATGAATATTGGCATTATGTCAAATTTGGGCCTATTTTGAAAAAGTTTCTGTGAGTATTCATGTGCAAGTTTTAATGTAGAAATATGTTTCCATCTCACTTGTATATATAATTAAGAGTTGAATTTCTGGGTTAATTAGTAAGTCCATGTCTACCTTTTTAGGAAACTGCACAACTAATTTCCAAAGTGGTTGGACCACCTTTAGAATACTTAAGTCAGAAAAACAGATGCAAGAAGGACACATGCTAAAAAATAGTTAATAAAAACATCTCCATTTCAACACATAGTCTTTGCATTCACTAATATTATAATTGTGCCTGGAACAGTTGACTGCCTGTCCTGTTTTATTGACATAGAAGGATAATACATCACGTTTGCTCATTATGTTGCAGCTACTTCTAGTCTTACAGGAATAAGTGAAGTAGAAGCCTTCGATAGTTCTAGTTTACAATTGATGGCTGAATTTCACTTCAGGGAGCAATTTTGCTAAAGAAGATGAAGGTTTAGGACATGATAATGGGAAAGAAAATTAAGAAGGTGAAATTGGTACTCAGATTGATCTTCTGGGCCCCAGTTCTTTCCATCAGAAACATGGATGTAATGAAAATTCTAGCCACCTCTTGGCATGTCATATGAATTAAGACTTAAGAGTTGCTTAGTGAAAAACATTTTATAACTGGTAAAATTTTGCAGTGGATTTATTGAAATGCCAGATTCTAAGAAAGCCATTTTGAAATGAATTGTACAGAGTGAAAATTACTAGGTAAATGGGAGAGAAATGTTTCTTCAAGTCAAAATTTCACTTGTAATTTAGCTTATCAGGAAATTCTCAGTCTCATTCTGTAGTGCTTATTCCTTTGCAGAGGACATGAAACCAGTGAGATTTGATGCCCTAAGTAATTGGTAGAAATACCTGCTCTACAATGAAGAGGTCATCTTCAGGGTCTCAAAAGCAGCAGGATGGGTCATTTATAGAACTCCCTTAATGTGTAACTAAATACAGAGTAGTTACTAGAATTAAAAATTATTATCTTGTGTCCCAGATTAGAAATTAAGCTTTAAAAACAACCAGTTTTGCATAATGGACATTACTGCAGCAAGTAATCTGCATTCCTCAGCATTACCTTTTCTAGTTGTGTTGTCACCGTTGTTTGATTTTCATAGGAATCTATTCCCGATAAGATTAGTTGCAGGCAGACACTGGGCTGTACCTCATCAAAATTTTCAAATAGGCCAAATTTGCCTCTAGCTTGCTTTTATCAAAACTCTTCTCAGCACTTCACAAGTCTGCTCTGGTACCTTCACTTTATGTAGTATCCTCAAGACCACCATTTGCTCCCTAGATCTGTCACTCATTCTCTTAGGGGCTTCAAGTGTCTTTCTGCTTATAATGCCATGCACCTCTGTCACAGGAAATCATTTTGTTGCTTCAGAGCTTTCTTTGGTGATCACATTGAATAGCAAAAGGGTTAACAGGTATTGAAGAACATGCTCACACACACACACACACACACACACACACACACAAGACAAGCAACTACTGTGACAGAGATTGCAAATCATGTTCAGGGAGAAGCATTAATGCCTTTAGAAAGCACCAATAAAGCCTTTGTGATCTACGTAGACGTTTTTGTGTATTAGACATTTTTAAGATTTTGTTAAGCTATTCTGTTTTTCTTAATTATCCATCACTTTTTCACAGAATTACCAGTGATTTGTAAAGTAGTCTTCCTACATTTCATGCTTTTGGACATTGTCATAAAATATAGCTGGGTTTTTCTTAAATCTAGACATAGTTTATATTTTGATGGATATATAAGGAAATAATGTGAAAATATGCCAAGTTGCCAAGTTTTCACTCATTTCTCATTCATTGACACAACATATATTTTTTAGTGCCCAGAAATAGAGCAGTCAATAATTGTTTTTTGTTTTCCTTCTTCCTCTTCTTCTTCTCCTTGTATGTATTGGTAATGGTAAACTCTTGATTTGTCTGAGAGATAAGAGTACTTTTGTATATTTCAGATCCTGAAGATTTTGGGAAGAATTAGAAATTGTCTAAAACTTATTTATTTCAATAAGATTCTAAAAACTGGCTTGTTACAAAAGGCAAAGCCATCTCATGCTATCACTAGAAAATGAGAAGGTCAAGATGTAGAAACACTACTAATTGCTTTTAGATCTTGAACATTCATATCAAAATTTTGAAGAAACCAGGAAAATATAAATAGTTACAGTCTATTCGTGAATTCCCTGAAGTATATAGATTCATTTCATGATGTTATTGACCTCACCACATTTCTAGTTGTATTAGAATATTCTCTATTATACCTGTCAAACAAAACATTGCAATTTACAGAACAATCATTAATTTTTATGGTAATTTTGGTTAGAAGTTGTTTTTAAAATTCTCAGGTAGCCAAACTGTACTTACCCTTGGCTGTGATGATTAGTCAGCAGCTGGCTTGCCTAAGTATGAAGATGAGAAAAATATATGTGAACACCGTCAACTTTACTCATGGAGGGTCAAATTTACTCATGGAGGGTCAAATTATGGTATCTCAAAATAGAGACAGATGATTCAAGTAAACAGTGCTAACCAAAAAAAACCATGTGTTTCTAAGAATTTGAAAAACTTTGAACAAATTCCAGATCATTAAGCAATGGGTAAGAGGCAGTCATTTAAAGCAGTCACCTAGTGAAAATCAGGAAAAATGTCTGACAGATGTTCAGAGTAAATTATTATGGCATGGGGGTCAATAGTATTGAAAGCCACTTGGAAGCCTATATCAGATTATTAGTGTTTACTCTATTGGAACCAAATAATATTTCAAATTTGTTTCAGTAATTCTTATCAGGACACATTCCATGTATTATGCCATTCAAGTGATCTTTAAATTATTGTCAAAGTCTACCTTAAAGAGAGCTTCCACAAAGGACATGCAATTCATATCATCTAGAGTTACTGTCATTTCTAGGCTAAGTCCCATGGAAATTCATAACTTAGAAATGAAAGTCACAAAGATGCAACTGCCTTCATAATACCAATGCAGTGGTTATAAATATTTCATGAGCATTGCATGGGCAGGGGCAGATCTCCATTTTCATGAGTTAGAATTTGTACAGCTAAGTCTCCACATTTTACTATTCATAATGCACACTATGCCCTGTAGAGCATTCCATATAGCACTTTTTTAATATTTATGTTTAATGAAGAAATTACTGTTCTAAAAAGAGAATAAGCCAAGCCAAAGACTTCTTTTTAAAAGTATTAAGTTTTGCTTAATAGAGATGATAACAATCAACAGAAATTACCTCATTGCAGTATCTTAGCACAAAAATGCATAACTTTTTGAGTAATACAGGATGATGGATCAAGACACATTAAACCTAAGTGAGAAGGTTCTTTCTAAAGGTTATAACATTACAAATCTCATCTTAAAGGAATTCGAAAGGTTAAAATGCAAAGAGCAACTTTCTTACATACAAAAACATTAATTACAAATGATATGCTTGCCTGCTATTTCATAGTTTAAATATATGACTGTATTTCTCTGGGTTTTTCTTTTATTCAAAAACATTTTAACTTGCTAAGATAATATTACCAAGTTCGATAATGAATTGCTATTGCATACTTTAAGGTAATTTATCAAAGCACATTATCAGTACCTGTCAGAATAAATTTTGCACTAAAAGTAATGAAAAAAAGGACTATTGTATGTGTTGAAATCAAAGAACATTACTGTACTGTAGCTAAGTTATTCAATGGAGAGGATAGGTGTTTGCCCTCTAAATGATACTTGCCCCATGAGAAAATAAGAGCCTGGAAAATCACAGAAAATAGGCACATGGAAATGTCTATTTCTTGCTTTTTAAAATGAGCATTTGATATTTTATTTCATTTTTGTCATTTTGATCAATTCTGTCAAGTTTGTGAGTGCTGAAAATGCTGCACAGATCTTGGTAACATTTACAAAAGTAAATTAAAGTTACTGATCAGCTCATGTATAATACAAGGCTGAATTATTCCATATTTGCATATACTATATATCACATGTAGATTGATGATGAAGTCATAGATTTTATTTTGAATACACATCAAGACTAAGTCTAATAATGAAAACAAGCTTTAGATTTAATATCATTCACTTGAGTCAGCAGTTTTAAATATTTTTTATTTTGCTTAAACCAATGAGATCACTAGAAATTTTGTAATGTTTCTTGTACTTAACATCAAAAGTTTGTGTTTCATTCCTGATAATATTTAACTGAAAGTGGGAAACACTGTCTTCCATTTTGTTCTTTGAAATTTTATTTTCTAAAGGCTCTGTTGAGGAATTTAACCTTTATGTGATGAATTTGCAGTTCACTTGAAGTGTGTTAACCTTAGTTCCCTAATGAGTCTAGGTGTAATACTGAGGAGGAATTTGAGAAATATATCATGTAGCTCATTGTCAAGTTGGATTTGTCTTGCACGTCTCCAGCTTTGCTGTTGTTCCAGTACACATTTTGATCACAATTCTTTAATTTTGTTCTATATTTAACCGACCTATTTGAACAGGATCCAGAGCTGGTGCGGAACATCTGCCGCTGGGTTAGGCAAGCTGTTCAGATTCCTTTTTTTGCCAAGCTGACCCCAAATGTCACTGATATTGTGAGCATCGCAAGAGCTGCAAAGGAAGGTAAGAACTTGACTTGAATCAGTTGCCCGCTATTGTAAATATTGGCCCACATTATGTAGCCATACTCAAGTATGTCTTTTCCTACAAACATGTGCATATTTTTTGTCTCAATTTTAAAAGTTTCCAGTTGAGCACTTGATCCCACAAACACAGGAGATTTACACCTGGACTCATGCTAGCAAATTGACCATGAATTTTGATCTGGAAACACAAGATCCTTTATAGTTTTTCCTAATAAACACTTATTTCACACATTATAAGAACAAAAAACACAGTCACAGCAAACCCGTCCAAAATAAATGACCTCATAATGTAACAATTCAATATATTAAACTTTAATGAGTAAAAAAGAAAAAAAGAAAATTCAATTTGCACAATGTGAAATTTCTTATGAGTTCTCTTCATATTTTGTAGGGCCTAGCTGACTTCCTTAAACACATGCTCAATAAATATCTGTTGAATACAAAAATCATGCGTGCTTGTGTTCCATCCCAGGGAAATTGCACCCTGACTTGCAAAGACATTGTAAATTACCTGGAAAATAACACCAAATACAAAACATTTGGTAACAACAAGTCTGTATAATATTTGAGAAAGTAAAGTTGTGGTAATTAAAACTTCTTTAATGTTTAAAATTTTAAACATAAATGTAGGAGTTAAATTAGTGAAGAACTTTGAGGAGAAGACATGTTCTCAAGATAAAATAGAATGCATTTTTCTGGGATGTGAGGGTTTGAATGGGTTTTAACTATCGTGTCTTATAAGAGCTGCATGAAAATGTTGATGTGTCTTGCATAGGTGGTGCCAATGGCGTTACAGCCACCAACACTGTCTCAGGTCTGATGGGATTAAAATCTGATGGCACACCTTGGCCAGCAGTGGGGATTGCAAAGCGAACTACATATGGAGGAGTGTCTGGTAGGTGTTGCCCACTTCTTGCATTGTGCTTTCTTGGAGGTTGCTGAAAAATCAGAAGGTCATGTTGCAAGAGTTTTGTGCCCTTTATGATCCCAAATTCTTATAACTCATAGCTGATCAATATTCCTAATAGTTATGACAGAACGGATTGAATATGAAAGCTCAAGTGACAGCACAGGATGAGAGAATATCAAGATAAGGTCTTGCACAAATTCTATTCTCTTGTGGTCCATGCTTTCCTAAGAATTTCTCATCGTCTCTCAGTTCTTTTGCCACTTACTAGTAAGGGTTAATATGAGGGCCCTCTGAGAGAAAAATATAAGTACCCTCATTATAATATCTTTTTCATGGTCTGGACTAGTTTTCATTCTTCCTAGAATTTAGACATCTACCTTCTTCAAAAACCTTGTCCCAACTGTCCCAAACAAGCCATTAAAACACTGAATTAAGCATCAGCTGACAAGACATTTGCAGACCTCACACCTTTGCACGCTCTTTCTCATCAGCATACGCTTGAATTTGAAAAAGAAAGAGAGGTTTTAATCTCAAGGTCCTGTTCAGTATCTTTACCCTGTGCACTCTGTGACTGTGACAACATGAACTTGGTCTTGCAAAGACAATGCTGTAAGGTTCTTGACTGTACTGGTTTGGGATTAGTCTCCTTGGTGATAGAGAAAGTGGTAAATATACATAACATAACAGTGCCCCACTGTTCAAGAAAAGCATTGCTGAATCAGACCAAAATGTGCTTTTGGAAGAGGCTGGACAGACACAAATAAAGCTCTATCCATGCTGAGGTATTCAGTTTTGAGAGTATGAAGTATGCCTGTGAGCCATGAAGAACAAAAACGGTTATATTCTGCTTTTAATTGAATGCCATTCCCACAATGTCAGAAAGAAGAAGGCTGACGAGGAGCACCTGCTCAGGCTCCAGACACAGCTCGCTTTTATCAGGAGCTATCAAACAGGGCCTTAAATATTATTGTAATGCAGAATAACGTGGACCGCGTTAGCATGTGCCACAGAAAGAGAGTCAAGAGACTCCAGAGTTGGGCTGTAACATGCACTATGTTTTCTGTCAGCCCATTTCAATTTTTCCAGCCTGCCATGTTGACAGCAAGAGAATAAAGGAGGTCACAGAGGGTGCTGAACATTAAAAATTAATAAAAGAACTATTGCAGTAGTATTTTATATAAGTAACACCATTCATGTTTTCTCATTTAAGCTGCAATGTCTGAATATTCTCCCATACTATAACTCAGTCTAATAAAACTACAAAATTACAGCATTAGAAAAAGTCTTTTGTGTTGCAGTCTTTAAGCATACACACACTGGAAATTATAGCAGTACCTGAAAACAAGCTCAGTCATACCTCAGGGCCTGTTAGCATTTCCATAAAACTCTATTTCTAAGATTTATAAATTCATATATAAATATTCACTTGGGCTATAAGCTTAGGTAAGCCTGGGTAGAACTTTCATTTTAAACAACAAAAAATCCCTAACATTTTAAAGGACTTGTACCTCATTTCTAATAGGTTCTATATTAAGTTTCTTCACATTAAACAATCTGTTTTGAAAATAGCCTTTCTCCACATTGACAGAATTAATATAGTTTTCCTCCTTTAAAGTAATGCTTGCTTAAGTTTAAAAGTAATAGAATCTGAAAAGCAGTTTAAATAGGCAATGATAATATATTTTAGGACAGAGCAAGTTCTATAACAGAGTACCTTCAGTATGAGTTATAGCAAAACTTAGCCTAGCAAAATTGTGTTAAATAATAATGGTTTCAAATTTTACGAGAGTTGTATCAAATATGGTTGTCAGGACTTCAAATGCTGCCTTAATACTGAAAGTTACACAAAATAAGCTAGATATTTTTATAAGATTTTTAAAAAATTTACCATAGCACAGTGCTAATATCTGCTCAAGTGTTGTCTCAGAGCATGGCAATGTCTGCTTTCAGAGATGCTGCATGAATCACAGATTTTTAAAAAGTGAAAACTAAATAGAGTTTAATTTTGGATAGCCACCTGAACACAATACATACTTTTCATTGCCAGTGAAGGATATTTTCCCCTTTCAATATATTCTTTAGCTGTTTATTCAATTGTTATTATTTTTCTCAGAATAAGATTTCTGCTCTTTGAAATGAAGATTATGTTTTGTTTAAATACGGAAATAGTGAGGCACCTGGAGTAGTATACCTGCTGTAGAAAACTGGGCACATTTCAGGAATGTTCTTCTAGAGAAAATGCATTAGCTAATAAGGGACAGTGACTTGCATTGGGAAAACGGGATCTCAGCTAAGGAATGTCAGTGGAATTATTTCCGATATAAGTAGCCTGGATTTGAGAGCAATGTCTTTCAAAGGTTGGTTCCCAACTCATGAGTATACTATGCAATCAAGTTTAGTGAACTGTAATCAACATTTTAAATAATGAAATAGAATAAGAAATGTCAGAATGCTTTGCATATAGTTGGGATAAGCATTGTTTGGCCAAACTTCTTTTTCAGTTATACACATAATATACACTTATATATGCCATAATGTAAAACGCACTTTTTACTTAGTTAACTTCAAAATATTTTGAGAGTTACTGTTTCAGAGGGAGGTCTCTTTTGTTAAATAAAAGAAGTCAATAAGACTATAGAAAGATAACTTCTACCTGCTGTAGCTTAAAAGTTACATCAAGAGAGCAAATTAGGACCTCACTCCAAGGTCTTATCCTCAGCTTTGCTATTTTAGAAGCACTTTTTCTAATTCATCTACAGATGATTAAACTCTGGGGGGCGGTGCTTAAATATATGAAACAAACTCATAATAAAGTGATTTATAAACTTGAATTTCAATTATGGGAGAAATACATCATAGTATTGCTCCATTAAAAAGTTGAATTATATACCAGATGATTTCATAGTGAGAACAGTATAAAAGGAAATCTTGTTTGGTATCCAAAAGGAATATTTTTTATCAAACAAGGATGGCTGATTCAGCTCTCCACCATATAAGTACTCTGTCTAAACCATTGATTCTAAATAATTCTGTACCTTTCTTTGGACAGTATAGATGTAACACTAAGTTGTTACGACCTTTCCTTTTTCTAGAATCCATGCAGAAAACTTCTGTTGCATCAAACAGCAGTTAATTCATGTATCATCACACAGCTGAATAGTTTATTGGGTTTGGAGAGAGGAAAGGAAGAAGAAATTCTTTGACTTATTTGATTGGAAAAAAACCCTAATCTCAGTAACAATTATAAACTCCATCCTTGACTGCGTGACCCATTATTTTTCCCAGTTTAATTTCTTTTTTTCTTGTTTTAGTTTGAAATTTTGACCTTTTTTTCTGACTTCATTCCCAAATAATGAGGGCATCTTAAGATAGCCCCCAAATCAGTGATTACTATCACCTATATAAATGGTGTTATCCAGCTGTGGTGTGACATTTTCACATGAAATCCTCCCTGTGGGTAAGATTCTTTCAGAGCTGGTTAAGAATCAGTCCTGCATGGCATAAGCTAAAGATGTCTTTCTTGCAGCTGACTTCATGAGGATAACCTTTATTCATTTACAGGTGCTTCGGGAGAAACAGTATTCAAGCATTTTTCAATGGGGTGAATTCATTTGAAGTTTTCGTTGTTGTTCCTTGTGTTTTTAACTTTTTTTTATTAATGGGGAATGAATTTCATTGTCCTGTATATATTTTGTGTGTTGCACTTACAAACACATGCACATTCACATATATAGGAAAGAGTGCAGAAGGCACTTAAATTGAAATAATGATAGACACTTTAGGCTCAATATAATTTACTTCCCACAAGCTTGAAAAACTTATTATTTTAAATTATTTTATTTGCCAAATTTGTTCTATTTTCACCAAAGGAAAGGAAATTCTTGTTCTTAACTTCAAATTTTGAATGCTTGTTTGAAGTTATTCATTATGTATGAACTTATACAATTACAACAATAGAACACATTTTTTTCAGTATTAAGACATAAACTTTATTATTGATTTCTGAATAATTCATAAAAGATGGCTTTTAAGATTTTCTGTTTCAGCTCAAAGTTACTCCTCTCATAGAGGTTATTACAGAATCCAGTAAATGACTGTGTATTTCTAAATAAGTTATAATGGAATATTCCATGAATGTTCTTAGAGTCTACAAGTGAATAATGAATGATTTGAAATCTAGCTGTGTGAGATATTGGACACTGGCTTGTATGGTTACTAGCTTCCTAAAGGTGTTTTCATTGTAAATCCAACATAGGAAATACTAATAAAAGAAGGTACAAGTTAGAAATTTAGCTAGTAATTTGTAGATCTGCGTCAGTGTAGGGCCAGAAGTGAGTACAAAGTGTATAATTTAGAAAACTTGCACAAATGTGAATCAATATAGTAGCTTAGAAAGGGATTTTAGGCATCGACTTCACATCGCATAGTTTATGTGTTTTTAAGATAGTTACTTAGGCGTGAATTGTTAGAATGCAATAATAACTTGGCAGCATACACTGTGCTACTGGGCATTACGTAAACACAAATCCAGTGTAACCCACTCTAATCATACACTTATTTTGTTGTATTTATTAGTGAATATTTGTGTAAAATCAGGGAGATGGCAAAACAAAACAGATTACAAACTCAGAAGTTTTAGTTACATTTTTCTTTAAATAACTATTTTCACGCATGCCAGCAACTGAAGATTTTGGCAGGATTGCTTTAAGTTCTTACACCACACATTACAATTCCATCATAAAAAACAGTGTTAGTATTTTTTTAATTGGGAAGTTGTTTTTAATGTGCTGGATTTTTTTATGTGTCAATCACATGATTATCGATGCATAAATTGCTTTTAGAAAAACATGCCTATTATCTGTCATCAAATTTAAGCTATCTATTGTAATCATCTTGATCGATAAGAGCTTAGGCTTTAACATTGAAGATCTAAAATAACCTGATAGATAAAGATAGAATTTAAATGGATAAAAATGTAGTAATTCATGCAAAAAGAATAATTAAAAGGAGAGCCTTCCATTTTATACTCACTTTTTTCCTTTTTTTGTATGGACAAAAGTAATGCAAAAAATCTGGCCTGTTATTCACCTATGTAAAAACATTCTTAGCTTATTACAAGTTTAACTGATCAAACTATTAAAGAACTTGTTATACAAATATGTATGTACTATATTTGCAGAACAGTCAAAAGTAGGCATTTCAAATACAGATGCTAGATTACAATTTTATTATAAATTATCACTTTGGTTGAGAGAGGCTTACCATTAGAAATATTCTCATTTAAATAATGCTCATTTGAATATATTCATGTACAGATTGACAAAGAATCCCCTCTTTCATTATGTTGCCTTTCTCAGAGCCTCAGTATCTCACTGTTTAGCCATCGTTGGTCTGTGCAGGAGACCAGGGCCCTAATAATAGATTTTTGACAGTGAGCTCGCCTGCTACCTGCCCTACACAAATCTTCACTGTTCATGTTTGCTTCATGGCAACAAAGCAGACAGAAGGAAAATGCCAAGTGCTGAGTCTGAGGTACAGCCTTGCCTTGGCTTGACATTTCAGCAGAATAGCAGTTTATGAGATGCATAATTTTTCATCTGGGACTCAGCTGCCATATTCATAGATGCTTACAGCTCATGGACAGACTGGAGCAAGGGCAAAGGTTTAAAGCATAGATCAAGGTCTACATCCTTTCCTTAGGTATTTTAAGATAACTATTGTCCTGCAGATAAATGGTAGAACCAAATAGTATTTAAGAGCCAACAAATTCATGGGTACCTGGATATTATATATATTTTCCTTTGGTTAAAAATTAGGAAAATAAATTAATGTCTGTTCCAGTTCCTAAGAAAATATTTGATAGACTTTGTAAACCAAAGAACTCTGACAAGCATATTAAGAAAACTTACCTTTGCAGCAGTGGTAATGAATTATTAAATTTCTTTCCTCTGTGTGTGTTTTTTCATAAAGAATGATTTCAAGCTTGAAATTAATCAAAAAATGTTCTATTATGAAAGTAAAACTAGAGAGTATTGTGTCACTGTTTGAGCTTGAATTTAAATATTCACAGATTCATGCATATCTACTGTACTAAAAAATCAGTGTAGGTACACGTCAGTGGCTGTTTAATTTAGAACTACACATCTCTGTAAGCTTCAGAAACAGTTCACCATGTCACAGTCTCATACAGAACAATGGTACAGTACATTGGATTAATTAAGGAAGCCTTGCAGAGAACTGAGTTCTCAGTATGTCAAGATTTCAGTTTTATGTTAAATATTTTCTAAAGGCCAGACCCTTAAATCTCAGGGGCTGTACCAAGCAGTGAGCTGTGAATTTAACCATAGGCTAACTGCTAATGATAAGGAAAAGAGTCCTAGTTGAGGCAGCTGTAATACAGTCATTGGATTAGGCTATCAATCACTCGACTCCCTAAGGAAAAGGGGGAGAAGACCAAACAGTGAAAAGGGAAATTAGGAAAGGAGAGCATGACTGGAATGAGATTCCTCACCATCTCTATCCATTCGTCGTCCTAAATCCCTAAGCATCAGACCAAACTCTCTAGCATTACTCTGACTATACAGCCAGCATATTTATTCCTTAAATCTAGAGGACTATCAAAATGTCATTGCCTCTCCGTAGTTGAAGATCTTGAAACCTGCTAGAAGCAAATGTCTGATTACATAAGAAGAAATCAGATTCTTAATTTATGGGATTTAAGATTTATATTTATGAGTCTTTTATGGATCAGGATTCATCTATGTTAGTAAAGAAAAATATTTTTATTTAACTTGTAAACTGTAGCCAATTTTTGCATATCAACATCCTCTTGGTGAGGTGAGATTCCAGTAGATCAGTGGTTCTCAGACTTTAGCATGCATCAGAAACTGGAAGGCTTGTTGTGACACAGATTGCTGGACCTCTTCTCCAGAGTTTCTGATACATAAGGCTTGGAGGGCCTTATGTATCAGAATGTACACTGCTAACAAGTTCCAGATGATGCTTTTGCTACCGATCTGGGAACCACACTTTGAGAACAGTAGATGAAGAAAGATTAGTATCATCGAGCATTTTAGTTAGAATATCTTATTTCCAAAATAATGTCAAACGCTTTAAGCAATGGTAAAATTAGAGGGGTATAGTATTTGATAAATAAATAAGAATCTCTGCCCACAGTTAAGTATCTGAAACAAATTATAGTAAATGAAGTCAGAATTCTTAGAAAAAGTGGAACACAGTCTTTGAGGTCTCAGAGTAGGGAATAACATTCACTCTTTTAAGATTAAATGTTGAGTGGAAACCATTGTTTATGCAAAGAGAATTTATTATGAGTGCCATTGAAGACAATTTATGGATATCACTAGTCCTTTGAAAAGGAAACAGGTGTGAGTTAGGCAAGGATAAAATTACGTTCTCGATTGTGAAATGTTATGTTTTTCTTCTTAACTTTGTATAGACACTAGCATATTGAGAAATAACAGCTCTCTTCTAGGACAGTGCTTACATGCAAATTTACCTAGTTATGTTCTCAAACCCTTAAAGTGTGGGAAACAGCAGTGCTGGTAGCTTACTGCTCTTCTCTCTTAATTTACTGCTTTCTTGCCATCCCCAGACAATGCTATCCTTTTATTAGTGGAAGGGAGGAGATAATCAATGATTTGGAGATATGCTATTTCAATGCAGTGTCCCTGCTGTTAGCACTGTTACACTATGCACTGAGCTCTTCCAAAGTCATCTTTATAGACTGTTCATGATATTATTCATCAATCCTGGAAGCTGCTTGAAACCTTCTCTGACAGACAAATGTCCTGATGTGCATTCCCAAAAATTTAGTACCATGTGAATGGCTGGTAGAAAACACCTCAAATTCCAAGAGGTCCTTAAGTGTGGGGCATAGTAAACCTTTGAGACACATACATGGTGTCTGATACTTGAAGGTGGAGACTGCCAGGGTTATACAGGAGTGATGATAAGAGTTGTTATCAGAATAGAGAAGAGAAAGGAATTTGGTCAGGCCAGCTTAACTTTACTTGCTATGCTTTTGGAGAGTCCAACGTTTCAATTCAATTCAGTGAAAAAATGTTGGATTGGAAAGTGTACTGAAGATTTTTATATACAGTACATTATTTCTGTGGTTTTCAAATTGTTATGCTTACAAATACCCTACAATTAAAACGTTATAAACCATATACTCCTCACTCATTTTAGTTGACCTGAGAATTTTAGCAGTAAGTTCAAGTGCTAGCAAAAGACATAATCCCCCATGTTTTGCAAATATGAATTCTTTAAATGAAATTGTTTCAGCATTTTTTAAATAAACCTACTAGGAATAAATAACACCACTGTGCTTTTTTATATTTATCATCACCCATTTAAAAATTCATAAACATGCTCTAACAAATAGTGGGAAGTTTTGCCTCTTTTTTCCTCCTTAAACTCATATTTTAAAACAATTTCTCCATCAAATTTTATCCTATTTTTATGTTTTTTTTAAAATTTGAACATCTTAAGGATCCTCTTTGGAAGTACTCTTTAACAAAATATATGTCTATAAATGGACTTTTACATTTTAAAAATTCCTAGATTCAGTCTTTAAATGATAAATGATTTCCTGTATTGTTAGAATTTATAATTTATACTTTATCAAAACAGCATGAATATATCATAAATATTGACAATTATTCAAAATAAAAGTGAATTTTATTGAAGATTCATTTATTAATGAGAAACATATGGCTTTTTAAATAATTTGATCATGTATCTATCGAGACATATTATTCTTAAATAGAGTTTATCATCAGTTTTATTCTTTTTTTTAGGTGTAGACATTGGAAATCCTTGTTTATCTAAATAAATAAACTGGAAGGAGTTTATTATAGTCATTTTACCTAAATATTTGGACACCTTCTCCATTGTAAGCCTAAAATTAGTTAGCGATCTTCACCAAAAGTGATTAAGCAACTTGATGACTTGCTCTTTCTATTTTATTGAAATCAGAAACCTGGGTTTTACCTGATTTGCAAGAATTTTTGTCACTCAATCATTAGAATCAATCATTTTCTCAAAACCAACACCAATATTTTGAATTATTTTGTTTGGTATCCCCAAATTTTTATATTCTATGTATATGTTATTGTAATATTTGAGATCAATGAAAAATATGCTTTTTTTCGAAAGTAAGGGAAAGACTGTTGAAACAGAGGAGTTGAGACAGAAGAACCAGCGGGATGCCTTGATTGCATTGTTTCTCAGGCATACAAAATTTAAGACATCATACATATGGAAATTGGGAAACTAGAAAATGATTCCCTTAAAATCAGTTTACTTGTGGGATATATAGATTTCTGTGTAAAGTGTAACTCTCTGTGTGTATACTCTGTGAGAAAACCACTAACATATTTCACTTAATCTTCACACAACTTTATGACAACTAAGCAATACCTTGGTTTTCCTTTTAATATAAACTTAACTATGTCTCTTACAGTAGCACTGGCAATTTTAAGAAAATTATCAGGCTGAGAGCGATGGCTCACACATGGAATCCCAGCACTTCGGGAAGCTGCGGCGGGCAGATTGCTTGAGCCCAGGAGTTTGAGACTAGCCTGAGCAACATGGTGAAACCCTGTCTCTACCAAAAACACAAAACTTAGCCTGGCATGGTGACATGCGCCTGTAGTCCCAGCTACTCCTGAGGCTGAGGTGGGAGGAGCGATTCAGTCTGGGAGGTCGATGCTGCAGTGAGCCAAGATTGCGCCCATGCACTCCAGCCTGGGCAAAAGAGTGAGACCCTATAAAAAAAAAAAGTTATTTATAGATTTATAAATCTCAGTATTTAAGTTAATATGTGCTCTTTTTGGTATTTGGAAATTTATGTTGACAGACTTGTATTGCTAGAAAATTGATCAACATTTCTGCATTCCTCAGCAGCACTGGCTATTCAAGCAATGCATAGCAGCTGTGTGGGAATATCGAGGCCTTGGAATAATACAATCTTTATGTGCCCAGAACTTTATTGAACACTTTGTATGCATTCTTATTTAAATAACCCTGGGAGGTGGATACCATTGGGCCCATTCTGCAGACTTAGAGACTCAAGTCTAGATACTTAAGAAACTTGCCAGAGTTTACATAACCAGGATATGTCATAGTCTGGGTTCATACTCAGATCTTTCTCCAAAATGAACTTTTAGGCATTTTTATTAATATCAGAGATTAACATCTGTCATATCTGTCTAAATATAGTATACTCATTAAATTCTAATAGTCTACAAGTGTCACTTACTAATCTAACATTTATTCTCTCTGGTTTTGAAAAGCTGCCAGTGTACTCTTCTGTGACCCTTGTTAAAATTATGGGCCGATATTACCTGTTTCACTCAGTCTCTATCTTGGAAAATTGAGTCAGATAGGTAAATTAGGGAAACATTCTTGGATTCGTTTCAAGGAACAAAAATGAGAGGCATCATTCAGGCATTTTTCTTGAAGTGTAAGCATGCAGCTAGAAATGTAGCTGCCATCAATATAGTAATAAAAAACTTTATTTCTTACTGCCTTGGATGAACCGTCTGAGCACTCAGTCTAACTGTGATGCCAAGAGCAACTTTGGATGTCCTTCTTAATTTCTTCTTTGTAATCCTGAGTAAGTTACAAATACCTGTGTTCCTGCATATGTCTCACCTTCTTTTCGAACAGATTCATCTTTTTCCCCAAAGCAACATCATCTCTTTTATAATTTCAACTGAGCTTGCAAAAGCCTAGTAAGTAATTCAGATATGCTACCTTTTCATTAGATGAGGAAAAAGAGAAGGACATTTTGAAGACGGTGAGGTAGGGAAGAAATTGAGATTTAAAAAACCTATACTAAGTCCTTTCTGAAGTGAAAAAGGAGCTCACACTCTTTCTCATTTCTCCTGGTTTACAACAAAACGATATATAATATAAATAAACAAAAATAAACAAGAAGGTTAAACTGTCTTAGCACATATCTGTCATGATATGGTGTGAGAAATGTTAATTAGTGTGTATTAATTTGAAAAGAAGTGTATGGAACAGAAACCATGAGTCCAAGGAATGTTCCTAATTAGTCTCAGTTCATTTAGCACATTCGGTTGATGACTGACCTGTTTGGATTATAAACATCTTAAAAGCAAGAGCCGTTGTTTCCTTCATATCGACTCCTCCAGAATTTATGAAAGTTTCAGGGACATAGTAGACATGTAAGAAACCCCATTTTATTCTTAATATTCAGTTGCATACAAGCAGGAGCATTTAGTGATTGGACTGGTTTTTTTTGTTTGTGACAGAGTGTCACTCAGTCACCCAAGCTGGAGTTCAGTGGTGTGATCTCTGCTCACTGCAACCTCCACCTCCCGGGTTCGAGCGATTCTCATGCCTCAGCTTCCCGAGTAGCTGGGATTACAGACTCACACCACCATGCTGGCTAATTGCTAATTTTTGTATTTTTAGTAGAGATAGGGTTTTGCCATGTTGGCCAGTCTGGTCTCAAACTCCTGACCTCAGGTGATCCATCTGCCTCAGCCCCACAAAGTGCTGAGATTACAGGCATGAGCCACCACACCCGGCCTGGACTGACTTTTAATCTTTGCCAGCCATCTTGATTTTGCTGTTGAGCTTTGGAAACTTAGTAAGAAATTCTAGCTAATAGAATATAGGCCATCTTACTATGTGTTAGATGTCAGATGCTGGGAGCTTTTCACATGTTATGCTATTTAATCAGTACAACAAACCAATCAGGTGGGCACAATTAGGGGCCTGCTTTTTTGAAATATAAACTGAGACACAGAAAGGTCAAGTAAATTCTATAACATCACACAGCTGGTATCCAGGTATATGGGAATCTCTACTGTCTGACTCTTCATACTGTACACTTAAGCACTGTGCTTCAGCTGCCCCTTCTCCATTGCTCATTCTGTATTAATTTATTCCATTAAGCTTTTGTAATGTCTTAACATATTGTAGGATGAAAATATATAGTCACTTTTGTACTTGACAAAAAAATTGACTGAAAACAATCTATAAATATAACACTGAGATTAATCACTGTTTTAAAAAAATTCACAGTAATGACAGGTCACAATTACACTGTAAGTGGTCTAGTAAACCTCTCCATATTCCTATTAACCTCTGTGCTTCATGCATTTCTCATATTAATATACTGAGAAATAACACAAAGAAACATATGTACTTTTCAAGGCAGATGCCAAAGGTTTAATGGATCAAATTATTTCTATGTTGGATTTTTATTCAATAGTTCCAAACATTTGGTCTTTTTTTTAGTTTACTCCAATACTAAAATGAAATTATGAATTTCTCTATTAAGTAGTTAAAATGAAAACATAATAGAAATGAATTAGGCCAACAACAATGCCTTGTGTTGTTGAAATATCTTTTTACCCTAGTGTTCCCAGATCCCCAAACCCTTGTTTTAATAGCAAGCTTATACTAGATGAGGGTGTGGTAATATTTTGTAGAAATAGTGTGTGTGTGTGTGTGTGTGTGTGCTCGCGCGTGTGCGCGCGCGTGCACGCATGTGTGTTTGTGTCTGGGTGTTTGTTCCTTGTACATTATTTGAAATCACTCTCAAAGACCTTTCTTTAGTTTCACCCTTTTTATATAGGCTTGTGATATGGTTTGGCCATGTCCCCACCCAAATCTCATCTTGAACTGTAGTTCTCATAATCCCCACATGTCATGGGAGGGACCCAATGGCAGGTAATTGAATCATGGGGGCAGTTACCTCTATGCTGTTCTCATGATAGTGAGTGAGTTCTCACAATATCTGATGGTTTTATAAGGGGCTTTTCCCCCACTTCACTCTGCGCTTCTCCTTGCTGCCAACACGTGAAGAAGGACATGTTTGCTTCCCGTTCTGACATGATTGTAAGTTTCCTGAGGTCTCCCCAGCCCTGCAGAACTGTGAGTGAATTAAATCTCTTTCTTTTATACATTACCCAGTCTCGGGTATGCCTTTAATAGCAGCATGAGAACAGACCAATGTAGCTTATAATACAGCAGAGGTCACTGAAGTCTTTAGTATGATAATAGTCACCTGAGGAGCTTTTCAAATACACAGATTCTTGGAATTAGAGCATCTAATTCAGTAGATGTTTGTTAAGGCCAAGCATATATATTTTCAATTAGCATCTCAGAGGATTCTGATACATGCAACTTTAGTCCCCACTTTGAAAGGAAAAAAAATAAAACCTAATGTGGGGTATAACGCATTATAATTTTGTGTAAAAAAAATTTAAAATGTTTGTTTTAAGGAGAATGAAATGAAAAATATATATCTTTGGTAGGTTAAATTTAGTCAGTGATCATTCTAGTACTAGTAATTCAAATATAGGAATTTAGGGTTTTTTTTAGGGTTTATTTTATTGTATTTTATTATACTTTAAGTTTTAGGGTACATGTGCACAATGTGCAGTTTAGCTACATATGTATACATGTGCCATGCTGGTGTGCTGCACCCATTAACTCATCATTTAGCATTAGGTATATCTCCTAATGCTATCCCTCCCCACTCCCCCCACCCCACAACAGTCCCCAGAGTGTGATGTTCCCATTCCTGTGTCCATGTGTTCTCATTGTTCAATTCCCACCTATGAGTGAGAAAATGCGGTGTTTGGTTTTTTGTCCTTGCGATAGTTTACTGAGAATGATGATTTCCAATTTCATCCATTTCCTTACAAAGGACATGAACTCATCATTTTTTATGGCTGCATAGTATTCCATGGTGTATATGTGCCACATTTTCTTAATCCAGTCTATCATTGTTGGACATTTGGGTTGGTTCCAAGTCTTTGCTATTGTGAATAGTGCCACAATAAACATACGTGTGCATGTGTCTTTATAGCAGCATGATTTATAGTCCTTTGGGTATATACCCAGTAATGGGATGGCTGGGTCAAATGGTATTTCTAGTTCTAGATCCCTGAGGAATCGCCACACTGACTTCCATAATGGTTGAACTAGTTTACAGTCCCACCAACAGTGTAAAAGTGTTCTTATTTCTCCACATCCTCTCCAGCACCTGTTGTTTCCTGACTTTTTAATGATTGCCATTCTAACTGGTGTGAGATGGTATATCATTGTGGTTTTGATTTGCATTTCTCTGATGGCCAGTGATGATGAGCATTTTTTCATTTGTCTGATGGCTGCATAAATGTCTTCTTTTGAGAAGTGTCTGTTCATGTCCTTCGCCCACTTTTTGATGGGGTTGTTTGGTTTTTTCTTGTAAATTTGTTTGAGTTCATTGTAGATTCTGGATATTAGCCCTTTGTCAGATGAGTAGGTTGTGAAAATTTTCTCCCATTTTGTAGGTTGCCTGTTCACTCTGATGGTAGTTTCTTTTGCTGTGCAGAAGCTCTTTAGTTTAATTAGATCCCATTTGTTAACTCTGGCTTTTGTTGCCATTGCTTTTGGTGTTTTAGACATGAAGTCCTTGCCCATGCCTATGTCCTGAATGGTAATGCCTAGGTTTTGTTCTAGGGTTTTTATGGTTTTAGGTCTAACGTTTAAGTCTTTAATCTATCTTGAATTAATTTTTGTATAAGGTGTAAGGAAGGGATCCAGTTTCAGCTTTCTACATATGGCTAGCCAGTTTTCCCAGAACCATTTATTAAATAGGGAATCCTTTCCCTATTTCTTGTTTTTGTCAGGTTTCTCAAAGATCAGATAGTTGTAGATATGCGGTGTTATTTCTGAGGGCTCTGTTCTGTTCCATTGATCTATATCTCTGTTTTGGTACCAGTACCATGCTGTTTTGGTTACTGTAGCCTTGTAGTATAGTTTGAAGTCAGGTAGCGTGATGCCTCCAGCTTTGTTGTTTTGGCTTAGGATTGACTTGGCGATGTGGGCTCTCTTTTGGTTCCATATGAACTTTAAAGTAGTTTTTTCCAATTCTGTGAAGAAAGTCATTGGTAGCTTGATGGGGATGGCATTGAATCTGTAAATTACCTTGGGCAGTATGGCCATTTTCACGATATTGATTCTTCCTACCCATGAGCATGGAATGTTCTTCCACTTGTATCCTCTTTAATTTCCTTGAGCAGTGGTTTGTAGTTCTCCTTGAAGAGGTCCTTCACGTCCCTTGTAAGTTGGGTCCCTAGGTATTTTATTCTCTTTGAAGCAATTGTGAATGGTAGTTCACTCATGATTTGGCTCTCTGTCTGTTATTGGTGTATAAGAATGCTTGTGATTTGATTTTTGTACATTGATTTTGTATCCTGAGACTTTGCTGAAGTTGCTTATCAGCTTAAGGAGATTTTGGGCTGAGACAATGGGGTTTTCTAGATATACAGTCATGTCATCTGCAAACAGGGACAATTTGACTTCCTCTTTTCCTAATTGAATACCCTTTATTTCATTCTCCTGCCTAATTGCCCTGGCCAGAACTTCCAACACTATGTTGAATAGGAGTGGCGAGAGAGGGCATCACTGTCTTGTGCCAGTTTTCAAAGGGAATGCTTCCAGTTTTTGCCCATTCAGTATGATATTGGCTGTGGGTTAGTCATAGATAGCTCTTATGATTTTGAGATACGTCCCATCAATACCTAATTTATTGAGAGTTTTTAGCATGAAGGGTTGTTAAATTTTGTCAAAGGCCTTTTCTGCATCTATTGAGATAATCATGTGGTTTTTGTCTTTGGTTCTGTTTATATGCTGGATTACATTTATTGATTTGCGTATGTTGAACCAGCCTTGCATCCCAGGGATGAAGCCCACTTGATCATGGTGGATAAGCTTTTTGATGTGCTGCTGGATTCGTTTTGCCAGTATTTTATTGAGGATTTTTGCATCAATGTTCATCAAGGATATTGGTCTAAAATTCTCTTTTTCGATTGTGTCTCTGCCCGGCTTTGGTATCAGGATGATGCTGGCCTCATAACATGAGTTAGGGAGGATTCCCTCTTTTTCTATTGATTGGAATAGTTTCAGAAGGAATGGTACCAGTTCCTCCTTGTACCTCTGGTAGAATTCGGCTGTGAATCCATCTGGTCCTGGACTCTTTTTGGTTGGTAAGCTATTGATTATTGCCACAATTTCAGAGCCTGTTATTGCTCTATTCAGAGATTCAGCTTCTTCTTGGTTTAGTCTTGGGAGGGTGTATGTGTCAAGGAATTTATCCATTTCTTCTAGATTTTCTAGTTTATTTGTGTAAAGGTGTTTGTAGTATTCTCTTATGGTAGTTTGTATTTCTGCAGTATCAGTGGTGATGTCCCCTTTATCATTTTTTATTGCATCTATTTGATTCTTCTCTCTTTTCTTCTTTATTAGTCTTGCTAGCAGTCTATCAATTTTGTTGATCCTTTCAAAAAACCAGATCCTGGATTCATTAATTTTTTGAAGGGTTTTTTGTGTCTCTATTTCCTTCAGTTGTGCTCTGATTTTAGTTATTTCTTGCCTTCTGCTAGCTTTTGAATGTGTTTGCTCTTGCTTTTCTAGTTCTTTTAGTTGTGATGTTAGGGTGTCAATTTTGGATCTCTCCTGCTTTCTCTTGTGGGCATTTAGTGCTATAAATTTCCCTCTACACACTGCTTTGAATGTGTCCCAGAGAGTCTGGTATGTTGTGTCTTTGTTCTCGTTGGTTTCAAAGAACATCTTTATTTCTGCCTTCATTTCATTATGTACCCAGTAGTCATTCAGGAGCAGATTGTTCAGTTTCCGTGTAGTTGAGCAGTTTTGAGTGAGTTTCTTAATCCTGAGTTCTAGTTTGATTGCACTGTTGTCTGAGAGACAGTTTGTTATAATTTCTGTTCTTTTACATTTGCTGAGGAGAGCTTTACTTCCAACTATGTGGTCAGTTTTGGAATAGGTGTGGTGTGGTGCTGAAAAAAATGTATATTCTGTTGATTTGGGGTGGAGAGTTCTGTAGATGTCTATTAGGTCCCCTTGGTGCAGAGCTGAGTTGAATTCCTGTGTATCCTTGTTAACTTTCTGTCTCGTTGATCTGTCTAATGTTGACAGTGGGGTGTTAAATTCTCCCATTATTATTGTGTGGGAGTCTAAGTCTCTTTGTAGGTCACTCAGGACTTGCTTTATGAATCTGGGTGCTCCTGTACTGGGTGCATATATATTTAGGATAGTTAGCTTTTCTTGTTGAATTGATCCCTTTACCATTATGTAATGGCCTTCTTTGTCTCTTTTGATCTTTGTTGGTTTAAAGTCTGTTTTATCAGAGAGTAGGATTGCAACCCTTGCCTTTTTTTGTTTTCCATTTGCTTGGTAGATCTTCCTCCATCCTTTTATTTTGAGCCTATGTGTGTCTCTGCACGTGAGATGGGTTTCCTGAATACAGCACACTGATGGGACTTGACTCTTTATCTAATTTGCCAGTCTGTGTCTTGCAAGGGGCTAGGGAGTTCCCTTTCCTAGTCAAAGAAAGGGGTGACAGATGGCACCTGGAAAATCAGGTCACTCCCACCCTAATACTGAGAGTTTCCGACAGGCTTAAAAAATGGCGCACCAGGAGATTATATCCTGCACCTGGCTCGGAGGGTCCTACACCCACAGATTCTCACTGATGGCTAGCACAGCAGTCTGAGATCAAACTGCAAGGCGGCAGCGAGGCTGGGGGAGGGGTGCTCGCCATTACCCAGGCTTGCTTAGGTAAACAAAGCAGCCAGAAAGCTCCAACTGGGTGGAGCCCACCACAGCTCAAGGATGCCTGCCTGCCTCTGTAGGCTCCACCTCTGGGGGCAGGGCACAGACAAACAAAAAGACAGCAGTAACCTCTGCAGACTTAAATGTCCCTGTCTGACAGCTTTGAAGAGAGCAGTGGTTCTCCCAGCACGCAGCTGGAGATCTGAGAAGGGGCAGACTGCCTCCTCAAGTGGGTGCCTGACCCCTGACCCCCGAGCAGCCTAACTGGGAGGCACCTCCCAGTAGGGGCAGACTGACTGCTCACACAGCCGGGTACTCCTCTGAGACAGAACTTCCAGAGGAACGATCAGACAGCAGCATTCGTGGTTCATGAAAATCCGCTGTTCTGCGGCCACCGCTGCTGATACCCAGGCAAACAGGGTCTGGAGTGGACCTCTAGTAAACTCCAACAGACCTGCAGCTGAGGGTCCTGTCTGTTAGAAGGAAAACTAACAAGCAGAAAGGACATCCACACCAAAAACCCATCTGTACATCACCATCATCAAAGACCAAAAGTAGATAAAACCACAAAGATGGGGAAAAGGAAAAAACAGAGCAGAAAAACTGGAAACTCTAAAAAGCAGAGTGCCTCTCCTCCTCCAATGGAACGCAGTTCCTCACCAGCAACGTAACAAAGCTGGGCAGAGAATGACTTTGACGAGTTGAGAGAAGAAGGCTTCAGACGATCAAACTACTCCGAGCTACAGGAGGAAATTCAAACCAAAGGCAAACAAGTTGAAAATTTTGAAAATAATTTAGACGAATGTATAACTAGAATAACCAATACAGAGAAGTGCTTAAAGGAGCTGATGGAGCTGAGAGCCAAGGCTCGAGAACTACGTGAAGAATGCAGAAGCCTCAGGAGCCGATGCGATCAACTGGAAGAAAGGGTATCAGTGATGGAAGATGAAATGAATGAAATGAAGTGAGAAGGGAAGTTTAGAGAAAAAAGAATAAAAAGAAATGAACAAAGCCTCCAAGAAATATGGGACTATGTGAAACGACCAAATCTACGTCTGATTGGTGTACCTGAAAGTGACGGGGAGAATGGAACCAAGTTGGAAAACACTCTGCAGGATATTATCCAGGAGAACTTCCCCAATCTAGCAAGGCAGGCCAACATTCAGATTCAGGAAATACAGAGAACGCCACAAAGATACTCCTTGAGAAGAGCAACTCCAAGACACATAATCGTCAGATTCACCAAAATTGAAATGAAAGAAAAAATGTTAAGGGCAGCCAGAGAGAAAGGTCGGGATACCCACAAAGGGAAGCCCATCAGACTAACAGCGGATCTCTCAGCAGAAACTCTACAAGCCAGAAGAGAGTGGGGGCCAATATTCAACATTCTTAAAGAAAAGAATTTTCAACCCAGAATTTCATATCCAGCCAAACTAAGCTTCATAAGTGAAGGAGAAATAAAATCCTTTACAGACAAGCAAATGCTGAGAGATTTTCTCACCACCAGGCCTGCCCTAAAGAGCTCCTGAAGGAAGCGCTAAACATGGAAAGGAACAACCGGTTCCAGCCACTGCAAAATCATGCCAAATTGTAAAGATTATCGAGACTAGGAAGAAACTGCATCAATTAATGAGCAAAATAACCAGCTAACATCATAATGACAGGATCAAATTCACACATAACAATATTAACTTTAAATGTAAATGGACTAAATGGTCCAGTTAAAAGGAATTTAGGTTTGTGATTGGACACTCGGGTGGACTCTCCAAAAGTCTCACTAAAATATATGAAGACATAGAGGATAAACAAAAATTTAATGAGATGGGAGAATTGCCTGAGCCTAGGAGGCAAAGGTTGTGGTGAGCTGAGATTATGCCACTGCACCCCAGCCTGGGTAACAGAAAGAGACCCTGTCTCAAAAAAAAAAAAAAAAAATTAAAGGAACAATAAAAAGTTGACTTTCAGCCAATTGTCAGAATGGCCAAGAAATTTTCACAAATATTCCATTTAGTGAACTTCACATATGGATTTAAACTTTGAGTGATGGGATTCAGCAGTAGTAGTCCTTCTTTACTACTCCTAATTTCTGACCAGGTATTTCTGAGGGTATGTATATATGATTGTATACATCAAAGAGCAATTATAAGGATACTGTAATAAGTGGTTCAGATTTTATTTTTTGTGTTTGTTTTCTAAACTACGAATAGATAAAAATAGAGAAATGAAGCACTTGGCACTTTTATACCTACTTTAAGGCAAGCAGGATTGCTCTTGTTCTGATGCCATAGGATAGAACCTACAGTGAAGGAAGCCTCTTCATTTCTCTTCGTTTCTGCGAGCAAGCAGTTGTTGGAAGCAATGCCTAATGTTTAAGAGGTCTAATTTTCAGAAGCCATGATCTTCAAGTAGAATCAGAGACTTCAAGTTTCCTGTCTATTTACTGTGAATTTTGTAGTTTACATATATCCCTTCTATACAGAGTGTTAGAGGTCAAGGCAAGGAGGAAAAGTTAAAACCCTCCACCTTTAGTCTTGTAGAGTCCCATAAAAATCTGCTAGATTCTGCCAATTTGGCTTTGATCCAGACCCGTTAGCATCAATGTTGTGTGTGTCTCTAGTCCTGAAAAGGGGATTTTCCCAAACAAGCAGACAGAAAAAGCAGGGCAATTCACACTGGGTTGAAACAAGAAGATACAGAATGGATAGGAAAATACGTGGGAAATGGAAAGACAATACAGAATCAAAAATACAGCAGCACAAATAAAATACACATTGCTGTTGTGACAGAGCAGAATTGAGATCATGGAAAATTGAATGTGTTGTGAAGGATAGCCATAGGAATTTCTCCAGAAAATGTAGAAAAATATGACAGAGTAATCAAAATTATGAAAGAGAAGGTGACAATGAGACAACCCAAAATGAATTCATGATGAAGTAGCAGGATGGGAGTGGGGGAGCAGAATAATGAATATACATTTATATTCATAAATGAAATTGATCTAAAACTTTTATTTGATGCTTTAAAAAATTGACTAGCAATTAATTTTATATTAATTGCTGGGAAATTAAATTCAACAGCACATTAAAAGATATAGCCATCCTGACCAAAGAAGAATATTCCAGGAATGCAAAGATGGCTTAATATTATGAACATTATTAACATAATATACTATATAACTGTATCCAATATGAAAAAGCTTAATTCTTTTGAAATGATCTGGAAACTCATTCTAAAATTTCAGTATCACTTTCTGTTTAAAATCTTAGAAAACTAAAAGTAGTTTATGATAAATATTAATATTGAGAATATACATCATAAACCAAAAGTCAAACTCACACTTAATGAGTGAGTTTACTATTAAAAATAGTTCCATTAAAATAAAAGTCAAGACAAAGATATATACCATGAACATTGTTATTTAATATTGTTGTGAAAGTTATGTGTGACACATGTAACATGAAAGAAGTGACGTATCATTCTAGAAAATACCATTATTGTTAATAGAGATGCTCTGTTCATATACCTAGGAAATGTGAAGAGTTAATTTAAATCTCAGAATTAATTAAAGTATAAGATAGTGAGATGATAATGGTGATGCTTAAGGTATTATATCGGCTGCCTTTTATTAAGGAGATTTTGTGTACCAGGCTCTGAGTTAGGCAGCTTTCACAAAGAATCATTTTATAAATGAGAAAAACAATACCAAGGCCTGAGGTCCATTGGTACTTGAGGTCAGATCTGACTGATTCCAAGGCTTATACTCTTGGACCCAGTGTTCCACTGTACAGTAGACACACAAACAATTGCTTTCCTATACACCAGCATTCAAACTAGCAAAAACGAAGTATAAAACACTCATTCTTAAATAATATATGGGACTGAAAGAAACAACATAACTACTTCAGCATAGAGAAGCAGCTTTGAATATATGACAAAACACAATATGTTCTTATAGTAGAAGACTCATAGTAAATACAGCGTTTATTTCAAATTGAGTTATATTAAATTGAGTTATAATAAAAGACTCATAATATGGCATTTAGTTCAAATTAGAAATGAATATGGCAGTTATTTCAAATTAAGTCAATTACAAAATTGAAATGAGCTTTTTTCTAAGACACATAAAATTACTTTAAAATTTAAGAGCAAGAGGAAACAGGAAAAAATCACTAAGCAACTTTTTCACCTAGATGAAAGGTGAAAAAGGACATACATAACAGATTATTTAAACCAATTTCAAAATTATAATAACTAAGACAATGTTTTCTGGCACAAGAACCAGTAGATTAAACCAATGGAACAGAGAACTCTGAAATAGTCTTCGTATTTCCAAGAATATCGCATATAAAAGAAGACACTCAAACCAATTGTCAGGGAAACAAAAGATGTTTTATTAAACAGATAATCAATGGATAAATTAGCTATTTATTTAGAAAAAAGTCTAAGTATTAACTTTTCTTCATACTATGTATCAAAATAAATAGTAGACTAAAATTTTAACAATTGTACTAAATTAAACTATTAAAAAAGAAAAAAGATAGGTGTATGTTTATCCTATTTGAAAATCATTTCACCATAAAGACACATGCATACATGTGTTCATCACAGCACTATTCACAATAGCAAAGACATGGAACCAGCCTAGATGCCCATCAGCAGTGGACTGAATAAAGAAAATGCGGTATATAAACACCATGGAATACTACACAGCATATGAAAGTGAAATCATGGCCTTTGCAACAACATGGATGAAGCTGGAGGCCATTATCCTAAGCAAATTAACATAGAAGCAGAAAACCAAATACCGTTCTCACTCGGAAGTGGGAACTAAACACTAAGTACACATGGACACAAAGAAGGGAGCAATAGACACTGGGGCCTATTTGAGAGAGGAGGTTAGGAGGAGGGTGAGGATAGAAACTACCTATGATGATTAACTAGGTGACAAAATTCTCTATACACCAAACCCATGCAACATGCAATTTATACATGTAACAAACCTGCACATGTACCCCTTGAACCTAAAATAAATGTTGGCAAGAAAAAAGTTGAATTTTATTTTAAAAATTTTATACTAGTAAATTAGCTTCTGTCTAGTCAAATAAACTAGTGTATCTAGAAAATATATGATTTTCTGCTTTTGTCTATTAGAGTCATAAAATAATATTAATGTATTTCCTAATATTAAACAACCTCTGCATCTCTGAAAAAAAGAGAAAATGGTAAAGGAAAGCTTTGTAAAGATAAAATAAATGGAAAAATATCAGTGAAAATATTGCAAATATTTGACTGCATATTGTCTTTAATTTTTTATATATCAAAAAAAGAACAAAATTAGAAGACGAATATGAAACAGTGTTCATAAGACAACAATAATGCAATTGCTTCAGAATCAAGGTCTATGACTTCTCACTCAGAGAGTATGATGTCATAAAATAGCTGTATCCTCAACAAAAGCTTTGTAGTCAACACAGTAACACCAGTGGGTTTTCTCTTACAACATCCCTCAGTGTAGGTTTAATATCAAACATAATATCAAGTGGTAAGTCAATAAAAGCAACTCTGAGCTGCTCTGGCTTAAAATAGAGATAGATATTTAAAGTTATTTGAGCAATAGATGGAAAAAAGCCAATAACTTATGTGCAAAAACTCTTAAAACTCAGTTTGCGAAGACATGCAAAGTGAAGCAATGGTGAGCTATTTTTGAGTATCAAATTGGTAAAATATTTAAAGGCAATATATAATTCAAAGATAATGATGAGGTAGATAATTTTATACCCTACTCATGATATTGCACTTTGTTATACATCATGGGGGAAAAAATTAAAATTATTCCCTGTGTGTCCTAATTGATGTTATTTAGGGATGTTCCTTAGCTTATGTGTGTTAAACCCTCTATTTCTGGATCCCATACATTTCTCACCCTTAGTATATTTACTTATTTTTCTGGGACTTAGTTTGATAACTTCCTGAGATATTCTAAGCATTCTGAGAAACTTTAGATAAAATTTGCATATTTGAAAATGTTTTTATTCTATCCTCATACTTAATAATTTGATTGGGTATAAAATTTTATATTGAAAACAATTTTTAATTAAGTATTTATAGCCAATATTCTAGTTTCTTCTATCAGTTATAGAGAGGGCTGATCTCATCTGTTATCTGCTCTTTGATTTAAATTATATATATGCACATCCATATATATATTTATATATTTTCTCTCTTTCAAATTGTTTTATCCTTTTGGTAGGATCTACTCTTTATCTCTTGTGATCTGGTTTTCACAACCTGGATTTTCCTTTTAATTTCTTGTTTTACTCTCAGCTCTTTTCTATGTGGAAAATTTTATTTTTAGGTCTGGAAATTCTCTGGTGTTATCTGTTTATCATTTTTTCTTCCCATTTTCTCCATTCTTTCTTTTAGTCATTCTCCCCTCTGATTTATTTTGTTTTGTTTCTCCTATTTGAATTTTGCTTTCTCTTTTGGGAGATTTCTTTGATATCATACCTGTAACTTATTTTTTATTGATCATTATATTTTAACTTTTGTACAACTCTTTCTGCTTTTGATAGTTTTTAAAATAATGTTGTATTTATAATCGAACAATAATTGTATTTTTATGGGGTGTGTAGTGATGTTCCAGTGCACGAATACATTGTATAATGATCAAATCGGGGTAATTACCATATCCATCACTCTAAGCATTTATCATTTCTTTGTGGAGATAAGATTTAAAATCTTCGAGGTATCTTGAGATATACACTATATTGTTATTTGCTGTAATCTCCCTACTGTGTAATGAAACAACAGAAATGTTTCTTCCTAACTATAACTTTGTATTCATTGACTAACCTATCCAGGCCCCTGCTCCCCCTACCCCTCCCCAGTCTCTTAATACCACTTTTCTACTCTCTACTTCCATGAAATCAACTTTTTCAGATTCCACATGTGAGTGAGTTCATGCAGTATTTGTCTTACTCTGCCTGGCTTATTTCACTTAACGTAATACCCTGCAGGTTCATCCATGTTGCCACAAATGAAAGGATTTCATTCTGTTTTATGGCTGAATAGTATTCCATTGCGTACATACCACATTTTCTTTATTTATCTATAGATGGCCATTTAGTTTGATTCCATATCTTGGCTGTTGTGAATAGTGCTGCAATAAACATGGGAGCACAGATATCTCTTCAGCATATTGATATCATTTTCTTTGGTGGTTTCTTCTTGATTGCATTATCTTTTGGATGCAGTTCATTCTGTACTGTCTCTGAAGATGTTAGCTATGTTTGGTTTTTTTCTTACAGTTTCCCTTCAATGCGTATATAAATCTCTATATCTTCTGCCTCATTATTCATTTATTTATTTTGATTATTTGTTTTGGTTTCTCTAGTTCATGTAAAAAAAAAGACTTCTGAAATGTCTGGAGATTCAAGACATCCTCAATTTAGTTTTTAAGTGTGAGATATTAAAAAGTTGATTGGAAGCCTTGAGTATGTGAGTGAAATTTAACAGCTAGGGAGCTTTATTGCAGAGGAGATTGAGTGGTAAGCTCTTCCTTTTACTGTGGCTGACAAATGTGAGTATCTTCAGGTCTTTTCTCTGGGGATAAACAATTTCTTAGAAGGATCCTCAGATCTCCGTCATGAAAGCAATGTGCCTTTCTGTAAAAAAGGGATCAGTGGATGAATGGTAGTCCCAGCTTTCAATATGCAGACTTTCATTTCATTTCCTTGCTTTCAGTTTCCTGTCTCAATTACAGCCTTCCACTAGTTTTGATATCTGGAGTATCTCTAGTACACTTCTATAAAAATAAATTTCTGTCTCACGCCTGTAATCCTAACACCTTGGGAGGCTGAGGTGGGCGGATCACCTAAGGTGAGGAGTTTGAGACCAGCTTGGCCAACATGGTGAAACCCCATCTCTACTAAAAATACAAAAATTAGCCAGGCATGGTCATGCACACCTGTTGTCCCAGCTACTCGGAGGCTGAGGCAGGAGAATCGCTCGAACTCCGGAGGCGGAGGTTGCGGTGACCCAAGATCGCACCACTGCACTCCAGCCTGAGTTACAGAGCCAGACTCCATCTCAAGTAAACAAACAAACAAACAAACAAACAAACAAATCTCTGTCTCCAGTGGACCACTAGAAACCTGATTGCACAGGGTTGTGATGGAAACTGGGGTCCAATTGGCTCTATATACCATCTTCAGACAGTCTTCACATTTCACCCACTGTGCCTCCCTGCTTGAACTGTGCTCTCCAGTACCCTGTCTTTAGCTGCCTTTTTGGGAGTTCTACATGTTGAATGTTCTTTTTTTTCTACTAAGTCAGTTATCATTTTACAATCTGCTTTTCATCTTCCAAAACTTCTCATATATGTGTGGGGAATCTGCCATGTTTAAACAAAGTATGGGGTATGCTTAATGTAATTTCAAAAACAATCCCTTGGAAATTGTAATATCAGAATCTAATGTCTTACAGATTCACCACTATGCTCACTACCTGGGTGACAGGATCATTCATATCACAGACTTCAGCATCATGCAATATACTCATGGAACAAATCTGCATGTCCGTCACCTGAATCTAGAATCAAAGTTGAATTTTTTTAAGAAGTCATATATTTTAAAAGTCAATTTCTGCCATTCAGAAGCTCAAGTTTAGTGTCTGCAAAGAGCTGTGGGAAAAAAAAAATTTTTACGAAATACCATTGTCTTAGTAAGAGTGTAATATATATTTATGTATATATGTGTTAGAGTGTGCATATATATCTACACACAGTTAAAATTCATACACTGATAGTAAATTTCATTGTGCAAGAAAAACAGATTATTATCTGCACTGTCAGAATTCAGGGTTATAGATTTCTCTAGCCCTTTGCATCATTACTACATAACAGAAAACTTTGTTTCTTCCTAAATGATGCTTTATTTTCAACTGTACACATCAGATTATCCTCATTTGGCTGTCCTCATTTTTCTCTGCATATTTTGAAACTTTTAGAGGGGAGCAACAACAGGAAATCTGTTTGGGGGTTTAATAAAACCACCAGGTATTTGGCATAATTGCAGCTCTGATCTGTGACTTTTTAAATCTAGGCATTGAGTTAAGAACATTAAGAAACATTGAACTATCACAGCTTAGTCATGTGCCGGCACATTATCAACAACAATGGCACATCTCTTTCCCTGTCCATTTACTTTCTGTAGTTTCTGGTTGTTCTGCCCTGAACTGTAATGTGATAAGGGGCAGTCAGAAAGTAAATGTAACTTTTAAAAATTAGATTATCAAAAACACAGATTTGTTATAGACTGGCGCATTACTTTTGGCTTTTCTGGTACTTTCTTATGAGATGAAGCCCCTGAGTAGGCAAACTTTCACTAACATTTCTGGTAGTTACTAGTAGTTAGGTATTGCTCAAGACAGAAAGAAACATTTTAGAATAAGGAAAATATTAAGCTGCAATCAAGAGAAATTCTTTTTAATCTTTGCATTTCCTGGAACAGACTGAGTCATGAGATGAATTGACAGTAAACACTTAACACTGGCACATTAGTCAGAGTTAGTCACATAAGGTGAACTAGGCAATCACAAACTAAATAAATAGATCAGAAATCCCAAAGACAAAGGGCTAAATATAGTAGAATGCTCAGAAACAGCAATAAGGATGCATGGTGTGAAGTAAGTTGAATAGGAGAGTGAATAGTTGACAATGAGATTGGAGGACTAACCAGAGATCATGTAGGCCCTGCATGGATTTTGGGATTTATTCTAATTGTTAAGGTAGTTATATGATCTAATTTCAATTTCTAAATAAATGGGCACCATGGCTGTTGTGTAGCAGACAGACTATACAGCATAAGAATGGGGACAGGGCAATTATTTTTAAAGCTAATTCAGGAATCTAAGCAAGAGACAGTTGTGGTTTAGACCAGTGTAGTAGCAATGGAGGAATTGGAGGAGGGAGAATGTTGTGTTCAGAATATGTTTTAGAGAAGGTCAATGGGATTAACTGATGGGTTGAATGTGTGATACAAGAGGAAAGGGAATTATAAATAACTTCAAATAGTTTGGGCTGAGCATGTGAACAAACAGTAGTGCCATTTTAAGTAAACTCTGGAGAACAGCTTTATGGCAAAAGAGTAAGGGAGGAGGATCAATAGTTCATTTCTGATTTGAGGGGCATTTTGTTTGTTTGTTTATTTGTTTGTTTTGTGTTTTTTGTGTTCTCTTTTTTTTTTTAATTTCAACTCTCATTTTAGATTCAAGGGTACACGTGCAGGTCTGTTACATGGGTAATTTGTGTGATGCTGGGGTTTGGGATATGAATGATCCTGTCACCCAGGTAGTGAGCTTAGTACCCAGTGAGTTGTTTTTCAACCCTTACCTCCTTTCCTTCCTCCCTTTCTCTGGTAGTCCCAAGTGTCTGTTGTTCCCATCTATATGTCCATGTATACCCAGTGTTTAGCTCCCACTTATAAACGAGAATATACAGTATTTGGTTTTCTGTTCCTGCGTTAATTCACTTAGGATAATGGCCTCCAGATGCATCCAGGTTGCTTCAAAAGACATGATCTTATTCTTTTTTATGGCTGCATAGTATTCCATGGTGTGTATGTACCAGATTTTCTTTATTCAGTTCACCATTGATGGGCACCTGGGTTGTTTCCGTGTCTTTGCTATGGTGAATAGTGCTGTGATGAACATACAAGCACATGTGTCTTTTTGGTAGAACAATTTATTTCCCTTTGGATATATACCCAGTAATGAGATTGCTGCATTAAATGCTGGTTCTGTTTTAAGTTCTTTGAGAAATCTCCAAACTGCTTTCCACAGTGGCTGAACTAATTTACATTCTCACCAACAGTGTATAAGCATTCCCTTTTCTCCACAACCTCACCAGTATCTGTTGTTTGTTGACTTTTTTTTTTTTTTTTTTGAGACAGAGTCTTGCTGTGTCACATTTGTTGACTTCTTAATAGCCATTCTGACTGGTGTGAGATGGTAACCCTTTGTGGTTTTGATTTTCATTTCTCTGGTGATTAATGATGTTGAACATTTTTTCATTTTTTCATTGTTGCCCACTTGTATGTCTTCTTTTGAGAAGTGCCTGTTCATGTCTTTTGCCAGCTTTTTAATGGAGTTATTTATGTTTTGCTGGTTGACTTGTTTAAGTTTCTTATAGATTCTGGATATTAGACTTTTGTTGGACGCATAGTTTGCAAATATTTCCTCCCATTCTGTAGGCTCTCTGTTTAAGCTGTTGGTAATTTCTTTTGCTGTGCTGAAGCTATTTAGTTTACTTAGGTCACACTTGTCAATTTTTGTTGTTGTTGCAATTGCTTTTGAGAACTTAGTCATAAGATTTAAATATAAGACCATTAAGAGTCCTAGAAGAAAACCTAGGAAACACCATTCTGGACATCAGCCTTGGGAAAGAATAGTTCTTTTTGGATATGTTGAACTTAAGACATCTTATCAGACATCCAAATGAAGATATAGATTAACTAGTTAGATATTTGACCCTGAAGTTCAAGGAGAAGAAAGAACTGAATACATAAATTGAACCTTCATGCCATAAACATGTTATAAAAAGTTGTGGAACCTGTTGAGATAAACTAAGAAATGCATACAGATAAAGAAAAAAAAGAGGTCCAATGGCTATTTTAGCATTTTATGAACAGGAAGAGTAAGAAGATCCAGCAAAAGAAGCTGAGAGGAAGAAGATCAGGAGAAGGCATGATAAGCCATGTGCAGTGAGATAGCTATGCACATGTCTATGCCTCAAGGAGAGAGGAAGCTAACAGGAAGCTGACTTATCATGGAAAAGAACTGAAGGAAGATTTCCTGGAAAGAGGAAGGATTGAGATAAATTAATCTTCAAGGTTTTAGGCTTATAAATAATTGGCAAACTATTATCCACCTCTTCTAGAATCTAAATCTTGCTCCCTTTAAGGTGTGTGCATTCTTATAGGAAATAGATGACATATATTCAAACACCTCAATTTTTAGAAATTTCAAAATTTCTAAAGCCACTTTCACATACTCATAATAACCCTGAATGACAAATGTTTGTAACTACTATTACGCAGAGTTTACAGGTAAAGGAAAATAAGGTGAACAGATCTGCCCAAAGGCAAATAGACCACTGCAAAGTGACAAAATTGGGAGTAGAACCTCTTGCCCTCTGAATCCTAGATTCTTATACTTTTCACTCCATTACCTATTGCAGTAGAAAATTTGGTACCTGTCAAAGGAGCAATTCAAACAAAGATCTGTAGGAGCTCCATGGGGGAGTGATCACTTCTTACTGGAAGGATCAGGGAAGACTTTGTGGGAGAGATAACATTTTAACTAAAACTTGAAGAAAGAATATGATTCCAGGATAAAAGTTACCTAGTCATGGTATTCCATGCTCTGGATGATTTTGTCCCAGCTTACATCTCCAGCCTTTTCTGTTGCCATCCCCTGCCACTGCCCCAGGCCATAATCAACCATACTGAGCTACTCACACTTTTACCTAATGCCAAGGTTGCTCTTGCTTCTATACCTATGGTACCTACAAGCATACTGCTACCTTAGACACAGAGGCATTTCTACCCTTAGAACCAGCTTCTCAGTCCAATATTTTCCTTACACTCCCCAAACTACTTTAGAAGCCCTTACCCCTGATTCCATGCATCTTATGCATCCTGTGCATCTCTCTCGTGTTTATATCATATTCTACATATAATTTCTTATCTGTGAACTTCAGGGGATCAGAGACTTGCCTGGCATATAACTGATCCCTAGACCCACACACTAGGATACAATGGTTACCAACCAGCACTGATCACTTTTTGACAACCTGGAGCAACTTCCTGTGTAATAGAACATATTATGTTGGTGCAAAAGTAATTGCGCGTTTTGCCATTGAAAGTAATGGCAGAAACTGCAGTTACATTTGCACCAACCTAATAGTAAATGCTGGTTTCTGCTTTATCATCATGAATGAGTATTTGTACTTTGGTTCATATTATTTTGTATTAGTCCATTTCGCCTTGCTATAAAGGAATACCCAAGGCTGGGTAATTTATAAAGAAAAGAGGTTTAATTGTTTCCAGGTTCTGCAGACTCTACAAGAAGCATAGTGCTGGCATCTGCTTCTAGTGAGGACCTCAGGAAGCTTCTGATCATCGGGGAAAACAAAGGGAGAGCAGATCAGATGTGTCACATGGCAAGAGAGGGCACAAGAGAGATGCCAGGCTCTTTTAAACAAGCGGCTCAGGTGTGAAATAATAGATTGCTAGAACTCATGCATTACCACAGGGATGGTACCACACCCTTCATGAGAGATCTGCCCCCATGGCCCAAATATAACCCACTGGGCCCCACCTCTGACAGCGGGGATTACATTTCAACCTGAGATTTGGAGGGGACAAATATACAAACCATATCATGTTCTAGGTTCCTTGAATTTAGATGTATATATCCAAATTCATATTTATTTTCTCGTTTTTATTCTTTAAAATGTAAGCTGCTAAAGTAAATATTGCCTTAACTTTATGTTGTATAAAATCTCCTATTTAGCACAATAGGCATCAAAGAATAATTCACAGGCTGTGATGATAATAATTTAGAGTTTTGTTCTTTCTTCAAAAGTAAATGTTTCCTTCAACTTTACCCTGAAAATTCAAGAGGAAAATTGAAATGATGGCTTGTGAACTTTTTGTTGCATATACATTTCATTATTGCCTTATCCCTGGAATATTATTACTAAATAATTTTGTTTCAGAATTGTACAGATATCAAGAAATATTGGGGCTTCAGGGTTTCAAATAATGCAAAAGACATATCAGACAAGCAAGACACTTGCATTTTAATATGTGTGAACTCATGCAAGAAAGAGAACAGGATTGAGAGAGCTGGATAAATGTCTTACAAAAAAGCAATAAACATACAAATCCTCCAGGAAAACTGGTGCAGTAATTCAATCACATATTGACAATGTCTATATTCCTAGATAAATGCAAAAAGACTTTCCAATTTATAAATAGCTTACCACCTTCCTTAGTCCTCTCTCCACACTGTTTAAAGTCCATGACAGGTAAACACACAAAAGCAAAGATTTACACTTTAAAGGTTTAACTGCCATTTTGCAGTCAGTATGGAGGTAATTGTACTATATTAAAAAGTGGTATCTTGTGAGAGGGAGTAGTTTAGTTGGAGTATAGATGAAGAGCTAGTCTGTGCCTCAAACATATTTTATATAATTCTGCATTGATTTTCTGCATTCCTTTTTTGCAAAGATTTTAGGATCAGAAAATATTGCGTTTCACCCTTGGCCTTGTTGGGCCCATGGCAAACTATATTTTGAAAGGCCTGAACAGTTAGAGAATTATGTTTCTAAAATTTATCTTTTTGCTGGATACTATTAGCAAATTTGACTTAAAACACATTTAATTTTGAAAATTGTATGTCATAACATTAAAATACAGTCATCTACAAGTTGTTTGAAATAACTATTTGGCATTTAATGAAAGGAAACATCCCACATTTCTGTCTCCTCTTTAATTTTATAGTAACACCCGTAAAATGCCCTTATTTCTGATTCCCTTAGGCAACTTTAGGGTTGAAAGTTTTGTACATTGACTTCAGCTTAAATGTGATTTAACATTTAATATCCACTCTCCTCTGAAACTGACGGGAGAAAACACACTTGTTTCATTTTAGCACAACTGAAAATAAAGACCAGTGATAGGCCACATCCTACTTATCTGATCTCAGAGACACCTTATAATAGAAAGTTCAGGGTTCTGATTGTTCAATATTCTAAAGCAGTCATTCATGTAAGTTCCATCAGAAAGATATGAAATAGCTTGTAGTAACGTATCTTTTCCTCAGTCAAAAAGAAAAAAAGCTTGAACTGAGTGAAGATCACTATGTCATTAATCTACTTAAAGATTAACCTTTTTAAACAGCCAAGATGTGTAACGTACTTGTTCTTATTCAAAGTTCAATTGTGTTCAGCACCATGGAAAGTTTTATGATTGAATATATGTAATTATAGTATATAGAGATTAAAAATAACTCAAGGGATTGAACAAAGTTTTCCAGTAGTTAATCATTAATGAAGATCTTAAATCTGTACTTTAAATACAGACAAAACTAGTTATAATGATCTCATTAGTGCCTTATTAAGGTTATCTATTTTAGTATTTGTCAGGACAATTCAGACGGAAATGAACTTCTTAACATGTTTAGGAGAGGTTGATGATCGTTTACTCAGTTAAAAGACATACCATAGCTGATTAATTGCTGTGCAAATAAAGAGTCAGACTAGAAGCAACAGAATAGCTAAATGTAGCCCATTCTGAAATTTAACTTTCATGCTTGTGCTCTCTGCCACATTTTTGTTTGTTTTTATTCATGAGGCCAGAAAATATGTTTTAAAATATAGAGGAAGTTGGAGAAAAAGTAGAGAAAAAGTAAACAAGACTGTGAGTTTTATTTTCCTAGGACTTGGCTGAGTGTCAAATTGAATGGAGACCTTTCACAGGCGTTCAAAACTTGTGTTTTTAAAAGAGAAAAATGTGCTGGTTTGCCTTTGACAAAGTCTGTTGCTCTAAGTTCAAATTGCAGAAAGAATAAAATTTTTCAGAAAGAGGCTAGCAATTACTTACGGTATCAGTTTGCTCTTAAAAAGGAACACTGTGATATAAGGGCAACTGAAGCTGCAGTTATTGATATAAATATACTTCAGGGAGAAGAACAGAGTGAATGTCAAATCATCAGGGAACATGCTTGAGATCAATTATTCAAAGTGTGGAAGTCCTTCCATTTGGATATTGTGATTCAATAGTTCACCAAGTGGGAGAAAGGAGAATGCAGCTATTTGAGGATGTGGTAAGGTACAAAACAGTAGTGAGTAGGGACTAAATTGAAAATGATCTATATATTTATGCCCTAGTAATTTCTTTTAATCTGCATTAGCAAAACATGCTTTTATGGGGTTTTCAAAATATAATATCGGCAGAATGTGGAGAATATGCAGATTTCTTGAAAAAGGTTGAATTTAAAATAGCAATCTCTCTTTGATCTTTATTACAATTTTTCCTCCAGTACACATTACCTCTTCTAAGAGGACAGGTGAGGCTTTGATAAGTATTGCCATATCTGATTGATCTCTAAAGCCCAAAGAACCTACTTGCTTAAAGTTTTTCTGAGCTGGTCCTTTTTGTCTAATTCCACAAGATTATCTCTGGGAATACTGCAATTAACTTCTTCCTGATTTTATTTTATTTCTCTCCCTTCTGTCCATTCTCTACACTACATTTAATTTTCTTTTATTTTCAAAATCCTTGTTAATGATGTCCACAAGCTCATTCCTAAGAACGTTTCTATCCTTAGCTTTCCCTGCCTGCCCCCAGGCTCAGCTGTGCTCCAGTCAGAGGGAACTGTTCTACTCTCTAATGCACCATGCTCCCCACACTCCGTGCCTTATCTCTTGTCTGGGGAAATCCCAGCTTCCTTCAATGTGCCAACAAACCTTCTCTATGAATTCTTTAGCTGAATTTGATGCTTCCTTTGATGGGAAACATACTTTCAGTGTGTTTCTGTCAAAGGACTTATCATTTTGTGTGGTTACTGCATTTCTCTTTTAGCAGTTTGCAAGTTCTTTCAGCACAGAAATGTCCTCTTGGTCATTTTTTAAATCTTGCATTAGCAAAGTACCTGGTATGTAGTAGTAGGCACTCAATAAACACTTGGGGAAAGAATAAAAGAGGCAGGTATTAAGAGCAGAAATCTTCCTGAATAAATTTGCTCGAAATATGTAAGAGTTTGTGAGAGAACTTACATAACTAACTTCTCCTTAAACTGTTTAAATAGGCAAGGATGGCTCTTGAAGAACATAACCAGACAAAGTTTATCTTTGTCCCTCTCACTTTTACTTCCTCTTTTAGCAGACAAATTCCCAGTGTTCACAGCACCTTTCTTCATTTGAGACAAACATTTTTCTCCCAAACTCTACCTTATGTAGCAATTGTTTATATATGAAATATTTTCTGGCCCCACACTTGCAGCAGAGCTTACCAGCCCCATGTTTTACCCTCTCACAGCCTTTAGAGCACAGGTCCATATGAATGGGGAATGGTGTAAATGTTGTAGTTAATGATCTTTCACAGAAAATGTGTGTGTGTTTTAATTAGATTTTTCTAGATTTAACACAAAGGAATAGCTTGAATATGAGAAATATCAGCACTTGGTTGAGATATTGCAAGAACACAGATTGGGGTAGGGAAGAATAAAAAATTATAGTCTATACACATTCTACTGGAATATTATGATGCCTCTCAACCGCAAGATGACCATATATCTTTCCTTTGGGAAGACTAAACCCATTCTCCGGTTGTTTATGAATTTAGACTCCTAATGGGAAATTGTTAGTGATTCTATTGCTTTCTTTACTACTTTTCTTGCCTCCTCTCTTCCTTTAACAAATAGAGTGCTTTCTATATGCCACTCTGCTGGAATGGCATGAAGGAAACATACATGGCCCCAGGCCTTCGTGGTGCTTATAACCTATGTCCCTCCGAAAAGCACCTGAAATATGGAAGAGTTTACAGTTCTTCATTTGAGCCAAATGATGTGACATAATCTCATATGCTTTTCAGAGGGAATTTGGGCAATTAAATCTTATCATAAATTTGCTGATGAAGTAATTTACTTGGAAAGATATTGAGCGCTGTGTACTGAATTGTGCCCCTCCCTCCAAAGTTCATATGTTGAAGCCCTAACCTCCTAACCTCCAATGTGACTGTATTTGGAGATAAAGCCTGTGAAGAGGTGCTGAAAGTTAAATGAAGTCATAAGGGTGGGTCCCTAATGCAATAGGGCTGGTGACTTTATAAGAAGAGGAAGAGATATCAGAGCTCTCTCTCTACCATGTGAGTGAGGACGCAGTGAGAAAGCAGCCATCTCCAAGCTAGGAAGAGAGCCCTCACCAGGAACTGAATCAGCCAGCACCTCAACCACCGACTTCCCAGCCTTTGGAACTATAAGAAATAAATCTCTGTTCATTATAAATTACCCAGTCTTTGGTATTCTGTTAAAACACTATAAAATGGACTAAGACAGGAAATTGGTACCGAGAAGTGTGACTGCTGCTATAACAAATATCTGAAAATGTGGAAATGACTTTGGAACTGGGTAACGGGTAGAGGCTAGAACAGTTTGGAGGAGAAGGCTAGAAAAAGCCTAGGTTTCCATGAATAGAGCTTTCAGGACAATTCTGGTGAGGGCTCAGAAGAAGACAAGAGCTACAGGGAGAGCCTAAATCTTCTTAGGGATTACTTAGGTGGTCATAATCAGAATGTTGTAGAAATGTGGATGGTAAGGGGCATTCTGATAAGATTTCAGATGGAAATAACGAATGTGGTATTGGAGACTTGAGTAAAAAGCTATCCTTGTGCAGTTGCAAAAAAAAATGTGGTAGAATTGTGTCTATGTTCTAGGATTTCGTGGAAGACAGAACTTAAGAAGAACTATCTAAACAACATCTGGCAGGATAAATATCTAAGCAACAAAGCATTCAAGGTGCTATATGGTGGCAGCTTACAGTAAAATGAGAGAGAGAAATGTTTTAAAGATGGAACTTATAATTAAAAGGGAAACAGAACAGAAAACATTGAAAAACTCTCAACTTAGCCACATAAAGAATAAAAGAATGTGTTCAGGAGGGAATACTAAGTGTGTGGCTAAGCGACTGTTTGCTAAAGAGATTAATATGGATAGAAGAAATCCAGGTTTTATTCATCAAGACTATGGGAGAATGACCATGGAGGCATTTCTGAGATCTTCAAGGCAAGTTAGGTAGGACATTGAAGGCAGGGTTTCTAGACAGGGGCTCATATCGGACCTCAGCATTAGGTGCCCTGCACTATCTTGAGACTTTGTTCCCTGAATTTTTGTCCATCACCCTCAGCTTCCCCAGCAGTGGCTCAAGCAATCCTAGGGGCACCTTGATCCATCACTCCAGAAGGTATAAGCTGCAAACCTTCACAGTGTCCACATAGTGCTAATTCTTCAAGAATATAGAATACAGGAGCTCTGGGGCCATGGCACCCTCCACCTAGATTTCAAAGGATCTCTCGGTTAGCCTGGGTCCCTAAGAAGAGACTTGTCATAGGCACAGAGCCACTGCAAAGAGCTATTACTAGGGCAATGCACAGCAGAGTGCAGGAGTGAGACTACTGCAGGGAATCCCCACTTTGACATTACTTAGTAGAGCCATGGGAGTGAGGCAGTCCCTGGACCCCAGAACTGTGGTGCCACCAGCATGCAACTGTAGCCTAGGAGAACTGCGGGCATAAGACGCCAAATTGTGAGAGCTGCTGAGTGTACTGAACCCATCAAAGCCATAAACAGGGCTGCCCAATCCCTAGGGGCCCAACCCCTGCCCCAGTGTGTCCAGGAGGTGGGACATAGAGTCAAAACATATTATTCTCTAGCTTTAAAATTTAATGTTCCCTTCTTGTGGTTTGGACTTACATGAAACAAGTTACTCCTTTTTTCTTGCCTATTTCTTTCTTTTGGAACGGGAATGTCTATCCTATGCTTGTCTCACCATTGTGTTTTTGGAAGTAGATAACTTGTTCGATTTCCCAGACTGATGGGAATTTGCCTCAAGATGAATTGTGCCTTGGGTTTCCCCCATATCTGACTTTCATGACACTCTGGACTTTGGACTTAGGAGTTCGTGCTGGAATGGGTTAAAGCCATTGGGATGGAATGAACATATTTTGTATATGAGAAGGACATGATTTTGAGGGACCATGGTGGAATGCTGTGGTTTGAATGTGTCCCCCAAAAGCATTTGTTGGAAGCTTAATCCCCAATGCAACAGCAATAAGAGGTGTGAGGTGATTAGGCCATAAGTCTCCACCCTCATGAATGGATTAATGCCCATTCATGAGGGTGATTCCTGAGAGGTGATAAGCCATAAAGCTCCACCCTCATGAATGGATTAATGCCCATTATAAAAGCGCTTGAGGCTGCCAGTTCAATCTCTTTCTCTCTTGTGTGCGCCTGTGCCATTCTGCCTTCCACCGTGGGATGACACAGCAGGAAGGCTCTCACCAGATGCAGGCCCCTTGACCTTGGATTTCCCAGCTTCTGGAACTGTAAAAAATGAATCTGATCTTCAATCTGAAACTGTAAGAAATGAATCTGATCTTCAATCACTGATACCCTTTCTTCCACTTGATCAAAAAGTGGGCAAAGGATATGAACAGGCACTTCTCAAAAGAAGACATTTATGCAGCCAACAGACACATGAAAAAAATGCTCATCATCACTGGTCATCAGAGAAATGCAAATAAAAACCACAATGAGATACCATCTCACACCAGTTACAATGGCAGTCATTAAAAAGTCAGGAAACAACAGATGCTGGAGAGGATGTGGAGAAATAGAAACGCTTTTACACTGTTGGTGGGAGTGTAAACTAGTTCAACCATTGTGGAAGACAGTGTGGCAATTCCTCAAGGATCTAGAACTAGAAATACCATTTGACCCAGTGATCCCATTACGGGGTATATACCCAAAGGATTACAAATCATGTTACTATAAAGACACATGCACCTGTATGTTTATTGCAGCACTGTTCACAATAGCAAAGACTTGGAACCAACCCAAATGTCTATCAATGATAGACTGGATTAAGAAAATGTGGCACATATACACCGTGGAATACTATGCAGCTATAAAAAAGGATGAGTTCATGTCCTTTGCAGAGACATGAATGAATCTGGAAGTCATCATTCTGAGCAAATTATCACAAGGCCAAAAAACCAAACACCCCATGTTCTCACTCATAGGTAGGAATTGAACGATGAGAACACTTGGACACAGGGCAGAGAACATCAGACACTGGGGCCTGTCATGAGGTGGGGGGCAGGGGGAGGGATAGCATTAGGAGAAATACTTAATGTAAATGACGAGTTAATGGGTGCAGCAAACCAACATGGCACATGTATACCTATGTAACAAACCTGCCCGTTGTGCACATGTACCCTAGAACTTAACGTATAATAATAATAAAAAAAGAAATGAATATCTGTTCATTACAAATTACCCAGTCTATAGTATTCTGTTATAGCAGCATACAGCAGATTAAGACACCAAAGATGCAGAACCCTGAACTGCAGGACACAGCAATGATTTGTTTAATTGATATTAGATAGCACTCCTAGATTTTGTCTTGATGTCCTTGTACCCTCTCTCCATGGTGCAGACGTATCTTCTCTTAATAGATGAGCATTCTGAACACTAATGTGCTATTTTTCATTCTCTAGTTAGTATTCTCCCTTGATATGCTAAGCCAATTGGATACTGCTGCCTAGGGGCATTTATTAATACCCTTCTGAACTCAAAGGAACAAATGACACAGATTTTATAACACAGGATATCCCTGAAATTCATATTCTACTAAAAATATTATGAGCTAATTATTGTGAAACTTAGATTAAGTTTATTTATTTCTAGATGTCCCTATTAGCTAAAAAACCTGGTGATCAGCAGTAACTTTATTGTGTAGTACTATTTGTCTAAATTCATGTGACTTTAAAAGTAATTTTTACCTTTACTTAAAGCACAATGTATTTACCAATTAAAATGCTGTAGAATGCATCTCATATAGAAAGTTTAATTTGTAAACTTCTGAGTAAAGGAATCAAATTTAGACCAAAATAGAGTGATGGGGTTTTCTTAGAAACTTAGTCATCTAAGTAGAGAGTATCAAAATTTTCTAACTTATGAGTAGATAGAGTACATGTTTGAAATTGAGCATGTTAGTCAGAGACCTGGAATGATTAAAGAAAAAATTGTATTTAAAAGTTTAATAAGAAGATTAAAAGGTCACATTTATCTCAAACAGTAGTGATATAAAAACTATACACTACATAATAAAAAACAGATAATAAGATTTTTTGTACATCACAATGACACAAATTCTACCACATTCAAACTCCCACAGGTGGGACTGATAAAGACAAATGTTATTCTTAAAACAATTCTTGTAGGATATATTACATCTAGATGTTAAAATGCTCTGATTCAATTATTTATCCATTAAACATATATTTGTAAAAGAGCCTACCATATGCCAGGTGCTGTTCTAAATTCTGAGCGTAGAGCATTGAGCAGACAGGAAGCAGGGATTGCTGTGGGGAGGAGAGAATAAAAAATACATAAGAATAATCTCAAATACCTCTAACTGTTATGAAAATAGCAAAACTAGGTGGTATAATTGTGATAGAAAAAGAGATGGGACTTTAGATTAGGGGTCAGAGAAGATGTCTTTGAGAAATGACATTTGGGCTAAGACTTGTATGAACAGTGCCAATCATGCAATAATATGGATTTAGAACACCAAGAAGAGGGAAAAGGTCATGCAAAGGACCTACTACCATGAGCTTGGGAATTTAAGAAACAACAAGTATCAGTGAGGCAGGAGTCTGATAAACAAGGTGAAAGTGGTATGATGTAATTTATAACGAGGATTCCCAGTATCTAATAATGGCACTGTCCACGGATGAACGGGACAGTCTTGCTATTACTATCTATTGGGGTAAAATTGAAGGGACAAGGCAAAATATAACTGAAAACTATAAAGTTTTGTCTTTCTCATAACCATATCTTTGACACATGCTGAGGAATAACATTTCTCTGAAAACAAAAACACTTTCAGGTCTCGAAGTCATAGTGGTTTTATATTTAAGCTTTGCCTTGATCAAGAAATATCTGATGTGTGGATAAAGACAGCAAAAAGGTTGTAGTCAGCAGACCCAGGTTCGAGTCCCAATTTAAATATAAATTAGCTTTGCCTTGTGGTGTTGAATTGTGCTGTTTTGATCCATCTGAGCACAATTTATTATCTATAAAATATGGTAATTGTGAAGATCAGCTGACATTTAGGAAGCTTAAGTTAGGGACAATGATGGAAAAATTTATTACTGTGTAAAAGTTAAAATAGGATTTAGGGATGTGGCTTATGCATTTGTCTTAGCTTAGTAAAACAAATATGATTAATGGAAACGGTATTGTTTCGACAAATCACTGGAATTTTCAATTCAGAAATGTATAAAGTGGGAAGAGAAGGGTTGGCTCACACCTGTAATTCCAACACTTTGGGAGACCAAGCAGGGAGGATTGCTTGAGCTCAGGAGTTCAAGACCAGCCTGGGCAACATGGCAAGACCTCATCTCTACTAAAAATTAGAAACAAAAAACATAAAACAAAAAAATACTAGCCAGGCATGGTGGCGTGTGCCTATAATCCCAGCTATTTGAGAGGGTGAGGCAGGAAGATCGCTTGAGCCCAAGAATTTGAGGCTGCAATGAGTTCTGCACTTCAGCCTGGGCAACAGAGTAAGACTTTGTCCAAAAAAAAAAAAAAAAAAAAAAAAAAAAAAACAGAATTTTGCTATTAAGATTCAGAATTGGCAGTCATAGCTATCTGTAGGTAACCAAAAGAATCTAGATCATGATCTGGCTCTTCCATTTCAGCCTGATTCTCATTGTTGCAGCATTGATCTGATTTTATCTTTAGTCATTATTTTAGAAAAAAATAGATAAAAGAAAAAAGATAATATCAAGGGCTATTTTCAGCCATGTTATAAGTACTTGACATATATTAAAATTTTGATCATCAAATGAAGGGGGTAATTTTTCAATTATCTGAAGTATGTGTTTAACATGTTTTTGTTGTGGTGGTAGGGTTTATTTTGTTTGTTTTGGAAATATTTTGGTCAGAATCTCACCATACCCAATCTCATAGAATGTTTTGTCAGGTTCAGTGAAAAGGAGAATGTAGATGTCCAATTAATTGATATCTAATGAGGAATAAAAGTTAGAAGGCAAACAAATGTATTAATTTGGAAAAATGCTATTTTTCATATCATGTATTATACTTAATCACCATAGAGGGTATAGGTTTTCATCAGTGTACTACTGATTCCCACTATATTTTCTTAAGTGTAATTGTTTTAATGGTTCAACCCTTAAATAATAAATAATAATGGCTATATAAGCTTCAAAACCTCACAGCATCCTTGTAGCAGAAGATTCTAAGTGCAGAGTTATTAAAATTGTAAACTATTTGTTTTTAAGTTTGTGGGAATCATTACCCATCATCTCATCTGTATTACATTTGTTTTTGAATAAAGATTAACATTTTTTTCCAAGCCTTTTTCTATATTGTAATCATAGTGGGGAAATGGTATTTCAGACCTCAGATAAAAGCTTTATAGTGATTTCATGTGACAGAATTTTATCTGGGTTTCAAGGAACTCTAATAATAGCATTTACAATTCTTCTATGCAATTTCTTCTCTTCTTGTTACCATAGGAGTATGGAAAACACGTTCTTGGTTTAAAAAGCTAAAAGAAAGAAAATCAGCAGTTTAATCTGAGTATTAGGAAAAGGATCACAAATCCTGCTATAGTATTTTGTATTTAAGCTAGTTTCTGTAAAGGCCCCTGACATGCCCTCTGGGAGCTAAATATTGACAAGCATGCTTTGGCAATCAAGATCAAGCTTGTTGAATTAACACAGCTCAAGTCTTGCATTGACACTATAACCCAACACTGAGAACTGTTATCTTACCCCATTTATTTTGGCTTTGTAGGTGATACTTTATACTTGAATTAGGGATTTGCACTGTATCTTAAATGCTAGAATTGTGGATTAATTTGATTTGAGAATATACTAGCCCTTATCATGTTCACAGTGGAAATTATAAATGAAGTGTAACATTCATTGTTTTCTCTCCCAGCATGGATCCAGAATGAACCTGCTGTAGACCTAAGTCTGATATTATCTTCTCTATCAGAAAATGTCTTATAATTTTCACCTCCTAAAAAAAGAAAAAGAAATAAGAAGAATTATATTGTTCTTTATATAGCTTCTGGTAAAAGAAAATATATCCCAAACTGCTAATTCTGTAGAGGCTTCGTTCAGAAGTTAAGACAAAATATAGATCATAAAAGAAATAAAGATTATTTTTCATTACTACTCTCAAAACTTTAGAATTTTAAAAAGTTAAAATTAATTGTCTTCAAGTTTTAGTGGAAAATGTAACCCATTTTTATTGTCCAGGAAGTTGAAGAACGAATTGTTAATTACTAGGAATAATAATGATAAAGGTGATGATGTTGGTAAGAACTGACATTTATTAAGGGCTTACAATGTGTTCAACCCTATGTGGAGCATTTTACATGCAATCGCTCATCTAACTCACATGAGATAGATACTTCCATTGGCCTCATTTCATATATGAGGAAACCAAGACTCAAAGAACTTAAGGAGCTTATCTGGTCATGCCCAGTGTGCGTAAAGATTACCTTTATTTTCTTTCCAATGGATATACCTACAGTCAAAGTAGTAACTAGACATTTCTCCTGCCCTTACGGAGCTCACACATTAAAAGATGAGGCAGGTGGGTATTGCTATTATTCAAGATGTTGTTCCCACTCATGCTAGAGAGAACAAAAAGAAAGGAATCTGGTGATTGAGGATGGTCTAGGAGTGCTCCCCAAAGGATGTAATATTTGGTATTAGCCTTAACAAACAAAGAGAAGAAGACAAAAACAAAAAAAAATTCAGGCAGTAGGAATAGCAGGAGAAATCACACAGAGGTGTGAATAATTATGATATTTTCAAGAAACAGCAAATAGTTTAGTGTTTAAGGAATTATCAGGTAGAAGTCACATGAATGATGAAAAAAACTTACGGAGTTTTAATGTCAGAAACACACTCACCAGCTGATGACCTCAGTAACTTCACTGTGAACTGAAGATAATGCCAAAAATCAGACTTCATAGAGCTATTATGAGGAATAAATTAGCTAATGTATGCCAAATGCCTGCCTAGCCTAAGTTCTCAATTCTAAAAACACAGTTTTATCTCTTAACTAAATTCATACCCTTTGCTACCTTCAGAAGTAATTTTGGAACTGCCATCTCAAACTATTTTCTTTAAATAAAATAGTCATTTGGCACAATTTCCCTTTGAATTTTCCTGCTTGGCAAGTTAGGAGAGAGACACAAATCGTTCTTTTTTAAAAAAAAAAAAAAAAAAAAAAAGATGCATAGTCTTTTATCATTTTCTCAAAGAAAGTCATCATAACTTCATCCACACTAGCAAGTGTCACTTGATACTTAATTTTCTCATATTTGTGCAGTTGGATCTCTACATTAATTTTGGATAGATGTGATTGCAGATACATATATTTACAATAAAGTAGCTGTCATAAAAATAATGTATTCTAAAGTTAAAGGTGTCCATCACAGTGCCCAGCGCATAGAGGCATCCATTAGCTCCCCTTCCCTTTCTTTCCTTTCAAATTTATATTAAAAGCCTTTTCTGAATCTACTTCGAAAAGCTACATGGAAAGAGAACTCCAGACATTTTGCCAGTGACTTGTTTGTCATGTGTTTGTCATACGTCTTCACAATTCTAGACTAAGTCTTCACAATCCAGCAACTATTTACACCCCTATCTACAATTCAGTGATCATTTACAAACTGTTTACTTATGGTGAACGATTATCTCTTCATTCTGTGAAAACAAAATATGTGTTCTCACTTGCATGCCTTCTTTGAAAACATTTCTGAAGTTTGATATGCCTGTGGTCCATTTATCTGATTTTGTACTTAAAATGCTTACTGCCTCCATGTACTTTCTGGAACTTGCCTGCTCTCTGAACTCCCTCTGGACTGTCTGCTACATTCCCCTGGCATTTAGATTTCGTACATTATATAGTTATGTTCAGTCTGCAGATCCTCTCTCCAGCAAAATATAACTCCATTTAGGTTAGGAACCTGATTTTTCTGTTTATTTGACACAGAGTGAAGTTTTGCTTTGGAAAATGAAAATCACCATGTGTCCTTTTGTTTTGTATTTGAGTGTTTTTTGTTTGTTTCTACTAAACCACACATTCAATAAAGTTTATCCATGCAACTATTTCATAAATTACTGAAACATTCTAATTTTATGGTAATTTTAAGACTTACACAAATATTTTTCAATTGTATACTTATACAACAAATTAATATCTTCTCAAGCAACACTTTTAATAATTATTTAAATTTGTTACTCTTCAGATTAAATGACCTACAGCCATCACACCTCTCCAGAATACTTTCATTGTCTTTTTTGGCTATATCTCTATATTTTATTTGTTATAAATATGATAGTACAGAATACTATCATATAAGTTTCATTACCAAAAAAGATACAGAAATCTTAAAAACTAAATATTTAGAAACTGATGTAACTAGTTATAAAACCATAATTATATAAGAGAGTATTCTTTTATAACAAGAAGTCTTCACACCTGTCATCCAGTGTTTTAATGCCTATAGTACTTATTAGCTGACTATTTCTATTATTACCATTTTACAAGCAAGTGCCATTCTTGAAACTGATTGATGTTTAGGAATAAAGCACATTTATTACATGTTGCCAACTTCAGAAGAGCAATCTTATAACCTACAGCGCTTTTTGAGAAGTGATGATACCTTATATTTCTGGAACTAATCACTGCTAAAGAAAGTAAAAAGGTGAAAACATAATTTTTTTTCTTGTGAAGACCTTTCATTGCATTATATGCCATTCAACTATAAAGTGATTATAGTGTTTTATCTGCCAAGAATGACAGTGGTGAAAGGTAACTTTATGTATATATGTAAAGAGATGTGTACATATCTATCTATGTCAACCATTGCCCATATCATCTTCCAATTTCAGTCTGGCTAGTCTGACTTGTACAGATATAGAAGAAGGATGAAAATTGAAAGCAAGAAATGAAATTCTTGTTGTATGTAATCAAAATTTGTGATGTTACTATAATTGTTTTATTATTTCACTGCTTCTTCCAAATCATTATTGTACAGTTTTCACTCACCAGTCTTTGAAGTTCTTGCCTCCATTATACCATCTTGACCTTATACACTGACTTTGCCTCCCATTATGCCACCTGATCTCATCTGCTAATCCTAAGTCACTGCCCAACCTTGATTGAATACTTTGATCCTTGGCCACTGGTCTTTCAATTTCTGCCTGTGGTACCAGCTACTTAGGAGGCTGAGGCAGGAGGGGCACTTGAGGAGGGGTTCGAGTCTGCAATGAGCTATTGATCACACCACTGTACTCCAGCCTGGGTGAAAGAGCAAGACTCTGACTCAAAAATAATAATATTTTTAATCGGTAAATTCCAGTTTGTGGTTGCTGTTAAGAGAGGAAAGGAGAATGTATACCAAGCTTTTTATGATCCTAAAGTTCATACACAGTTTTCAATTGAATAACATTTTAGCAAACTCTTTCTAGTAGTCAGCATTGTCACAATCTCTTTGAGCTCTAGGATCCTATTTATAAATAAGGCATTTATAGAATCCCAGTTTTACAGTACTGGAGATACCATGCATGGCAAACCAAAACATAAGTAATAGGTTATATTTCATGTTTTTAAGTAGCTCAGCTGTTTTCCATCCAGTTAGCCTCAGGTATTTACCCAAACTCAAATTTGTTATCCTCTAAATACTTTAAAAATTATCACAGTAAATGGCATTAACCTGAGTCCTCTTGACACTGTTGACCCTTTTACTCTGCATTTCTAATTAGTCACAAGGTTTTATATAGTCCATCTCCGAATGTGAATGAAATCTTTTATGTCATTTTCTATCTTATATAGGCTTGACTTAGTCCAAGCCCTTGTGTTTATAGACAATTCTTAAATGACCATCTGCTAATCACTTTCACTTTCTTGTCCTTCTGGTCCTTATGCAACACCACCATCATATACAAAGTCCAAAATACAATCTTATCTGGTAACTACCTTGCTCAAAATTCTCAGAGGCCCTCTCACTTCTGTAAGAAACTGTCCAGAATGCTGAATGCAGAGTATAGGACCCTTCACAAACAGGCCTCATTGCATCTCTGCCTTAGTTTGAGTTCTTACAAAAGCAAAGCCTGAAGACAAGGACTTGGATGAAAGTGGCCTATTTGGGAGTTGATCTTGGGAAATAGACATCAGGGAGGAGGAAATATGAGACAAAGAAGGAGCAAAAGTCAACTTAAGCAGGTATCACTTTTAGATCACAATTATGAACTCCTAGAAAGTGTGCAGAAGCCTTATAGAATTGTCCCCCTGAAGGATGGAAGGCGGGAGCAGCCTAAGGGCTGTCCCTGAAAGTATTTATTCACTTGCCTGTACTTTTGTGGCTTGGAAGCACAGGCTTAGTAGGCTCTTGTGGTGGCAGGAGAGGCCCTGGGACAGGGGGTACAAAGAAGTTTAGCAAAGCATGAAGTGGGGCTCTGTTTTCTTGGGGTCAGTCAGAGCTGACATGGAACTGACTAGAAGAGCTGCTGTTGAATTAGAGGTGGTCAAGGAGGCTGTAGTGTGTGTCCCAGAAATATCTGCCCCACTCTCCATCTAGCCTTGTCTCCTTCCTCTCCCTCCTAATCCATCTTTACTCTAGGCCCTACGACACACCTAACATTCCAGCCAGATCTGTATCCTTTTGCTCATGCCGTTATCTGTGATTCCCTCCATTCCTTCTCTGCATTCAAAATGCTAGTTATCCTTTAAGACATAGTTCATATTTCATCTTCAAGTAAAGATGACCCAACTAGACAAAGTACAATACACTTTTCTCTGATTTGTCATGATCATTTTCTAAGGTTTACTGGAGTCATTAACATACATTATAATAAGTTATTTATATATTCATTTAGCTAGAGTGTACATTTCTTAAAGACAGGGATAATGTCTAACTCCTATTTATGTCACCAGCTCCAAACATAATAGCTGCTTCATAGCTGGCATTCAATAAATGTCTACTTATTTAATGAATGAAAATATTTGGTTTTTAATGTCTAGTTTAAATTTGTATAAAAATTAATTTTAAATTTAGAATTTTTTCAAATTGATGGTATGAAACTTTTTTTAAATTGAAAAAATAGCTGGGAAGATATACTTGTACCATATATATACACATATACATACACAAATATATATATACGTATACATATATACACACACATATACATATGCACACTATATAGAGATATGGTATATGTATATTTACATAACTCACGTGCTCTCTCTCTCTTTCTCTCTCTCTATATATATATATATATACGTATGTATATGTACTTTTACTTTAGTACCAGTAGTAAATATCAAAATATGCTCTCAGAAAATACATTTCAGGTGTCACTTATAAAAATATAGGTCTCATTTATGTAGTATAAATACATCTGAATGTTTTACTAGTTGGAGTAGTTTGGATTCTAATAACAAGATATCAAATATAGAGATTTTATAAATAGGTGAGTATATAGTATATTTTCATATTATCCAACCTATTATTTTTTTAATTATGTCACTTTTTTGTTGAGTACATTCCATAATTTTATAATAATTTAGTTTTCTTCTTTCAAATGCCAAATGTTCTAATCAAAAAAACTCAGAATTTTTCTTTCCATTGTGGTATGTTAAAAGCACATTGTTTTTTGTATGTCACAGTGCACTGAGTCTTCTGATTTCTTTTTACCAATTTTTGGCTTTGTGATTTCCAAAGGAACTTGTTGGTAATCATTGCGTAGTGTGAAGTGGGAAGGTGGGTGGGCAGAGGAAGGGTGTAGATATTTTAAAGTCTGGTTTGTGGACAAGGATATGTATTACAGATAGACTACATGATTTTACATCATATGTTCCAACTATTGACAGATTTATAAAATTATAAAGACTGAGGGACTTTAAGCAATCCACACTTAATTTTGTTCTTAGTGCTAAGGTGTCTGAGGAGAGGGGAGAGGTAAGGTAAAGATGGGAGATAAAGGAAAGAAGAGATGTTAGAGAAATAAGAGGAAGTGTATTAGTCTGTTCTCACACTGCTAATAAAGATATACCTGAGACTGGATAATTTATACAGGAAAGAGGTTTAATGGACTCACAGTTCCACATGGCTGGGGAGGCCTCACAATCATGGTGGAAGGCAAGGAGGAGCAAGTCACATCTTAACGTGGATAACAGCAGGCAAAGAGAGAGCTTATGCAGGGAAACTCCTCCTTATGAAACCATCAGATCTCATGAGACTTATTCATTATCATGAGAAGAGCATGAGAAAGACACACCCCCATGATTCAGTTACCTCCCACCGGGTCCCTCCCACAACACATGGGAATTGTGGAAGCTACAATTCAAGATGAAATTTGAGGGGGGACACAGCCAAACCATATCAAGAGGGAAATATAAAAGAAAGAGAGAAGGAAGGATGAGGAAGGGAGGGAGAGAGAAGCTTGGGAGCTATACAGCATTGTTTCAGAATATAAAGACTGCTATTATTGGGTATGCTTAACAATGGAAATGTTTTACTAGCGCTTTTATTAGCGGGCAATAAAAGACATCCTGGAGGGAAATAATTCAGTCACTGTCAGACGTTCCCACTTCAACCATAGGCCTTCAACTTTTGGTAGGAACATAAAGTCTTAAAATAGGCAAAACTGAAAGCTGTCATAATCAACTATCATCAGTCATCAGTCAATACTAATTTCTTATAGAAATAGCATTAATTCTTTTCATCTAGGAGATCTTGTTTATAAAGGAGAGAAATTGTCACCCATTTGGGCTAGCCCTGCCCGAAAATGAAATGATGAACTTGACTTCTCAAGCCCACATGACTTCTAGAGCATGAGATAGTCTGCTGTTCTGCTGCTGAAAGTCAGCAACCTAGCATAGGGATAAGGAACGTGGACTCTGGCGCTAACTGCTTGGGGTAAAATCCTGGTGCCACCACTTACCAGTTTCCCCTGGTTAGATTACTCAGCCACTCTAGATTTGTTTTCCCATCTGAAAAAAAAAAACGGCAAAAATAAAAATACCTACCCCTCTGTATTAGTCTGTTTTCATATTGCTGATAAAGACATACCCAAGATTGGACAATTTACAAAAGAAGGAGGTTTAATGGACTTACAGTTCCACATGGCTGGGGAAGCCTCACAATCATGACAGAAGGCAAAGAGGAGCAAGTCACAACTTACATGAATGGCAGCAGGCAAAGAGAGAGAACTTGTGCAGGGGAACTCCTCTTTATAAAACCATCAGATCTCATGAGACTTACTATCATGAGAATAGCAGGGAAAGACCTGCCCACATGATTTAATTACCTCCCACTGGGTCCCTCCCACAACATGTGGGAATACAAGATGAAATTTGGGTGGGAACACAGCTAAACCATATCACCCTCCTAAACACTGTGAAGATTAAATTACTTAATATTTGTATAACACTTACACTAGAGCTTGTCATATAGGAAGTGCTGTATAAGTGTATGCACTTATGCTTATGAAACTGGGCCTTTGTCCCTGAAGCTTTGCTCCCTGAAGACTTTGATTACATGAGCCTTCTCTAATAAGTGGGGACATAAAATAAAACATATATTATCTTTGCAGAAACACCTCAAACAGTGCATTTCATTCATAATTTGATACTCAGGCATGCCCTAAACTCTCAGAATGACTTAAGATAAACGTGATGTCTAAATGAAGCCAATGTAGGTGGTGATGATGAACAGTTTACCACAACCACAGAGCTTTTACCAGGTGTTAAGCATCAAACCTCCTCTTCCACCTTCTGATCTGAACTTCCACATACCAAAGCTCTAGCATCAAAACTTCGGTTTTATCTTCTGCGTCTTGGCCTCTTGACATACACTTAGCAAGTGAGATCTTTTCTTCTTGTTTTGGGTAAGTCTTCTGAAGTAGGGAGTGTTGAAATAAATGGCTTATGACATGTATAGTGTTGAAATAAACGTTTATTTTAACACTTCATAAGTCATGAGCCATTTATTTTAACAGTTTTCACTTGAAGTTTTTAAATAATAGGTTTTATACAGGGATGTGTCATCCACTCTGTTTAATGTAAAAGTGAATATGTAAATACATCCATCTATCTAATCTGGATTTTACACCCTTTGGCTGCCAAACAGCCTGGTTGCCATAGTTTCTGGAGTAACCTGAAATTAAATTTTCTTCTCTTTCTCTTTCTGTTGATAGGTAATTTGATGGTACATAAGGTGATTGGACATCACTCCATTAATGGACAAATGGTTAAATACAGTTTTTTTTTCAGAAATCTAAAAAAGTGTCAGCAAAGACCAGAGTTGACAGTTAAATGCTTTCGTAACTAGAACAGCTTTTACTAGAAAATGTCAGGATTTTTCCTTTCGTTTTTAGAATTAATAGCAACTTGTTGCAGGGTTATTTTTGAGCATTCATACAAATAAGTATATATATAAAAAGTATATGTACAGTGCAATGCCTAGAGCCAATAGGTACATACAAATATCAACTTATTGAAGGAAGGCAAAATGTTTGTGAAAAACGGCCCTAGTTTGGGAGTCAACATATTTGGGTAGAATCTGAGACCTTCCAGTTACTCTTATAAAGACAAGATATTTAACAATTTTTAGCATAAAAAGTGATAGCTCCTGGAGATTCTGTGAGATTTAGATAAAGTAACTTAAGTAATATTAATAAAAGCCTTAATAGAGTTCTGTGTGCATATTTAGTTCATTCAACAAAGGATAGTTATTGTTATTGCTATTATTCCTTGCTAGGAAATGGCAATTAATTAAAATAGCTATGAATGTTATATTTTTAAGAATTATTTTCAATATTCACAAGTTTGTGTCCTTGTTTTTCCCAAATAATATAGGTAAACTGATATTTTTATAAGAGCAAGAAGAATCCAAGTGTTATATAGGGGAAACTTTTAAAAATAAAGGTTTATTTTTTAATGATTTTAGACTTACAGAAAAGTTGAAAAGATAGTGGAGAGAATCCCTATATACTTCTCATCCAATTTACCCTGTCTCTAATTACAAGGAGTATTTTAAGAATTTGTCAAAGTAATACCTTGTGTTGGAAAGTTTTTGTGCCAAAACCGGAATTTAAATGCTAATAGTGATGGGAAATGAATGGAACAAAAACATTGTGAGATGGAGGATGAGAATGGCACAAGGGAACGATGCCACGAGAAGGGAAATTAAAGGGAAACACTTAGCAAAACCTTAGCTCTCACAAAGACTTCTCATTTTTCCATACATAAAACAATACCCTCACATATCTAAGTTTATTGAAAGAGTTAGTTGAGACATGAAAGGGAAATGTTTGCTTTTGCTTTCAGATACTAAAAAATCTTTTAAAGAATAATTAAAAGCTGAGAAGTAAAAATGCTCCAGAAAGAATACAAATACTGGCATTCGTTTTCCATTTGACATTTTCCAATGTCTATAAATGCTATTGATTTCAAATTCTAAATTATTTCACTTCTGAACACGCCTTGTAGGATTATTACAGTGCTATTTGTGTGGGCTTGTAATCATTGATTGTGACATTATACTCTCCATAAATGTGCCATTGTGAATAATTAAACTTGTTAGTATTTTGTTTGCCTACAGCCTTTAGAGTGATAGCCCGTTTTTTGGCAATCATAATATGTTTCTCTAGTTCAGTTTGTGCTGGATATGGGAAATACATCATTTTTTTCTGAAACTTTTTCAATACATTTCCATTTTCAAATTTTAAATTTTAAGAACTGCTTCATAATATATTCAGCATTTAGTAAATTAGAATTCTGGGAGTCTTATGATTTGTATTTCGAAGTTTATGAATAAATAATCTTCTAGAGTGAAAGCAGATCTTTTTCATACCAGTTACTACCTGTGAAAACACTTGCCTAGAGTAAAACAAATATTAGTGTTCCAAAAATATATACATTGTGACCATTGGCCCTATTTACACTGGATTGCAAATATACTTGAAAAAATTTGAAAGTGTTATAGTTTAATATGATTTCTGTTGACTTCTACACAATTACAATGAGTCTCTGAGCTCTGTTGAGAAAAACAGTATATAGCGGTTTTGGCAAAGGTTACTGAAAAATGTCTCTCCCCTCAAGGCATGGAAACCATGCTCTAGCTCTGCCTCTGTAACTAGATTTAACATATCTGTGATGCCCAATGCCCAAATCTGAATGGTCGAATGCTGTTTGGAATTATTATACACAATTTAAGCATTTGGACGATGAGACACTTATGTCAACAATATAAATTGGAAAAAAACAAGAAAGAGCATCTACGAATGTGGAAAAATATATGCATCACATTTTGCTTAGATATGTGCATTAGACACAGACTATATATCCTTTCCCCACCAAGTTGGTCCTGACAATAGGCTGTCTCCTCTTCTTGCAAATGGAAGTTAGCTAACTGCCATTTGGCAATAAGTTGAGTCATCCAGGGTTGCACACTGGCCAATTTGCCTGCATATCCATGCCAGTAGACAAAGTAATGACCTCAATTTGACAAGAGCCTGAAATTTCATCAGAAAACATTAAAGATTGAAAAAATAGCAAATAGAGAAAGGATACTTCATTACAAATCCACCATAGACTTGACATAACTATGAGCCAAATATTCCTTAAAGATTTGTCTGGGAAGTTAAGTTTATGACTACAAGGTTTTAATAGGAATAACACCCTTGAGTGACTCCTCTCTCGTTTTGGAGAGGTAAAGATATACTCAAATACCAATTTGGGCATAAAGTGCAGAAACAGACATTCTCATTATATGTTAACAATACTTGTGATCAGTTGATGGCATTTTTTGAAATTTGGCTCTGGGGTCTCACTTAGCACTACAGTCAGCAAAGGGCCAAACTGCTTCTTTGGTTCATTGAAGCTGTGCCTTTCTAAATAGAGTGATTTTTAGCATGCCTGGCTAATTCAAGAGTTACGATTTAGAGGTATAGTCTAGCCGTAATACCTGTCTTTATATGCTCATCATTTTGTACTCCATGTGTCCTTATTCTTAGTAACTAGTGATTTATCACTGACAATGTGTGTGTGTGTATGTGTATGTTTGTGTGTACGTGCTTATATGTGATATATGTGGCTTCTTTAAAAGCATTGCTCTCAAGAAAATTTCATGGAGATTACGAACATTAACAAGAGCAACACCACCATAAAAATTGCTCTCACTGGGTCATCTAAGTTGACATTGATTTACCTTACATGATGTACTGTAGATGATGATCTTCAGTCCCATTCACCTTTAAAATATAAGCTCACAGATTCATTTTTTTTCTTTTTTTCTTTCTTTTTTTTTTTTTTTTTTTTTTAGACAGAGTTTCACTCTTGTTGGCCAGGCTGGAGTGCAATGGCGCAATCTCGGCTCACTGCAACCTCCGCCTCCCAGATTCAAGCGATTCTCCTGCCTCAGCCTTCCAAGTTGCTGGAGAGGCGCCTGCCACCATGACCAACTGATTTTGTATTTTTACTGGAGATGGGTTTTCACCATGTCGGCCAGGCTGGTCTCGAACTCCTGACCTCAGGTCATCCACCTGCCTTGGCCTCCCCAAGTGCTGGAATTACAGACATGAGCCACCGTGCCCTGCCACAGATTCATTTTCTATTTGCAAATGGGAAGATGTCCTCATATTTCATAAAATTAAGTATTTGAAAGATTCTGACCATCAAAAGAATTTTTTAGAAGTGGATTCATATAGGAGATGCTCACTTTTGAGATGGACATTTTGCTACTTCTTATTTATGTATTCATATATTTTTATTTTTAATGGAGTATAGTTAAATACAATATAATACACAGATATGATATATGTTCAGATAAGTTAGCTTTCAAAATGATGCACATCTGTAGTAACACAATCTGAAACAAGACAGAGGATATTTCCTTCACACCAGAAAGTTCTCTTGGGTTGCTTGCTAGTCAATTTCTCCATCTCCAGCTGAGACTTATACCACCATAGACTCTTTTTATCTGTACTAAAACTTCATATAAACTAAATAATATTCATTCTATTCTCTCTTTCTCTTTCTTACCTTTCTTCCCTGCTACTTCCATGTGTGTGTGAGTAGGGGACATGTCTGGCCTCATTTACGTTCAATATAATTTTTAAAATAATATTGTCACATACATCAGTAGAAATTTCATTTTTATTGCTAGTAGTTTACATTCTACTGATTGACCAAAATGTGTTTATTCATTCTCCAATTGATGGATATTTCAGTTGTTTCCAGTTTTGAGCTGTTATGGGTAAGGCTGTCATGAACATTTTTGTACATATACTTTTTTAGTTCTGTTTTCACTGTTGAGTGAATATCTAGGAAAGAAATTGCTGGGTGATAGGATAGATGTATGTCATTTTTTAAAGAAACTGTCAAACAATTATCCAAAGTGATTTATCTTTATTTATTTATTTATTTTTATTTTTTATTTTTTTGAGATGGAGTCTTGCATTGTTGCCTGGGCTGGGGTGCAATGGCGTGATCTCGGCTCACTGCAACCTCCGTCTCCCATGTTCACGCGATTCTCCTGCCTCAGCTTCCTGAGTAGCTGGGATTACAGGCACACACCACCACACCCGGCTTATTTTTTGTGTTTTTATAGAGACAGGGTTTCACTATGTTGGCCAGACTGTTCTCCAACTCCTGACCTCGTGATCCGCCCGCCTTGGCCTCCCAAAGTGCTGGGATTACAGGCGTGAGCCACCATGCCTGGCCGTGATTTATCATTTTATACTCCTTCCAGCAGCATGTGAGAGTTCGTTTTGTTCCACATTGTTATCAACATTTGGTGTTATCAGTCTTTTGGATTTTTAGCCATTCCTGTGGGCCTAAAATGGTGTCTCATGGTGATTTTAATTTCGAGTTCCCTGATGTGGAACACTTTTTTATGTATTTATTGATCATTTGTATGTCTTTTTAAAAAGTATTGTTCAAGTATTTTGTCTATTGTAATCTTTTAACTGTTGGTTTCTAGTTCTTCATGTATTTTACATATGAGTTCGTTTTAAAATATATGTGTGTGAATATATTTTTTTCTAGACTTTGGCTTCTTTATTTTCTTAATGATGTATTTTGTTCAAGTGTCCAGTTTATCAATTTTTTTTTTAAATTAGTCGTTGCTTTTAACATCCTTTCCATGAAATTTTTGCCTAATTCAGGGTTACAGAAATATTCTCCTTTTCTTCTCCCTAGGAACTTTATGGTTTCAAGTTTTACATTTAGATTTACAATTCATCTTGAATCTTTAAAAAAACTGTATATGAAGTGAGGTAGAGGCCATGGTTTCATTTTTTTCCTTTCTTTTCTTTTCTTTTCTCCCCCCTTCCTCTTAAAAATATCCTGCTTTTCTCACACCATTTGTTAGAATGGCTTTTTTCCCCTCATTGAACTGACTTCCTGCCTTGGTCAAAAATTAATTGGCCTTACCTGTGGGACTATATCAGGACTCCGTTCTCTTTCACTTATTTGTCGTATATTCTAATGCCATTGTCTTTATTACTATAAATTTAAAGCAAGTCCTAAAATGAAATCGTGTCCTTGAGTTATTTTCTTTCCTGATTGTTTTTGCTAATCTACATCCTTTGTATTTTTAAATAATGTTAAGAATCAGCTTATCAGTTTCTTCAAAGAAACCTTTTTGGATTTTTGTTTTGAGTTGTGTTGAATCTACAGATCAATTTGGTGAAGTTTAACATCTTAACAGTATTGAGTCAACAAGTCTATGATTAGTATGTCTCTTTATTTTCTGAAGTATCATGAATTTTTCTCAGAAATATTTTACAAAATATTTTTAGTGTACAGATCTTACATATCTTTTCTAAATGTACTCCTATTGTTGCTTTTTGGTGCTATTGTGAATACTATTTTTTAACTTTCTAATTGCTTCTTGTGAGTATATGGAATAGAGTATATAGAAAGTATGAAGAGTATATAGAGAAAGAATTTTTTAACATAAAGTCTGATTTTAGCTATAGGTTTTTTTATAGATGTTCTTTGTCAGATTGAGGATAGTCTCACCCTTGTTTTGCTTACAGTTCTCATCACGGATGGATTTCAGATTTTCCTGTGTACACTTTCTGTACCCTTTTGAGATACTCATATGTCTTTTCTCTTTTATTCAGTTGATTGGTGAATTACATTAATTGATTTTCAAATGTTAAACCATGTATTAGTCCATTTTCACACTGCTAATAAAGACATACATCAGACTGGGCAATTTCCAAAGAAAGAGGTTTAATTGGACTCACAGTTCCATGTGGCTGGGGAGGCCTTGCAATCATGGTGGAAGGCAAGGAGGAGCAATCACATCTTACATGGATGGCAGCAGGCAAAAAGAGAGCTTGTGCAAGGCAACTCCTGTTTTTAAAACCATCAGATCTCATTCACTATCACAAGAACAGCGCAGGAAAGACCCGCCCCCATAATCCAATCACCTCCCACTGGGTTCCTCCCACAACACGTGGGAAGTGTGGGAGTTAACAATTCAAGATGAGATTTGGGTGGGGACACAGCCAAACCATATCAAATTACCTTCATATTCCTGGGATAAACTGTATTTGATCATGATGCTTTACACCTTTTATATATTGCTGAATTTATTTAATACAGATATTTGAGTCTATGGATATTGGTCTATAATTTTATTTTCCTTTAGTTTATTTGTCAGGTTTCAATATCAAGATTATACTGGCTTTATAAAATGAGTTGAGATTGGCTCATTCTTCCTCTATCTTCTACAAGAGTTTGTGTAAGATCGGTATTATTCCTTCCTTTAGTTTAATAGAATTTACCAGCGAAGCCATCTGGGCTTGCAGTTTGCTTTGTGAAAATGTTTTTTATTATGAATTCAACTTGTGCAATAGTTATGGATCTATTTTTAATTTTGACTTTCTGTTTTTTGTTGTCTCAATTTTGGTTAGTTGTGTTTTGCATGGAATTTGTGCATTTCACTTCAACTGTTGAGTTTATTGTATGACATTGCTCATATTGTTCTATTATTATCCTTTTATATTTTTAGAAACTGTAGTGATGGCATTTTTAAAGCATTTACTATGTGCTTGTCACTGTGCTGCCTGCTTTACATAGATTATTCTATTTTATTCTATTTGGTTCTGTATTAGATACATTAGAAATTCATGCCTACTCAGTGGCTATACAAATCACTACTAGTTTTTATCATCCATTTGGTTGAGGCACATCCTCAGCTTGTAGTCCAAAGCCCTGAAACATCAGGGGTCTCAGGGGCCACACAGATATGCACAGCTTGAAACTAGCTTCCCATTTTTGGCAAGTAGCTGACTTGTGGTATGTTAAGAGAGGTTGCCAGATTGCTCCATATCCTCATGCTCTAGGGTAGTATTACAGTTCCTTTAGGTAATACTTTAGGAGATCTTGTCTGAAATAATGTAGTCTTAAGTTCTTTTTCCTTTCCTAGTTTTTTGATCATATGCTCTTTTTAATACATGCTACAGATTCCTGCACTATTTATGATGTTTGTTAAAAGTATAGATGCATCTGTGAAAATGATAATTCACATTACTGGCAATAGTTACTGAATGGTTGAATGGAGTGGAACACTTGTTCTCTTCCATTATATAAGCTCTCTATATTATGAAAAAGTGGATCATATTATTCTAGTTGTAGTTCTTATCCCTTCTGTTTGATAAAAATCCTAATATTACTTTTCATCAGACTAGAAAGAACTTTATGATCTCTAGAAAGGCTGCAGACAGGGACATGTATAAAGAGTACAGATTCTCTTTAGTGTCCCCTGAGAAATATTTTTATTGGCAGTAAATAGCAATATTTATTAATTTATTAATAATTAACAATTGCTATTAAAATAGGAATATTATTTTTATTAACAATAAATAGCTTTGAACTTCCCTTACTTGATATTTTGTTTAAATTTAAACCTGTTTATTCTTATACTAGGTCAATATTTTTTAATGCATTTTAAAAAGTAAAATGCCATATAGAAATTGATATTGGTAGCTGCGAGAGCTGGGGGTAGGCTGTTTTCCTGCCTACGAGGCAACATCCCTACACTATGTAATGCACTGTATACCATTTCCCAACCTGAGAGGCTACTTTAGTTTTGCTGTTAACGTGTTTTATAAATATGATTTGTTCATTACTATATCTGAAATTTTTCTCACCTTGTTCCCAAACTCTGCCACAGTTTGAAATATCCTAATTTTTAGCCCCAGACCTACCCACTTATCTTTCAAGAGCCCAACTGAAGTAAGTCCTGCATCTTCCTCAAAGCCTTCCTAGACCACCTCAGATTTCCTGGCTCTCCTTGTCTTCTAAGTTTCAGCAGTGTCTGTTGTCTGACCCACAAAATTGGGCATGTGAACATGGGTTGTCCATGTTTTTTATCTCATTGACCCAGCCTTATAAGCTTGCTGAGAAGAGACATCTCTTCTGCTGCCTTTGAGCAACAGCCATGGTGCTGGGTACAAGAAATAATTTTGACTGAAAATGATTTTTCATTTTTTACCCTATTGAAATTTAGGAAGAAATGTTATTGTCAACTAATTGATAGAGCAACTAAACAGTAGGATCTCTCTTTTTCAAAGTGCCTGGTCAGTTTTAGAGTGAGCATTGATTCAGAGGGTTCAGATAAGGGCCCAGGTAGAGATGTCCTTGTCCACACCACATCTTTGAGAGTTGTACAGGCCAAAGAAGAGAACAAAACGCCATCAACTGCTGTACAGCCTGTGTTTCAGTAGACTCTGAGGGACACAGCCTTATCACAGAGCATAGAGATTAACACATGTAATTCTTTGTAAAGTGAAAGAGAATGTGTTGCTGAGAGTGAAAGGAATGGTTTTACAGTACAGCAAGTGCTGCCATGGACACCCTGGCCATAGAACCACCCACAGAGTAAACAGAGCACAGGATTTCAGAGAGAAAAGAAATTGTGATTTTCCAAAGGAAGAAGTAATAGGATCCTAATGGATGTGGAACCTCTTTTTTATTTTTCTGTATGTTCTCAGAATAATGCCCACTTGTTATCCTGGATTCTCCCAAGAGTAAAATGAAACTCCGGTCATCGGCATTATCATTGTCATTATAATCTTCCTCCTTCTCCTACTCAAATAATCATTTTTGAAAACACATAGAATGGTGAGATTTTTATGCTGTGTAACATTTGCTCTGGACATCCTTAAGCAAAATCACATGAGAAATATTACTTCAAGTCCACTAAGTCTGTCATAGGTGAGAATAATTTCTTGGCTGGGGAAATATGTCTTTTTTAAATAGTTCTTCTATTTATACTTATAGGTAAACCTTTAAAATTGTAGGCAAAAAGCATTGCCAGAAGCTCTTATTTGGAGAGATTGAGGCATGTGTTAATCTGGAAATAAAGAAAAGTCCTCACATTCAAACCCGGCAGTGAATTTTATGGTGATATTGCAGACTAATTGTCTTATTGTTGTAATGCATTATCTAACCACACGGCCCTGCCTTTCTTACATGCACATACTATTTAATTCCTTGAGCCTGAATTTCCATGTCTGTAAAATGGAGATAATGTATATGTGACTTGTAATGATGTCGTGAGGATATAAATAACGAGTGAATAATTTAGCAGAGCAACTGGTACTTAATAGGTTCTCAAGTTATTTCAGTCTAACCATAAAAATAATATTGCCACTGGCTTTGAATTCTAATTTTATTTTTTCATATGAAGTGGACACCAGCTTAAAAATTATAAAGGCTTCAAATAGTTTTACCACTCGCAACCAAGACACACTGTATAATCCCACATCAATGGATCTTAGTAGTATAAGGAACTGAATAGCAAGGAAGAAACTGAGTTAGAACTCTGGTCTATTTTAAATGATAAATACTAGCTGCGATGTAAAACCATTTGTGCGTTTCCTCAATAACTCTACTTTGAAAGTGCACACCATTTTTAAAGTAAAAGTACATTTAAGGTTGATAGTAAGAAAAATTTACTACTTGTTCCTGCATCAAGGTTTTAGAGCAAATAATACAATGAAGGTATTATACATATTCGTAGATATATATGATTATAGTTCACACCAGCCTATCACATAAATCAACTTGTAAAACTCTCCTTTCTTGTTTCCAAAGAGAGTACATATGATACGGCATCTACCATGGAAACTAAACCAACTTGGAAATAGCAATAATGTCCTTAATTCAGTAATTCTTTTTCTTTTAGCTGTGTTTTTCCTCTGGGTAAACCTCTCTGCGCACTGGATTTCTTTCTAAATCTGAATGTCCTCTCTGGCCATATTGAAGAATGTGCTCACTGTACTGTTTCATTAAACTGCTGTGTTGTCGGGTAATTGTTTAAACATAATGCCATAGCACTATCAAAAGGAAAGGTGAACTAATGGCATTTGCAAATGTCAGGGATTATCTTAACACTTTTATTATAGTTTATAAAAAGTAGGTTCAGGGCATTTCATGGCAATTATTTCTACAGAAATTGGTTATTTAAATAAATTGCTAATTATCTGAAGATGACAGTATTGAAAATGCTACTAATGAGTTGTTTAATAAGTGTAGCTTGTGGTGGCCACCTACAGGTTGAAAATAGAAAGAACATACATATAGACTAATTATGCCTAGTAAATGCCATATATTTTTCTCTCTAGTGACAAATTTAAAGACATTTAGCTCTTCATGCCATCTTTTGAGTCTTGGACAGTATAGTGAGTTTCTAAGCTCCTCATAAATTTGGTTTTGGTTCTAAAACAAATTTCACTTTGCTTCTGTAATTGTCTTTGTCCTATTATTCTTGGACATAATTATCTTTAGTTATAGCTAGTATGATTTTATAATTTATCATCTGAACTGGGATACTTTTAGACCAAAGGAAGATAGCTATTGTTACATTATGTAATTACAAATAAATACAGGTATAATAAACTGGGACTCTCTTGGGCAAACTGGGCTATATGGTTACTCTAGTTATACAATTACTAGCTATTCTACTTCTAATTTAATTTTTATCCAACAATTAATATAATGTCTATTTTTCTATAATGTTGATTTTTATGGTTTTATCATACCTGGATAATATATCTTTATTAATTATAACAATTATTATTATTAACTCTTCTTTCTAAAGCTTAATTTATATCCAGACACTTAAAATCAGGAAGCAGCATAGCATTGTGGTTAAGAGCATGGTGTTGGGAGTCAGGTAGGCCTGGATTCAAATACTGGACCCATACTTTCTAACAGAGTGATCTTGAGGATGTGGCATTTATCCCTGCTGAATCTCAGTTTACACATCTATAAAAATAGAGACAGAAATATCTATTTCATAGTAATGTGACCAGCACAATGTATGCAAAAATAAATAGGAAACTATCTGTCAATTAGAAAGCACTCAAAAGAGGAGCATTTATATTTAACATATTTAATCTTAAAAGTTAACTCATACTTGCTTCTTTTCTAAGTTAATCACTGGTATCTGTTGGAAAACTATAGAGCATATAAAATTGCTCTTAAACTACCAAGAATAAGTTATAGTATCCCCAGATTTTGAATTGGAAGAGAAAAACTAATCCAATATTTCCTGTAGTACAGAGAAGTCTTTCTGTTGCATCTTGCTGTCAAGTAGCCATCAAGATTCAAGGAATAGGGAAGTTCCATTGTAGCTGCTTTCATTGCTGAATTTACAATAAATTAATTATAAAAATAAGAATAATAAAACCAATCGTGTATGCTGAATTGTTCGTTCCAATTTGCTACATAGGATAAGCCCTTTTTTTCATGATTATCCTTCAAATATTTGATGACCATTTATAGGATTTCTTTTAATCACTATATAGATATATATGATATGTGTGTGAGAAAGACAGATCAAGAGAGATCATCCTATTCACTCTGTTGTGTTTGTAGATCTTTTATCTAAAATATTGGACACAGAACCAAACATGTTCTTTGTAATGTACAGAGGATAGAATCACTGTATGTATCACTCATATATAAAAATGTCACATCATATATACTGATGATGCTTATTCTCGTAAGGTGAATTTTAGGAACATTATAAAAATAGATATTTTTACTACAGAAGTAAATTATAACACCATTTTATCAAAAAGAATCCAACAATAAAAAGTATATATATATAAACTTGAAAGGTCTTCAATCCCTTTACTGCAGGACTCACCCCCTTTCCCAGAGATGATACCTGTGAACAGTATGAAATTCAACATTATATGCATTTACATGCACACATACTAAATGTAATCACATACTTTTTTGCCAACAATGGGAGCATACCATATATATTGCTCTGCTACTTGTGATTAACTCTTAACATTATAAATTAGAGCTATTTGCGTGTCAATTTTAAAGGTTTTCTGGAATATCATATCTTGGTGAACTATAATTTATTTAATAGAGTAACTACTCATGATCCTTTAGATTGTTTTCTACGGTTTTTCTATAGAAAGTAATACTTCCAGGAACATTGTTGTATATGTAACTTTGTGTCTAAGCACTAATGGAACAGATTCTTCAAAAAAGACTTAGAAGATATATATATATATATATATATATATATATATATATATATATATATACACACGCACACACACGTTGCAAATTACACTTAAAAATCTAATAAAGATTTATTCACACAGATACACACATTTACTACCATAGACTCAAGCTATGAATATTCATAATTTTGAAGCCAATGAAATAATATATGGGTTACAAAAGGAACCCCAAATGTTATATCTAGGAATGAATATTAACAACCCTTAAAAATTAAGTGTTTATCCTTATATGTGTTATAGCTGAATGTTTATTTTTCTGATCAATTTTCTCTGGCTTTGACACTAATATTAGCTTATACACATTATAAGCTAGGCACTGTGCCAAGTCTTTCCCATGAGTTGTATCATCTAATACATCCAAACTCCCTGGAATATTATTAGTATTAATGTCCTTGTTTTTTAATTAGGGAAAACCAATGTTTTAGGAAGTTGAGGAGCTTGCTCAAAGCTACAATTGTATAAAGCAAATGGTTTGAGACTTACACCTAATTGGTTGGACTTCCTCTGTGTTCTCATAGCATCAGTCTGTACTGATACTAGTTTTCTTAGGCAAAAATAATCCAGAGATGGTTCTTTTGGTAATTGCTGCATTGTCACTTCTCAATAATAACTGAAAATGGGAACTTTCATGTCGCAGAGACTTTATTTTTAATGTATTACATCCTTTTTAAACTACGTGACACTGGATAAGTTATTTATTCAGCTTGAGCTTCTCTTCCTTTATGTACAAAATAGAGAGGACAGCACCTAGCTTCAGAGTTACAAGGGTTAAAGTACACAGTGTACATGAAGCCCCTGCCTCAGTGTCTGCACGTGGAAATCACTCTATGAATGAGTGATCCTACTCATTCCAGTAACAGTAGCTGACACTTTCAGAAAGGAGAATGGCCCTCTTTGGTGAATGTTATTAATTCTCTTGGTAAAAATAAATGCCTGACACATGCTAGGTACTGAGTTATTTAATATGAATCCACTAGGAACATATTGAATGCATTATGAAGCAGAAAAACATAGCTATGAAGATAGGAAGACTTGGAGAAAACATAAAAAATTCAACTAAAATTAAAACATTTTCAGAAGAAATTTTTAGCTTTTCTGAAAAAACTAAAATAACATCAAATAATCAACTTTATTTTTTCCATTTCTTCTCTTTAAATTACACATCTCTACATATAACCCTAGATCCTTTTAGTACTTCAGTTTCTGATTGAATTATGCAAATATTCTCAGAGGACCCTAATCCATGTGTAAAGATGTTATTTTTAAATAGGTGTGTCCCATGTATTTATTAGTATATTAACTTCATTAACATTGTACACTTAATTTTAGTAAAGCATAAATTTGTTGGTGGTTCATTTATATGTAGGTTATAAAAATCAATCTCTCACCTCCTAAATCCTTGAAATTCTTGATTTACTAATTTTTTTTCTTCTGGATGGTGTTAAAACTGTTAACAATTAGACAGTCAAGGTTCAATTTCTAATGAATTTGTTATCCACTTAATTCATTATATTTTAATTAATGTAAGCAAATTAAAACTACATTTTCTTTTTGCATACACAGTGAGCACGAATGAGTATTATAACCCAATTTCTGTTTTATTGCCAGCTAGAGCTATTATCAGGGAGTTTATTGTGGACTTAGTTCTAACAATTAATTGTGTAACAGTCGCTGTCCTAGAGGAGTCAAATGATTAGGGGGAGAAAGACAAACAGAATTAAACTCAATTATTCAAAATTCCAGTTATTTAGCATATGTTCCACACTCTCTTGCTCATTAAAAATTCCTTTTTTCTTCAAGGATTTAGTCATGCGAAGTACATCTCTGCCTCCTTTTCACCAATAAACTTGAGTTCAGATATTGTAATTAAAATCCATGGACATTTTGCTTCTCAAAAAAAAAAAATCTTAAATATATTGATGTCAGCCTTTTGAGGCTTTTTTTCCTTTGGGGTCAAAGTAATCTTCATCAACATTATGACACTGCTAAATGACAGCTGTTAGGAAAAGAGAAAAAGGAGGGGACATGTATGGTCCTCTTAAGGTTTCAGAGGATAAAGTTCTGTCATCATAGGCATCATGCTTTTGTCTCCAATTTAAAAATTGGTTTTAATTGCATCACTAAACACACAAGAACATAGAAGGCAATGTCAAAGTAAACTACATAAATGCTCACTCTGAAATCAATTGTCCTTGAGGGCAGTACAAATTATAACAGCAAACACTTCTACAATTTTTATTATGTCCTCGCCTTTTATATATATTATGTAATTTATTCTTCAAAACAGCTCTATGAAGACGTTATTACAATTTTTATTATTTTATAGATGACAAAATTGAGATTCGGTGGGATTTAAAAATTTTCACAAAGTCACACAGCTTATAAATGGAACTAAGATTTGAACCTCAACAGTTGGCCCAGTTGTCTCTCTGATGTTGGTAACTAGTTCATCCTCAAATTGCCTTCTTGATAGAATTCATATTAATAGTATTTATAAAATGTATAATGTTCTAACAAATGTGAATTGTTTCTAATGGAATACTGGTAGAGAATGAATAACTGGATTCAAATTATTAACTTGAAATAACCTACTACAATGATAAGACCTGGTGTTTTGTGAGTCAAGCGTAGATATATAGTTAGGACACAAACTGATGAACCAGGAAAAAAAAAGCCATAGGTGCTTAAAAAATATTTTGTGGATAGACAGATGAATGGATAAATGAAGACTGAGTAAGGAACCTGATTGTCATAATACATTAATACACATATATCAATATATAATATTATAGCCAATGATAGCATTTCTGAAATTGTATTTAAAATGATATCTGACAAATGAGAGTTCATTTTCTTAAGAAAAATACTTTTCATCAAAATCAGATTGATTAACTTAATTCAAAATCTCTGGCTTACTAAAATGTTTTTCTGAAACATGAATCAATTCAAGAATGTTCTGTGTAGTTTATCTAAGACAATCTATGAATTCAACACACTGATTTGTATTTTAAATTATGACTACATGGAGGGCCTAGAATGATTATTGACCAAAAGTTACAGTTCAGTCTAGTCCACCACAAGAGCCACATAATGCAAAGCAAAGTTCTTGGTAGCAATGTTGCAACTCATAAGTCCAGTTCATTTTTCGTTTGTTTGTTCGAACCTGCAGCTTGTTTCAAAACGTGGGAACTCAGAATGGCTTGATTTTTATTGGAGGATTCCACACAGTTGAAGCAGAATGGCTTGATGTAACTGAATTCCCCATTAGGTTCATCTGGCCACCCCATGTAGATGAGGGCTTAATTTAAATTGCATGTTACCTGTTAGTTCAATTAAGTGTATAGGATTTCAATTTCTTGATTTAAACCTTGTTGTTTCCTTAAAGATAGAGCCCGCATACACATTCTTTGAACTTCTCACACTGGCTTCTTCCTCCCTAGTCTTTGGTCTAAAATCATTAATCACTGTAGCAGTGACAAAATTTTAAAAGACCTTTATCTCGATAATTGTAATTCAGGAAGTCTTTATGATTTTAATTGGCATATGTACAATTTTGTATGGCATTGATATATGTATTTTCTTTAAACCAACAGTTTTATTTTTATCTTGAACCTATTATTACTTCATTTCTGTCATTTTAAAACTAAAAATAAATTCTACATAGCAATTTAGAAAGATCTTTTTATATACCTTCATTTTCCTTCTAGAAACCGTTCTTAGTGGATGAAGTCATTCTTAAGAACTATTCCCCATAAAAATGCTGAGAACAGGTAGATTATATTTTGTATTAAATCAGTTGAGTTATAAAAAATCAAACTGGGTTTATAATGGAAATAAAAACTGAATTTACTGTAGTCCAGCAACAGAGAGATCATTTCTTCATTTTTTGGATCTCATTTCCTCAGAGAACATAGTTACTCTTAACTTGAAAAAATACTCTTATTTTTTGAAAAGATTTTCTGTTCATTAGGTACATTATAAAAGCGTTAGAAAGGAAGAAAAGCATAAATTGGAAAATGTCTTATTGACCTAATTGAACATCTTCAAATGCCAATAAGAATTTGCTGATTTTTTTAACACCTGTGTAATAATGTTGCCCTTTAAGTGTCACTGGTTAATTTTTCAAAGCTGTGTTGCCTTTTTATGTCCATTAATATCAATAGAATATGTGGCCAAATCCCTGTATACCACTTTGAAATTTTACCCCTTACTGTTAATGATAGTCTTCTAACAGTGGAGGTAGAAATAAATTATTTATCTACTTAGCTCAAATTTACTCTCTTGGGTCAACTAAATAAGGGAGGAAAAAAACCAATATTTCTTTATTACTTCAAAGTAGTGTGTATGTAAAGAAGCCATTGGGTTGGTATGTATTGGCTATGCCAGTTATATTATGCAGAGATAGCTGTGTGTCTATCAAAAAGTTTGTTACAGCTTTCCTTAAAAAATGCTTTCCTTTAACTTTTGTTATGTAGATTTCTTTTAGTATAACTGAAGATATGTGTATATATATGTGTGTTTTTGTATTCTCACTATAAATTCTGTCCACTATTAGCCTTTTTATGGTTAAAACATAAAAACTGTGAGGAATCACTGATAAATAATATAGAAGTAGAATCTTAATGTCCGGTTTCTAATTTGCCCAACTTAATACTTTGTATCCAAAATGTCTATTATGAATTTTGAAGTGTCAGCATTGAATATTCCTAACTAAGGAATGCTATAGTAATATGTAGAGGAAGATGTTTGAGGTGTGGGAGCCACAAGTAGACATTTCCACAAACATTTTTGTGTTGAGTACAAAAGCAGTAGTCATGCAAACGTTCAATTTTATCTGAAACAGATATGAACAGGATAAAAAGAAAGCCACCGATTTTTTTTTTTTTTTTTTTTTTTTTTTTTTTGAGACAGAATCTTGCTCTTGTTGCCCAGGCTGGAGGGCAATGGCGCAATCTCGGCTCACTGCAGCCTCCACCTCCTGGGTTCCAGCAATTCTCCTGCCTCAGCCTCCTGGGTAGCTGGGATTACAGGCGCCCGCCACCAAGTCCAGATAATTTTTGTATTTGTTTGTAGACACGGGGTTTTACCATGTTGGCCAGGCTGGTCTCAAACTGTTGGCCAGGCTGGTCTCAAACTTCTGACCTCAGGTGATCCCTCTGCCTCGGCCTCCCAAAGTGCTAGGATTATAGGCGTGAGCCACCACTCCCAGCCTCTGTTTTAGACTTTATTTTTTAGAGCAGTTTAGATTCACAGCAAAATTGAGAGGAAGATACAGAGATACTCAATATATCCACTGCTCCAACACATGCATGACCTCCCTCATTATCAACATTCCCCACTAGAGTGATACATTTGTTGTAATCCATGAACGTGCATTGACACCTATAGCCTAACCACCCAAAGTCCGAACTTTACAATAGGTTTCACACTTGGTGTTGGGCATTCTATGAGTGTAACAGATACATTCTCTAAGTGTGTTTTGTGTGTGTGTGTGTAAATGTATAACAACATGCATCCACCATTATAGTATATATAGTATTTTCACTGTCCTAAAAATCCTCTTTGCTCTGCCTATTTATCCCTCCCGTTCGCTCCTTACTACCACTGATATTTTCACTGTCTCCACAGTTTTTCCTTTTCCAGAATGTCATATAGTTGGAATCATATGCTATCTAGCCTTTTCAAATTGAAAGCCCTTTAACTTTTTGTTTCTTTTCTTATTTAATTATTTTATTTTATTTTTTAATTTAATTTAATTTTAAGTTCTGGCCATTTTTTAAAGGAAGGCTGTGTGTGCTACCTCAGAGTAAGCACTCCAGTAAATACATATTGATATTGCTGGTGACTAGTGGTGGTGGAGGTGATGACAAAGAACTCACCACGTGAGGCTGAACCAGTTATTTGTTTATGTTGTTTGTGAAGCCCTGGTTTAAGGCAGTGTCAAATTCTTGCATAAGTTGAACTGCCTTTAGTTCAGAAAATGCTTAAAGGACCCCTGACTTATAAGGGAACACCAGGAATATCAAATTATATTCCTTTATTATGAAAGCATTAATGTACTCTGGGATGTTTAACATTTGAGAATTCAAAGTAGCTTTAGTACAATATACTCATTTTTAAAATAGCCCCAAAGTATTCTTTCTATCCATACAATTTTTATTACTATTAGGGAATAATATACTGGTAATGTCTGGCTAATTAAATATTAAAAAATTAAATTCATACACTCTAATTACTGGATTCTAGTAAATTCTCTTTAACTTGATTAAAACTTTCTAATATGTGAAAAATTGGATTAGACTCCCTATTTTTTTTCAAATTGTGGGAAGTACATATAAAAAGCAACATGGAATCTGTAAGTTCATCAGCACCTTGCCTTTTTTTACAGAGTCTATGTTCGCAACATCTGCTTTGTACTCTAAAGAAACATAACATAGCTGTATGTCTACTGATGTACTATATGGGATTGTTTTTCTTTTCAAAATCTGCTGTTCCTTGTTTTTTGTTTGTTTGTTTGTTTTTGAGACAGAGTCTCACTCTGTCACCCAGGCTGGAGTGCAATGGTGTGATCTCGGCTCACTGCAACCTCCGCCTCGTGGATTCAAGCAGTTTTCCTGCCTCAGCCTCCCAAGTAGCTGGGATTACAGGAGCCTGCCACCACGCCTGGTTAATGTTTATTTTTGTATTTTTAGTAGCCATGGGATTTCACCATGTTGGCCAGGCTAGTCTCAAACTCCTGACCTCAGGTGATCCACCCACCTCGGCCTCCCAAAGTGCTAGGATTACAGGCGTGAGCCACTGATGCTCAAATATTCTATGCAATCTTTTACACATTACTGTATATCCAATTGTAATATGCATGTAATATGTGTGCACAGAGAATTCTGTGTTTGCTATACCTACTTGTATAACATGTCTAAATTCAATATTGGTATCAAAGTCCTTAAAATAAATAAACATCCATTAACAAATTAACATGCTTTAAAACATAACATTTATACACTACATATGTATATACATCTTAAACAGAGATAAAGTAATTTGAAATTTGTCCAGTGACGCTGTCATCACATCATAGTAATAGAAGTAATATAAGACAGTATACTCAAGTGGTCAGTGTGCTAACCATTGATTATTCTGATTTTGTGTAGGGACAGCAATCAGACCTATTGCTTTGAGAGCTGTGACCTCCATTGCTCGTGCTCTGCCTGGATTTCCCATTTTGGCTACTGGTGGAATTGACTCTGCTGAAAGTGGTCTTCAGTTTCTCCATAGTGGTGCTTCCGTCCTCCAGGTAGTCATTGTGTTTGTCTGTCCCTTTTAAAAATCTCCATCTCACAAATGCAATGTAAGTTATGTGACAAAAAAAAAATAGATTCGTTTTTGGGCCTCTTGAAAAGGAGGCCATTTGGGATCAAAATGGCAGCATGTATTAAGTTCCTCTGACAAGTTATGAAGAGACCTGAGGTTTATTTCCTGTCCTGTTGAGGGCTTACGAACCCACTGTCTTTTCTTAATACATTTATTCACCCATGTGATCCTGAAATAAATAAGATCAGGTACCAAAATGAGTACTGTCCTCCTGGAAAAACAATACATGAGGAAATCTGAGTAAAAGTAAAATCTCAATTGAAAAACAAAATGAAATCAAGGGTATGAAAATCTATGTCATTACCAAATTTGATCCTGAGATTCCTGGCAGCCAAAGAAATAAATTATTAGCTTTATAACTTTTAAAATATTAAAATAAATTGATTGTTCAGCTTCTTGTGGTACAAAGCTGAGGGAACTTCTTTCTTCCCTTGTCCTCTTAAAGGGATGCTGTGAGATGTAGTGAATTGTACTCTTAATAATACCCCTAAAATAATAAAAATTAGAACATTAAAAAGTATTCATATACTTTTTAAAAATAATGTTGCTCAACATGGGCTTAGTACTGTCAGCACATTTTAGCATAAGAATTTCTCATTCAGGTTTTGTAGTCTGAATTGACCTAGGGACCAAGCTTTTTATATGACTAGACTGTGAACTGTGAACTCTCTGGTAATACTCCATTAATAATGACTTCTCACTACTTAGCATTGATGGTAATTGGAAAGCAGAAAGTTTGGCATCACATATTCTCTGGCAAAAGGGTAGAGTGTAAATAGTTCATGTTGCTAACTTGACAATCAGAATTAACATTGTTCTATGAAATACCTACAATCTATGGTGGAAATAATATGTATTAGAAAGCTAATGGAGGCAGACTTCTGCTTCCAAGAAGATGGAATAGATTTACTTTTCTCTGTGCCTCCCACTGTATACAGCTAAAAACCCTTATATGTAAAACTGATGATATAAGAAGACTGAAAGGTGAAGAGAAGGCAGATTGGCTAGGGATCTCAAGACCCGAGAAACAACACAGTGGTGAGTTTCCTGCGATTTTTTTCCTCACATATCTCATCTCACACTTGGAGCCAAAGAAGCTCAACAGCCCAGAAACAACAATAGGCACAGATGAAAAGCCTGCTCTCTCTAGCCAAAGAACCAGGAAAGGGGCAGTCTAGCAAGAGAGAGAACTTTTAGACATAACTTCCCTGCTCCACCCAACACCACGGATAAATATTCCATCCCTACACCCATCCATGCAAGCAAAGGACAAGTAGGGATCTTAGACGTCCACCCTCACCAAGCAGTCTCACATCCCCACTGGGCAAAAATGAGCCCTCACCCCCATCCCATATCAGAAGCCTGGACTTCTACCCTCACCTGAGAGTAATGAGGTGTCCGTCCTCCCCCCTTCTGCAGTAGTAGTAGAGGAGGTCTAGTGCAGAGTCAGGACCTTCATCATCACCGTGTGGTAATAAGGCCACTCTCCTTTCCTCCTTCTTATGGTGTCAGTGAAGGCCAAGTAGGGAGCAGCAACAAGGCGTGCCTGCATCTCTTAGCCAGGGATGTGTCAGTGCAGGCTTACTGGAGAGCCAGAATTCTCACCTCCTCCCAGCAGTAACCAGGAGCCATGCCCCTCGGGTGTCCAAGAAAGCCAAGTAAGATACCTGGGCTTCTATCTGGCATTAAGGAGGTGGCATTCTCCACTTCCCCTGCCAGACTGACACCAAGGAAAGCTAGCAGAAACAAAGTTTAAATAAAATCAAGAGTCTCTTAATATTATACCAAAATTGTCAAGATTTCAATTAAAAATTACTCATGATACCAAGACCCAGGAAAACCTCAGGCTGGATCATAAAAAAGAATTGATAGATGCCCACATTAACATGACAGAGATACTATAATTATCTGTCAGATATTTTAAGCCTCCATTATAAAATTGCATTAACAAGCAACTACAAGTATGATTGAAACAAATGAAACAACAGAAAGTCTCATCAAAGAAATAGAAGATATAAAGATGAAAATTTTGGACTTAAAAATGCAATCACTTAAATATAAAACTCAGCTGATGTGCTCAATAGTAAAATAAGAGAACAGAAGAAAAAATCAGTGAACTAGAAGATAGAGCAATAGAAATTGGCAATAGAAATTGGCCAATATGAAAAACAGAGAGAAAAAAAGACTGAAGAAAAGAATGAAAACAGCCCTCAGGGAACTGTGGGACTATAACAAAAGATGTAACACTAATGTCCTCAGAGTCCCAGAGGAGAGGTGAAAAAGGCAGGAATGGAAAAAAAATAATGGCTAAAAATATTCCAATTTTTGCAAAAGACATAAACCTGTAGATTCAAGAGGTCAAGGTAGACTTCCAAAGAGGGCAGCTTCAAAGAAATCCATACCAAAATCCATCATATTCAAATTTCTGAAAACTGAAGAAAAAGATAAAACCTCGATAACAGCAAGAGGAAGATGACACCTTACTTATTGGGGACAAACAATTCTAATAACAGGGGATTTCTCATCACAAGCCATGGAGTCTGGAAGAAAGTGGGACATTTTTCAAATGCTAAAACAAGAACTGTCAGCTCAAAATCCTGTATCCTTCAGAAATGAGCCAGAAATCAAGACATTCTCGGCTGAAGAAAAACTAAGAGAATGTATTGCCAGGAATCCTTAACCAAAAGAATGGCTAAAGAAAGCTTTTTCAGAAGAAAGAAAATGATAAAAGAAGGCACCTTAGGATATCAAGAAGAAAGGAAGAATATGGAGCAGTGTCTTCAAAAAGAATCTGGAAGATAACAGTATCCAGGCTTGAGTATCACCTGAATTTATTTTCATCCACATGTAGAAATACCTGAGCTGAAGGATACAATGGAGTTATGAGTGGGTTTCAGAAGAGACTCTTGCTCATTGTCAGATGTGACCATGGGCAAGTCACACATGGAAGTAAAGATTATTGACTGTCTACCATGTGCTGGTAGTAATTGCTGCTACATATAGTATTTCCACAACCTACTTGAGAGTGAAATTTTTAAATATTTTTTTTTATTGACATCAACTAAGGCTTGGAGGATAAAAGTGATTGATATGGCTTGGCTCTGTGTGAGATTACAATTCAAATCTCACCTTGAATTGTAATAATCCCCATATGTTGTGGGAGGGACCTGGTGGGAGGTAGTTAAATCATGGGGGCAGGTCTTTCCTGTGCTTTCCTGACAGTGAGTAAGTCTCACTAGATCTGGTGGTTTTATAAAGGGGAGTTCCCCTGCACATGCTCTCTTGCCTGCCGCCATGTAAGACGAGACTTTGCTCACCATTTGCCTTCCACATGATTGTGAGGCTTCCCCAGCCATGTGGAACTGTGAGTCAATTAGACCTCTTTCCTTTATAAATTACCCAGTCTTAGGTGTGTCTTTAATAGCAGTCACATGACTAGCAATGGAGCCAGAATTCCCATCTAGAGTTTCACAGCCACAAAGCAAATACTCTTCCAACTGGGCATATTGCCTGTCTTCCATCACAGGACCTGTAAGACGGGAATATTAGTAATACGCAAGTCTTCCATGCCCACTCAAAGCTTACATGTTCAGGCTATAGCTTACCTCTTAGAGTCAAGTTTCTATGAAGAGAAGAAAAGTGAAATCATAGAAAACTAAACGAGAGTTATGTGTCCTGGGTGTAGATGTGTGCTCAGGGTGCAGATCCTAGTATGTAAATATACATAGAGTACTATGTGTCCTCATAGAAATGAATGGTGAAATAATTATTCAAATGTCAGTTTCTACTTAGGCTCCTCTTAGATGGAAAATCAGAAACTCACTGACTATGCACATGAAGCCTATTGTATTCTGGACATGAAAGGACCCTGGAACTGGAACTGCAAGAACCAGTGGGACAGTCCTGGGGCAAGACCTTTGCCATCTCTCTTTTGTGAGCCATGTGATTTCTTCTTCAGAAGAAACTAAATTTCTGTCCACTCTTGTTCTCTCCATGGCTTACTCTTGCCTCCTCTGAACTTCTATCACATGGCTGTCATGACCCTTAGACCCACGCCACATTGCAGCCTTTTAGCTCTCATTTCTCCATGAAATGTCCCAATAGCTTACTGTCTATTGGCTTGGATTTCTTTTTTTAAACTTTTATTTTAAGTTCAGGGTACGTGTGCAGGTTTGCTACATAGGTAAACTTTTTTCATGTGGTTTGTTATAGAGATTATTTTATCACCCAAGTATTAAGCCTAGTACTCATTATTTTTCTTGATCCTCTCCCTCCTCCCATCCTTCACCCTCTCATAGGCCCCAGTGTGTGTCATTCCCCTCTATGTGTTCATGTGTTCTCATAATTTAGTTTCCACTTCTAAGTGAGAACATGCAGTATTTGGTTGTCCGTTCCTGTATTACCTTGCTAAGGATAATGGCCTCCAGCTCCCTCCAGGTCCCTGCAAATGACATGATCTCATTCCTTTTTATGGCTGAATAGTATTCCATGGTGTACATGTACCACATTTTCTTTATCCAGTCTATCATTGATGGGAATTTAGGTTGATTCCATGTCTTTGCTATTGTGAATAGTGCTGCAGTGAACATACATATGCATGTGTCTTTATAATGGGATGATTTATATTCCTTTGTGTACAGCTCAGACTGCTAAGAGAGGAAATCTGTTTGCCTAAATTTATCTTTTTATGCCAGGCCCCATCATAAGCTATTGGTTACCCCATGTATTGACTGCTTGGTGTGTAACAGAAATATAGTAAATTTTGGTTGAATGAGTTTGTTAAATGAATGTGCTTGGTTATGGGTTTTTTGTTTTGTTTTGTTTTTACCAGAATTGTGAAGAGGGGATACAAGGATTCACATGGTATAAAAGAAATCATTATCTCTTTAGCTCTAGCTGGGAATAGCCCAGAGACTTTCTGGCTATTAAAATATTGGTTCCCAAATGATTTTGTTAAAAATGTAAAGTTTCACACATAGGTTTTTACTTCAGAAATGAAGAGGAAATCAAGACAATTTCAGCTAAAAAATACCTAGGAGAATTTATTGCCCAGAGAGCTGGCAATCTAATCTGTAGAAATTTAAAGATTATTTTTCAGCTCTGCCATTAGCTTGAGTCAGATTTTTAACTCAGCCAGAACATGTTTTTTTAACCAATATTAGCTAAAGTATGAATTAAAATCAGTATATATATATATATATATATATATATATATATATATATATATACTTAGGATGGTCATAAGGTGGGAAATATTTGAATTTATAATTTTAGTTTGGTAGTTCAGTGGAGGGTAGAGAATATATATTTCCATCTTTCTTCCATTCTAACTGAATTTCACTTCATTCCACTCCCTAATCTTGGGTTAACCTAACCTTTCGTTCAGTATAGTTTTAAGCTGTTGAATATTATTAGAGAAATTAATGTAACTCTGCAATTGGGCTTACTCCAAATACATAGTGTTTAATGTCTGCTGGGGCTTGGGTACTAGTCAGTATTTCTTTTTATTCGTCTTTTTTTTTTTTTACTTCCCATCAAATTCTTTTTTTTTTTTCTTTTTTTTTTTTTTTTGAGAAGGAGTCTCGCACTGTTGCCCAGGCTGGAGTGCAGTGACGCAATCTCAGCTCACAGCAAGCTCCGCCTCCCGGGTTCACACCATTCTCCTGCCTCAGCCTCCCAAGTAGCTGGGACCACAGGTGCCCGCCACCATGCCCGGCTAATTTTTTTGTGTGTGTATTTTTAGTAGAGACAGGGTTTCACTATGTTAGCCAGGATGGTCTCAATCTCCTGACCTCGTGATCCGCCCACCTCGGCCTCCCAAAGTGCTGGGATTACAGACAGGCATGAGCCACCGCACCCAGCCTCAAATTCTTTCTTGCAGTTAGTTCGAATCTTTTTCATACAGCTCAAAGCCCTTAGCCTCTTGATCATCATCCTCCCATTTCTCTCATATCATCCTTTCATTGCCTCTCATTGCCCAACCGAATTCTGTTCTCTGGTTTTACAATATTTATTAAATCCACCTTTCTAATGATTTCTATTCACAAGTGAAATGTGTACCAACAAAATGAATTCTTTATAGCAGGTATAACCAGACAAATGAAATTGATTTAAATATCTAGGTTATGGTGCTGATACACTAGAGTATAGAAATAGAAGTCCTGTAATGGGTGTAGAAATAGTAATATAAATAAATATTTTGATTCTGATTTTTCTCATACACTATTCATCATGTGTATAGACTATGTAGATAAGTGAGTGCCCTACTAAAATTAAGATTTACACTCAAATTAGTAATTTCAAAATCTTATGTAATTAAGTGAGTTCACTGCTAAAATAAAGATTTACACTCAAATTAGTAATTTCAAAATCTGTTCCAAATGAATCTATGTTTGTAAATTAAGCCATATGACTGACATTAAGAAGAGTAATGACATTTCAAGAATGGAAAGCTAATTTTTTTCATAAGTTGCATAAGTGTGATAGCGCATACCTTCTTTATTGCTTTATATGCATCACAGAGAATAATTCATTCATTCATTTTTTAATAAATATGTATTGAGACCCTACTATATATTCTTAGCATTGTTGTAGAAATTTAGAGTATTTCTGTGAATTAAAAAAAAAAACAACTAAAGTCTGTTACCTTATTGGGCTTACATTCTTGTGAGCAGAGACAGAAAAATATACAATAAATGTTAAATGTAAGTGTATTATATTTAACATAAGATAAGTGCTGTGGGAAAAAAACAGACTTCATTGTAAAGATAATATTTTTATTAAAAAATGATGGTTGTAAATCCTAGAAAATTTTTATTGAAGAAAAAACCTAGGTTACAGCATCATTTGCTTAAATTTTTGCTAATTGAGGAATTAAATGTAAGTTCACAAAATATTGTATATCACCTCACAGTTTATTTTTATTTATTTATTTTCATATGTATAATCAAACTGAACCTTATTATCACTTGATATACCAAAATACATTTTGCATCTCAACATACTTCGGTATATAGTGCTACCTTCAGTGGTCACATATTATCCCATATTATAAATGCACTGAAATTTATTTATAAAATCCATTATATGGGTTCTTCTTCACTACTAGTTTAAGCAGTGCTGAGAAAACCAAATTGCATTTATCTCTAATTATTTTATAATATATTTTAGTATAATGTAATTGATCAGTAAAGGGCATATACTTTTTTTAAACTTCTTAAAATTTTTGTGGGTACATAGTAGGTGTACATATTTATAGGTTATGTGAGCTATTTTAATATAAGCATGCAATGCATAGTAATCACATCAGCTAAATAGGGTCCACCTCACAGTTGATAAACTGAAATGTCTCTTAGGGTTTCAGATTACATTTTATTGGGCAATTATTGCTTTTCTTTCTTTCTTTTTTCTTTCTTTCTTTTTTTTTTTTTTTTTTTTTTTTTTGAGATAGAGTCTCACTCTGTTGCCAGGCTGGAGCGCAGTGGCCGTGGCACGATCTCGGCTCACTGCAATCTCCACCTCCCAGATTCAAGCCATTTTCCTGCCTCAGCCTCCCGAGTAGAGCTGGGATTACAAGTGCGTGCCACCACATCCAGCTAATTTTTGTATTTTTTGTAAAGACGGGGTTTCAACATGTTGGCCAGGATGGTCTCGATCTTCTGACCTTGTGATCCACCCACTCAGCCTCCCAAAAGACTGGGATTAAAGGAGTGAGCCACCATGCCCAGCCCAATTATTGCTTTTCATAGCAAAATTTGCTTCAAAATTTTTGAGCGAATTTTCTTGGAATGTATCATTTCTCCGTGGCACTGTTTATTTCTATGATCTTATTCTGTAACATGCTTTGACAAGATGTCAACATTTCAATGGTAAATCATCCAATCATCTTACCTTAAAAAACTCTTCAGTGATTTTTTTTATGAAAAATGCCAGTGGAATGTTTGTAGGGATTCTATTGAATATTTAGATTGCTTTGGATAGTATGGATATTTTAACACTATTGATTCTTCCAGTCCTTGAACATAGGGTATCTTATCACTTACTTGTGCTTTCTTCAATTTCTTTAATTCATGTTTTATAATTTTCAGTATACAGGTCTTTCACCTCCTTGGTTAAATTTATCGCTAAGTGTTTATTTTTATGCTACTGTAAGTGAGATTAACTCTTTGATTTCTTTTTTGGATAATTTTTTGTTAATTTATAGAAACATCACTAATTTTTGCATGTGAATTTTGTATCCTGCAGCTTTATTGAATACATTTATTCTAACTGTTCTGTTTTTTGGTGGAGGCTTCCGAGTTTCCTACATATAATATGGTATCTACAGAGTCTATTTAACTTTTTCTTTCTGATTTGGGTGCTTTTATTTCTTTTTCTTCCTAATTAATCTGGCTAGGGCTTCCAGTACTATGTGGAGTAAAAATGAGGAGAGTGGGCATCCTTGTCTTGTTCTTAATATTAGAAGAAAAGCTTTCAACTTTTCACTATTGACTGTGATGTTAGCTGCATGCTTGTGATATATGGCCTTTACTGTACTGAAGTACATTCCCTGTATATCTAATTTTTTGAGAGTTTTTATTAAGAAAGATGTTCAATTTTGTCGGATGATTTTTCTGCATCTATTAAGATTATCGTATGGTTTTTGTGATTCATTCTCTTAATGTGTTGTTATATTTATTGGTTTGCATAGGTTTAATCATTCTCACATCTCTAAGATGACTGCTATTTGATCATGGTGAATGATTCTTTTAATGTGCTGTTGAATTCAGTTTGTTATTACTTTGGTGAAGATTTTTGCAACCATGTTTATCAGAGATACGGCCTATACTTTTTTTCCTATAGTACCCTTTTCTGGGTTTGGCTTCAGCGTAATACTGGGCTCAGCTGAAACTCAAACTCAAAATGAATTAAAGACTTAAACATAAGACCTGAAATCATAAAACTCCTGGAAGAAAACACAGGGGAAAAGCTCCTAGACATTGGCCTTGGCTATGATTGTTTGAATAGGACATCAAAGGACATGCAACAAAAGAAAAATAAACAAGTAGGACTACATCAAACTGAAAACTTCTATACAAAAAAGGAAGCAATCAACAAGATGAAAAGACTTCCTATGGATTTGGAAAAATATTTTCAAACCATATGTCTTTTAAGGGGTTAATATTTAAAATATATAAGGAGCTCTCACAATTCAAAAGCAAAAAAAAAAAAAAAACAACCTGATTTCAAAATTTTTTACTCAGGATCTTTGAAGAAAAAAAATGTGAAATCATAGAAAAATGAATGAGAGTTATGTGTCTTGAGTGTAGACGTTAATATTCTTTGAATAAAGAACCCGAGTAAATATCTTTGAGTAAAGAACCTGAGTAAATAATGGACCAAAGGAGACATAAATGGCACAGATATTTGAATAGATGCTTAACATCACTGATCTTCAGGAAAATGCAAATCAAAACTACAATGAGATATTATCTTACACCTGTTAGAATAACTATTATCAAACAAGATAAAAATAGCAAATGTTGATGAGGGTGTAAAGAAAGGGCAACTTTTGTTCATTGTTGGGGAAAATGTAAATTGGTGCAGCCATTATGGAAAACAATATGGAGGTTCCTCAAAAAATTAAAAACAGAACTACGATGTGACCTAGCGATCCTTCTTCTGGGTAAATCCCCAAAGGAAATGAAATCAGCACTACATATAGATAGATGATAGACAGATAGATAGATAGATAGATAGATAGATAGATAGATAGATAGATAGATAGATAGACAGACAGACAGATAGTTAGATAGATCTGTACTCCCATATTCTGTGCAGTATTATTCACAATAGCCAAGATATGGAAGCAACCTTAAGTGTCTATCAATAGATGAATGATGAAGAAATTGCAGCATATATACGCAATGGAGTTTTGTTCAGCTGTAAAAAAGATCCTGCCATTTGTGTCAAAATAAATGAACCTAGAGAATACTATGCCAAATGAAATAAGCCAAACACAGAAAGGAAAATGTTGTATGATCTCTCTTATATGTGGAATCTAAAAAAAAAAAAAGTTGACTACTTAGAGAGTAGAACTGTAGTTATCATATGTGGGTGCATGAAGTAGGAAGGTTACAAAGAGATGCAGTTCAAGGATACAAAATTGCAGTCATGTCAGATGAGTAAGTCTGGAGATCTAAAGCACAGCACAAGTAATCTAGTTAATAATATTGTATTTTATACTAGATATTTGCTAAGAGAGTAGATTTTAGACACTCTTACCACCAGAAAAAAAATGTTGCTGTGTAAAATGAGAGATGTGTTAATTGGCTTGACTGTAGTGATCATTTGAGTGTGTATATGTATAACAAAACATCATGCAGTACACTTAAATCTGTATAATTTTAAAATGGATAAAATGCTTCAATGAATCCTGAATATAAAAACTAAGGAATTAGCTAGAGAGTAATCTGGGTACTCCAGATCATTTTCCTAGTACAACTTTGGAGTGAAAATGACTATTACAACAGAACCAGATGTAACACCGTGGCCTAGAAATAAGATTCAAAACCGATTACAGGCTTGCCTTCCTGGGTAAATGCTCTTATAAGTTCTTCAGTCAACCCAACTGACTTCTAATTTATTTAAGTGAACTTCAGTGTCTTTGAAATCCCTGATTTTTTAATCTTATTTGACAGGATTTCATTAGTTAGAATATGCAAATTAGAAATATGAAAAGGACAGATGAAAATTATCAGTAAATTTCAGGTACTGATATTTATAAAAACCTTCCTGTTAAATTATATTCTCAAATTATTCATAAACTCTTGAGGTCTTGAAATCTTTTTGAGGGCTACTCTGAAAAAAAGAAGTTTGCTTCTGACTGCCAATTATTTCTTCATGAAGAGAAAAATAAATAAATAACTAGTAATTCACCTTCAAAACAGTTTGAAGGGAGAACTTTAATAAATTAACATTGGCTTTTTTAAGTTTTGATTTCACTGTTAGTCCCAGATCTTATCTTCCCAATGAGTCCTGTATCTTCTTTCTAGTATTCAAGTACTAGACTATAATTTCTGTTGAAAAACTATTTAGGGATTTGTATTACAACCAAAGCTCAGACTGAGTCAGTTGCTTTCAGTGATAGGTTTCATTATAAAATGTTCACCTTCCTCTATAGATAAAAAATATACATACTATATGACTTTTTTCACTGAATGACTGTAGGTTTCTATAATTTAATTTAATTTAATGATACTGCCATTACAATTCATTACCTTAAGGACTTTGATTCAGAAAGTCAAAACTTATCAGTTAATTCACAAACAATTATGACCTGTGCCTTCATTGAGATTGTATGGATGTGTGTGTGTTTGTGTGTGTGTGTGTGTGTGTGTGTGTGTGTTTAATTCTATCTTTTCTGCGTGGGTTTGTCACTAAAGTTAATAGAAAATCCTGAAATATAACGGAAAGATGAAGCATAGTGGGCATTTGCTGTGGAAAGTCATGGTCACATGACGGCCACTCGCTGAACTCAGATAACCAAATCAATTTTTAACAATAATCAAAGCTGCTCTGATGGAGCTAGTTCAAGCTAAATGGAATTTTTTAATGTGATCAGGAAATGTATTATTTTATTAAAATTAGAGAAAAAGAAGTAATTGAAGCAGCACGATGACACTGTTTCCACTTGAGTGCAGATGGATGCATTACCCATATTATCTCTTGGTCATAATATACACAGAGGCTTCATTGCTTCAACTTTACTGACGGGTGTCTTTAGGTGATAAAAATTTTGCACCCTATATTACAAATTTTCATTGGGTAGGTGGAAAATATTTATTCAATAACTTCTAATTTTTTATTTCATCATCATTCAGTTTCAGGCCAGAGGGTAACAAATGTAGTAAAAATACTTGACAGCATTCAAAATTATTTTAAATGGAATCAGAACTATTTCACATAACTGGTTAAAAGAGAAATATTTTTTCTTTCCATTATGCAATTTCTTGTGTCCTGGCTTTAATGAATGTTTCACTTACAACTTTAAGAATAATATGTAAGTAGATATTTTTAAAAATGGAAACTCAATATTCTCACAATAATATATAAGAAAAAAATGCTTTTAGTTTATCCATTCAATGATGTTCTAATTGCTGTGTCAGTTATCACATTATTTTAAATTACTTTAATGAAAGGTTATTTTCAAGAGGTTTTCATATTTAAAAAGCATCTTGATTCTAGTGCAACAAATGTTGTTTATAAGCAAAGAGAATAAATTAAATGGAAACTTATTACGTCTTTGAGTGACTACACATTCTCCACTTGATAGAAAGATTAACATCTAGATTCAAGAGAAATTAATTGAAACTCAAGCTAATATTTTTGAAAGACAGTTTTACTATAGAAAAAAATAATAGCATTGCACAATGACTATTTCAAGTTAGAGAATAATCATGAGTTAGCTAAGATGTTTGCAGGCGTATAGCTACAGAAAATTCCTCACCTTATATAAATGTCCTTGCCTAAATTTTTTCTTGTCCCTGACAAATCCTTTCTACTGTCCGTTCCTATTTGAATTGTATGCAGAGATGTGACTAATTAACGGTCTGACTTCTTTTTCAAAGAGTCTTCATATGCTTGACCAAAGTCTTAAACTACTATTTTTATTCTTCATTTTGAAAGAAAATCTCAGTTGTTTAGATATTCTTATTTCACATATTACTTTCTAAACATTGTATATCTTTGTTCCTTTCCTCTATTTCTGGTTTATCAGTGTCACTTGAAATGAGTTGTGATTGGATGGGTAACTGATTTTTTAATAACTGTGTCTTGTTCATCCAAATGACTATTAGAAATAGTTATTTGGGGAGGTAATGTAGTAACTACTCTTTATATATTGGGAATGGATTTCATTCCCATTTTAAAAAGCTAAAGAGAGCCAAGATGAATGAACAAAGTTGGTTGTTGAGTGAATTAGGTATCCAAAGTCATGAGTCTTTTTTCTGTTAGTTCATAAATTGATTTTAATTACCAGTTTACAGAGAAATGTTCCAAAATTGTTCTGAGTAGTGCGAACATCTTCCCAGGTGATTATTTTGAAAAGACCACTTCATTTTGATGTATACACTTTGATATTTGTTTTAAAATTTTTTCAATGTTTTATAGACTTTGGTACTAAGTTAGAGATCTAGAAAACCTGGACTGTACTGGGAATTTAGAGAGCTCTTAGACCATAGCAAAATATATTATAAAGAGTATTAATGATCTATTGAATATTATCTTCTATTTTTTCAAAAAGCCTTTTCCATATGTTAATTTATATAATTCTTATGAAGCTGTGGGTATATCAATAAGCATTTTTAACCCCATTTATAGATTTGCATATTCACAGTTTGTAATTTCCTTGGGTTCATTTTATCAGTTGACTTTCCAGTAGGACTAGGAACCATGTTACCTGATTTCTATTCTATAATTTGTCTCTGCATCCCCCACCCTCCCTGTTACTGTACTCAAGAAATGTGCTAGCAAAATGAAAGAGGAATTCAAAATAATAAACGTGTGAAAGCTTGCTCTTTCACTTATTAATTGCTGATTCTTCTTAGTTCTTGAGCTCTATCTGTGAGTAGTTTGTTTATACCCAATCATATAATTTTATAAGTGAGATATTTGTTTTTGTCTTTATTAAGTAATTTATCCCTGACTTCTTCAGTTTCCAAAATTATTTTGAATTCTGAACATTCTTTCCACGTGCTGAGTAAAGAAAACTTTGAGATTTCTAGAAGACTGGCTACTCTGGGGCTCCTGGGCTCTACTTGGGGGAAGCACAGAAATCCATTTGATCACATTTTTGGATAACATGAAATTTGGAGTAAACTTGGGGTAAAGAGTAAATCACAAAGTAGACTCAGAAAAATCAGAAGATGCATGTGTGATTGATCTAATATGAGAAGACACAGTTAATTAGTGACAAAAGTAAGGTTCTATTCTTGGGTACAAAAACTTAAGTATACATCTGAAGTGGAGACAACCATGGCAAAGAGAAGATTTTGTGGAAAAACCATAGAGGGATATAATTGACAGTAAGATAAACAGTATAGCTTCTTTTAAAAAGTTTATCTTAGTTACATTTGAAATGTGGTATCTAGGAAAATGAAAATAATGTCCTCAATGAACTATCATAAAATGGCATCTTTATCACTGAATGAGCCCCACTATATCCCAGGCAGAGCTCAAGCATCAAGGATACAAGGATATTCTCAGACACCTGAGACCTGCCCTCAGGAAGCTTGCATGCTAGAAGCTCCCTCACAAGAGTGATGTCTTAGTCCATTTTCTGTTACTTAGAATACTCAAAGCTGGGCAATTTTTAAAGAAAGGGAATGTATTTCTTACAGTTATGGATGCTGAGAGGTCCAAGGTTGAGGGGCTGCATCTGGTGTGAGTTTTCTTGCTGGCAGAGACTCTCTGGAGAGTCCTGAGGTGGGGCAGGACATCACATGATGAGGGGCCTGTGCTTGCTAATGCGCTAGTTCAGGTCTTTCTTTCTCTTCGTATAAAGCCATGAATCCCACTCCCATGATAGTGCATTAATCTGTGAATGGAATAATCCATTCATAAGGGCAGAGCTGTCATGATCCAATCACCTCTTACAGACCCCACCTCTCAATACTGCCACATTGGAGATTGAGTTTCAACATGAGTTTTGGAGGGGACATTCAAACCATAGCAATGATAAAATAATTGAGCCATTCAGAGACCCCGAGAGAAGAGTGTCCTCCTGGCCAGAGAAAGAGCAACAGTATAAATATCAAGGCGTAGTTATACAAGTGAGCAAATATGGCCTATTTCAGGCATGGCAAGACATACTGAACAGAGGTGAGAATGATAGGAAATGAAGAGAAAGACATAGGCAGAGATGAATCTTGTGGAGTACTTCAGGTCATGATAACGATTTTAGATGTTATTCTGCACTTGAGGAGTGAAGTGTCTCCAAAGAGTGGCAAGGTCTTTACATTTTCACAGGCCAACACCACACCAGCTGTCGCTTTCCTCAGATCCTGGAGTGAATGCTCAGTAGGCCTTTTCTACTTTGTACTTCCATGGCATCTTGTTCATTTTTAAATAATGGTTTTTATCCTTCATAATTTTAATTCTCCTCTCTTCTAGGGCTACTTTTTGCCTCCTTCACCCTTGGTTAGCTGCTTATAAATAATTTTTACTACTCTCAAGGGTGACAGGCCCCAAAAATGTGCCTTTATCAACTCAAATTCATCACTTCTAGAGGAAACGTGTCTCCAAAGCACATGTTCTGTTAATGGTAGGACATCATCATTAACTTTCTATACAAGGGAAAACATTATTAAATATTAATGCAAAAATCAGACTAACACACATCTCTTTCCAGAATCATTCAGTTCTATCATGTGCTTAATATATTTAAAAATTTTCCCAAGGGTTCAGATGAGAATAGATTTTGCCACTCTATTTATCTTGCAACAAAAAATGAAAATACAGACCACAAAAATACATTTCACAGTTGGTCCCTCAAAAGCATCTACCTCTCTAAGAGTTTCCATTCATGACATTCAGTTTTGTACCCCACTGTTTTGCTTTGTGTGTACTGTCCCAATTCTTTATAACTTTTCTTCATTACATTTTCTAAATAACACTGAATTATAAGCTTATTATAAAATGAAACTCATGGGTTATGGCCACTCTCCTTTTTAAAGGACTTCTCTCTCTACCTGATGATTACTATCTTTCTTCTAAAGGGTTCAAAACAAATTTAGATTTTTCTGGGCTTTTTTCAGACTGGTACCTTTAATTTTTTAGGCACCTTTGCCTTTTCAAAAGGCAATTTCTCTTTGCAGTACTAACAAACCAAACTTTAAAATCTCTTATCCTCCTAACACCTACACTCATGTTTATATAGGCCTATTTACAATTAGTCTCATGTTTGGTCACCATATTTTCAATGTGTTCACAACAAACTAGACCCTCTGATGTTATCTTCTTCTCAGAAAGCCCACTCATCACTTTTGATTTGGCATATCATTATTTTATTCTTGTTTTCCTTTTTTCCTTGTGTTGATGTACTTCTGATTTCTTCTGAGTTTATTGCTTATGGAGTAGATTTGAAAAGGTCCCATTCCTAACCATCGTCCAAGATTAGAAAATTTGAGGATTTATTTATTGACTTTTTGGGTTTGATCTAGGATGTCTAAAGGCTGAGGCAGAACAGAAAAGAGGAAAAGGGAGGAAGACAATGTTAGACAGTAGCTAGACGGGAATGACTCCAGCTCTAGACCAAAAATATAACCAAGCTCTGAGAACCTCTGTATAAAGGCGGATGGGTAGCTCTTATTAGTGAGATGAAATTAAAGCTGAATTGCTCTACCTTATACCTGTATATACCTAATACCAAGTATGTTTTTGGTCATTTTTTGTTTTTTCTTCATAAATCAGTACATTCAGTTTCCTCATTCTTAATGCATTCATTTTTTTCTTTGTGTAAATTTAAGGATTACAAGTGCAGTTTTGTTACATGGATTCATAGTGAACTCTGGACTTTTAATGTATATTGTAATGTAACCCTGTTGTTAGTTTTAACATTTTTCAAAAATCTCAGTTCATCCTAAGCTTGAAGATTCTTTACAGTATTTGTGTGCTATCATTATGTATACAGATGTGGTTCTGTTGTCATGTATACTATGGTAGTTAAGAGAAGGAGCTTTGAAGTTTTATAATACTTTGCTCAACATTTACTAGCTGGATAAATTTGGGCTAATTATTTAACCTCTATAAACCTTGGTTTATTTATCTATAAAATGGAAGTTATAGTACCTATCTCATTGGATTGTAATAAGACAGAAATGATATTTAATATGATAAAGCGAGTATCACAATTCAGAGTCTCAGTCCTCCGAGTATCTCCCTCCTGCTCCAGCCACCCTGGTGTTGCCCCGCTTTTCATTATCCAACAATGATTGGCACATCAGGGAGCCATCAGCACTCTGGTCCAGCCCTAAGACTGCTTGTAAAATGAATATCAACTGTAATTGTATCTGTCTCTAGTTATAAACTGATAAAAGAAAGAGTACCAGACTTATATAATTCTAGCCATGCGGTTGACAGTTATTACTTTTTTTTTTTTTTGGTACAGATAATCATGACTTAGGAATAAAAAATAAGCAAACAATTTGGGCACACATTTATTTTGATGGTATTTAATTGTGACTAGCTGCAAATAATGATTGTAAAAGAAATTACAGTAAAATATCAAAGTTCTTACAGGCCTGAAAACACTTAGAAATCACAACTATGTCTCTTATTTAGAAATACAGAAAATCAATGATAAGCTTAAAGTTTACAAATAGTAGTGAAGGAAATTACTGTCAGACTATCTCTCCATTTCAGGTGATTTCTAGACCACAGTTCAGAAACCAGATTTAGGATGAATGACCTCTGTCTAAACAGGGAGCATGATCAAGTACAACACTGAAATACAAACGTGTGTTAATTTCCACCAGATAGAATAATTATTATCAATTAACGTGTTTTTTGTTTTTGTTTGTTTGTTTTTTGAGACAGAGTCTTGCTCTGTCGCCGAGGCTGGAGTGCAGTGGCATGATCTCGGCTCACTGCAACCTCCGCCTCCCGTGTTCAAGCGATTCTCCTGCCTCAGCCTCCCAAGTACTTGGGATTACAGGCACCCACCACCATGTCCAGCTAATTTTTGTGTTTTTAGTAGAGACGGAGTTTCACCATCTTGGTCAGGCTGGTCTCGAACTCCTGACCTCAGGTGATCCACTCACCTCGGCCTCCCAAAGTGCTGGGATTACAGGCATGAGCCACGGTGCCAGATCCTCAATTAAGGTTTTGACACAAACATGAGAAAATTTAACATTGTCAAAAGTATGCTGTGAAGATGTGTATAAATATTTACTCAATTGGAAATCTGCATCCTCTTCTCAAACACTTTTTTGTTGTTGTTGTTTGAGACGAGTGTCGCTCTGTCACCCAGGCTGGGGTGCAGTGGCGTGATCTCAAGTCACTGCAACCTCTGCCTCCCAGGTTCAAACAATTCTCCTGCCTCAGTCTTCTGAGTAGGTGGGACTACAGGTGCCCGCCACCACATCTGGCTATAATTTTTGTATTTTTAGTAGATACGGGTTTCACCATGTTGGCCAGGCTGGTCTCGAACTCCTGACCTCAAGTGATTTGCCTGCCTCGGCCTCCCAAAGTACTGGGATTACAGGTGTGAGCCACTGTGCCCCGCTTCTCTCACACACTTAAAAATAAAAATTATCTTGTAATAAACCGTTTACTCATATTTTAAAAGTTTGCTCTTGGAAAGAAAAACACGTCATCAATGTTCTCCAAGTAAAATGCTTTTAGGGGAAACTTTTGAATGTTTTACTGCAGACTACTCAACAAATTGCTATTTTGGATAGAGGGCCAAATGGATTTCTGTTTTATCTGAGTATTAATAAAAAAAAAATTCGAAAGCTTGGCTCTCTCAAACTATGTATCTGTGCATCATATATGTGGTTTATGGCATCAAAGTTACAGTTCAGTAGATTTCTAAAAGGCTTTTGAGACAGAGACATGAATTTTTACAGATTCTAATTACAAGTTAGAAGTCATCTCACTGTGGGAAATTAAAAATGGAGACAATTAGAGAAAATTCCAGTTGAAAGAAAAATGCATTATGGAAAAAGCAATAAAAGCACACACAAAAAAGCAGGAAAGTAAAAATCACTTATCAGTAGCCTCTAGTATTCAATTGTAGATCAATAGTGTGTAGTTAGTGCATTACCAGGAGAACATTAATTTGCAATTACCGCAGGTGATCTGATCCTCTCTTCTGTCCATTGACACAAATGACCCTTTGTTGAAAGAGAGTCTGTAGTCATTATTTTAAATAGAGCAACAGAAAGGCAAAAAGAATGCTTAGGTCACTTTCAGTCACAAGTATCTTATACCACACAAAATGGGAACGTTTATATTTTAGCGCCAGTCACGTGATGGAGTGTCATGGGCCTAAGCATGGGCGTGCCTGTTTGTGCGCAGGAGGAATGTGGTATGCACTATGTGATGGTGGGTAAAAATGATTCAAGGATGAAACTACAAGTGCCCTCAGTTAAATATAAAATAACGTAGACCTTTCATAAACCTCTACTACAAGGAAAGGTATGAGAGATTTTAGTTGAACTAAGTGTGTGTTTTTCATTGCCTCCTTTTGAACATACAATTTGAATAGCCTGGGAGGTAGAGAATCAGATGCCTCAACAACCATACATTCTTGAAAGAAAGTGGACTTCGGCTCTCTAGAGACGCTATTGTAATCATAAATAATATGGCAAGGACTCAGATGACCTTTTCCAGAAGCTACTGGACAGGTAGTGATATCAGTCTCAGAATCACCAAATAAGAACAGGAAGTCACTGAGAACTCCACCTTATTCATGAATGCTTCAACCCAAATGAAAATGCATCAAATTGTTTGGGTTGAAATCCCAGCTCTGTTGCTCATTAGCTATATGACCTTGGGCTTACTAGACGTGTGAACATTTTATACTTCAATTTTGTTATCTGTAAAGTGGAGATAATAATACTACCTACCTCGTAGTATGGTTGTGAGGATTCACAACCATATGCAAAGCACCTCATACAGTATCTGAAGCAAAGTATGTGTACCACAGATGCAAGCTATTAATTATCATCATCAGCCATCATCATCATCCAGTCTGCTAGTAGTTTTATGCATTTATGCCAAATTTTAAAATAAAATGTACAGCCCTCTATTCTAGCTTTTGACTAGTATGTATCTTAGCTCAGGGTGGTAGAAAGCAGAACCCAAGGAAAGGGTCAAGTGTTAATGTTTTGTTGGGAGATAAAATTCTAGGGTAGCAAGAGTAAAAGAAGATGGAAATGAGACAGAGAAAGATGAGACTTGAATACAAGGTAATGCATTACTGAGTTAGCCACTGCTTCACAAGCTTCAGTGAGACAAGACAGCCAACTGGCCACGTGGAACAACTCCAGATAGACTAGCTAGAAAGCAATGCCTTGGGGTAATCCATCACAGGAAAAAATGGAGAGGAAATGTATCTTCTATTCCCTTCTGCCTTCTGTCATGCATTGGTTGAAGTTCATCCTTCTGGAGAGTCCACTACCCAGTCCTTCTGGATTTTATCACCTGGTGAAAGCTTCTTCAACACCCTGTGGTTTGGCCCAGTATGGCACTTAATCCACTATATTACTCTCTTCTACACTTGTGATTATCCAACGTGGTTGAATATTCATAAAGTTATACACAATTTCTGCCTTATTTTGGAGGATGTGCCTTCATATATCTTTTATTCATTGGCCTACTTCTTTTTAAAACTAGATAGAATCTATCCATGCTATTTTCATAGAAACAGAGACTTTCAGAAATGGAGAAAACCTTGACAATCCATAAATAGTTGAATCTTATATTCATATGACTATGAGTGGTACACAGGTGAGTGAAAATAGTGTGCAATTTTATAATAGTTTTACCATATCATAACCTAAATCAAGTCACTCCCAGGATGCAATACAGAAGGCTAAGTTGGATGGTCTCAAGTAAAATTTGGCTGCTGTTAGGGAATTCTATTGGTACCCCCAAGGCTTGCTGGAACCTGGAGAAATTAGTACAGCAGTGACCTAAGCATGGAGAAGTGATCCCTGCTTGTTGCTGGAAACCCAGGAGAAGTGCTCTGAAATGCTTTCAGTAATGTGCTTTAAAAACTGGCAAGCATGCATGCAAAACATCTTCTAAAGCTATTAATCAGAAAGGGATTTGACAAGCAGACGGCACATGTGCCTTTCTAGAAAAGTGTCTAAAATGGGCATTTTAGTAACTCGAGAGGGGGAATATCATCCTTTTGCCGTTTCTCCATTTATTCCTTGGTCAAAGCAGCAGTGATCCATTAATCACCCACGTAGTCAAGTGAAGGAGGAAGAAGACAAGGAAACAAATAAATGGGATAAAGAAAACAGAGGACGAAGGTCCTTATGGTCAAACAATTGACAATTTTGTAAAGGAAAACAGCTTACCTACAGCAGTTTCCTTTTTTATCCCCATGGACAGGTACATTTTATTAGTAAAATAAACCACTGGTTCAATCATTCATTCAAAGTCCCGTATTTGACTGAAGTAGTCTGGCAGGTCAATCTGACCATTTAGAAGTTTTAACCATTCTAATTGTCATTTAAAATCTGTGATTTGATTTTCACAGTACCTAGCATTCTAGTGCCTGGACATTGTGATAACCATCTTAACTATCTTAAGCTGACATCATGTAAGGAAGCGATCATTAAGAGAACATAAACAGCTTCCCAAAGCCTAACTATAATCCACAGCCAGGTTAAGTATGTTGTCACTTTGCAAATTATGATAATAAAAAAATTATCATGGTTAACTTGTATGTGAAATTTACTATGAGACACACCTTTTGTAAGCTAAAAGTTGTAATAATTTATTTATACCTCCAGTAATCCTGTGAGATAGTTATTGTTATAGATTGAATGTTTGTGTCCCCCCAAAATGTATATGTTGGAATACTAACCCCAATCTGGTAGTATTAAGAGATAGGCCTTTGGTAAGTCAAAGGTTTGATAGGTCAGAGGGTGGTGCCCTTATAAATGAGATTGGTGCTTTTATTCAAGAGACTCCAGAGAGCCCCTATTCTTTCTGCCACTTGAAAACAGCAAAAAGATGGCCATCTATTAACCTGGAAGCAAGTCTTCACCAGACACCTTGATCTTGGTCTTCCTAGCCTCCAAAACTGTGAGAAATGAATGTTTGTTATTGAAGCTACCCAGTCTATGGCATTTTTGTTATAGCATGTTCAAACAGGCTAAGACAGGTGTTATTACTGTCCTCATTCTATAGACAGGAATGTTAAGTTACAGGATGGCAAGTTGTGATATGAATTTACACAATTTGGCCCAGAATCTGTTATTTTAACCGGTACACTATGTTGACATTTCTGCCCACTAAAATGGCTAGTATCAAAAGACAGATAATACTTAATGACGGTGAGGATGTGGAGAAACTGGAATCCTCACACATTGCTTGTTGGAATATAAAACGGTGCAACTGCTTTGGAAAACAGTTTGGCAGTTTCTTATAATGTTACAAAAATGTACCATACAATCCGGAAATTCCACTCCACATCATCTATCTCAGACAAATAAATATATATATCCAGAAAAAAAGACTTGCATACAGATGGTCATAGCAGCATTGTTTCTAATACCCCAAAACTGGACACAGTCTAAATCCCTAGCAGGTTGATGAATGGTAAACAAAATGTGGTGGTACATCCATACAATGAGATATTATTCAGCAATAAAATAGACTGACACCATAATAGCACAGAATATTTTGACATGTATAAAAACATGCTAAATGAAGATAAAAAGACACAAAATACTAATATTTGTTATTATAAAATTCCATTTTTATGAAATGATTGGATGTGACAAAATTATGAGGACAACGAATCAGTAGTTTCTTGAAGCTTGGGGAGGTGGTGAACAGTGGCTGCTAAAGGATGCAAGAAAACTTTTGGGTAATTGGAATATCGTAAAACCAGGTTGTGGTGATGCTGCACAACTCTATAAATTTACAAAAATATCATTGCCTTGCACACGTATAGTGGGCGAGTTTTATGCTATGTAAATTATACCATAATAATGTTTTTAAAAACCCACATACTTAAAGATAGCTTAAATAATATGTGTAATGAAGTTATTAAATACTGAATTTTGAAATCTGAATTGGGAGCGATTCATAGTGGAGAAAAATCTGTAGGCAAGTAAGGGGGATTTCACTCATGCTTAGGAGTTCTATTTCTTCAAAGTCTTACGGGAAAATGACATAATACCTTTATTTAAGATATGTATACTATTATTAGTATCAGCAATGTAACAAAATTAATGTTTGTGAACCTTGCCAAATTTAAAAATAAGCACGTTTAAATAAGTCTGCCTAATTAAGGCATCCTGGGTAGGAAGCATTTCTATATTTCTCAAGTGTGTTCCATGTATTAAAGTATTAAAATTAGAGTATTTCCTTACAAATAAGCACTAATCATACTTTGTATAAATGTTTATGAATGTTGCAAGTTATTTAAATTTTAAAACTGTATATTATTTAAGAAAAGTTAAATATATCAAGGAGAGATTGGCTTTGAAGCTGTCAATAACTAATATCTGCTGAGAAACTCAGTCATAAGGTTCATATTATCAAACAGTGTATTATGTAGTGGTCATAATTTCTATTCATTCAGCAAATAGTTACTGAGTGTCTGATGGGTACCAGGCACATTAGTAAGAAACAGATATATAAGAAAAATGTCAGATAGTGGTAAGTACTTTACATTAACTTAGAATTTAAATTAGACTGTGTGATAGTGACTGGGAGGATACCTTGTCTGGCTGGGGAGTCGTCTCTAGAGCAGTGATGTTTAAGCTGAGAACTGAATGAGAAGATTCATCCAGCTATGGGAAAGTATGGAGAAAGGCATTGCAGAAAGACAGAGCAAAGCTCCTAAGGCAGAAATAAGCTTGACATACTGAAGGAAGGCCAACGAGGCAGGACCAGATCATGCAGTACTTTGTAGAAAGTGTTCCCATTTTTGCAAAGTGAGGCAAGACATTGTTGGTCTTATGCAGTGGCAAATTATGATCTAATTAATATTTTTAAATAATCATCTTAGCTGTCGTGTAGATAATTAATTTAGGAGGGTCAAGAGTGAATAAAGAAAGTATTGCAGTGAGGCAAGTGAGAGACCATGATTGATTCCAGTTGCAAGAAGCTGTGGTTATGGCAACAAATAGATTCACGATATATACTTGAAGTAGTGCTACAAGATTTGCTGAGAGATTGAATGGTTGTGGACATGAAAAGAAAGGGACAGAGATGATTTCTAGACTTTGGACTGGTGGAGTAGTAGGCTGCAGTGAGTGGAAAAACTAGGAATGGTATTCTGGCTATAGTTAAGATGCCTAGGAAACACCTCCGTGAAAATGTCAGATAGGCACTAGTATCTTTTTGTTTCTATCCTACTTTCTAGACATGTCTCAAGCCTGAAAATGCATGTACAAGCCAATGCAGATAAATGAATGTATGTCTTATCTCCTAGCTAGGATGTATGTGCATTTTCACTTCTTAAGAATGCCTCATAGTAATTGAAATAATATTAGGCACAAAGCAGATATGTGCATACTTGCTTGTGGACAGATGCTAAGGGGAGAGAGGAATGCCTTACTGTAAGTCTCGACCAATGAATGTTTAAAAATGGACAATAAGCAACTGTGTTTTGAATAGTTCAGAGGCCAGTTTCAGTAAGCTCTTGTCATTCTCAGAAATATGTTCCTGAAGCTAAATTTTAGAAGATTATGAATCTTTGAGGAAAGAGTAAAAGAAATGAAATTCATATCAAATGTACATTTTAAAATAAAATAAGTAAATGGTCTATAAAACATTTCCCTCCAAGGGGGAGGGAAAAAAACGCTCTACATTTATTAGCTTTAAACACATGCTCATCCAATTCTATAACTTGCCTTCTTTGAATATTCAGGAAACATTCCTTCTTCATTTTGTTTAACTGGTCAGATTTCCTACACATTTAATATTTTTGTGGCTCATCAGTCTTTTGAAAACTTTTAAACCAGATTCTCCTGGCCTGAAATATAAATGCTCCAAGTTAAACATTTCTCTTCCCCTATTCTATGGTCATGCCCCACATAATCAGAAGAAAGAACAATGTTTGCTCTTAGCTTCGTTTGGCAGATATGAACCAGGAGGACCTTAACAGTTTGTGGAATTAAAGATGTAGGCATGCAAATATAAACTGCCATTATCTCCAAATCAACAATTCTGTGTTTGTAAGACGAAAGAAGATAATATGTCTAAAGATCAAAATATCAAACCTTTGTTTCAGATAGCTGGCTTAATCCCACAGTGATAGACCTGTCAGATATTATAATATTTAGCATATTTCCTCATGTGGAAAATGATGGGATTTCAGTTGTCATGCTTTAAGGGCATAAGCAATAATCTCATTATCATCTTCCTAAATCAATCAGTACATCGTGGATATTAACTCTGGATGACACCAGATGTAGCAATGAATATGAGGTGAGAGGAAAGTTTCACGACTCATCATTGAGCCTAAAAACAATGACACAAGCAAAAAATCAGTTTAATCACTGGTGAATTTGTATGGCCAAATACATCACACATTACACATGCCTGGTCTTACACAGCTACAGTAAGAATACTGTTGCACATTTATAAGGCCTGATGTCTCTAAAACACAAAAAATAAATGTGAGTAATCTGGAGGGAGTTTAAAAAAAGCCAATTCTATTGCATGTCTGAGCATTATTTAATTAGGTAATGTTGATTATAAGCAGATTCAAAATATAAGCAATGGTTTAAAGTGTGACATTTTATAGACAAAAATGAAATATAAAACACATAAAATCCAACTTACCTGTATTTATTTACCTTATTTACCTTTTCTTTGACCTAATTCATATTCAATAATTGATTTAAAACCTGTAGTATATTGATTTATGGGTAGGCGGTGGTAATATGATTCTGGTTTATACTCTCAAAGCATAACAATTGAAAGTCAGGTCATTTCCTTGTCTCAAAATTCGATCTTATATGTTTATCTGTGTGTGATTAAGTTAATTGTTTACAACAAAGATATGATCATTTTGGTCCTGGAGCTCAATGGAGCAACTCATCTTAGAAATTAGTCAATATGGAACACACACACACACACCTCAGAAGACACCAGTTGCACATTCAGATACAAAATTCAGAACTTGAATAATTATTCTTACCTCTGAATCAAACGCATTGTGTCACACCTATACCAACAAGGGAGGCCTTCCTAGTAAACAGTACTTAATAATTCTTATCTCATTTGGTCCTCACAACAGCTCTGCATGGAAAGTTCATTCTGACAGAAAACAAACAGCATAACCTCAGGCTGCTTCAGTCAACAATTTTGTTTGATAATTGAATGTGAAAAGAAACCGGAAGATTAGTCCATAAATTAACATGTGCTGAATGAAAGAATAAATTAATTAGTAGGTAGTTTTTGAGTAATAGAGAAAGTTTTTGAAGAAATGATGAGTTTGAATATAGCTCCCTTGGCGAAGTGCAGTGTGTCACACCTATAGTCCCAATCCTTGGGAGGCTGAGGCAGGAGGATCGCTTAAGCCCAGGAGTTCAAGATCAGCCTGGGCAACATAGCAAGACCCTGTCTCTACAAAAAAATTAAGAAATTAGCCAAGCATGGTGGCATGCGCCTGTAGTCCCAGCTACCCAGGAGGCTGAAGGAGGAGGATTGCATGTGCCCAGGAGTTTGAGACTGCAGTGAGCTATGATCATGCCACTGCATTCAGCCTAGGCAACAGAGTGAGACCCTGTCAAAAAAAAAAAAGAAAGAGAGAGAGAAAGAAGAAAGAAAAAGAAAGAAAGAAAGAAAGAGAAAGAAGAAAGAGAAAGAAAAGAAACAAAGAGAAAGAAGAAAGAGGAAGAAAAAAAAGTAAAAGAAAGAAAGAAAAGAAAAGAAAAAAGAAAGAGAGGAAAAAAACAAAAACAATTGCTCTCTTCTGGTAAAAATTCAGAATAATCTATTAAACACTCCTGGCTACATTCCCAGCAAACAGAGAGAAGGCCTTTACTGGGCATGTGCAGTGGTTTTGCAGGACCTGTATTAGAGGAAGCAAATCATTTACAATGGCAATAATATTTGTACAAATTTGCTCAATAATACATTTTATCATTTACTTTGAACTATTTCAAAGTAATTTGATGAAGTGTTGAACTTTATGAACTTGAAATAATTAAAGATAGAGAGGGAATTCTTTAAAATGAAAACATTAGTCCTGACCCAAGAATGCTGGACTGACCTCTATTGGTGCGTGATGCAGAAACCCAAAAAAATTAGATAAGAGAGTCTAGACACAAAACAAGATAGAAGACCTTTTCCTTAGCGTCTCTGGGCTCTGTTTTATCTGTCCTTTATTAGAGTTAGAATCCAGATTGCTTTAATATATATGTGTGAAAATTAGAACATTGTATATATTGGATTTGATAGTGTGAATTCAGTCATTGTTAAATGAGATCTTTTATAGGGTTCTTAATTATACATTCCTTCAGTTAGTGTTAAAGGGGACTATCATAAGAGAAAACATAATCAAATGACAATTGCTGATAAGACTCAGGCATCCAGACTGGGAACACCAGAGATGCAAAAATCTATACACAGGCTTTGTCCAGTTTGTCTGTGACAAATAGTACTTTGAATATGAAGAAAAATGCTGAAGAAGTAGAGTTACTCCCTGCATCCTTGAAATACATTGGCATATCCAAAGAAGAGTTAAGTAATAATGCAAAGATATTAATGTATAAATGATGCAATGAGTGATATAGAGTGCAGCAAAAGTTGAGAGAAAAGTATTCTCTTGTGGATTGATGTGAGTTCTTAATTATGATATATTCGTATAATTGGAGAGAAAAATGTATTCTGGACAGGGAATGAAAGGGAATTGTGTTTGTCACTGACTGATACTATTACAATATTTTTATTTTGCTTCATGTATTCATCCATTGAATAAGTCATATGCCAGGCAAAGATCTTTATGTGGTAAGTACTGGGTGTACAATGGTAACCAAAAGAAATATAGTCTCTGCCCTTTTTGCTGTGTCTCTGAAATCTGGTGAATGAGATCCAAATGATGATACCTATTGTGCAGTTATTTAGGCACTGAAGTAGATAATTATGTATGTTTTATTTGATATAATACTTACAAGAAATCTATACTACATATACATAGGTATATATGTGTATATATGTGTCTATGTATAAATATATGTACATATATTGTATATCATACATACAATATTGTGTGTATATAGATGCTTGTGTGTATATGTATGTGTATGCATAAACCTAAAAACATATACACACATACATATAAAACATACATTAACATAAACATATAAACATGTATACGCACATATGCATTATAAGCATATAGATTATATATATATATATATATATATATATATATATATATATATATATATATAAAATCTCCCTGTTTTCACATGAAAGCCAGTTGCCTTCGTAGTAGTGGTCAGAACAGAAAGCAGGACTGCACTGTGGTTACAAGAAAGGATCCTGTGGGCAAACTGAGCCAGAATTTTAATCTTTGTTCTGCCATTTAGTAGCTGTGTGATCTTAATCAAGGCCTGTAATTTCTGACCCCATATTTACCCATCTGCTAACTGAAGAAAATAATAATACTTACCCAAGGTGCTATTGTGAGTTTCAATGTGGTGCTACATGTAGACATATTTTGAACAGGGTTTAAAACATAATAAGTAACCTAAGTAAATTTCAAAATGCTGTAATCATAAGGGAATTTGGGTAAAGCATAAAGAAATAAGTTACAAAAGGACAGAATATTAAGTTTGTTAAAATACACCAAACTTTTCCACCCTTAAAGGATATGGATTTTGAGTAGCTCCTTGCCTCCCCTGTCCCCTTTGAGTTTTTTTTTTAGGCTGAAAGACCCTTGGAGGAGTGTCTGGAGAAGACATGGAAGCTCCGTACCCCTCCCTCATACCTTGCCCTATGCATCTTTTCTGTTTGGCTGTTTCTGAGTTGTATCTTTTATCATAAAAGGGTTAAACTGAAGTCCAGTGGGACAGCAGAGCAAGCCCATGATTACAGGCAATGTCCACCATTCATTCCCTGCCACCCCATTCCCATTAAGCGCTGGAGATGCCCTGTGAGGACCCAATTCTAGTGAACCACATTGTGTGAGAGTTCAACAAGATTCAAGACAAGTACAAGTTTCCAGGAGATGCAAGGGTTAGAGGAAAGAAATGTAAAGAACACTGTGGCAAAGCAGCCAGACTCCAGCAGTAGGGTTTCTACAACAGGCTGGTGCAATGAAAAAGAGGCTGTGCCAGATAAAAGGAACCTTGAAGGACAGAGCAACTGGATGCAACATGCAGTCCTGGATTGAACCTAGGCTTGGATAAACTAGCTATAAAAATATTATGGAAATTGTACTATGGATATCAGATTACACTAAGGAATTATTTATTTTATTAACTGTTAAAATATTATTTGGCTATATAGAAAAATGGTTTTATATTTTAAAATATATGAAGTTCTTACTAAAGTTGAAAAAAACTGTGATAATTTTTCAATAGGTGAATGGATTCTGTTGCTACAGAACAACCTGGAGCAACCTTAAATGCATACTGCTAAGTGAAATAAGTCAATCTGAAAAAGCTACATATATGTGATTTCAATTATACGACATATTGGAAAAGGCAAAACTATGGAGACAGTAAAAAAGATCAGTGGTTGCCAGGGGATGGGGGAGGTGAGGGTGAGGGGGATGAATACGTACAGCATAGTAGATTTTTAGGGCAGTGAAGCTATTCTGTATAAAACTCTAATGATGAATACATGTCATTATACATTTGTCAAAAACCATAGAAAGGTACAATGCAAAGAGTGAATCTTAATATAAACTATGAATTTTAATAATAGCATATCAATATTGGTGCTTTAACTGTAACAGATGTACCATCTAATGCAAGATATTAATAATGGGGAAGGTGCCGAGTTTGGGGGTGGTGTGGGCGTATGAAACTCTATGTACTATCTGCCCAATTATTCTGTAAATCTAAAAGTGTACTAAAAAGCAAAGTCTATTAATTATTTTTTTTAAAGTTGGAGGCCAAAAGGGACCCTTTAAATCTAGGATTATCTGGGTCAATAACAGGATCAAGTCGGGTCCTCTTATTGGATCAAGTCAGGTCTCCAGGATTCCAAATCCCCACCTAAGTAATAAAAGCCTGGTGAATTAGATCCAATGTTAATGCTCTGAGGCCTGCATAAGTATCTGAAAGACCAGAATGTTAAACTAAACCAAAAGTGACGGAGCATTTTGGAATGCATTCCACAGGGACAAGTGAAAGTCTCCCTCCAATATAAAGACAGGAATGAAAAAAACCCTCTGAGTAAGGGAATCACAGATCCTAGTGGTACAGGACAATCCCAGTTTATACTGCTGGTCCTGGTATTTTCACTAATAGTTTCCTGTTTACTCTCAAGTGTCACAGTTTGGATGGTAAATTATATGGTCATCTCTAAGCATCCTCCTAAAACCCTCAGCCTAGAACTTTTACTGGTGTTTGTAATCTTTCTTCAGGTTGTCAGAGTCACAAATCATAAAATATGTGCCCTTTTAGTGAGAAGGCATAAATAAAACTACTTCTTTGGACATTGCATTTGTTTGTCTGTAACCATGTTCCAGTAGATCCATCTTTTGTAGCTGAAGACCAGGCATTTTACTTTTAGGTTCTTGGCCTTCATTAAAACAAAAAGCCAAAAAAAACTAGCATACAATTTATTTTCCTGGTCTTTCTGCAAAACCACAAACTTTGTGAGCTTTTATTTTTCCATATACACAGTAAAGGGATTAAAAATGAGTTTAGTATTTTTAAAAGTTCCTTTTAACAAATGCAAACCTTATTGCTTTGCTTCTCTAGCCCTCCCATAAATATGCACCGTGTTTACCATATATTAACTTCAACATTGGTAAGGTTGTTTTGTTTTTCCTATAACGCTTAACTCTTACATAGTTTATTCACTCTTAATCAACTGAACTTTAACTTTTGTGTCCCAGAATATATTGGCAACTCAGTCAAAATTGTTGACTCACTGATAACAGCCAAGTTGTACTCTCTCACAAATTTGTGTTTTTATCAATTATAGATTAACTATCACACCAACTACTGAATTGTGAATGCTTTCAGAGGTAGTCAGGACTATTTGAGATGTTATTTTCATGTTAACAAATGTTTCTCATTGTAGGTGAGTTGTTCTTTTTTTTTTTTTTTTTTTTTTTTTGGAATGTGAATGTCTGCTTAGTTATTGAGTGACCACATAACTTTCATCCATCTTCAGAGTTCAGAAAAAAATTCCATGCGTTAATTTTCCCTATAGACTTTTTCTCTTTTTTTTTTTTTGGGGGGGGGGGGTCTGAACTCATCCTTTATTATTTTTTTTATTTTTTTTATTATACTTTAAGTTTTAGGGTACATGTGCTTGTGCAGGTTAGTTACATATGTATACATGTGCCATGCTGGTGCGCTGCACCCACTAACTCGTCATCTAGCATTAGGTATATCTCCCAATGCTATCCCGCCCACCTCCCCCCACCCCACAACAGTCCCCAGAGTGTGATATTCCCCTTCCTGAACTTTTTCTCTCTAGGCATTATGACTTCTCCTCTGTGATCAAACTCTATCTGGTATTTTAGTGAATGATATGATAAATCAAGTTTTCCCAGCTGTGTTGACTCTGTTGAAAAAGAAAGATTGCCTAAAATTAAGGATTTGAGTCTTCTGACAGCTATTGTTTGGATGTTTAGTTTCCTTTTCTTACCCCACTTTTATCATGAGAGGTGCTGAGCATGCACAATGCTACATGCAAACCCTTACACCACCACCTGTGTTACTGCAGAGTAATTGAAAATTGCTGTGGTAACTGATGCAGCACCAAAGCCTGATGGTGAGAAACGATGTTAGTAGAAAAATCCTACTGCCTCTGAAGAGCAGTGGCCAAGCTTCCTCAAACTGCAGCCACAGTTCCTAACCAAAGAATGGGCTGCATAGGATCCTGGTGTGTAGAAGACTCCAGTTGTTACCTCAGTCTTTTGAGTCTTGTATTTATGCCCGTTGGGAAGCAGAGCCATCAACAGCAATATCTTTGAAGAGACAGAACAGTAATCACCATTCTTTGGCCCTACATGTTGTACCTGTCTCACCCATTTTATCTCTAGTGTCACATAAAAGGCAGACAGAGGTGCTGTGTCTCTGTATGGTTCTTATTATTATTTCTTGGTTGCAGTCATTATTGAGATCTGAGTCCAGTTAGAGCTCACTTTGTAAAGGACAGATACAAGGAAGGGGGCAGGGCAGTCTCGCCTGCAGGGCACAGCCCTTTGACTAATCAGCGCAGGCCATCTTCAGTGAAACTGTGTCATCAACAAAGTGCAACAGAGAAGATCAGTCTCACAAATGCTCTTCTGAATAGTAGTCGAGTGGGTGGCCCATCATATGCTGCCTTTGAGAAAATACTTGGAGAATTGATGATTATATTCTGGCTGGCAAAATGTGGTTTGGATCTCAGTATAATATACCTTGAAAACATATTATTCTCTTCAGTCTGTCTTTAGCTGATCTTGGGTTAAGAAATTAATTAAAGAATGACCACAGAGTTACACTGAAAAATAGACTTTCAGGCTACATAAAGTTCCTTCCTAATTGGAGGAAAAGGGGGAAATTTTTATACTTAAAATTTATCAGAGAATTTATCGTTTCAGAGGATAAGTAATGTACTGAGAAGAAATATATGATTTACAAAATAAATGACTCCTATACCATTTGGACTGATCAATGAGTGGCAATTAAAAACAACTTTGAAAATATTTAATAAGCAGAACTACTTATCCATTTCGGCAATTTTTCTGAACTGAACTTTTGAAAAACAACATCTCCGGGGCTATTCGTTTGTTGTTCTTTTTTTCCCAATCCTATTTGCTGTGGTCAGAACATAGACAACTGAACTCAAAGCCAGATTTCTTAGTAGAATGACATTTGGACAGCTATTTTACTTAGTGATCCTGTGCAGTTTCGTAGCAAAGCTGAAATAAGCCCTCTCCTTTTGGGGGAAACAAGATGGTATTCTGCTGAATGCTGGAATTTTATCACTTTGGGAAAAAAAAAAAAAAAGCTGCTTGAGAGACCTAAGAATATAAAAGCATTTGAGATCTCAGAAGGAGTTTAAATCAATGCACTGCCACAGTTACAGAGCAGATGAGAGAGCCTGCTGTCTCAATTGCCAGGAAACTACTTAGAAACTCTCACTTTGATTTCTTCACGTAGTCCGTTACATTACTGCTAAATGCAATATATAGGGACATCATGACTTTGATGTTGTACAGCTCCAACAGATAGAAACTAATATGATAGAACAACTAAGATTTGTGGTTTTATGTGAATATACAAATACATCCCCATCTAGTTCCCTATTTACTATGTATCTCCAGGGGCTGTCTTTTAACCTATATTTTTATAAAATTATAATTTTGGTGTTTTATTCATGAATTCCAGTAAGCAATGCCATGTTTATGTAGTACCAAAAGCTCATAGGCGGATATTGTTATTCTGAATTCTTACCTTATCTATATGTATTGTACATCCATTTTTAAAGTACAATGTAGTTTTATACATCTGTTTGTTAGTACTGGTCAGAACTCAATTCCGTGAGTAATTATTGATTCCATGCCTTCAGAAAATCTGATTTTTTTAATCAGTAGGTGTGGACAGATAGAATTAGAAACTGCATAACATCCGAAAACAGGAGAAATTTAGTTTCCAGTTAAAGTAAGAAATTTTAAGTGGGTCATCCAAATATTAAAACCTTAAATGTTAAAAATCTGTGGATTTCTGTCATAATAATTAACTAATAAATGTGAAATCACTTCGCTTCTTTTTATGAAAATTATACATATATGCTTGTTTATATATGTAAGACTTTCATCTCATTTAAGGCTTTGAAATTTATGGAAATAATAATAAAAAGAAAAGATAAAAAGCTCTGCAGAGGTCAGAAATTCTGAGTCTTACTGTTGGCCCTCCCAGTTACTAATCTTGATTTTGGGCACTGCATTCAATGTTTGGTTTCAATTTCCTCACTTACTGAACAATTCATAGCACCTTCTCTGTCTTTCTCTTAGAACTGCTGTACGATGATATTGACAGACAGTGTTGTAGCAGAAAGAGCTTCAAACCAGGCGGGTCTGCCAGCACTGCCTCCAACTAGCTGTGTACCATGCACAGATCATTTAGCCAGTCTGGACTCCTGATCTCTGAAATGAGGAAGCTGGTCTGAAAAAAAGTCTAAATTCCCTTTAATCTTGTTTGTCACCATGCTTTGAAAACTATAAATCATTGTATAGATATTTCTTTTTGACAGCATGCTTTGAAAACTATAAAGTGCTATATAAAATATTGCAGATGTTTTGCATAGTTTAAACAAAATATGTGCTTATCAAAATAGGTTAGTAAGAAGAGATAATATAACCTTCTTTTTCCTGAGAAAGCTTTAAGAATTGGATGAACAACCCTTCTTATTCAGTGTTTCATATATGAACCACATTCATGGGAGGCTTCTTGAACCTCTTCCAGATACATAACTCAGTTATTAATGCAATTTGTGATGTGATAACCATTGCAGAAGAATTTCCGTTTTTGCTTAAATGTAGTAATTCTCCAATAGAACTTTTACTAATGAATTTACAGTAAATTTGAGACAACTTTAGACTTAAATTGTAAGCATATATTTTACTTGCATATAACCTGGAGGCACATACTTCTAAGTCCTGAAGTGTAGTTTATCCACCTGTATGATAAGAAATGAAAAGGGATAATTATGGTCATGGGTTTATCTGAGTTGTGTTTAATAGATCAAGATCTCTATTTTTAAACTTTGTTATATTTTAAAATAGCATTTGAAAAATGTGCTATTTGATTACACAAAAGCATGTGCCAGTCTCAGGGTGTTCCTGCTTTTGTAGAACTCTTCTCTGCCAAATTATTTACCTGGGATAAATATTTTTAATCTAATTTAGATTTTATTTGATAGCTTCCTTGTAAATTTATTTTACTTTTCAGATGAAGTGAGCTTTTTTTTAATAGGCAAAACTTCCCATTTTGGCCTCTGCCAGGCACTTGAAATTCTAGATTACGTGAAATTCTACAATACCTATGAGGTTTAGTACCATTCTGTCTAAGCTTTATAATTTCCACAGTACTTCCACCTTCATGGTATAATTTAATCTTCACAACAATAAGATGTTATCATCCTCCTTTTTCAGATGTAAAGGAGGGAGAAGGGAATCAACAAGCTAAATGACTAGCCCTAGTTACACAGCTGCCAGATGACAAGAGTTGGGTCTCAGACCTGAGTCTTCTGACAACAAAACCAAAGCTTTTTTTTTTTGGAGATCATTATTTAATGCAAATAAAAATAAGGTCCATGCCTTTCCTCTGCAGTATTTGACCAAAAATGTATTACATTAAAAAAATTATATCCTGCCTAATTCATGCCCTAATGATTTATTCATAGTATGAAATTTAATTTTGGTGCCAATGTAGCTGAGTATAAGCTACTATTTTAAGCACTTAAGTATGTTGCCTTTTAGTTTCCTATGTGCTAAGTATTTAATCTCCATTTTTAAGTGAAAAAAATGCTCATGATTACACAGCTAAGATGTAATTGGAACTCTATTCTGCTTGACTTCTGTGTGCATGCTCTCAGCCTCTTAACTTAATATGGCATAGAAACCACAAGATTGACTTTAAGAAACAGGACTTCAAGTCCAAGCTCTTTCCATTTTACAAGTAAGAATATTACTCCCTCTCCTGACTAAGTCAGCTTTGAGTACTGAAAGAAATAATGTATGTAAAGAAGATTTTGAAGACGTAAATCTCCATAAATAGGTAATTTACTGATAATCTAGTTAATCTCATTTTATGAGAAATAATGAGAAAAGAATAGCTCCCCACAACCCTCTGTTACCATCCAGGTATTTGTACAGTTGTTCTGCACAGGTCGGCCTCTATTAAATGCGTCTGCACCTAAAGTAAAAATTCAGGGCACTGTGTCAGACCCCTGGAGGAGGCTATTTGGTGCTTTATGGAACACGTCAAATCACGCTGCACGGGGGCCACCACCTACTCTGCTCCTGTGTAGGGCTGGTCCTGCTGAGAATCTAGGGGCCTCTCTTTAAAATAGCTCACTATAGGGATATTCACACATATAGAAATAATTAATGGTGGCAACGATCCTTATAATGGCACCTGATGCCCTGCTGTGAAGAAAGATAAACCAGCCTTCACCATAAAGAACTTACAAATTATACTAAGCAAACATGTTAACAGCTATTAAGAGTCCTAATCAGAGCTGTTAAACAAACAATTAAGAGATGTCATATAAAATGCACCCATTTAGGCATAGCAGCTACATGTTTGGAGTTTTAACAAGAACGATTTACCTTTGAGATAGCGATAAGGCCCTCAATGGAGTATATAAGTTAGGCAAGGACAAGGCATCTTTCTAAGCAATTCCATTTCCTGAGATCAAATCCATGGGCAAAGCTGTTCTCAATGGTGCACTTGCATCCTAAGTTTTATTTTTAGTCTTATTAGTATTTAATCAGCAAATTATTCTTGTTTCTTCAAACATGACTTCTTATTATAAGTAGTGCATTCTTTGAAAGGCTAGGAAAATGTTGATATAATCTAATAGTAAAAATTAAGAAGAAACCTATTTGTTTAGAAGAAATTTTTTTTTGCAGTCAGCATTTCAGTTGAGATGAGATTCACCCCTGCCAGTGCTTAAGACTTTGCTGTTCTAAGTGTGGTCCAGCAGCAGCAGCAGCATCCCCCGAAAATTTGGCCAATGCAGGATCTCACTCCAGGATCCCACTCTAAAGCTACAAAACCAGAATCTGCATTTTAAAAAGATCCCCACCTGATTTGTATGTGCAACAAAATTTTAAAAGAAAATATCAATGTGCAAAGTTCCTACTATCAAAAATTCTATCAGGAAAATTAGTAGGTTTAATCTTATTGGAAGTAAAAATTAAACTACTCATTTTGTAAAGGTACGTAAGTGGTGTGACATTTGCCATATGATTAAGTATATCTGAAGTGGTCCCCTCCAGCACTCGTGTCTCATGGTGGATTCCAGGGCTTCCAGCATTGCACACTATCCCAGTCTTGCTCAGTAAGTATCTTGTAGTCTCTCCTTCCTCTTAAGGTTTTGTGTTCAGTTCACATTCTCAGTATAGCTCCCAATTATGTGAAACACCAACCCTGTATGATAAAGAGTCTAGAAGTGGGTGGGAAAGAGGAAGTTTTCTTAGCCTTGGGACCTACCATGTTCTTCTACAGTTAAAAGATCCCAAGTCTACATTCTGATCACTCCACTCCTTGTCTGAGTCTACTGTATACAAATTGTGCCATGTTTGAGGATTGAGATAACTCATAGCTTTTGTATCTTCTTCCTGGAAACATCAGGGATGATTTAGATTATACTTTACTGTTCATCCCTTGCAGTGTATTTCTAGATTCATTTTAGCAGCAGGATTTTACAATAATCATGAAAATCCCATAAAGTACATGACATTATGTGATTTTCAAAATCTGATTTCTTATGTTCACATGGTGAACTATTTTAAGACTATAGTAAAGTATACCCATAAGCATATACTACAAAAAAATAGAATCTCAGAGTGAGCAAAGAGGATTAAGTAAAGCATCAGTTGACTTTTATAGTCAAAAGAAAAAAAATACCCCTGTGGAGGAAATGATAATGATGTTCCTTATAATTGTTGTGAGAAAAAAACACCACCAACTCTAAGAAGGTTATAACAGGCCTAATTAATGTTCAAATTGTTCCTCCTGAGAAACAGATTTTTTTAATCTGATGTAAATGGGCTTCCTAGAAAATGTTCTTGTTCATATTTAGTAGTTATTCTATACTCTTTTCTACATTGTACTAACATGCAGCACTTCAGAATAGAAAATGAAGGGGTTTTTGTTTCTGCTTTTTGGTTTTGGCTTGTTACTATTCTTACTCATACTGTACAAGTAAGAAGGTAAATTGAAAACATTGACAATTTTTGTCTAAAAGTGTGGATTTTTTCAAAACCAGAGCTATATTTCAGTTGAAGATAACTTGATTAAATTTTTAAAAACGTATGCATTTGGTCCATGCAATAGTTGTAGGAAAGTATTTGTAGTTATATTAAAAGTTTTTCCTCTGTTAATGTCTATATCTAGGTCATATTCTATTGTATGGCCAGGAATTCTGGTGCCACCACTTTCTAACCATGGGGCCTGGAGCAAGTCATTTAACTTTCCTAAGACTCACTTTCCTCACCTGTAAAATGGGGCTGAAAATTAAACCTATCTTTTAGGGTTATCTTGAGGACTAAAGAAGATAATATATTTAAAAGTGCTAACAAAGTGCCTGGCCCCTAAGAAGAGCCCGCATCATGTTAGATATTGCATTGTTTTATTCTCATCGCATAATCATTCAGCCAATTTTGACAGAAATCTCATACACAGAAATCAGTCTGTCCTATTCTGAAATGTAAAATAACTGTATCTCCTTAAAACATAATTATTTTCATTCTTTAAAAAAATAAAATGCAGGCCAAGCATGGTGGTCCATGCCTGTAATCCCAGCATTTGTGGGAGGCCAGGTGGGCGGATTGCTTGAGCTCAGGAGTTTGAGCAATATGGCAAAACCTCATCTCTATAAGAATAAATAAAAAAATAAATAAATAAATACCAAAAACAATTACCCAAGCATGGTGGTGTGTGCCTGTAGTCCTAGCTACTTGGGAAGCTGAGGTGAGAGGATTGCTTGAGCTCAGGAGGTTGAGGCTACACTGAGCTATGATTGTGCCACTGCACTCCAGCCTGGGTGACAGAGCAAGACTCTGTCTCAAAAATAAAAGTAAAAAGCAAAATGCAAAACCCTATAACCTATAACCCCAGCTCGCCTCTTCCTCTTACAGGAGCCAAACTTCTTAGAAATGTGACCTGGCTGCATATCTTTAGTTCATCATCCCTCATCCATTCCTCAACCTACCAAAAAAACCGGCATCTACTCCATTGCAGATCTCTCCTATAAAGGCAAATGTTATCCGGTATATTGCCGAGTGTTACATCCAGTCATCGCTTCCAGCTCTGATATTCCTGACCTTTCTGCAGCGCCTGACTTAACTCTCTTGGATCTCTTCTGCTCGGTGTCCCTCACGATCATCTTCCTTAGCCTTCCTTTTAAGTGCTAGCATTCCCAGAATTTCACACCTGGCATTTTTTTAGGTACACATCATGGAATCACTACCACTGCTTGCTGAGAACTCCTAGGCATATATATATATATATATATATATATATATATATATATATATATATATATATATACACATACATATACACATACATATATATACACACACACACATATATATATATATATATATATATATGAGAGTTCTGTCTCTCTCTCTCTCTCTCTCTCTCTCTCTCTCTCTCTCTCCTTATCCCATTCCCCATTCTGGAACCTCCTAGTATGTTTTCAATAAATTCTCTCAACCAACCTAGCAACAATGAGGTATCAGGTAGCATGCTAGGCACGAGGCTTACAATAAAATGTATTTAATCAAAGACCCAAAAGGCTTTAAGAGTCTTTGAAATAGAATCTTATTATTCTGTTTTCAGGCATTTCCTTCATTTTCTTTTTCATTCATGCATGACATGATTTTTCTTTGTTGGCTGCCATTGCCAGACACCCTGATATACTAGGTATTCAACATCTGGGAAAACAGGATAGAAATGAGTTTTTCTTTGCTCAGTTTTGTTTTAATGGTTGTTTCATTGTTTGAAGTTGAAATATAAATTGGGAAGTATGTTGAATTCATGTTGTAAATTTTGAATTTGATGTAATGTTGGGCCATGTTGGTGAAGAGGTTCTACAGGAAGTTGTAAATGACTCTCTGGAGTCTACATGTGATATCAAAATTGGAGGGATATCTTTGGAAATAAGCAACCTAGAAGCAGTATCTAAATCCACATTCTTCAAGCTTTAACTCAAATCCCAGCCACACTCACAGAATCCCCAGGGTTTTTTTAGTGGAAGAACTTTAATTTCTCTGATTCAAACTTCCTTAACTCCAGAATTTTTTATTTTAGTTCTCTTTTCTTTTTAATCTTTTGTAATAGTCCATTCTCATGCTGCTAATAAAGATATACCTGAGGCCGGGCACAGTGGGTCACGCCTGTAATCCCAGCACTTTGGGAGGCTGAGGCGGGTGGATCACAAAGTCAAGAGATTGAGGCCATCCTAGCCAGCATGGTGAAACCCCGTTCCTACTAAAAATACAAAAATTAGCTGGACATGGTGGTGTGTCCCTGTAGTCCCAGCTACTCGAGAGGCAGAGGCAGGAGAATTGCTTGAACCCGGGAGGTGGAGGTCACAGTGAGCCGAGATCGCGCTGCTGCACTCCAGCCTGGTGACAGGGTGAGACTCCAAAAATAAATAAATAAATAAATAAATAAAAAGATATACCTGAGACTGGGTAATTTATAAAGGAAAGAGGTTTGATTGACTCACAGTTCAACATTTCTGGGGGAGGCCTCGGGAAACTTACAATCATGGCAGAAGGGGAAGCAGGCATATCCTTCATCACATGGTGGTAGGAAGGAGAAGTGCAAAGGAAAAGGGGAAAAGCCCCTTATAAAACCATCAGATTGTGTGAGAGCTCACTCATCATCACGAGAACAGCATGGAGATAACCATCCCCATGATTCAGTTACCCCCACCAGGTCCCTCCTACTGCACGTGGGGATTATGGGAACTACAATTCAAGATGAGATTTGTGTGGGGACACAGCCAAACCATATCATCATTATTCATTCATCTTATATTTGTGGAGAGCAGACTAACAGACAAACAGTGTCCTAGTCACTGCAGATAATATAGTGACCAAAATAAATGCAGTTCTTCCCTTCTGAAACTTTGGTCTAATTGGGAAGTGAGTTGTCAACTAAATAATAATGCAATAATTAGAAGTTAAAAATGTCTGATTAAAAGAAGGCCATAACCTATTCTGGGCTCCTGGAAGCCTCCTTGAAGAAGGGACATTTACCATGAGCCTGAGGAATGGTTGGTAGTTAGCCATGTGTGGAAAAGAAAGGCCTTCTAGCCAGTGAGAAGGTCTTGTGAAAAGATCCTAAGGCAAAGAAAGACTATGGCATTTTTTTTGAGGAAGAAAGGAAAGACCTGGGTAACTGGATCATAGTTGACAACAAGGAGAACAATAGCAGATGAGGAGGGAGACAGAGGCAGGGGTAAGTGATGGTTGAGTTAACGTAATAAACAGCACTCCAACCTCAGTTTGACCACTTTCAGACGTGAGAACTGCCTGCAGGCAGCACATCCCAATAGAGTGACAATGAGAATTTAAATGTCCTTTATTATGTTGTGCCAAATTCGACTCCTTAAGCCTGACATATAATAAACTGTAGCTATTTAAACTATACAACTTAATAAGTTTTGGAACATGTATATACCTGTGACACCATTACCATTGCAAGTTTATGAAAAATGTTCATTGTCCCTGGAAATTTCCTTGTGTTCTTTGCAGTCCATTCCTCCCCACCACCCCCATCTCCAGACGGCTACTGATCCATCATGCCTCAAACAGTGCCTGGCACATAAAATAAATATTTGTTGACTCAAAGAAAAGTGAATTTGTTTGGAGAATTATCTCTTGGTTTGACACTTGGTTGACTGCTCTGTCTTTTCTAGGTATGCAGTGCCATTCAGAATCAGGATTTCACTGTGATCGAAGACTACTGCACTGGCCTCAAAGCCCTGCTTTATCTGAAAAGCATTGAAGAACTACAAGACTGGGATGGACAGAGTCCAGCTACTGTGAGTCACCAGAAAGGGAAACCAGTTCCACGTATAGCTGAACTCATGGACAAGGTATGTGCTTAAATCTCCTGTGTTATTCTTGAGAACTCAGCCTTGGTTTCTATTTCAGATCTTATTTACCATCTCACATTCTCACTAACAAAGGAAACACAGTGCCTCCTGGATGTGATTTCTTCAGTGGACTCTTTCTGAAGGAGACTTGATTACAGCCATATGATGGGTCTGTGAGTTACCTTTTTATAAACCAATACAACACAAGATTATATAAAAGGAAAAGACCGATGTTTGCAGTGTAAAGTGCCTCCAAATTCTTGCTTACTGTGGTGATGACTGGCATTCTTCCCAGTGGGAGTCTGGAGATTTCTTTATGCTTTCTGGAAATTATAACATTACCTTTCTATTTTCAAGACAATCAAATCACTGTAGTCTTGAATAATATAAGGAAGTTTTTAAAATTAAAATCTAATCAGTATCTTTTGTAACTGCTTCTGCTGTGTGGTTAAACCCGGTCTCAAACGGTTATGGTCCCAGCTTTCTCACTAACTGCTATTTTCCAAGAAATATACACTACATTTACGTTTTCTATAATACAGTGATTTTAGCAACACTGCTAAAACAACATTCAGCATTTTGCCTTTGTATTTCCTTTGTATTATTCTAAATAGATAACCATTGTCAGAAGACATTTCTTGAGCCCTCAATGAGGGGAGGAAAAAATTATAATTCTTAGTCTTTTCAGCTTGTCACTACATCAATAATTAACTTTAAAAAAAAGAGAGGCAGTATAAAAAGATTCTTTAAGGAAGCATTTAATAATTCAAATGAATCTTAACTTGAAGCAGGTCACATGAAAAAGAATGGAAAACAAAAGCCCTGGGTACTCTGCCTTGGATGACTGGGTTAGGGACTCAGAAAGAATAAGAGAAACATCATATAATTGACTTATATTTGGCTAGTTTTAGTAGAAAATATCACTGTCCCTCTCCTAATAGATAGCCAAAAAAAACCCTTCTTCAAGAGTAATGTGTATGGTTGCAAGTCCAGTAATGAAAAAAGAAAAGGAGGAAAGAAATAAAATCTTACAATGTGGGTTCCAGGAAAATGTCATGATGAATGACTCCATGAGTGGCAATCAAACAGAAAGACTGTGACATTAATATTTATAATATTGTAATTAGCAAGATAATGCCTAAGCAGCATTATTAGTGTAACTAATCATATTATCATAAACTGACTCTGCAGTATTTAGACAGTGAGTGTTCTTGCCTTTATCAATGACTATCAATATCCTAAGGTTGCTTATAACTAAAAAAAATTCACAAATGACTTTACAATCATTCGATGTAAATATCTCAAGGAAATTGTCTCTGACATGATAGTTTATGACCATCTATAAAATCATTGTCTCAAATTTGGGTGGTTGCCATGTGAGCGGAAATGGAAGTAGCTGCATTGCACTGTCATGTTTTGTCTTTAAAGGATTTTCACACTCGTTTCAAAACTTACATATTCAAATAAAAGATGGGTAATGATGAAGACAACTTGTGTCAATGACATAAATGGAAACTGATTTGGTAATAGTTTGAATCAAGATTCAGACTTTATTTTGTTAAGCTCAGCTTTCATCAAAATCGTAAGTGTAATTTTCAGCATTATCATTCGTTTAAAAAAAGGAAGATTTTTCTATGTGATTATATTAGTGATTCATTTCTCAACACTAACTTGAGGAATAAGCAGATGGTCTGGTAATAGATTTGTGCTTCTGGATTCTCCTGTGCAGGCTGACATGACTAAAACAATAGGTGATTATCCCTTTAGATTTATATCCCCAGTAGTGAATCAAAGTACTCTGGATCTAGGGTACAGGTGATTTCCTAATCGTTCTTTTTTTTGGTCCTATAATTTTTTTATTTTTCTTTTTATTATGTTTATATTTTTTATTATACTTTAAGTTCTAGGGTACATGTGCATCATTCTCAGCAAACTAATCATTCTTTCTTAATGTTGCTGCTGCTTTTGTGTGTGTGTGTGTTTGTATGTACGTGTGTATGTGTGTGTATGTGTGTGTGTGTCTTTGCATATAACTCACATTGTCCTATCATTAGCCAAAGAATAGTATGCTGGTCCTCACAGTGTCCGCATACTATAGGAAGATGAGAGAAAATGTAGACCCTTTGTAGAAAGACACTCTAGAAGTATCTGGCTTCTTTACACAGGAAAATTTTGTTTGGAAAGTACAATGGCTACTCTGATATTCACTCATAGGTCAGGCTAGAATAAACCAGAATAGATATTTAGAAGAAACCCATTACAGTGCAGTGTTTGACAATGGAGAGAAAATGAGACTTGGGCTATGGAAACAAGGATTTGGCCAAGTATGTCATGTTATCTTTCAAGTAATTAGCATATTAATATACTTTCCTTATGCTTACCTTACTTATTAACTGATCAAACTGCCTAACCAGCATTTCTTCAGGTGGCTGTTGAAGGGCAGGTAGTTGGGTGTTAGTACACTTACTGTGCAAGCCATTAAAATCTGTGCCTGCAAGAAGAGCAAATTCCTGAGAAGAACAGTCATCAGCTTTGGCACAACACAGAGCTGTTGATGTCAAACTCTTGGTGCTTAAAAACCATGCAGCATGCTTGTGAGAAATGTAGGTTCCCAGGCCCCACTAGCATTGATCCTGAGTCAGTGGGTAAGAGGTGTGTTGAGAATCTGCATTTTAACATCATAATTCTCATGGAGGGATCCAAAAATCTGCATTGCCAAAAGGGACAAAAAAGAGAATAGCAATAGAACAGTGAGAGATTGAGAAGTCAGCAATGAGCAGAACACAAGCTTCTCTTGATGGAGAAAGTAAACAATAAATAATTTTGAGCTGAAAAAGAAGTGAAATAAAAGAGGCAGGAGAGGAATGCCAGAGAAGCATCACATTAGGTTCCAAATGGCCAGAGGTTGGAAATACCCAATGAAGAAACTGCATGTAGGACAGCAGTTATTAGCAAATAGTAAGACTGCTGGATTTATGTGAAGCTTCCTTGTTAGCTAGACAACTTGGGCAAGTTACTTAATCTCTGTAAACCTTTTTATAAAACTGTACAATGAAAATAATTACAATACAGTTCCATAATCCCTCATTAACAATTCTGAAATCCAAAACATACTGAAACCAAATGGTTTTACATAATTCATTCAGCAGAAAACCTGGCCTGAACTGATGTGAGACTTGCTATAATCTTTATTCCTCTCAGAGAACATCAGATTAACGTGTTTGATTCCAGGTTGCTACCCCACACCTTGCTGGGGCTGGAGAGGGAGTGTTTATTAAAATTAGGTGTATGTACCATTTTACATTTCTAAAATCCAAAAGATATTTCTAAATCCATACATCTGGCTCCAAAGGTTTTAACTATGGGCTTGTGAAGATTACCAAAATGAAAATATAATTGCAAATATAACTTCATCCAGAAATTCATCTATAGAGTTGGAGGCAATGTATATATTTTAGTGATTTCAGAAAAGAAAACATTACTATTTGGCACTTTTAATTATGGGAAATAAGAGTTATGTTGACATTCTTCGTTAAGAAACATGAAAGAAATTGGACAGTCCGATATTTGAACAACAAATTTTGCAACTGGAAAAGCATGAAAGAAAATGTCTTCACTTTTTGGTGCTTGGGATGAGAACAGGACTCCTAAATACCAGTCATGAAAGAAAAACAGTAGAGGCCAAAAACTAATGATCACTTGGGATCTGCATGCATTTCCACATGCTGTTCCCGACATCTGGAATGGCCTTCCAGTTCTCAAGCATCACTTTTTGAGCTATTCCCTGACCTTTGCTATAGAATTAATGTCTCCTTCCTTTTTGAACCTTGGCTGTAACCAGTATCACATCGCAGTTGTATTTTTGTAAGTCTGCTTCCTTTACTAGAAAATAACCTCACTTTTCTTACCCATCTTTGTATCTAAGTTCTCTAGACATGCACTGAACATGGTAATGCCTTAATAAATGTTGACTGAAGAAGTGAACTGATGACTAAATGAATGTTGAAAGAAAAAAGCTTATTGGTAACATTAAGAATTAGTAATCACTTGACTTACCAAGCCATTACTTTTTCCATTACATCAGAAAAGAAAAGAATATGTAAAGAAATAACCTTTGAACTTAAAGTTCCTTTTTATGTGTGAATTGAGTTTGGTAAAAATAACATGGAAAAAGCCAGAATAGAAGGAGTGAGATAGACAGGTGAGCAACCTTTATGCCTTCTTGACTTGGCAAAATATGCCTAGATTATAAGCTTCTTGACGGCCTAGAACACAGACTGTGTGCCAGTGCCTAATGCAATGTCTACCATGTAGGAGTAATGGCATGGTAGCTGAATTGAACATACTGATCAATCATTAATATATTTTTAGAATCTATCTTAAATGTCACTTCTTTTGTGAGTCTGTCTATGACCCTCTTCCTTGGCCTCCAAGAAAGTCAAATCACTCCTTTTTATTTTATTACAGCCCATGGTTCCTACAACTAGTATTGCAAGTACTGCATTTTCTTTAATTGTATATCTTCTTGTCCAGTGCTGCAGGTCATTACAAGCATTTTGAAGGAAAGATAATATCTTATTCATACTGGAGTTTGCAAGCACCTAGCACAATGCTACATGTTTATAGAATTAAATTGCACGAATTATCTGTTGTGTCCTTATTTAGGAGGAAAAAAGAAAGTCAATGTATAATTAAAATTCCAGCTAGATCCTTTTAAGAACAGCAGCAGTCATTTTAGAAGAAAACAATAAACCTGCCAAATTACTGTACTTTCAGTAGGTTTCAAAAATGATGAAATACATATTGGTGATATTAATAAATGAACATAATCTGTGCTCATTAAAAGGCTCTCATTAGGATAAAATCAGAAATTCTGTCATGGTGGTTGTACAGCAACTCTGAAAACAAGGATTTGTTTTGATAATAGAAACCAAAATTGTATCCATATGACCAGATACATCATTCTCAGTTATTGATAAAACAATTCTAAAATTCATATGCAACCAAAAAAGAGTCCAAATAGCCAAAGCAAATTTGACAAAAAGTTCAAAGCTGGAGTCATCACATTACCTGACCTCAAATTATACAATTAGGCTGTGGTAATAAAAACAGCATGGTACTGGTACAAAAATAGACACATGGATCAATGGAACAGAATAAAGAACCCAGAAAGAAAGCCACATATCTACAGTCAACTGACCTTTGACAAAGTTGACAAAAAGTATACACTAGGACAAGGACACCTTTTTCAATAAATAGTGCTGGGATGATTGGATTGCCATATGCATAAAAATTGAATTATACTTCTACCTCTAACCATATTTAAAAATCCCCTCAAAACCCATCAAAGACTTAAATGTAAGATCTGAAACTATAAAAGTACTAGAAAAAAATCTAAGGAAAACTCTTCTGGACATGAGTCTAGGCAAAAATAATTATGACAAAGACCTCAAAAACAAATGCAACAAAACCAAAAATAGACAAATGGGACTTAAAATAAAAAGCTTCTGCACAGCAAATGAAATAATCGAGATAACAGAAGGCCTACAGAATAGGAGAAAATATATTCAAACTACGTATCCAACAGGGACTGTCACCCAGAATTTACAAAGAACTCAAACAACTCAACAACAACAACAAACAAGTAACCCCTATTAAAAAGTACGCAAAGGACGTGAACAGACATTTTTCAAAAGAAGACAAACCCCATCAAGCATATAAAAAACTGTTCAACATCACTAATCATCAGAGAAATGTAAATTAAAACCACAATGAGATATTATCTTATACCAGTCAGAATGGCTCTTACTAAAAAGTCAAAAAATAACAGATGTAGGTGAGGATGTGGGAAAAAAAAGGGAATGCTTATACATTTTTGGTGGGAATGTAAATAGTTCAAACCCTGTGGAAAAGAGTATAGAGATTTCTCAGAGAACTGAAAATAAAACTACCATTCACCTCAGCAATCCTACTATTGGGTTTATATCCAAAGGAAAAGACATCATTACATCAAAAAAATACATTCATATGTTTATGGCAGCACTATTCACGATAGCAAAGATATGGAATAAAGCTAAATGTACTTTGACAGATAATAAAGAAAATGTAGAATACTATTCAGCCATAAAAAAAGAATGAAATCATGTATTTTATAGCAACATCGATGGATCTGGAAGCCATTTTCTTTTTTATTTTTTTAATTTATTTTTATTTATTTATTTGAGACACAGTCTTGCTCTGTCACCCAGGCTGGAGTGCAGTGGCACGTTCTCGGCTCACTGCAACCCTGCCTCTCAGATTCAAGCGATTCTCATGGCTGAGCCTCCCCAGTAGCTGGGATTACAGGCGTCTGCCACCACGCCCAGCTAATTTTTGTATTTTTAGTAGAGACAGCGTTCCTCCATGTTGTCCAGGCTGTTCTCGAACTCCTCACCTCAAGTGATCCACCCACCTCAGCCTCCCAGAGTTCTGGGCTTACAAGCATGAGCCACTGTGCCCTCTGGAGGCCATTATTTTAAGTGAAACAACTCAGAAAAAGAAAGTCAAATACTGCATGTTCCCACTTGTGAGTGGAAGTTAATTAATGTGTACACATGCACATAGAGTGTGGAATAATAGTCATTGGAGTCTCAAAACGGTGGGAGGGTAGAAGCAGGGTGTAGGATGAGGAATTGGGTAGAAGCAGGATATGGGATGAGGAATTGCTTAACGGGTACAATGTACATTACTCGTGTGATGGTTACACTAAAAGCTCAAACTTCACCACTATGCAATATATCCATGTAACAAAACTGCACTTGTACCCCTTAATTTTATACTAATAAAAAAAACTGAAATAACACAATTTCATAAAACTATTGCTATTTGGTTGTGGTAATATTATATGTAGATGTCTAATTATCTATTTTTTTCCTTTCTGGAAAGTTATTCAACACAGAGAATAAAGCAGTGTCCAAAGAAATGTGTAAATGTCAACAGCAAGACCCTTACCAAAAGCATAATGACAGTTTCAAAAGAGGATACTATAATTTCCTATTTACAACTTTAAAAGTTTTGTATCTTCTATGCCACTTATTTTCCCTTATTGAAATATAAATTACTTGGAGGAAAAATACAGAGGTCTTAAATGAACCATTTGACAAGTTGTGACAAACACATATATCCGTGAAATCCTCACCTCTGCCAAAGCATGCAACATTGCCAACACCTTAGAAGCTGCCTTGTGCACTTTTCCAGCCATTACATCTTCCTTTACCACCACCAGAAGCAAACACCATCTAGCACCTGCCACCATAGATTAGTTTGTTCATGTTTTTTAGCATTCACATAAATGGAATTCTACAGAATATGTATTTTTGTATGTGTTGCAACTTTCACTCACTATAATATTACAGAGATTTTTTCATATTATTGTAGGTATTAGTTCATTTTTGTTGGTAAATAATACTATATTTTATTAAAATACCACAATTTATTTACTCTAAGTTGTATTTAGGCTGTTTTCACTTTTTTGGTGTTATAAATATTTTTGCTATAAACATACTTGCATAACTCCTTTTGTGAACATGTTTTCATTTCTCTTGGCTAGTACATAGAAGTATAATTTCTCAGTCATAAGGTGGATGCATAAGTTTTACAAGAAACTTCCAAACAGAGTTCCAAAGTGGCTTTACTCTTTCACAGTCCTACCAGCTGTGGGTGGGTGTTTGGTTCTTCTATGTTCCAGCCACCTTTTGATATTCTCAGTCTTTTTAGTTTCAGCTATTCTAGTACATATGTGTTGATATCTCATTGTGATTTTAATTTTCTTCTCCCTAATAAGAAGATGTTAACTCTTCTTTATGTTCTTATTGGCCTTCCATGTATCTTACTCTGTGAACTGTCTATTCAAATATTTTGTCCATTTTTTAATTTTTTAATTGATTTCTTGGAGTTCTTAATCATTCTAGTTATAAGTCCTTAGATCAGCAAAAGCATTTGACAAAATCCAACATCCAATCATAATAATGGCCTTCAGCAATTCATTAATAGAAGGAAACGTCTACAAAAATCCTATACCTAGTATCATACTTAATGTTGAAAGGATAAATTATTTTCTCTTAAGATCAAGAGCTGGGCAAGAATGTCCATTCTTTCTACTTCTATTCAATATTGTACTGGAAGTCCTAACCAGCGCAATAAGGTCATAAAAATAAATAAATGATATTTACATTGGAAAAAAATGGGCTTGCACTGTCTTTATTTGCAGATGGTAAGATTGTGTGCATAGAAAATCCTAAAGAACCTATAAATACACTATTAAAATAATAAGTGAATTTAACAAAGTTTCATAATACAAAAACAATGTACAATAATAGTTCTGTTTCTACATGAACAATTGGAACAATGAACTGGAAATTAAAATTTTAAAATGTCATTTACAATGGCATGTAAAAACTATAAAATACTTAGGAACAAATTAAAATATATGTAGTATCTGCACTGAAAGAATTGCTTTCACAGCGACGTGGATACATGCAGCCAACAAGCGTATGAAAAAAAGCTCAGTGTCACTGATCATTAGAGAAATGCAAATAAAAGCACACTAAAATACCATCTCTCACCAATCAGAATGGTTATTAATAAAAACTCAAAAAATAATAGATGCTGGTGAGGTTGCAGAGAAAACAGAATGCTTGTACACTGTCAATGGAAGTGCAAATTAGTTCAACCATTGTGGAAAGCAGTGTGTTGATTCCTCAAAGAGCAAAAAAAAGAACTGCTATTCTACCCAGCAATCCCATTGCCAAATATATACCCAAAGGAACATAAATCATTCTACCATGAAGACACATGAACACATATGTTTATTGCAGCACTATTCACAATAGCAAAGACATTAAATCAACCTAAATGGCCATCAGTGACAGATTGGATAAAGAAAATGTGGTACATATACACTATGGAATACTATGCAACCATAAAAAGGAACGAGATGTGTCTTTTATGGAAACATGGATGGAGCTGGAGGCCATTATTTTTAGCAAACTAATGCAGGAACAGAAAACTAAACACTCCATTTTGTCACTCATAAGTGGGAGCTAAATAATGAGAATACAAGGACACAAAATAGGGAACAACAAACACTGGGGCCTACTTGAGGATGGAAGGTGCAAGGAGGGAGAGGATCAGGAAAAAAATAACTACTGGGCACTATGCTTAATACCTGAGTGACAAAATAACCTGTATAATGAACCCCCATGACACGAGTTTACCTTTATTACAAACCTGCATATGTACCCTTGCATCTAAAATAAAAGTTAAGAAGAACTGCTGAAGAAAAATTAAAGAAGACTTAAAATAATGGTAAGATATATTAAGATGTTATTTCTCCCTGGATTGATCTGTATATACATCATAATCCCAATCAAACTCCCAACATGTGTTTTTTAGAAGTTGGCAAGCTATGCTAAAATTTACACTGGAATTCAGACAAACTAGAATAGCCAAAACAATCTTGAAAAAGGAGAACAAAGTGGGAAGTGGGAGAATTTGTACTATCTGCCTTCAAGATTTTCTATAAATCTGCAGTAATCAAGCAAGTGTGTTTGGGTGTCAGGGTAGACAAATAGATCAATGTAATGGATAGAAAGTCCAGAAATAGACCCACACATATACACTCAATTGATTTTTGACAGGGGTGCAAAAGCAATCCAATGGAGAAAAGAAAGCCCTTTCAACAAATAGTACTGGAATTATTGGATACCTATATTAAAAAATAAACCTCATGTCTACCTCACACAGGACAAAAAAGTAATTTTAAATATGTGATATAAAAAAGTAAACAGTAAGGTAAGACTATAAGACTTTCTTTTTAGAGTTTTAGATTCACAGCAAAATTGAACAGAAGGCATATACTCCTTGCCTTCAAACTGTACATTTTTAAAAGCAAACATTAAGTAAATATCTTTATAACCTTGGGGAAAGGAAAAATGTCTTGGACAGGATACCAAAAAAACACTAACCATACAAGAAAAAATAGATGAATTATGCTTCATCGCAATTAACATACTCATCAAAAGATACAATTAAGAAAATAAAAACTCAAGTCACAGATTGGGAGAAAATATTCCTATACTTGTATCTCATGAAGAACTTGTGCCCAGAATAAATGTATATAATATTTTCAAAATGTAAACTGTAATAATTAGAAAATTTAATTTTATTGATGAGTATATAGAATCTTAAAATGGAAAATCTATAATAAGGACCTGCTGGTAGGCTCTTGCAGCTTACTCCTGTCCATCTATGATAACATTTTTGGGGGACTTTTTTATACTGTAATGACCATTCTTGGAGCTAACCCAGAAAAGAGGAGAAGGGAAGGGAATGAAAGCCATTTTTCTTCAAGTTCATTGTATGGCCCTGTACTTCTTGTCCATGTTATCTTCTCCCATTACAGCTTTGTCCCCACAGTTATTCTCCCTGGGACTGCCAGACAGTTACATTATGTTGTTAGAAAAGTTCCAGATGATATTTGCATTTCTATCAGTCACTTGGGTAATGATTGATATAAAATATATTATTGAGGTCACTTTCTATGATTGTAGTCAGATCACATGAGGCTAAATATTTTTTATTGTTTTAGTTCATTTCATAGGGCATGAGGAAGGAAAATAAAAAACAAAACACCAGTCCCTGAAAGTTCAAAGGTTCAAAATTATCAGATCAGAATGTACTGCATAAATGTTATGAAGACTTAATCTACATCTGAATATCGTCAGATGGTTTGAGTGATATCTTAAGTAGAATGCTGGAGTGTCAAGTATCCTGTAAAAATAAGACAGACACCTGTTTTATAAATTGTGATTATTCCTCCTTAGAAGCAAAAAATGTTGGATAAAATTTGTTAGCCCCATCTTGTTCTGAGCTTCTGATCATCTCATCAGTGTGTGATGATCCCACAAATAAGTCAATGTGCTGTAGTCAAAAGCTTACCACAGAAGAGAGAGTGCTTGAAACCCAGAAGGTCTGAGTTTAAATCCAGGCATGATGCCTTACTACTGGGTGAGCTTGGAACAGCTACATGGATCCCACAATCCTCCATTTATGTAAAGGCAAACTGAGATGATGATAGCTATTTTGCAGTACTTTGTAAAGATTAGAAATCATATATGTACACAGAAGTCTTCTGTGATAAAAAAGAGAAATCCTCTATCTAAAGTGTATAGCATGTAGTTGTAAGCAATCAATACATGGTGGTTGTTATTATAACTATTCGTAACATGGAGAGGCATAGATAGATAGGCAATTTGGGATAATACTGAATATGTGATATATCCATTTCCAAAATATATGGGTAATATTGGGGTAGATAGAAACATTTGAGCAATACTTTATGAGTTGATTCCTTCTCTGCTTTGTGCAGATTTTTCAGATGGTACTTACAAATTGTTTTTAGAAGTTACCTTAACCTATTGACACCATGATTTTACTAGCTTAGTTTTGTTTGATCTGGTCAAAAGCTAGCATCTTTGTCTTTTGAAGCACCTCCTATCCCAAAAAGCTTCTAAATAATTGAGAAGTGTTCACTTTCCAGGTAAAATGGAGATAAATTAATTAACTTCAAGTTTGGGCAGTAAATTGTCATGAGTAGTCCATCATTCTTCCTAAAATAGGCAGAAGGGAGGTGTCTACTGCTGTTGCCAAAAGTTAACATCTGAATTTAACGTGAACCATTAGGGGAGGGGCTGATAAGAGTCCCTCAAGTTATGGGAAGAGGTAGTTTTGCATTGCTTGTAACCAGAGTAGTTTGTGAAGTCCTGTAAGCCTCCCCAACTTGGTTTCTCTCATCCCAGAGGTAAGTTGGTTCATTTTACAAGGCAACTCTAATCATTTGGTAGTACCTGCTGGGAGCCCTGTATAGAGGAAGCTCGTGATTCAAAGCCTAGCCCAGCAGAGGTGTGTGATCAATTGTCAGTGCCTGCATGGACATTGAGATATAGGATGAGATAGTACAGAACATGGATTTCCACTTCCATGTCTGAGTGTGGAGTACCAACAGGTCACCAATTCTAGGAATTTGGGCAGCAATGTGCTTTTTGAATCTGTAGCTGCTACAACTGCCTTATCACAATCCACCATTGCATGCCTGAAATAAAATGTAAACTATACTACATTTTCATTGTGTTGTCATTCTCCCATAAGTTCCTTTCTCTTGTCCATCGTGCTTATACAGATTATGATTCCCCATTTCTCCTTACTACATCAAATTGCCAAACACAAATGCAGTTACTTCTTTTGTCACATTCATGGGAGTGGTTAAGTATAATTCCTCATACTTCATCAAATATAACTAATCAGAATGCACCTTATTTAATTATATACTTAAAACTTGTATAATAATGCTTTTCATATTCAACACAAGTTGTCCAGATTAATTCTGATGTTGCTTTTAAACCATGAAAAAAAATGAGGATTGTTCTTGTTCTGGGTGGAGATTGAGGATTTAAAATGAAATCATTACTATATCCATGTAAGTTAAAACTTGAATTCAAATTCTAGCCTTGAATTCATGCCCTACCTTTCCTTCTATGATCTCTACACAATCAGTGGACATTTATAGCAAACCAGTTAGCTTTGTTCCCAATCCTCATTTTATGGAGTAAAGAAAATACCTCTCTGCAATTTTGAGCTATGCCCCTGATACTCTTCCTGAGAAAAACATGTATTTGTTATATCTCCCGTTAAGCCCATCTGCTCACTTGAATAAAGGGAATATTAGTTTGAAGATACAATTTTCTGGTAATTATAGGAGACAAAGGAGTCATTTTGATAATGTAAAGAGTCAACAGAAATTATAATTATATTGAGCTTTATGCCAATTTGTCCTCATCTAAGATTTCAGGGGAAAAAATTGAAATGTCTGCTGTTTGGAATAATAAAAGGGGGATTTAATTTACCAAAAAAAAAAGTCAAACAAAACAAACCATAATTAAATTTATTTTTAGCTTCAAGATGATATGGATATTGAACAGCGTTACCAAAACCCTGGGAGCTTAGGAAGGATAGGTGAGGATATCTTCAGTTGCCCTGAATAATTGGCAGTCTCACACTTAACCAAATCAGTTTAGACATTCAGATGAAATATCCATCTCCTTTCCTTTTCTTCTTAGAAACCTGGTTACTCTGTTTGGTTACCCATATTGATCTAGTTAACCACCTAATTATCAAATATCCACTCTATTTTATGCTGTATAATCTTAAAAAGCAATGTTATTGGTAGCTCAAATCCATGCCCTATAATAGTTCTGTGCTTCATAGTCACAGGTGACCCCTCGAAATGTGTCTGAGAAGATGTGACTACAATGCGCACAGAAAATGTGACTAATGCTGCACTGAGAAGCCTTTGATTTGCAGCTTCAGGCACTGTTTATGAAGTGCCTTATAGACTGGAAGTGCCCTGAAGCCTTCACTCCCAGCCCCTTACACCATGCTGGCCAGTCTGCTGTGGATTGTTTCACTGTCAAGACCATGCCTTTTGAAGATTTGTTGCCATACATCTTTAAAGCATTTCGTTTGTCTTCCCTACTTATCAATTTTATACCATTTCATCTCAAACTATAGAGCCTTTTCTAGGTCCTGTGCTGGCTGTTAGTCTCTTCATTTGCTCAGCCCAGCCCAGCTGAGCTGAAGAATGTCACCCACCCATCATCAGGCTATCAATCTGGGCACCTTTCAAACCCTAAATGTTACCAAGTCTTTATTTCCACTTAATGTAGGTCCCAAGTGAAACAAACAAAAGCAAACACATAGCATTTGTGGTAATCCAGTCCTCCTAGGAAAATAAAATTATTCCTGTGCTACTGTATATAATCTTTATTGAGATACAGAGTAAGGCTGGAATGCCATCTGACTTTGCGTGCTTTTGGCATTTGTGGTAGATATTGCTAGTGCTCGCTAATATTTTCTATTCTTTGTCCCCTCTGGTTTTATAAGAGGCAAACCTCCCTGCCCCTTGGATGTTCCATATGAGTGAGCGACTTACTTTAGTCAATGAAATGTGAGCAAAGTGTGGTGTATGACTCTTTTGGCTGGAAGCGTTTAAGCACTAGCACTCAATTCTCCCTACTCCCTTTCTCTGCCACGATGAACACTGAAGTCTCATGCTGAGATAGTGGCAACATAAAATGGATGGCCTAGATGGTCAGATACCACGTATTAGCACAGCTAGAGACACAGCAGACTTTTTCTGAGTAAGAAAGGAACTTTTATTTTGTTAAGCCACTAAGATTTAAGGGTCTATTATTACCACAGTACAACCAGCCTATGAGGATTAATATAGAATTCCAGATAACTTGTAACTGTTTCCAAAGGGGTAGCTGGCTCTTTAGCCCTGTGAAAAATTATGAAATGGAAAAGTTCATTTATATGGTTAGATTTTGTGCCCCCACCCAAATCTCATCTTGAATTGTAATCCCCAAAATCCCTATGTGTCAAGGGTGGAACCTGGTGAGAGGTGACTGGATCATGGGGGCAGTTTCCTCTGTGCTGTCCTCATGAGAATGAGTGAGTTCTCACGAGATCTGATAGTTTCATAAGGGGCTCTTCCCTCTTCACTCATCTCTTGCCTGCCACCATGTAAGGTATGCCTTTGCTTCCCTCTCGCCTTTTGCCACGATTGTAAGTTTCCTGAGCCCTCCTCAGCAGTGCAGAATTGTGAGTCAACTAAACCTCTTTTGTAAATTACCCAGTCTCTGTTATGTCTTTATAGCAGTCTGAGAATGGACTAATACACTCATTTTTTGTGTTCTTCACTTCCTTTTCTGCACTCCTTCCCATCTGCAAGTAGCTAGTGCTGTAGTGCAGTTTCCCATTATATCACTCCACTAGTAGTCTGACCTCTCCTGTCAGAGTGCTCCAGGCTACCACATAGCCTTTCTTTCCATAACATACAGCTAAGATGTTTATTTCCCCATTGTGCCTATGCTATGGTCTGAATGTTTGTGTCCCTTCAAAATTCATATGTTAAAATCTTAACTGCCAAGGTGATGCTATTAGGAGGTGGGGCCTTTGGAAGGCAATAAAATTAGCGTCCTTATAAAAGGGACCCCAGAGAGATCCCTTGCCCCTTCCACCATGTGAAGATACAGTGAGAAGTTGCCATCTGTATGGAAGCAGGCCGCCCCCAGATACCAAATCTCCCAGCGTCTCAATCTTGAACTTCCCAGCGTCCAGAATGGTGAGAAATAAATGTATGTTGTTTATAAGCCACCAAGTTTATGGTATTTTATTATAGCAGCCTGAACAGACTAAGACAGCCTGACTTTAAATAAGTTAGGAGGATATCCAGCAATTGGCCTCCTCCAACTGTGGAACCAAGAAGAGTGTGCACCTTACTCATGGTTTCTGTCTTGTAAGCAGTAAGCCTTGGACAATATACATACTTTCTCTTAGCCCCTATTTCCTGATCCAAAAAGTTAGGATATATATATCTTATAGGAATGTCAAAAAAAAAAAAAAAGAAAGAAAGAATGGTCTGAATTTCTTTATCCCTTCACAGTTCAGGTTCTAGAAAATGTCATCCGTACTCACTGCCCTTCGTTTCTTACTTGCTTTTCTGTCTTCAGCTACTCAAGGTTAGATTTCTACCCACTGGCAACCTCCAAAATCACTAAACATGCTCTCACTAAAGTTGAGTTATTTACTACTGATCACTCAATCCAGTAGATACTTCCCAGTCTTTATTTTGCAAAATCTGTGTGACATTCAACAACTGACTACTCCTTCATACTTGAAATGTATTCTTTGACTTTTAAACACATTTTTCTCATATTTCTCTATTATTTCTTTCAAGGAAACAACCGTTCGTACCTAGTATTTGCTGGTCATTATAGATGCAAACATTAACAGTAATATAATTGTGCCCTTAAAAGGATCACAGACTGTGTGGAAATAGAACGCTTAAACAGTTATTAATAATATAGTGTGATAATTGCAATTATAGAGATATACACAGACAACAGGGGATGAGTTTCAGAATGTTTTCCTAGATAACCTGAAACAAAGTCTAGTAGGAGTGGGAAAAATACTCTAGGATAAGGCATAAAGCGTGGCAAAGGCCTGGAGATAAACAATATTTCTGTGTGTGAAGAGAAACTTCTTAGAGTTAATCTTTTAGGACACCCCCCCTACACACACACACACACACACACACACACATTTTTTTGTCCCTTGAATACTGGTATTCCCTTGTTCCATCTCTGGCTCTCATATTGTTGTATGGTCATTTGACCCCTGAAGCCAATATTCCTCTCTTTATTGTTATCTTCCAAATCTGTACTCTCACCAAAGACCTCCCTGTGGACCCTACACATTCCTATATTCAGCTTTCTGGTGGACTTTGATACCCAACATCCCAGTTCAGTGCTTTTTCTGCAACCTCAGAATAAAACAACAGTAGTGATTATCCCTGACAATTATATAAGCACTTTATAATTTAGAAAGCACTTTGGCATACATTATCTCACCAGCTGCTTCCTTAATGTAATAGCAGCAGTGGGCAAAAAACCGTGTCACTCCCGACAGCTCTTTTCTGACCTTGGTCTCCCAGCCCCACCTACTAAAAACATGAGAGCATCTGGATGAGAGCTGATTAGAGCCTGGAAGCTGACCTTGTGTGGGGACCAGGGGAGCATGACAGCAGTAGTTGCCACCTCCACACCTTCTCCATCTCCATAGGGGCAATAGAGCAAGCCAGAGATTTCATGGCAGAATGCAGGAGGCTACACAGAGCAGCAAGGCTTCTCATGGCCTGCCTAAGCAGAGGCTGATGATGGCAGGCATCAGCTTGTGGGAGGTTAAGCACTTATCCACTCTCCCCCCACTTTTCTGATTTCTCATTTCTTCCATGCATTAACTACCACTTTGAAAGTTTCAGTGGGTTAATTAAATTCTTCTAGTGTTGATGCTAAGAAAGCTGAAACATTTTCAACTGAGATTGACACTACTCAAGACATAGGCTTCACTGATGTTTGTTCAGTAACACTCCAATATGTCACAGGATTGCCGAGAGAACATCTGAGAGCTATAATGAGCTAAAAGTCAAGTACAGGGGAAAATGTGTTCCAGACTGCTGCAGATGTTCTCAAATCAAATCTTATTTCTGTGAAATGCCATATAGAATATTCAGCTGTTGAAAGATGCAACACGAAAGGACAGTTCAATTGATTTGCACTGTATTTAAAAATTTTATGTAGCCTAAATTATATGAAATGGTTTTTCCCACTTTTGAATCAATTAATAAGAGATGCACTTGATTCTAATGAGCTTCAAGGATGATTTTTTGGACTAAGAGGTATGCATTAGGTGGTTTAGGTAGGAGCTAAGGCTTATAGAACGTGGCAGTTGAATAAGGGAAATAAGGTATAGTTGAGAAACAGACATTCTCTAGACCCACTCCCTTGCCCTTATTCTTCCTTTATCGCTTTGGCACCAAAATGGAGAAGACTTCTGTTGAATGAATTCACCAAGATTCTGATAAGTCTATCTGTGATACTATGTTGATAGTGAATCATTCTGCCCCTCCTGAGAAACCCAAAGGAAGCTTACAGGAGGAGATCAAGGAAATGTTTTGGCAGATGCATCTGTTGTCATAATCAACTTATATGTCATCACACAGGTGACCTTGCACATCACCATAATTTTGGTAGTCTGTCCTTTGATTGGGAATAGTATTCTCTTACATAAAGGAAAGCACTGAACAAGAACTGACAACCTAGGTAAAAGAGAGAAAAATGCTTAGGTGAGATTAGAAAGTACAGTAGAACACTACAATGAGATATTACTTCACACCCCCTAGAATAGCTAATGTTCAAAATACTGAAAACATAAATGTTGGCAAAGATATTGAGCAGCTTGAAAATTCATACATTGCTAATGAGTATATAAAATGGTACAACTACTTTGGAAAACTCTCCAGCAATTTCTTGTAAGACCCAACAATTCTACTTCTAGGTATCTTTCCAGGAGAAATGAAAGCACATATCCATAAGGTTTTGAGGTAATTGAATCTCACAAACATATAAGGAAAAGAAACCAGACACAAAAGAGCAGTTACCAAATGATTTCATTTATGTGGAGTTTAAAATGGGAGTAACAAATCCATATTATTTGAAATCAAGACAGAAATTTTCTCCAGTAATATTTTTATCCTATATCTCAACTGGGGTGGTAGTTTTGTGAATGTGTATATTTGTCTAAAGTGTAACTGTATACTTAAAATGTGTGTATATTATAAATCCTACATATTATAAATACATTGTTAATTTTTTTAAGAAATGCAAACTCACTCTGAAAGAAACTATAGGATAAGCATTTGGTAATATTTCTATGACAAAATAAGATATATCATATAAGAAATACTAAAGACATTTTTTATGCCCAAATTACTTTTAATCAGGTAGCCTTTGGGAACTAAAAACCTTATGAAGTTAACCACTGGAAAAGAATAGCTGGTACCTAGATAAAAATCTTGGCTGGAAACCAGCTTAAAGAAAATGAATGGCTAGGGGCATAAACAAATGCATTTCACTCTGCCAACTTGCCAGCAGCTGGGTGTGGAGTTGGAAGACTTCCGGCCTTTCACATCAGGGAGGCTGGCTAGGACTTAGAAACAGAGAAGGGGCACATCTGCTCCTTGAGGAGTGGAGTAGGTAGTGGATGTGGTGTCACAACTCAAAGGAGAAGCTGCTTCTTAAAGATGGAAAATTTGATTAGGTCTTTTGGTAGGCCTTCCATGTGCTTTGCTTTGTAGGATCAGCCAGTGCCTGCAGCCTCCGTTAACAAAAGCTGGCCTTGCCTGAGGCCAAAGCTTCCAGAACAGAACCTTAAATTGATTGCCGATAGGATATTACATGCAGGGCTGGACTCTTTTGCCCTAACGTCCTACCTACCCTTATACAAACAAACCCAGTGGGAAATTTGTCTGGAAACTTTAAATCAAATACATTTCTAGTGTTTTAATATATGCATTGACATTTTGTCTTGTAATAGCATTATTATTAATGGATAATAAAATTATAACATTTATAGAACTGAAAACAAAACACTTGAGGTTGAATTTCCATTCACTCTGGGTACACTTTGTGCATTTTGTAGGGCATTAGTATTGCAAATTGGAAAAGAGTCAAAACTGTACTTTCATTCTGCTATTTTTGCATTCAGGATTTCTGCCTTTGTACTTCCTATTATCTAGGATGCCTCTCCTAGAAAATTGTGACTGGAAACAAGTATCGCACATCTTTTCTGAACTCACATAATTCTGACAGATTTTGATTTTTGGTACTAATTAGAATTTATTTTACATATCCCTGCCTCAGAAACTTTAGTGTTTGGATTTTAATCATTTAAATAAACATCTATGCATTTAACATATATTGAGTATTCCATGCCAGGCACTGCAGTAGTTAATTGAGATTGAGTGATTAATAAGATAAACTCTTTATCATTGATGATCAATTGTTAAAAAAAAAATAGTAATAAACTCTAAATACTTCACATAATTGTATATACCTTTTGTGTGTGTATTTTATATATGCGTGTATATATATACACATTATGTGTGTATATATATACTCATTTTACATATATATGTACGTATATACACACATATATGTACGTACGTATATACACACATATATGTACGTATATACACACATATATGTATATATGTACATATATGTGTGCATATATACACATATATGTGTATATATGTGTGCATATATATGTACATATGTGTACATATATGTGTGCATATATATGTACATATGTGTGCATATATGTACATATATGTGTGCGCATATATGTACGTATATGTGTATATATGTACACATATATACACATATATATGTATACATGTGTACATATATACGTACATATGTGTATATATACTCATTTTACAAAGGTGAAAACTGAGGTTAAAGAGGTTTAGATATTTATTAGTGGAAGCCGGACGCAAACCCAATTCTGTTTATTACAAACATTGTGCCCGTAACCATTCAATTACCACTCCTCAACATAACTGCTATTATGCTATCGGAGTTATGGAATTAGAAGGAAACAAGTGTCCATCTCAACCTAGGGCATCAGGAGCAGTTGGGAGGCAACAGATGAACTGAGTCTTGAGGGATGAAAACACTGTAAGGTTTATGTAAATGTCCTCATTAATTCCATTCTATAGGCAATGGCTGGCTCTGGCTAAATGATCATTTGTGAAAATTGCTACATTTTTATTTATAGTAGAGAAAGAGTTACAAATCTGTTGGATAATTAATTCCTTCTCCCGATAGGGCACAGGCTTCATTCTTAGTTTGTGCTTTTGGGTGTCGTTGTCATTTAGCATAAATCCTATCAAATCTTTGTGAGTTTCGCTTTTACATTTCCTTCATCTGTGACGAGAAGATTCTATTAGCAACCCTGGCACCTTCCATTAAAGTCTACAACTTCCAACTGCCAGGAAGGGATAATGAAGTGATAAATTTAATTTGATACCAAAATATGGAAGGCAGAGATATCTAAGTGAATTTATAGCATTAGCTATGTCTTTCTTCTTAGCATTAACAAAAGTTTTATGGCAGGTTATCAAAATCAGTGCAATAAAAACAAATTCATATGAATTCCCATACACAGAAATCAGATCTATACTTTGTATCAAATCATGTCTTTCCCTCCTCTTAGCATTTTTGGGCTCGTCAGAACCTAATATGAGTTTTAAGTATTTTATTACTTGAAGGATGACAAAAAATACTGTTGATCAGCTTATGAAGCATTTTTTACTCATTAATGTATGTGTCCTGGAGTTTATAAAATCGAAATCTCCTTCTCCCCACTGGCTAGAGACCAGAGAGCCTACGAAGAAAGATAACACCATCACCGATGCCTACAGTTGTGACAATGAGGGCGGTTCAAATTCTGTGGGATGGAAAACCCACTTTCACCTGGATTTCTTAACTGTTTGTATCATGGTCGTAAACACAAAAATTCTTTTTGCTCATTTGCGTCCTTATACTTTGTCTAAATACTAACATTTCCACATCAAGATCCCTTTGTTTTAGTGAGCTTTATCTTACACCTTTATCTTTATCTTTCCATATGTTAGCATTACAATTAATATTGCTATTCTAGTTGCAGGTGATGCCTATAAACTGCACCCATGAAATGCACAGCCAGGCTAAGTTCTGCTTTTTCCATGCAATGATGTATGTGTTCATCCTATAAAACAGACACAACTGTTAGAATCAGTTTATGAGTACAAGGTTATTTGCCCAAGGAAAAGTAGAATTGATAATCATGATAATGACAATACAAATTAAAAACCTTCAATGGTTGTTATTTAACATTTTGAGGGCTTTTTGTGTTATCTACTTTAATCTTACAATGATTTATGTAAGGTATGAATTATTATTCTCTATCCTGTTGAGAAAAGGAAGGCTTGGAGGGATTAGGAAGTTGTCCTAGGTCCCATGCTGGAAAGAGCAGAGGCAGCATTCTGGTCCTGGTCTGTGTGCTCACAAAACCTCCGCACTTGCCTACTACATTCTACCACCTCTACTTGTTATCCTGTCCAGAGAGAATCATTGTTTTTAATGCTTGGGATTTGATTCTGAGTTGGCAGAGAGCAGATTAAGATTTTGCTAATCTGTGGGCAAGATTGTTGAACGTTTTACCTCTTTCCCAGTGACCTGTGGCAGTCAGTTGTAGTAGAAATAATACAATACTTACTCACCTGTATTCAGTGAACTTAGGATAAATTATTGCTTTTGCAGGCATGCCACCTTCTTTCCTCAACCTTTCATCATTGGCATCAAGCCACATTGCCATCGTGGGCTGATCCTTACCATGGACCTTCCGTTTATTGGCAAAGATCACAGGTCCAACTCTTCCTCCTTCTATTCTGCCCATGTATGTTATATTACTTGACTTTTAGCTTTTCTACAACAAATCCAACTTGGGTTATGACTCCATGTATTTATTTACATGCATATATTTTCCCTACCAATGCCTTAATTAAACTAGTTTTTCTAGTCTGTTGATTATGTCTTTGAAAGTATTTAAGATAGGCCATGCACGGTGGCTCATGCCTGTAATCCCAGCACTCTGGGAGGCCGAGGTTTGTGGATCATGAGGTCAGGAGCTCGAACCAGCCTGACCAACATGGTGAAACCCCATCTCTACTAAAAATACAAAAATTAACTGGGTGTGGTGGCTTGAGCCTGTAATCCCAGCTACTCAGGAGGCTGAGGCAGGAGAATAGCTTGAACCCAGGAGGCGGAGGTTGCAGTGAGCCAAGATCACGCCACTGCACTCCAGCCTGGGTGACAGAGCGGGACTCTATCTCAAAAAAAAAAAAAAGAAATGGAAAGAAGAAAGTATTTAAGATAGAGACAGCCAGAGAATAATGAAGAAGAGAAGACCTTCAGGGAATGGGGAGAAACCTGATCCTGAGGTCTGCATAGATCCCTGCAAATTGCCTTGTTCTCCCCAGCTTTGGGCCTTCCCTTCATCAGCTGCATTGCCTATGTAGATGTGTATGGTTGCCTGGCTGCATGCCCAGCAAACTGTTGATGTGAACATTGCCTTCTGTGTCTCTTCAGTCGTGTCAATTTCATATAAAATCAGCTATCTAGGCAGTAACTGAGTACTCGAATGGGCTTCAGATTCCCCTGTGGTAAGCAACCTTCAATTGGCTTATAATTCTTATTACTGTCCAGGGTACCAGGCAATGACTGATTTACACTTAATAGCAAGGAAAACCCTAGATATACCTGCCAAGGACCTTAGAGTGTCCTCATCACAACTGCAGGTGAAGTTTCCATTCATACAGTCCTTACTCAAGCATTGTAATGTATGCAGTTCTGCAGAGGACCAAGAGAAAACTTATGAGGGCCATCTGAAAGTATTCTAGATCTGTATGTGGGTTATTTCCCCTGCCTTTGTGATGCTAATATATTTTCTGTATGTATGCCTGCATATTTCTCCCTGGAAGTTCCCTAGAGGATACCTAGCCTCATACTCTTGCACCAAAGAAGAATTCCCAGGATAATGATCTAAATATTTATCTATTCCTTAGTTATTTATTGAGTGTCACAAGGTATAAATACCATGGTTGGGGTGAAGTGAGATGAGGCAGTAGAAGGGATGCAGGTGGAGATGGAGAGCTCCAAGGATGTTTCTGAGTGATTCCAGTGTCATGAGCATAGAATGTCAACAATCCAAGGCAGAGCATAAGTGTGCATACAGCAAGAGTTACACTACCAGTCATCAACAGGGAGGATTTTTGAAGTTTTCATTTATTATGCTAAATATGTATAGAATGCAGATTAAAACAACATGGCTAGTTCAGTAGTGATTAAATGTGACAGGTTGCTAGTAGAGTCTATTAAAAGAGGAAAGTGTGGAAGTATTTTTGCAGTGAGCTGAGATCGCACCATTGCACTCCACCCTGGGCAACAAGAGCAAAACTCCATAACAAATAAAATAAAATAAAATAAAATAAAATAAAATAAAAATTAACCCAATATATCAAAAAAATCTAATCAATTATCATAGGCATCTGGAAGCACATCTTCCTACTAAGGGCATTTTCTCTCAAGTATTTCGCCTTGGAAAGAAATGCTCCTTCTAAGACAAAATGTAAAGAGAATGCCAATTTGTAAACATTTGGAGTTGGAAAGAAAAGAATACATTATGGATTACTGATATCATCAGTAAATATTGACTTTTTAGAACACTCTGAAGAAAATGGTAATGATTAGACCATTCCATAGAGAAGTAAATGTAAAACTGTAAAATGTTTATAGGTAACACAAAGTAGGTAGAACTATTAATATTTCACCAAGAAGAATCATCAGTTTGATTATTCTTCTTGAGCAAAACAGAATCACTGCTGGGTGTAGTGGCTCATGCCTGTAATCCCAACACTTTGAGAGGCTGAGGTGGGTGGATCACTTGAGGTCAGGAGTTCGAGACTAGCCTGGCCAGCATGGTGAAACCCCATCTCTACAAAAAAATACAAAAATTAACTGGGCATGGTGGTGGGTGCCTGTAATCCCAGCTACCCAAGAGACTGAGGCAGGAGAATTGCTTGAACCTGTGAGGTGGAGGTTGCAGTGAGCTGCGATCATGCCAATGCACTGCAGCCTGGGTGACAGAGTGAGACTCTGTCTCAAAAAAAAAAAAAAAATTACTAAGTGGGAATTGAAGCCCCTTCTCTATATGAGCAAGCATAGTCAGGTGTAGTGCCTAATCACGTTAAATTCATTTTTATCAAAGGGTGAAAATGTGAATTCTGAAAATTTCTGAATATTAAAGTTCAATTTGGTCATCTAGAATATATCTAAACTCATTGGTTAAAAAAATCTAAATAAGGAAAAGTAGCAGTGTTCCTCTGGAAGCAAGATTTGTCTAAAGCAATGTATGTGAATAGGGATAGGGAGAATGAAAATTCAATGAGAATAACTCATACCAGATGAACATACTGTCCTCTTTTAATATGTTTCCAGGCAATGGATAACAATTTTCACCCAACTCTTACTAAATATTAATACCTTGCAGTGGGCTTTACTTCAGTTACCTCATTTAACCCTCAGAGCAATCTGTGAAGTAGGTCTTCCTGATACCTGTGCTTTAACTGATGATAAAACAAGTGGCTCAGCTGAGATTTGAACCCAGACAACAGGAAATGAAAGCCCAAATTCCAAACCATTCTACATCCCTCAATAGAGTGAAGAGCTGCTGCCAGCAAGGCATATCTTGCTTTCTGGAAGGCATTTGACAGCTGAGTATGATAGCCTGTTACACATTGTGGAGAAGATTGTTACTTGGATCACAGAGCTAGAAAGCCTCATAATATTCTGATTTCCCTAAGAAAAGCTTAACTTGTTTGGAGAATATCACGCTTAAAAAAAGATTTTATGTTCTTAGAGTTCCTCAGATTTATAATTAGAATCTGTGAATATATGACTGGAATAAAAACTTTAGGTTTATCATCCACTATAGAAATCTGTCATCCAAACTAGAAAACATTACTCCATCAGGATATGTTATTTTATTAAAAATAATGTACTTATGACTATTAAATGAGAGTAGTTGACCTCTGAAAGAAAGGTCTAGAAGTTTTCCCAAGATTGGTAATAAAGAGCTACAAACTTGTGAATTTTAGAAATAACTACTTTAAAATGCAGGCTCTTTACTCTTTCTAGGCTATAATATACCTTTATGCTATCAGACAAAAAGCCCTACTTTACTAAGTGAATTATTAATATAAACACATTTCAAGAAATTGTTTAACCTACTTAAGATAATTAACAGCTTTCAAGTACGCTATCAAAACTCACATGAAAATCAACAATGAATATGCTGTTTTAAATGAATGTTTGTTAGCAATTCTTCCCATTGGATGTACCTGAAAAAAATGCATTTCTTTCCCAATAATCTGTAATTCAGTCTTTTCACCAATTCAAAATGACTCTTCACACAATTCATCCACGTTAGTGCATTTTTGCTGTAGACTTTTGTAGAATATAGAAAGCATCCTACTCCCTGTGGATATAATTTGATCTCAGTTATATAGTCATTTTCTCATTCTGTCTGCCTCTACCAGGAATTTTTCATTAGTTGCTTACTGATCTTACTCTAGAGACTCAAAGTAATTATGTCCAAGAATTGTACAGTGTCAAGAAGTGGTAACTTTCAGGAAAAGGAGTGATATGTGCTTTAATTTTTAAATCTAATGCCAGCACACTAAATAAAATCGAGAGAGTATATGAATATGAGGTAGCTATTCCATGGAAGTATATATTGTGCTCTTCCTATGTCCAAAATAATTTTAAACTACACTAAAACTTTTGAAAAATGTACACTTTTAATGGGATATCTTCTGAAAGGCTTTGAAAGAACAAGATTTCCCACCAGGAAAACTGAAATATAAATCTATTCATGAAGAATCTCTTCTAAAGCAGAATCTCATATTTTTTATAAATCTAAACTTTGGCTATAAAAAAAATTCCTATTTCTGAATTTAGCATTAATATACTCTCTGAAGTGATTAACAACATTAGTGGTAATACAAACTATTGAAAATAAAATAAAAATATTTTCCAAAATGCTCAAATAATATGGTACTTTGATAATATTCCTGTATCTGCATTAAATTCTGCTTTTTTAAACTTTGAAATATAAGTATAGGGCCATCTGGCAAGTTTGGCAATTCTTGCTTATGTCTGGAGAACTCATAACATAAAATATAATTTCTGGCACATAAAAGCATTTATACCTCTGAATTAAGAGAAGGGGAAGTGTGGAAGGAATAGGTAGCTGTGTCGGTCAGCTGCCAAGGGCTGAAGGGAAGGTAAAGATAAACCATTAGTTGTCTTAAGGAAATCTTAAAAGAAAAGTTAATTTTTCCCATTTGTATGACACCTAAGCTTTACTGTACAGTGTTACTTTTTTCATGTTAATGTTTTTAAAACTTTTATTTTAGTACATGTGCAGGTTTGTCATATAGGTAAACTCATGTCATGGGGGCCCCTTTTACAGATTATTTTGTCACACAGGTACTAGTCCTAGTACCCAATAGTTATTTTTTCTGATTATCTGTTTTCTCCCACCCCTCACTCTCAGTAGGTCCCAGTGTGTCTGTTCCCTTCTTTGTGTTCCTGTGTTCTCATTCTTTAGCTCCCACTTATGAGTGAGAACATGCAGTGTTTAGTTTTCTAAAGATAACGGCCTCCAGCTCCATCCATGTTCCTGCACAGGACATGATCTCATTCTTTGTTATGGCTACATAGTATTCCATGGTGTATATGTACCATATTTTCTTTATCTAATCTGCCATTGATGGGCATTTAGGTTGATTTAATGACTTTGCTATTGTAAATAGTGTTGTAATGAACATACCTTATGTGGACACGTATCTTTATGGTAGGTAGAATAATTTATATTCTTTTGGGTATAAACCCAGTAATGGGATTGCTGGGTTGAATGGTAGTTCTTTTTTAAGCCCTTTGAAGAATTTCCACATTGCTTTCCACAATGGTTAAACTAATTGACACTCACACCAACAGTGTATAAGTGTTCTCTTTTCTCTGCAACTTGGCCAGTGTCTGCTATTTTTTTTTTAACTTTTTAATAGTAGTCATTCTGACTGATGTGAGATGGTTTCTCAATGTGGTTTTGATTTGCATTTATCTAATGATCAGAAATATTGAGCTTTGTTTTCATATACTTGTTGGCCACATGTGTGTCTTCTTTTGTGAAGTGTTTGTTCATGTATTTTGCCCACTTATTAAGGGGTTGTTACTTCTTTCTTGTAATTTGTTTAAGTTCCTTATTGATTCAGGATATTAGATCTTTGTTCGATACATAGTTTGCAAATATTTTCTCCCATTCTGTAGGTTTTCTGTTTACTCTGTTGACATTCTCTTTTTCTGTGCAGAAGCTCTTAAGTTTAATTAGTTCCCATTTGTCAGTTCTTGCTTTTGTTGCAATTGCTTTTGGAAGCTTCGTCATGAAATCTTTGCCCATTCCTGTATCTAGAATGGTGTTGTCTAGGTTGTCATCCAGCGTTTTTATAGAGTTTTACATTTAAGTCTTCAATCCATCTTAAGTTGATTTTTGTATATGGTAAGGAAGGGGTCCAATTTTAATCTTCTGCATATGGCTAGCCATTTATCTCAGCATCATTTATCGAACAGGGAGTCTTTTCCCCATTGCTTGTTTTTGTCAGCTTTGTTGATGATTAGTTGGTTGTAGGTGTGCAGCCTTATTTCTGGGCTTATATTCCATTTTATTGGTCTGTGTGTCTGTTTTTGTACCAGTACCATGCTGTTTTGGTTACTGTAGCCCCTGTAGTATAGTTTAGAGTCAGGTAACTTGATGCTTCCAGCTTTGTTCTTTTTGCTTAGGATTGCCTTGGCTAATTGGGCTCTTTTTCAGTTCCATATGAACTTTGAAATAGTTTTCTCTAGTTCTGTGAAGAATATCATTGATAATTTAATAGGAATAGCATTGAATCTGTACATTGTGGCTGGGCGCAGTGGCTCACACCTGTAATCCCAGCACTTTGGGAGGCCTAGGCAGGTGGATCACGAGGTCAGCAGATCGAGACCATCCTGGCTAACATGGTGAAACCGCATCTCTACTAAAAATACAAAAAAAAAAAAAGAATCTGTACGTTGTTTTGGGCACTTGGTCATTTTAATAACATTGATTCCTCCTGTCCACGAGCATGGAATGTTTTCCCGTTTGTTTGTGTCATCTCTGATTTATTTGAGCAGTGTTTTATAATCCTCATTGTAGCGATCTTTCACGTCCATGGTTAGCTATTCCTAGGTATTTTATTCTTTTTGTGACAATTGTGAATGGGATTGCCTTCCTGATATGGCTCTTGGCTTGGCTGTTGTTGGTGTGTAGGAATGCTTGTGATTTTTGTGCATTAATTTTGTATTCCAAAACTTTGCAGAAGAGGTTTATCAGCTGAAGGAACTTTTGGGGCAAGACTATGAGGTTTTCTAGATATAGAATCATGTCATCTGCAAACAGTGATAGTTTCACTTCCTCTCTTCCCATCTGGGTGCCCAGTATTTCTTTCTCTTGCCTAATTGCTCTGGCCGGGTATTCCAGTACCATGTTGAATAGGAGTGGTGAGAGGGGGCATCCTTGACTTGTGCTGGTTTTCAAGGGGAATGCTGTCAGCTTTTGCCCTTTCAGTATGATATTGGCTGTGGGTTTGTCATATATGGATCTTATTATTTTGAGCTGTGTTCCTTCAATACCTAGTTTATTGAGAGTTTTAAACATAAAGGGAAGTAGAATTTTATCAAAGACCTTTTCTGCATCTATTGAGATAATCATGTGGTTTTTATCTTTAGTTCTGTTTATGTGATGAATCACATTTATTGATTTACATATGTTGAAACAACCTTGCACCCCAGGGATAAAGCCTACTTGGTCATGGTGAATTAACTTCTTGATGCACTTCTGAATTTGGTTTGCCAGTATTTTGTTGAAGAATTTAGCATCAGTGTTCATCAAGGATATTGGCCTGAAGTTTTCTTTATTTTTTACTACACAACTTTTCAACTTGCCATTTTTCCTTAATGATTGAACTCTATGAACCAAAAATAAGTGAATACCAGAAAGTTGTCTCTCAATCTTGTTTCTAAAAGAGGGTGCTGTGGTTTGAATGACCACATCCCCTGTAAAACTGATGTCAAAACTTAATCCCCAGAGCATCAGTAGTAAGAGATGTGGTCTTTGGAAGGTAATTAAGTCATGAGGGCTCCAAACTCATGAATGAGATTAGCACCCTTATGAAAGGGTTTGAGGGTGAAGGGAACACTTTCTTGCCCTTCTGACCCTTCCACAAAGTGAGGACAGAGCATTCATTTCTCTGGAGGATGCAGCAACAAGGCGCTATCTAGAAAGCAGAAACCAAACTCCCAATACCAAACCTGCCAGCACTTTGATCTTGGACTTCACAGCCTCCAGAACTGAGACAAAAACATTCTGTTGTTTAGAAATTACCCAGTCTGTACCATTTTTTATAGCAGCACAAATGGACTAAGACAGAGGATCATCCTATTAGTTTCTGATATTGTTCACAGGAAACTATGTGTTGATTTGGGTAGTAGATTGTTTTCTTTCCATTTGGAAAAGCACCTCAACTACATATAGTTTAAACTTCATGTTGAAAAGTGTCTGTTCATGTCCTTCACCCACTTTTTGATGGGGTTGTTTGTTTTTTTCTTGTAAATTTGTTGGAGTTCATTGTAGATTCTGGATATTAGCCCTTTGTCAGATAAGTAGGTTGCGAAAATTTTCTCCCATTTTGTAGGTCGCCTGTTTACTCTGATGGTAGTTTCTTTTGCTGTGCAGAAGCTCTTTAGTTTAATTAGATCCCATTTGTCAATTTTGGCTTTTGTTGCCATTGCTTTTGGTGTTTTAGACATGAAGTCCTTGCCCATGCCTATGTCCTGAATGGTAATGCCTAGGTTTTCTTCTAGGGTTTTTATGGTTTTAGGTCTAACGTTTAAGTCTTTAATCCATCTTGAATTAATTTTTGTATAAGGTGTAAGGAAGAGATCCAGTTTCAGCTTTCTACATATGGCTAGCCAGTTTTCCCAGCACCATTTATTAAATAGGGAATCCTTTCCCCATTGCTTGTTTTTCTCAGGTTTGTCAAAGATCAGATAGTTGTAGATATGTGGCGTTATTTCTGAGGGTTCTGTTCTGTTCCATTGATCTATATCTCTGTTTTGGTACCAGTACCATGCTGTTTTGGTTACTGTAGCCTTGTACTATAGTTTGAAGTCAGGTAGCATGATGCCTCCAGCTTTGTTCTTTTGGCTTAGGATTGACTTGGTGATGCGGGCTCTTTTTTGGTTCCATATGAACTTTAAAGTAGTTTTTTCCAATTCTGTGAAGAAAGTCATTGGTAGCTTGATGGGGATGGCATTGAATCTATAAATTACCTTGGGCAGTATGGCCATTTTCATGATACTAATTCTTCCTACCCATGAGCATGGAATGTTCTTCCATCTCTTTGTATCCTCTTTTATTTCATTGAGCAGTGGTTTGTAGTTCTCCTTGAAGAGGTCCTTCACGTCCCTTGTAAGTTGGATTCCTAGGTATTTTTTTCTCTTTGAAGCAATTGTGAATGGGAGTTCACTCATGATTTGGCTCTCTGTTTGTCTGTTATTGGTGTATAAGAATGCATCAGAGAAATGCAAATCAAAACCACAATGAGATACCATCTCACACCAGTTAGAATGGCAATCATTAAAAAGTCAGTAAACAACAGGTGCTGGAGAGGATGTGGACAAATAGGAACACTTTTACACTGTTGGTGGGACTGTAAACTAGTTCAACCACTGTGGAAGTCAGTGTGGCGATTCCTCAGGGACCTAGAACTAGAAATACCATTTGACCCAGCCATCCCATTACTGGGTATATACCCAAAGGACTATAAATCATGCTGCTATAAAGACACATGCACACGTATGTTTATTGCGGCTCTATTCACAATAGCAAAGACTTGGAACCAACCCAAATGTCCAACAATGATAGACTGGATTAAAAAAATGTGGCACATATACACCATGGAATACTATGTAGCCATAAAAAATGGTGAGTTCATGTCCTTTGTAGGGACATGGATGAAATTGGAAATCATCATTCTCAGTAAACTATCGCAAGGACAAAAAACCAAACACCCCATGTTCTCACTCATAGGTGGGAATTGAACAATGAGAACACATGGACACAGGAAGGGGAACATCACACTCTGGGGACTGTTGTGGGGTGGGGGGAGGGGGGAGGGATAGCATTAGGAGATATACCTAATGCTAAATGACAAGTTAATGGGTGCAGCACACCAGCATGGCACATGTATACATATGTAACTAACCTGTACATTGTGCACATGTACCCTAAAACTTAAAGTATAATAATAATAAAATTAAATTAAATTTAAAAAAGACTTCATGTTGAATTAAAAGTGAAGTAGGATAATGTCTCTGTATATTCCAAGTATATTTATGGCTGTTTGTTGATTGGCTTAGAAATACCCACAGCTCCGTTATGATTGCTGATGCTTTTAGACGGTGAGAACTCTTTATAAAGGGTCCTAATGTATTAGAACATTGATATTGTTGTTTTACTTGTATCAGTATGGTAGAATGATGGGTTGCATTGCCCCACAGAGTTTCCAGGCTGTTTTCTGTGACAGAGCTTTTAACATTAAAAATGAAAACATTCAACAATAGTGGTATATATAGTCAGGCTGTTTGAGACATTCCCTGTAACTGTGTAAGACACTTTATTTAAGGGAAAAATCCTTGAAGAAATTAATTGGTATGAGCCAGAAGTTGTTTGGCCGATTTAATCGCTAATCTGCTGTTGTTTCTAAATTGAATGAGATCCAGAAGGAAGTCTGCCTGCTTCCAAATCAGCCAATTCAAGATATGTGTGCAGGATGGAGTTAGACCACTGTATGCTAAAACGCCGGCTCAAAATTAAGCAGGCTTTGCTATGGTTGGGGATGAGGGAGTGATTAGCCAAGTTTTAAACATGCTAATTCACTTTTCAGGGCATTTTGCCAAGTTAACTAAGGCTATCCTGAAACTACTTGAAAAATTAACTCAAGAATAAATAGTGACCAGGCCTGAATTTCTGTTTTCAAAATTTGTTAAGAACTGAACTTTGAAAAATAAATCAGTAAGTAAAGTAAGGCTTTTATTCAGATATCACATTATGGAATCCCAGTCATAGTACAGTCTCTTGTGGATGAAGTAAACAATTTAGGTTGTACACTTTCTGCTCCCCACTGACTAGTTCTATGTGTAAGGCTGTCCTGTTCTCTTTGAAATTCAATCTATGTGACAATAAGAGAAATTTTAAGTACCAATGAAATTGTAATTGATTTTAAACCCTGGGAACTAGAGGGGGGCTAATAGCAGAGGGTAAATCTCTTACAATCCTTCTATTCAAAGAGTTGCTTATCTCTCATCATCGAACACCCCCTTACTTGGCCTTCAAAATTCTGCTGGACTCTCTAATCTCACATTTTTCAGGTAGTATATTAACGAGTTGTTCATTTTCAATTTTCTTATCAGTACTACAGAAAAGATACAGTGTTAGTTTAGTTAAGGATGGTATAACCAACATTCTATTATGGAGAGCTTAGGGGAAAATATTCCATCTTGCATTTCAAGTGTAGCTTCCCATTCTACTGAAATATTCTGAAAGGATAAGAAAGAAAAGTTGTCTTTGTTGTTGTTTTTCTTTTTCACCTATTTTTATAAAATAATTTTCTGCTTTAATTCCATGTCCTTTAAATAAGAATTGTTCTAAAATTATCTTGGAAGGCCCACCACAACACTATATAGAAATTGTTGGTGAATTAGTTGAATATATAACACTGTAAATATAAAACTATTGGTTATTACAATGACTCTTGACCCAAACAGTAAAACACTATGTCTTCCTAATGATGATTGTATCCTAATGATAATAGTATCAGTAAGAAAGATTTTATCCTTCATCTTTCTCTACGATAAAAGAAAAGAAGGACAGGAGAGAGGGAAGGAGGGAGAGAAGAAGACAAGGAAGGAGGGAGATAAGGGAGGAAGATGAAATCATAGGATTTATTTAGCGGCATAGTAACTGAATAATCATATGTCTGTTTTGTTATTTAATGGATAAATTTATTCCTTTAATATTCCTATTTAACATTCTAATAATAAGATTAAAAGGAACAGAATGTATTTCTAATTAATTTTTGTTATTTTCCCATTTTTTCATATCTCCTTAGCTACAGTTTTCTACAAACATACCACAAATTCAGTCTCAAAATTGCCCCCTGAATAGTTTCTGCAACTTACTTCCTACATATTATTAAAATGTTAGAAACCTTTATTTATCTACCTTAAGCTTCTGTGGGTTTCTTAAACTGGTAAATGTATGGTTTGTGGGTTTATTTTTTTACCAAGTTTAGGAAATATTTAGTCATTATTTCTCTAAATAGTTTTTCTGTTTCATTCTTTCTTCCTCTTTTCTGAGACTCCAAATGAATATATATTAGAACTTCAAAGATTGTTCCACAAGTCCCAGATGTTCTTTTAATTTTTTTAATAGTTTCTCTGTTTTTCAGATTGGACAATTTCTATTTATCCATGTTCAAGTTCACTGAGTCTTTCCTCTCATACCATCTCCATTATGCTGTTAAGCCTACCTAATGAACTTTTTATTTTAGTATCACATCTTTTAAATCTAGAATTTCTTTTTGCTTCATTTTTCTCATTTATTACTTTGCCATATTTATTATCTCATCATTCATTATCAGAGTATTTTACTTTATATTCTGAGCACAGTTATAATAACTGACTTAAAATCCTTGACCTCTAATTCTAATATCTGGATCATCTCAGGACTGATCCCTGTTGATTGCCCTTCATTTTGAGAGCAGTCAAAATGCTCTTTCCTATGTCTGACAATTTTATATTGTATCTGGACTGTGTAAATGATACATTATACAGAGACTCTGGACTCTCCACACCTAAGAGTCCCGATTTTTGTTTGCTTTAGCAGACAATTAACTTATCTTAATGCAAACCCCAAAACTCTGCCCCTTCTGCAGTTAGCAACTGACTGAAATATCTGTACAGTTATTTCAATCTTAGCTGTGCTGCTTGGCATCTGCCAAGCACATGCATAGCTCAGATGTCAGCCAGTGATTTGGGTAGAATACATATGCAGAATCTGGTGCTCCCTCTCTGTAGCTTTCTTTCTTGGATATCTCCCCAGTTTCTAGATGTTTTGATGGCCCCAACTCTGATTTCTCAGCCAGTTAGAAGACGAATTTCTCTCTGAATTTTAACCTCCCTGCTTGGTACCACCCCCTGAGCCTGTTCTCAGGCAAAAAGAATAGTGTCATTCCCTTCTTCCAGGTGCCAATTCCCCTTTAGTTTCTGCCCTCTTTTGGACATTCTTCAGTGCATTTGGATAGAGTGTGTGTGTGTGTGTGTGTGTGTGTGTGTGTGTGTGTGTGTGTGTGTGTGTCTGGTGAGTTATCTGCAGGAGAAGCCCAAAGGAGGTATTCTGCCATTACCAGAAGTTGAAATCTTCAAAAATCATCTATCATAAATAAAAATATGAAGAATCCTTCTAGAAAGAGCATTCACCTAGATATAAAACTTTTTCATATTGCAAACTAGTAAAATTTGAAGACTTAAATGTTTTTTGCTGTTGTTTTTAAATTCCCATCCTGTGTACTGCCATCGCTAAATCAGAGTAATGAATTCACTGGTTGTGAGCAACTTGACATGATTTGTAGAAGCACAAAAAGCCCTGGGGAATTGGACTTGGTACTGCTCACTTTTAAGCTAATAAAGAGAAAACCCTACAATCAAATGCAGTGAAGGGTATAATTGGTGCAATACTACTTGCTATCAGTGTACTTTTCAGGGTCATTTTTGTTAACTGAGGAATGAAGTAAAACATTTTTAAGCACCCAGTACTTCAACAAGAATATATATGGTTACCCTAAGCAGTCAAGTCCAAATATGTGATGCCTGATTATTATAGAAGTACCTATTCAGCATTGCTCATTGTAAAGAATCTTATTCTTTAGTTGCAGATATATATCACCTGAAATCAAGCCACATCTGGAAAATATATCACTTTTAGCTCCATGTACCATTAAGGGTGAATAAAAGTGTCAAAAGTAAAGGAGAGCTTATACACATATTACAGGTATGGGAATGTCGGTACAACTTGAAAATATATCCATCAAGAGTTGTATTCCACAGAAATTGAAATATTTCAGAAGCAATACTCTATTGTGTGCCATGGAATACATATTTCCTGAGTCTAGAGAAATTTCAAGCCTCCTTTTTTCTGTCGCATATGTTCTGGCTGATGCCTTATAATCATTGCTTCCCCATTCAGTCACCATGGAAATGAGAAGGACTTTGTTGTCTTGGATAGAGAACTGACTTAATAATAGGAAACTCCATATAGGGATAACTGGGCATTTGTGTTCCTCAGGGGTCGGTAATAAAACCCATCTTATTTGAGGAATAAAATCCCACATAAGTAGATAAGTCTTCCCAATAAGAAAAAGGCAAGATGATGGTAATACACTGAAAAGGGATCTCTAAAACTGTGTGCATGGGCAGAAAAGGTGATGTGTGTATGAGTGTGTGCAAACACTAGGTGATATAACTTATTACCAAGAAGGGGTTTTTTTAATTTTATTTTATTATTATTATACTTTAAGTTTTAGGGTACATGTGCACAATGTGCAGGTTAGTTACATATGTATACATGTGCCATGCTGGTGTGCTGCACCCATTAACTCGTCATTTAGCATTAGGTATATCTCCTAATGCTATCCTCCCCCCTCCCCCCACCCCACAACAGTCCCCAGAGTGTGATGTTCCCCTTCCTGTGTCCATGTGTTCTCATTGTTCAATTCCCACCTATGAGTGAGAATATGCGGTGTTTGGTTTTTTGTTCTTGCGATAGTTTACTGAGAATGATGATTTCCAATTTCATCCATGTCCCTACAAAGGACATGAACTCATCATTTTTTATGGCTGCATAGTATTCCATGGTGTATATGTGCCACATTTTTTTAATCCAGTCTATCATTGTTGGACATTTGGGTTGGTTCCAAGTCTTTGCTATTGTGAATAGAGCCACAATAAACATACGTGTGCATGTGTCTTTATAGCAGCATGATTTATAGTCCTTTGGGTATATACCCAGTAATGGGATGGCTGGGTCAAATGGTATTTCTAGTTCTAGGTCCCTGAGGAATAGCCACACTGACTTCCACAGTGGTTGAACTAGTTTACAGTCCCACCAACAGTGTAAAAGTGTACCTATTTGTCCACATCCTCTCCAGCACCTGTTGTTTACTGACTTTTTAATGATTGCCATTCTAACTGGTGTGGGATGGTATCTCATTGTGGTTTTGATTTGCATTTCTCCGATGGCCAGTGATGGTGAGCATTTTTTCATGTGCTTTTTGGCTGCATAAATGTCTTCTTTTGAGAAGTGTCTGTTCATGTCCTTTGCCCACTTTTTGATGGGGTTGTTTGTTTTTTTCTTGTAAATTTGTTTGAGTTCATTGTAGATTCTGGATATTAGCCCTTTGTCAGATGAGTAGGTTGCGAAAATTTTCTCCCATTTTGTAGGTTGCCTGTTTACTCTGATGGTAGTTTCTTTAAAGAATGCAGTTTGTATTTTTCTATCAGAATGGAACCCTGGAGGCTAAAGAAGGGAAAATCAAGCTCCTGTCTCCTTCTTAGGTATTATTAAAGTGAGATTCTCTAATCCAAGGTAAAAAAAATTTATTCATTTCAAATAACTACAGATTTAAAAATTTTCCATCACTAAAAATATAAACATTTTATTTAAAACATTATTTGAAATCAATCAAGTTATTTATTTGTACCAACTGGAATTATCTAGATCAATGCTACTCACAACATGGTACCCAAACCAGCAACATCAGCATCATCACCAGAGGTTGTTGAAAAATGCAGAATCTCAGGCCCAACTCCACAGCTATGGAATCACAATCTGCATTTTAAAAAGATCCCCAGGTGATTGATATGTAGGTTTAAGTTTGAGAAGTACTAGAACAGATAATACAATAAAATAAAATCTCAATGTAAGAAGCATCTCATCTGTCTTATTTAGTGAGACCGTTGGAAAGTGAGATCAAAAGAACACTAAGGAAATTTGTAGTTGGCTATAATTTGGGAACTACTTTCAATTCTCAGAAAAAAGATAACTAGCACAAAAGAATCTAAAGAGGTTACAAAGAAGAAAGAAGAAATGAAATGAAACTTGGGTAAATGTAAGATATGAATCTGTGAAATAATAATATCAAATAAGGCATTTAATAGACACAATTTAGAAAGCAGTATTATCAGGAGACCTAGGGCTGGGATGAAAGTGAAGAACAAATTATAGTAAAATCAGGCTTTCAGTGTATTAGGATAATAAAAACAACTAATGCAATTTGGGGCTTCCTATCCAGAGACAAATCATGGAAGAGTCAGATAATAGTTCTTTTTTAATGACTCGAGTGAAAATTCAGAGAGAATATTTGGACACAAAAGCAGAAGAGCTCTGGTTTCATACAGAATCCAGGGAACAACAGGTTATAACATTTGATAGATGAAAAGAACTATGAATAGTGTAAATGATGATTCCAAAGTCAGACTTATGACAACACTTGGAAATATGAAATGTGAAAAGCCTTTGATTTTAGGAGGCATGAAATTTGAAGTATAGTAGTGAAATCAAATAGAAAAAATATGTCCTGAATATTAACACACATTCCACATATTTAATAGCAGCAAGCCCAAGTCTGTCTGCTCAACTATTCAGGCCACATATACGTTCCCTGCAAAGAGGAAATAACCAGTTGTAACTGACTCCTCACCCCACCACCGGGTCTTGAGAAAAGTTCAGACAGCCTTTATAGCTCTACCTTGCTTCATTTTTGCAATGACACAAGTAAAACACATTAACTTACTTAGGGTGAGTACACCTATCATGTATGCTACCTAGACACGTGTTTTTGTTTTTATTTTTAATTTATTTTTTATTTCAATAGGTTTTGGGAGGACAGGTGGTGTTTGGTTACAAGAATAAGTTCTTTAGTGGTGATTTCTGAGATGTTGGTGTGTCCATCACCCAAGCAGTGTACACTTACCAATGTGTACCCAACGTGTAGTCATTTATCCCTCACCCCCCTCTCACCCCTTCCCCTAAGCCCACATTATATCAATCTTTTTTTTTTTTTTTTGAGATGGAGTCTCACTTTGTTGCCCAGGAGGGCAGTGGCGCAATCTTTGCTGACTGCAACATCAACCCCTCAGTAGCTGGGACTACAGGAGTGCGCTACTATGCCTGGCTAATAACATGGCTAATGGTTTCGCCTGTTGACCAGGCTGGTCTTCAACCCTGGCCTCCAGTAATGTACCCACCTCAACCTCCCAAAGTGCTGGGATTACAGTCGTGAGCCACTGTGCCTGGCCCCACTGTATCATTCTTATTCCTTTGCATCATCATAGCTTAGCCCCCAATTATCAGTGAGAACATAAGATGTTTGGTTTTCCATTCCTGAATTATTTCACTTAGAATAATAGTCAGTTCCATCTGGCTTGCTACAAATGCCATTATTTCATTCCTTTTTATGGCTGAGTAGTATTCCATGATGTATATTTACCACGTTTTCTTTATCCACTCATTGATTGATGGGCATTTGGGCTGGCTCTGTATTTTTGCAATTGCAAATTCTGCTGCTATAAACATGGTTGTGCAAGTATCTTTTTCGTATGATGACTTCTTTTCTTCTGGGTAGATACCCATTAGTGGGATTGCTGGATCAAATGGTAGATCTACTTTTAGTTCTTTAAGGAATCTACACACTGTTTTCCATAGTCGTTGTACTAGTTTACATTCCTACCAACAGTGCAAAAGTGTTCCCTTTTCATCACATCACGATATCCACGCCAACATCTTTTTTTTTTTTTTTTGATCATGGCCATTCTTGCAGGAGTGAGGTGGTTTTGTGTTATGGTTTTGATTTGCATTTCCCTGATAATTAATGATGCTGAGCATTTTTCCATATGCTTGTTGGCCATTTGTTTTCAGAATTGTCTTTTCATGTCCTTAGCCCACTTTTGGATGGGATTGTTTATTTTTTTCTTGATGATTTGTTTCAGTTCTTTGTAGCTTCTGGACATTAGTCCTTCGTTGGATGTATAGATCATGAAGATTTTCTCCCATTCTGTGGGTTGTCTGTTAACTCTGCTGATTATTTCTTTTGCTATACAGGAAGTTTTTAGTCTAATTAAGTCTCATCTATTATCTTTGTTTTTGTTGCATTTGCTTTTGGGTGCTTGGTCATGAAGTCTTTGCCTAAGCCAATGTCTAGAAGGTTTTTTTTAATGTCACCTTCTAGAACTTATATGGCTTCAGGTCTTAGATTTAAGTCTTTGATCCATCTTGAGTTGATTTTTGTGTAAGGTGAGAGATGAAGATCCAGTTTCCTTCTTCTACATGTGGCTTGCCAATTATCCCAGCACCATTTGTTGAATAGGATAGACACGTTTTTAATACTGTCCTCGCCATGTTCTCCTGGGGCTATAGAGCCAGACCTAAAGTTGCACGTCATGCCAGGTCATCATATTGCTCATGAACAAGATCATGTGGAAGGGAGTGTGGATGCAGCTGTTATTCTCTTTTTCCCCATCTGAACCTAAATCCTGTTCCTTTGGATAGCAATTCAGCTCATTAGGTTCTAGACTAGTTTCAGTATAGTAGTAATGGAAAAAAGTATGATGTTATCAGCTATACTCATATTAAGCTACAGAGAATACTGCAGTTTTGCCTTGACCAAAGAATGCCTCTACTAGATGAAAATCAGAACTTAAAGTACAAGTAAATAAATAGGTGATTACAAAAGACTCTTACATTTTAGAAGGCTTCTCCATAGAGCCCCTTTTAAAAAAATGAACTCCTCTAGTGTTTTTAAGTGTTTTACAGACCATTAACTACATGGCAGAGGGGCAATGAGAAGGGATTTCTAAATTTAATGAACTAGGACACACTCAAATTGAGGACAGATAAAAATAAGACAAGTTATATTTAAAATTCTACTTTATCAGTGGGAAAACGCAACCATGAAAACCATCTAAACATAAACTTGAAAAGTATTCAGTTCTCAGGTATGCTATACCTGAGAGAGTGACAACTTGATGAAAACATTGATGATGATAATATTGTATAAATATGATAATTATATATATCAATATATTAGTCTACAGAATATATACAGCAATATCTACATGTGTGCCTTGCATATATATGTTATATACAATAGATATAAGTACTATATATGGTATATTTTAAAAATTATTAAATATGGGTATCTGTGTATTTTTACGTGACATTAATATTATAATTTAATAGATATATTTATAGATATTAACTATATCTGCATGTATTTGTGTATATATTCAATGTGTTTATGTAAGTGTGTGTGTGTGTGTGTGTGTGTGTGTGTGTATGTGATTCAGCCATCACCTAACAAAGTGGAGGCATCATTCAAACTTCGCACCTTTGCATTTTACACCTAGATTTAATACTGACATTGACTGCAAATCTCACTCCACAGAATACAAAATAACCCAATTGTCCATTCATTCCCAGCTCTTGAACTCTTAAATCTCGTTTAGATATGGTTTAAACCAGGAAATAAATTAGCCACATCCGTAGAAACTTTGGCTATAATTGCCTAGTGTATTTTTCCACTAGTAGTGTTTGAAATGCTTCCTATGAAGTAAATGCTTTACAAAGGTAGCAGAAGGAGATTCCTGAAAATAGTAGTGTAAATGGCCTTGACTGCATTTTGATAGGAAACTTCAAGCCATGTTGATTAATACATTATCCATAAAATTAAACCAGCCTAGAAAAGGTTAATTTTTAAATAACTGTAATGTTAATGTAATACTTATTTTTGATGAGGACAGGCTGAAGAGAGCTTAATAAAATATACTAGACAAATTCAGATAATATACTACTTCAAAACTGTTCCATGAATAACTTTCCATTTTTAAATTCTTCTATGGAATAGTAGAGTATGACCATTAGTATGTTTTTAATTTAAAATGCATTTTGGAACATATTAACAGTAAAATTGAAAGAACAGGGATTTGAAGATTTGGATTCTGTCTGTATTAATAGCTGATTGCATAGTACCAGATAATCTTTCTTTTTCTCTTCTTTTCTTTCATTTTTTAATTTTTTTATTTTTTTATTTTTTTATTTTTGAGACAGACTTTCACTCTTGTAGCCCAGGCTGGAGTGCAATGGCACAATCTCGGCTCACTGCAAATTCCGCCTCCCAGGTTCAATCGATTGTCCTGCCTCAGCCTGCCGAGTAGCTGGGATTACAGGCGCCCACCACCATGCCTGGCTAATTTTTGTATTTTTAGTAGAGACGGGGATTTCACCATGTTGACCAGGTTGGTCTCGAACTCCTGACCTCAGGTGATCTGCCTGCCTCGGCCTCCCAAAGTGCTGGGATTACAGGCATGAGCCACTGCACCCAGCCCCACTGCACCCAGCCCCAGATAATCTTTCTGATTCTTGATTTTCTCATCTAGAGACTGGAGATAATTCAGTCTTCCCAGTTGACTTCACAGCACTGTTGTAAAGAATCAAAAGAGCTCATATATATGTACGATTATATCTGTATAATCTCTATATATGTTCTCAAATACAGTAAGGTATATGTAAATATATGTAAAGTATTTTAATGTTTCTACAGTTTTAATGTTTTAAAAGGAACACATTTCATAGAAGAATGTTACGAGAAGGTAATGATTTCTCATTTTGAACATAAGATAGCTGGATTTGATATCAGTATTAATTTTTATTGGGTATTGACTTAGCTTTGCTTATCTTATAACAAGAGGCCATAATCCAAGCATAGTTTATTCCATTGACTTTATTACTTTATCAAAGCTAGTAATTACACTTCTGGTGTTTCCAGACCAACAACAAAAACAATTGAACATAATGCAATGAATATTGCAATGAAAAACATTTGTCATTATAATGTACTAGAATTCCAGGAAGATGCAATATATTCTATTTGTGTGTAGTTTCTTATAAACAGCCTTAGTTCTATTTGAAGCTAAAGAAGAACAGGATGGTTAGTTTCAATATGTTAACAGCTCCTTCTCTTTAAGTAAAATAGAAAATGGAAAAGAGAAGGACCTAGAAAGAAGCATGTCTCACTCCATCCAGAAGTCATGAAAGCAGATGATGCAGTGATGTACCTAGCTCTGAGGTCCTCTTTTGTATAAGAGAAATAAATATTCATATATACAGTATATCTGAGAAGAGGGCTTCTTCAGAGGAGAACCCAGAGAGAGCCCAGTGCCCACAAGAAAATGCCTGGGTGAGCTTATTATAGTTCTGGTTGCCCAAGCAAATTATATTTTACCTACGTGAAAATAATAGTAATAGTGAGAAAAATGTTCTTGAACATTTGAATGGTGCTTTCATTCATTCATTTATTCATCCATCCAGCAAATGTTTATTAAGCACCTACTGTGAAGTAGGCAATGTGCTAAACATTGTCATACTGTAGCGAAGAAGAGAGACTGGTCCTTGTTCTCTTGGAGATTACAAGCTAATCATGGACAGAAACTATTTTAGTTTTTTTTTTTTAAGATACAGTGTGTACTAAACATTTGCAGGAGGAAAAGGCATGCTTAGAAGAAAAATAGAGAATGTGGAGCTACTTTAATTTGGGTATCAGGGAAGCGTTCTGTGAGAAAGAGATATTTGGAATGATATGTGAAGGATGAGGAGCCAGGGAACAGCGTTCCACTGGTGAGAGTAGCATTTGTGAAGGTGTGCAAAAACCTGAAGGACGGCCTTTGTGGCACAAGTTAGAGAAAAAAAGAGGAAGTAACGCCACATGGTATTAGAAAGGTTGACAATGGCCACATTATGTGGAGGCTCGTTGACCATGACAAAGAATTTGGATTTTATTAAATGTGCAAAGGGAAACTGCCAAATGGTTTTACACAGAAATGGTGAAAATATACAAATACATCGTAATGTTACTATGTGAAAATATATAGGAAATGTGATGCAATGAAGTTACAGACATCATTATGAGGTGGTTAGCAGAATTGGCTTTGTGGGTATGCAATCTGTGCCATAGCACAAAGCTTCCCTCTCAGAAGGTCCTGCTCTTGGATTAATGCTCTGACAACTCCATCTTGAAATTCATAATAATTTTTAAACTGGGAGGCTTGGATTTTTACTTTTCATTGGGTCCCCAAATTATGTAGCTAATACTGTCTACTATAGAAATCGAGTTGCAAGATGATGTTATAAACTAGGATAATGACACTGGAGAAAGACAAAAGTTATCAGCTGGACGCGGTGAGTCAGGCTTGTAATCCTAGCACTTTGGGAGGCTGAGATGGGCAGATCACCTGAGGTCAGGAGTTTGAGGCCAGCCTGGCCAACATGGTGAAACCCTGTCTCTACTAAAAATACAAAAATTAGCTGGGCGTGGCAGTGCATGCCTGTAATCCCAGCTACTTGGGATGTTGAGGCAGGAGAATCCACTTGAACCCAGGAGGCAGAGTTTGCAGTGAGCCAAGATCATGCCACTGCACTCCAGCGTGGGTGACAGAGCGAGACTCTGTTACAAAAAAATAAAAAAAGTTATCTCTATTTCACAAGTGAAACACAGCTATAATTCTGTATCAGATTGCCAGTAATATGGGCTTTCAATTTGGTCCAAGTAGAGCATTTTAATTGTTTACTCAATCCTAACTTATGATAATCAACACATATTACATCCATTTAGTAAATACTAGTTTTCAAAAGATTGCTAATTTTTGTCATCTTCTGTTAGTGCATCTGCATGTTATGTATGTACAATAGAGATTAATTCCAAAGGGCGTGAAACATTTACCTTTACCTTTCCATTTCATTAATATCTATCAAGCCCAAAGCGTACAAAAGACTCTGTTGTAAACTTAGAGTGATGCAGGTATTTTCTATTAAGAGCTTATAACTGAGTTGAAAGTTAAGATCTAAATAGCTATAATACAAGAAAGGATATACTTGTAAAGGAGATACAAACAATGAACTGTAAGATTTTTCGTTTCTTTAGAAGAATCATTAGAAGTTTTATCAAGTGTTTCTGCTTATTTAATCACAGGAGTTCAAAGATGTTTGTCGTGACACCAGAATGTGGGATGACATTATTATGACATTTCATTTTAATTAAAACTAGATATTGCCAGGGATTCCATAGTAGGTATCTCCCAATATGTAGTAATCCATAAGATTGTCATGGTATGTATGAAAATCCCATTTAGAAGATAAATATTATTGAGGTCTTTAAAGAAAAAAACTTCAAAATGCCTCTCCTTATTTCCTGCAGAATGAAATAGATCTATAATTAAAATAATTCTTAGTATTCATCATCAGAGTTGAAAAATAAAATCAGACTTTTGATTCCTAGATGGAAATCTATTAAGAGATAAATGAAAATATTGTGGTTGCTGCACAAGACATCTGTCTTCAGTTTAAGCTGCACAAACTGCAAGCAAATGTGGATGTTTTCTCTATAGTATGGAACTTTCATCAGGGAAAAGCCTAGTTTGATGATGAAATTTCAAAGCAGATATCCCAAAAGAACACACACACCCCCCCCACACACACACACACACCCTACACATACACCAAACAGAAGAACACATGGGCAATGGAGGGATATACCAGTGCCCCAGAGACAGAGACCTCTGGCACTAAAGAGCTGTTCTTGTCATGCATGACAGCTTAAGGCTCCAGACATTTCATCCCAGGACATTTGTTACAGTTGCAGGCTTCCATAATTCAGGCTGTGGGCAGAGTTTCTAGCTTATATCTCCCGAGACCTACTCAGGGATCTGGTTTGCCTTGCACTTATCTCCCTTCTCAAACCTGTGCCTCTACAATAAAGTAGTCATGTATCTATCCAAAGTGCACACACTTTGTAACTTAGGGTAAAAGAAAATGCTTACCAACTTAGGCTATACCAAGTTGTATAAACCAATATTGCACTCACCCTCTTGATTCTACCCATTCTCAAAGTACAGTAAAAGAGAGCTATTACTCGCTCCACAATCACTGAGCCTGACATGATGCACAGAAGAGTTTAACATGAAAATAAGATGGACTGATGGGCTAAGGACGTAGAGGACATTGAGAAGATTTTATACAACTTGAGAAATATGTGTAAGTCTTACAGTTGGGATATTTAGGAAAAGGAAGGAGCATTTTGGATAGTCTTATCTTTATCTCAAATATCAATATCCTGGTTTAGGCTTTTAGGACCACTCTTCTGCGCTATAACTGTAGACTTTCTTCTCCCAGCTTCTCCTTCTCCAGACCCTTTACATATCACTGCCAGTTTATTTTTTCCAAAGCTTATTTTCTGATTCAGAGCATTCAGTGATACTTCTTGACCAACAAATGTAAGGGATTCTTTCATCTGGCATTCAAGGCTGTTTGTGATCTCCCTGCAACCTATTTTGCCAGTTTTTTGTTTGTTTGTTCGTTTGTTTGTTTGTTTGTTTTTTGAGACAGAGTCTCACTCTGTCACCAGGCTGGAGTCAGTGGCGCGATCTCAGCTCACTGCAATCTCTGCCTCCTGAGTTCAGGCGATTCTTCTCCTGCCTCAGCCTCCTGAGTAGCTGGGACTACGAGCATGCCCCCATGCCCAGCTAATTTTTGTAGTTTCAGAAGAGACAGCGTTTCACCATGTTGGCCAGGATGGTCTCCATCTCTTGACCTCATGGTCCACTGGCCTCGGCCTCCCAAAGTGCTGGGATTACAGGCGTGAGCCACTGCACCTGGCCTATTTTGTCAGTCTTACTTTTGTTACTTCCTTCCATGTAAATTATCTTTCAGTAAAGTGGTTTTCAAACATGCTCTCCTCCTTCCTATAACAGCCTCAATACATTGGCTCATGGCATGCAGTTCTTCTGACTCTTTATTTTCCTTGCCATTGAAATTCTACTAATTCTCACCTACCCCAGGAAGCTTTGTTTATTTTTCCCACTGGATATATTTATCTCCTCTAAACTAAGAAAGCATCTATTTTATACATATATTCATATTTACCATCCAAATCCACATTTATTTGAGTAATTGTACTTGGTTTTACCCATCTTTCTACTGCAGCCCCAATTATAAATACCATATGGACCATACTTTTATATGTCTCTGTCTCACATCATGCCTCCTGATCACACACACAAAAAAGGTTCCGTAAGGTTTAAAAAATGGCTAGAAAAGAATGGAAGAGTATTCTCCGTATTCTTAGATTTAACAATCATTTTATTTCCATCCAGACCTTATGGAAAGTCCATTGGCTGAAAACAGAACAGACAAACAAACAAACAAATAACCCTGAATGTTTCATAGAGACTGCCCAGAATAACAGGATGTATTGTATGGCCTTTGGACATGGTGTGCTTCCTTTACATTTGCCAATTCAAGAGCTTATGGTTGGGATGATCATATAGGCCAGTTTGTCTCTGACAGTCTTGCTTTTTGTGCCTGTAATTATCGATAATATCTTCCCTTCACTCTCAAAAGAGTTCTGGTTTAGATGAGAAAGTATATGGTCACTCTCCCTAAGGACCATTTTTATGGGCAAGTGAAAATACTCTCTCTACTTGTCAACATTGTATTAGTTTTCTTATACAAACTATTAATATTATAGAACTGGGATAGATTAGCATCTCACCCATTTCTTCCCAAAGCTTTAGGTTCATCTAAAAAGCAAATAAATCAACAGACAGACAAAAAAGCAAAAATAAACAAACAGAAAAACAAACAACAAAACAAGTCCCAAAGGCTAAGCCATTTGAAGTAGAAAAGGATAAAACATAAGGCTTAGGATCATTGGGAGAGATATTTTTTTCTCCTCCTTTTTCCCTTTTCTCTCCCAGGAATTCTTCAGTAGACTCAATTGAAGCCTTGAGTTTGAGGTTTTGTATTCTCAGATGGTAAGCACACCTATTAAAAAAGCAATGTATTCATGTTAACTCCCTGGCACCAGCAGGGCCTGTGTATTCACTGCTAGCAGTGGACACCATGCCAGGAGAACCTGACTCCTGGTGCAAAAGGATTAGGAAAAAAAAAAAAGTCAAACAATGCCAAAAAAAAAAAAAAAAACCCACACAATTCTTTTCTGTACTCTGTGGTTTGTTTTACTTAGGAAAACGGCCTGGTTATACCCTGCAGCACGCATTCATTACAGTGATCTTTGACTGGCAGATGCAGAGTAATAGGATGCATATTTTAGTGCTTATTATAATACCCTGTCCAAAAACAACTTGACAAATTTGTGATTTCGACAATATCTCATTTTGCTGGCTGCAGTGCTCTGTGATTGTCTGGCCCACGTGGCTTCCAGATTATGCATACCACCAATACTTCTCATTAAAATGGCCACAGTTCACCAGTTTCGGTAGCTTGGAACGAACTTGGAATGAATTATTATACAACAAAGAGGCTGCTGTCATGCAGAACAAAAGACAAGCAAAAGAGAGCTTTGGCTTAATGAGGCTAAGTGAGTGTCTCCCCTGCATCACAGCTACTTGACGGCCTTTGAGCATGGATTTTTTTTCTCCACAGGCCAAAACCTTTGGTCTATTATTTTGTGTTTATGCACCTTGAGGCTAATATACATTTTAATATGCTGCACATGGAGAAAAAAAATCAACCATTAGATTAGAACATGTGCACTCCCTGTTAAATTAATGACAACCGAACATAGAGATAAATTTAGGTTTTCATATTTAATTATAGCACACTGCAGTACGTTTAGCAAGGATAAATTGCACTATTATTATGCTTCATTTTTTTTGACATCTTCTCCTATTAGTAGTGCACACTTGCCCCAGCACCACCACCACCATCACCCTGTGGCCATGCTAACATCTCTGCATATCTTCCTTTTCTCCACATCACACAATCTCAGCCACCACGTTGAAAGGTATACTGTTTTATTTGCAAGATTTAGTGAGAGAACTGATGCCATTTTGGCAGTTCTGTGTGCATAAGAAAGTGATTTGTAAGAAAAAAATAAATCAGCTAAGAATAATTGTTATCACTCTTCCTTGCTGCATCAGATTATAGTGATGGGATCAAGTTCACTGCTTTTCTGATCAACCAAAAGCACAAAGCACAGCATGTGACTCTGAATAGTTGGTGTTTCATTATGACTCAGATGACCTGTGTATAAAGAAGGAGTCATAACAATCCCAAGAAAAATTCCAACAACCCTGTCACTTTTTGAAGCTTTTCTCTGTTGATTTTAATCTATTTATTGTAGAAATGGGAACACTTCAAGTAGTGAAAGTTACAGGGTAATAAAGATGGTCTTTGGGGAAAAAATTTAGCAAAGTTGATAGTAGAGATTATGAATATTGCTGTTCATTCTTTCCAGACCACCAAAGCAGGAACAGATTGTTAATATAACTGAAATGTCAAAATGAACTTTTCGTGTAGAATGACCAGAGAACTTGTAGTTCTTTCCATTTGGGGACTGTAATTTTACCTTCCATTAATTGAGTATATTTGTTTCATGTTACATCTGAGCTTATAGTTTAGCTTGCTTCATACACCAATTAATAGAGTTCCAGATGGTTGCCCAGAATGTAAGAGATTCTTCTTCTATCTTTGCGTAAAGCTGAAAGAAAGGCATTTGCCTATGTCTCTGCATTAAGGAAGCGTACCCATTTGTTGTCTTTTTGCTTTAAAAAGTCACTTGAATCAGCAAATGTCTTAAAATCAGAGAATACTTTTTCAGGATCTGAGCATTGAAATCCAGTTCTGGGGTTTTCCTGAGACTTATCCTTTATTTGATATTTGTTTCATGGTGATGCATAGCAGGGTTTGATGACCAGAGAATCATGGCAAGAATAATAATTTCCTTGTTCGGAAGGTCTGTAACTGGGGATAAAGAGTCAGAAGAGTCAGTTACCATTGGCTGGTGAACAACTCTTCTTGATGACACATAAAAGCAGCCGTTACAAATGTATTAAGAATAATTCTCTTTGCCCAAATTCTGGTCAAATGAAATTTGAAAGATGAGATATAAGAAATGGCCTTACGAAGATGGGCTGTAAAATCCATTTTCAAAATGCTTTTTTGTTTAAAGTTGACTCACCTCAGACACTAAAAGTGTGAGGTAATAAATAGCTAAGTAGCCTGGCAATATGGCAATTTCTTGTGACTCAGAGCTATTTTTTATAGTGTTTGCCAAACTTAAATTCTAAGAAACTCCTGTGTGAAAAGAGGTGAGGATTATATTTACTATTTTATAGAGGTTGACACTGAGTCTGTAGGTAGAAGGGTCTATCTAATTGGTACAGTCACTGGGTAATACTAAATTTCCTTACTCAGGAATCTAGATTCACTTATCTTGGAGGCTCTTTCCACCTGTGGACAAGTGGTTTCGATATCTCAATCAGCATTAGATAGTGGTTATCAAGTCATTTTTGTGGGTTAATTCACTTAGAAGTTCAAATAATTTGCTCTGAGTGGTCAGATGTTCTCAGTCCTAAATACTCTTGCCATTGAACATTTCAGTGTGCCTAAAGCAGATGTCAAGATGCCCTACAGGATTCCAATATAGCCATTCTAGCAAGAAGGAATTCCAAAACACACCTTGTTCCAAACATCCCTGGTAGAATGAAAGTGACTTATTTTCAAAATAATCATAATAATATTAAAAATAGTATATTATGGCCCTTAGAAATGCTCATGTTATTAAGTTAAAAAAACAAGAAACCTTGCTATATCTAAATATAATTCCTGTTTTTGTTATTTAAAAAAAGCATGCATTTGTGGACAGGAAAAAAAAGCTATGATAATACCCATATATTACCAGACATTTCTGAAAGCAGAAATTCTTGGTAATTTTTCTTTCTTTTTCTTTTCTATATTTCCTCAGTTTTCTTTAAGGAACATGTATTTTATACTGAGAAAAACTAAAAATGAAAGCAATAGCTTTTGAAAGTTTTCTATAAGTCTCTAAAGAATTATTGATCAAATATTTCATCAAAATATTTCATCAAATTTCATCAGAAAATCTTAGAAGAACCAAATTTAAAAGAATCAAGACTATTCAAGTGCCAAGCAGGAAAGTCAGGAAGGGCATAAAGAGCTGGCATTATTTAGCTTACAGAATAAATTAAATTAGTTTAGCCAACAAAGAATGGCTGAGGAGGAATTGCTATTTTTCTGTAAAAAAAAATAACAGATTATTATGTAAAGTTTTATAAAGAGAGTAACAGTGTTTTAAGTCTACTACTGATGAAGGAAAGTGAAACAAGTATGAAGAATGAAATCTGACGGAGATATGCTTTCCAAAGAATGAGCTGTTTGAAAGAGACTGACAACATCTCTGGAATCTTTTGTTTCTTTTTTCTTGTTTTTCTTTTCATTTCTCTTCTTTGGTCCTTGAGAAAAAGAGAGATTCGCATGTATTTATAATTCTATATGTGTAGTAGAACCATATGAAGGAAACTAGTTTCTTTTTCTTTTCTAATGTTACATGAAGTTTTCTATAAAATATATTTGTCAGAATTTTCAAGTTGGCTTTTCACATTTAAAAGCAGAAATGCTTGCCAAAGTCTAACTGAAGATAGATTTACTTATCCCTAATGTACAATATGATTATTTGCACCATAAAAGGCCCAATACTCTTTGAGTGCAAGTTGACTTGAAGAACTATCTAGATTGATTCTGTTAATTTATTTTAATTTTTACTAGGGTTTACATTTCTATTCTCTCTGCATTCTATGGGGATAAAGCTCAAAGTATAAACCTTGAGTGCTTCCAAATCTAATTAGTACATCCTACTCCAAACAGCCTAACAAAGAGTCAATCAAAGGAGTTCTTTGACCTGCTACTTGATTTGAGAGTTCCTAAGCAGTTTTCGTGTGTGGTTCTAGAATACCCAGAATGCTGATTTTGGTAGGAGGCTGTGGATATGTACTGCGGCTACTTGGCAAAGGAGTCAGTAACTCCTCCCCTGACCCCGGAGGGTTCTGTAATGCCTCAAATGGAATCCAGTTAACACGACACAGAGGCCTCTGGGCATCTATTGCCATCCATTCATTCAGCTAAGATGACTGAAATTCCTACCATGTGTCAGCCACTGTTCTAGACACTTGGGATTTATCCATTTAAAAAAGGAACCTACCCTTGTAGAACTTATATTTAAGTAAAAGAGATAAAAATGAACAAACAGTAAAGATAATAAATGATAGTATATTCGGTGATAAGGGCTATGTAAACAGGAAGGGTGGAGAAGGCAAGGGAGCTCAAAAGTATGGAAGTCAGGAGACAGGTTGCATTTTAAAGGTTAGACAGCAGTGAGTATGGACCTTTTAGAGAAAGTCTCATATGAGCAAAATGTGAAGGAAATGAGAAATAAGCCTCGTGGATGTCTGTGAGAAGAGATTTCCAGGCAGAAGGAATAGCGAGTAAAAAAGCCTTAAGGATCAGCCAAGAGTAGGGTGTCTGGAGTAGAGTAGATAGGGGGAGTAATAAGAGACAAAGTCAGGGAGGTAAGTAAGGTAGAGTAGAGGAATAGTGGCCATGCTCATGCTCTAACTTAGTTCCCTTCTAATTCAAGAACCTGTTAGTCACCTTCTATGCACCTCGTGCCTCGCTTGGTCTTCCCAGCTTCCCAGTTCGGTCTGGCATACACTTATTAAGCTTCCATTATATGCCAGGGACTGTGTTAGAAAATGCAAGCACAATCCTACATGAAGCGAGATCACTATACATCTTCAGTACTTCCCATTCCATTTTGGATCACTATGACAAGGTTTGCAGATGTGATATGTACTCAGAAGTGAACTTTCCCTACCTCCTCATGTTTACAGATCTATTAGACGTATGATCCACTCAGCTCACACTTACATTTGGCTTCATGTCATCACACAAAAATTAATTACTTGATTATTGGGAAAAAACAGTATTATAGTGTACCAAATGAGCTGCACTTTCAAAACAAGCCAGAAACATCTTTATTCTCTTAAAACCCACTAAGCTCCTCTTCTTGGCTATGGATAAAATCCCAGAGTTTTTCTGATCACTTCCAGACATTAGAACACCCTCAGATAATAAAGAGTCCAGCCAGGAAACTTGTGGCTCTCCTCTTATTTAAACAATCTCTGCTTTAACCTGCACTAGGCCCTATAGCATCAGTAGAGAAAAGGCCGGATGCTTAGGTCGTCTGTGATTATCTTCTGCCTCCCTCTCCCATCCTTCTTCTCCACTTCTCCATGTCACCTGTGATTCCTCCATTGTGCTGGGAAAGGATGAAGCATATGAGGCTAAAAGATGATTGTGTAGTGCTCTTATGGCATGGTTGTGATATTGATGCAATCAGGGCAGGTGCCAACTCTTTTTCTTAAAGGATACCTCTGTGGGATCTTCAGAGCCTCCCATTCTGTCTCCCTGGTGATACCTTCTGCTCTGCCCATTATGATTTCCTATGCTTCGGCATTTCACCCCTGAAGTCTCTTTCTACTGGGATTACCTCTCCTTGGCAGGGCTTTCAATGTAGTTATATTGCAGCAGCTTTCCAGAGTGTCCCCAAAAAAAACTCCTGTCTCTGTCATCATAAGCAAACACCTCTACTGGCCCTACTATCAGGGAACCCTCACAACCAACCTCTGACATACAGGCCTTTCTCAGCAGTAGTCAGACACCAGCCTCCTTACTTTAACCCTCCACAGCTACCCACCCAAGCACCCAGGGGCATGTCCATGTTCAGGTTGCTAAGACTGGTATCACTACAGTCAGCAAGTGTCCCATAAAGGCAGATTTTTTCCAAGTAGCAAATAGGTAGCCCAGAGTAAAAAAAAAAAAAAATGTCAGTTGCCTCTTTGGGCAAGTACCCCACTCTTGATTGTATTTAGAGTGTCTTCTGTCACTTGGCTTGAGGTAGCGGAAACAGAACATTCTACAGGAGAGAGCAGAGAAAATTACAGCACTTTTTCTGGGCTATCAATACATAATCTTTTCTCCAGTGTCTTCTCTGCCTCTCCTTAGAGCTATGGGTGACAGGGAAAGATCCCAGACCTACAGAGTAAATTTGAATCACATCTCACCAAGTCCTGCCTGATCCACCTTTAGAAAGAAGGAGATTTGCCAACATTCCTTTCATAGTTGGGGCCTCATCTAAGACTGAGAAACATCTTATGACATCCTATTACAATAATGCTGCCTTTGCCTTTAATCTGTTGTTCGTAAACATAAAAAATCTTTTCAGTCTAGAAATATCTGGTAGTGTGGTAATGACGTTTAAAACCAAGGATGTAATGATACTTCAGTTGGTTAAACTCAAGTTTTGTAAAGACAGGTCCAAGATTTTTTAAATCCATGAATAGAACCCAGTCTTGGGGTTTAATACTGTTTCATTTTCTTTTGCATATCTAAACTTATGAGTGTTATTAGGTTTTTCATAATGTTTTGATTTTTCTTTAAAAGATTCATCTTGTGAAGCCATTTTCAGAATACATAAATTTTTTTTTATTTTTATAACTTGTTTCTCAGAAGAACAAAAAACACTTTGCAGTTTTCTAAAAATCCCACTGGCGTGATCCAATTATAATTAGAGAAATCCAGCTACAGCATCAGAAATGAGATGGAAGGAATCTGAGGCACCATGACTGACTTGTTCATCACCGATGAACCGAATCTGGCATCGATCAGAATAGGATCAACAGAATTGTAGAATTCTTAATTTGGAGCTATTATAGGAAATTAATTTACATTTTGGATAAGATTTACTAATCCAAAAACTTAAAAAAGAAATATCCAATTCTGGCAGACTTCTTTTTCGAAAGGACCAAACTCAATGACAAAATTTTAGAATTCCTGAAAAGAGTTAACTGGAATTACCTTGGTGTTTTATTTGATAGGTAATATTTACTACCCACAAGCCTTTGTTATGAGGGTGGAATACATCTACCCAAGTCAGTCATGTGACTGGAATCAGTGAAAGCTCGTCACTGGTGCTGCACAGTAACTCATAAGCAGACAGAAAGCCAGAGGAGAGCTCTTCCTTCTCCAAATCCCTGGAAAATGCATTGCCTTAATTAGCAAACACTATCTTGAGTGACTCCTCTAGAGACTCCCAATTAACTAAGCTTCTAGACTAACATGAATTCTTCTCTCTTATTAGTTCATATTTATGTTTTTTAAATCAACAAAATTTCCCAACACTTTGTCACCCTAGAACCCAACCTTTATGAACATTTTTTGCGAGAAAAATGCAAAAGAATGAAACTAATGCAGTTTATTAAGCAAATAATCTTAAAAGCAGCCCACAACACAACTGCTCACCAGCTCGCAAGCTCACCGGATTATATTTCCTGCTGTTTTCAGTTACTTCTATTTATACTTCTAACCGGATGAACTCACCATGCCCCCTACTGCTTAAGAGCAATACTACCACAGTGTAGCACAACACAGCACATCCTAGTATTCTCCAGAGATTTCCTTCTGGCCATATGGTAGCTTTCAGAATGCTTGTTGAACAACATTGTTTGTCTCCCCTTGGTCACCAATGCCAGGATAAATCTGTGGAGTCATGCTGGCAGAAGAAATGGCCTCCAATCAGCAACAACAAACAAGTTCTTTATTACTGACCCCACCATCTGTCCCTGTTTCCACATGCCATTCTCATATAGAAACAGGTTTCCGCCAGGCCAGGTTCAGTGTGCATCCAGCATCTACCATTAGGTCAGCTTGAATATCCAGATTACAACTGTGCTTATCCTCTTACCTAGCTAACATCCTTTATCCAGAATGGAAAGTGGTTGGTGGACACTGAAAAAAGCCTGTGAAAGCCGTACTGCTGATAAGAGATATGTTTGCTAACGTCTTGGATTAGGGATGTGTACTTAGTGGAGATATCAGCCTCGGTGTGACAAAAGCAAGATGTAAGTATTACTTCCTTTATGTTAAGGTGTGCACCCACCAAGACCACTCTGCTTATAAACAGTGAATATGGAAGGAGTGTTCCCTGGTACTTTAATTATCAGCCCATTTTTACAATTGTGTAGCCAGAGATGTTCCCAAGATGAAGTTGTTTCCTAAAGGCTCATTTCAGAGAGGTAGATCATCCTACATGCTTTGCCATTGTAGTTTCAATATAAATACTTTAGGCCTGCTTGCAGCGCATCTTGAGTGCTCAAAATATCACATTTAGTGACAAGGATAAAAAAGACAGTGCTCTCAAACCAGCAATATTAAAGTAAGTGTGCCAAGAGCACATTATGAAAAAACTGATGGAGATACAGAGCCGACAGAATGTCTGCAGAGAAGCGCAATGAGAGAAATTGTCTTTCCCTGTTAATACCATTATGAGAAAGCTCATGGAAAGTTATTTTATTAAGTGTTTGTGTTATTAAAACCTATTCCCCTGTCTGAAATTTAATGCTACACAATGTACTAAATAGTCAGGTTTCAAGAGAGATGATAAACCTGGAAGAATTACATTACTACCCAAAGTATTGGTCATTGTACAGGGATTTAAAATTTAACAACCACATTAAACACCAAGCCAAATCAATAGTAATATTTTCAGTCTCTCCGAGGCAGATGACTGAATATGCTGAAAGCATTGTGGGGTTGTGTGGCACTGTGTTAGCTGGTCCATGCATCATTGAGGCCCGTGTCTGGTGTAATCAGCTCTGGGAAGACACTGTATTCTTAGCATTCCCGGAAGGCCTGCTGTTCCACAGCAACAAAAGACACAAGCACGGCACAGTACCACAGCACCAGCCGATGAACAATAAACCTGGTTCAGATTGAACTATTTACTTGGCATTTGCTATATCCTTAGGCTCCACTGGAAAAATTAATAGGTGGTCAGCTTTAGCAAATATCACAGTGATGGAATAAGGAGATTTGTTAGCCAACAATTTCTGATTTGTGTCACTTGTAAATATGATGGTTTTAGTTGTCCATTTTAACGATTCTTTCTAGTCGACAAATACCTAGCTGACTACTCTTTACCAGTGTCAAGGATGGCATTGAAAAAAACAAAAAAGATCTAGCTGATTTTGGCTCAGAAGTTCTTTCTTCTTGTCATAAATTTGCGTTCTTGCCTTCTTTAAAGGTGTCATTTAATGGCAGCACCTTATTTTTACTGACAGTGTTTTTGGGGAAGTTCAGACTATTCGTTCGTGATTCATCCAAATACGTGATTCTCCCTTGGATTCCAGCACAATTTGTGACCTTCTAATACTGAAGCACTAAATATCATTCCTGCTTTGATGGCAGGAAGTTTCCAGGGAAAAACCTAGGTGGGTAGGAATTGAGAATTCCATGAGAGAGATACTAAGATACCCCAGTCTGGCATGGGAAAAAAAATCTCATTACGTGTCCAAAAGGAAAAACACACACATGTGTATACATGACTGGATTCGCGAGGCAGTCCACACAGTGTAGGAGAGTGCCACTGAATCCCAGTGCTAAACATGAGACATGCCTCTCATTTTCTCGTCTTTAAAACAGGAATAATAACAGTACTGACCTCATAGGGTGATTGCGAAGACTATATGGAAAAAAGAAACATGTTTAGCACAAAGCATAGCACAATGAGTGCTCAGGATTTTATTTGTGTAATGATTCCTAGCATTTTTAAAGCTTAGAGTTTTATGAATGGAGACTCTGATTTAGGATCATGCTGGATTTCCAACCTTTAAAATTATGCAAGTCATTCTTGTGTGGAAGCAGAAAGTGAATAAATGGATTGGCATCAAACAACATCAGACTGGCAACAGGGAGGCCTAAATTTCAGTCTTAACGTTATATTGACTCAGCTCGCTACTTCTGGGAATGATAGTAACTCCTCGGGCCTTGGTTTCCTCATTTGAACTGAGGGAACTGGACTCTATCAAAGTCCTTTCTGATTTAAAGAACGGTGATCCTGGCTGTGTTCTTCCTTGCATGCAGAAAATGGCCATAGTCCATTGTAGAGGAATTTTGAAAAATAACAGAAACACTCTCTCAGCCTAGTATTTCCACTATTAGTCCATCATTTTTTAACAAGGTCCATCATTAAAAATCCTGTCTAGACATCTGCTTTTAAAAGACAGCTATCAATCAATCAATTTAGCTATTGAGTACCCATGTGGGGTGAGTATAGAGGATAGAAAACAAGAAATCCTGTTCTACCATAAAACCTTGAAATCTACTTGGAAAGAAAAAAGACACTATTTTTTAAAAATTAATATTTAGTAAGGGTCAAATGAGGAACACAGGCAACAACTATTCCACTCATGTTCCTACATGTCTTTTAAAGTAGTTTACCAATTTAAAACATTAAAGGTAATAAAATTTTTAAAATTTAAGACACAGCAGAAATTATTTAGAAAGCAAGAAGTGCTTGTATGGGAAACAAAAGATAAGCTATATTATTAAAACAGGACATCATGTTTTGCTGTAAACTTATTGGTAGCCAAGAAACTAAAGAAATTCATGAGTTTTATAGCTCTCATGGTCTGATAAAAGGGGATGTCTAGGTTTGTCTTAAGAGACAACACTTTGCTCCTGGCAGTAAATATTGGGAAAATTTTGTTACATGGATCCATATTTAATGAACACTTAATAATTTACTGTACAATGCCTATAGCCGGGGTTTTGTGAAAAATACAAAAGTGTCTTTCAAATACCTATACCATATCAATTTTTAGTGAAAGCTAAGGATTAGCTAAATCAACTCAAAAGAAGTATGCTCGAGTGAACCTAAGCTAATAAAATCTAAGAACGTTGCTTCTTGGTGACCAAACTTAATGCTTAGGGAAACTCAGAAAAATGGTGGATTAAGCTGTCTTTTAGGCTGATTTTTTAAAATATCAATTATCTCCAAAACACTTTTTAAATAAAAAAAATATATATATATAAGACCCCACCTGGAAAGAGTAACCCACTAGGTACTGTTCACCTTTGCGTAAATTATTTTATCAGATCTTTTTCTATTTAAACTCCCAACACTGAGGTACTTTCAAATCCATACCTTGGTTTCACTGAGAGGAGGTTAAGTGTCAAAGGCAACGTTAACTTACTTCATCATTATGCCGAGGGCTACTAATAAGAAGCAACATCTCACGTGGCCCTGCAGAGCTGCGCTGAACCTTTAAAAGTATGTAGTAAAAATTCTCTGCTAACTGGGCCACCACCAACTTCAGAAAGTCGTGTCAAAATAGAACATTCAAATAGTGAAAATCTACTGATATTTTAAGATTTAACCAAATGGTCACCCTCTTTAAGGAAGCCTTTGTTGACACGTTTCCTCCTCTTCCTCCCCAAACTTGGTAAAATGGCATAAATGTTAATTCAATTCATTTAATTCTTATCACAACTGCAAGAAATCATGACTATTATTACCATCCTGTCACGTATGAGGAAAGTAGCATACAAAGGTGGTATATAATTTGCCAAACTATCCAGCCTGTCGGTAGCAGACCAGAGAGCTAGACTCAGGCAATCTGTTTCAGAACTCATGCTCATACATACGATGTGAGAATACCAAATTCTGGCTTATTTTAATCTGATCATTTTTCAGAGGAAAGCAAATATTTATACTCAGGTTTAATAGGGTTATTTTCGCTATGGAAATACATTAATAACTCAATTTAAATGTTGAAAGTGATGTTCTTCCCATTTTTTGAAAACTTATGGTCAGCCTAGAGCCAGCTATATAAAACCCTAGCTTGGCCATAAGTCTTTACCTAAAAGATAAAGACATTATTATCAGCTTATTATTGCTGCTCACACTTACACCTTAACAGTCTCTACCTAATATAATTAGAATATATATATATATATATATATATATATATATATATATATATATATATATATATTTTTTTTTTTTTTTTTGAAACAGAGTCTGGCTCTGTGACCCAGGCTGGAGTACAGTGGCGTGATCTCAGCTCACTGCAACCTCCACCTCCCGGGTTTCAGCGATTCCCCCACCTCAGCCTCCTGAGTAGCTGGGACTACAGGCGCATGCCGTAACACCTGGCTAATTTTTTGTATTTTTAGTAGAGACGGGATTTCACCATGTTGGCCAGGCTGGTCTCGAACTCCTGACTTCAAGTGATCTGCCCACCTCAGCTTCCCAAAGTGCTGAGATTACAGGTGTGAACCACCGCACCAGGCCTACAATATAATTTTAAATAAAAAATGTAACCTAATAGGTCAATGTGTATCATAGAAGTTTTCATACAACAATGGGAAAGGATTTTTTAAATTGCAGTGTGCTCTGTGATATGGTATAGCAATTACAGAAGAAAAAGATCAAAAGTGTCTCATACCATATACCAAAACAAATTTCAAAGGATTAGATAGTTAGATATAAAAACAAACCAAAGTACATGTAGAAGAAAATAAAACTGAATATTTACCAAGCTTCTATAGGTAATCAATTTTTAAAAGCAACAAAAAGGAAAAAGACACTAACAAGCAGATTCCCCTGCATAAGTTAGAGAAAAAAGTTATTTTTTCAAATAAAAAAAGTAGAATAAAATAAAGCTATGATACCATTGTATGTTATCACTATCAGAAAGCAATTAAAAAAGGAGAAGACCAAAAATATATTTATCTGCTTTAATAAATTGTAAAATTTATGTATGTAATATATAACCCAAATCCAAAAAGGCTAGCAACAGATTTCGGGAAAAATATAATAAGTGTGGCAGAATTAATGCTTTTATTTTATAAAAGGCTAAGCTAAATTTTTTTAAAAAATATCTTAGTACTCTATAGTCAGTTTACAAAACAAGAAATACATCTAAAAAAGAACCTAGAAAATGTTCAAGCTAACTAGTTTTTTAAAAAATTGAAAGGAAAACTAAGGCCTTACTTTTTCATCACATACCAACGGAGCAAAAAAAATAATATTCATGTTATATTAAGAAATATCAAGTATTGGTTTGAAACTGTTGATGTCATAAATATTGATGACTTTAGAAATAGGTTCAGCTCTTTGGAAAAGAAATTCTTTAAAGTATTTGAATTAACTCTAAGTAAATAATCCAAAATATATTTTAATGTGCATATAGAAGTTCTCTTCATCATTGCTTACTAATGAAATAGTAGTCATTATAAAAACTTGGGAGCAATATAGAAAATAATTGATTAAATTACAGTAAATTTATTGGATCAGGTGTTTTAATGATAAAATGCAAAATGATCAAACATATGCAAGTCATTTTTCATCTTGATGATTTGCACATGAAAAAGATGGAAGAAGGACCTATAAGAATGATAGAATTTATGATAGAATTTTTAGAGTGCTAAATTTATGTAGTAGTTGTTGTTTACATTTCTCCATTTGTCAAATGTTCTATAGTTATTATTGTTATATTTGAAAAATATAAAGACAAAATGTTTATGCACAATTCCTATTTTATATTAGAAATATGGAGCTGTGAAGATTTCCTCCATCTGATTCATTTCCTAACCCAATACACTGTACCGTAGCTATGTTAATGAATGTGGGGTAGAATAGATTAGTGATAAGATACAACATTGTATTTATCTGTAGAGGCATTTGTATATCACTTGAGGAAAAAATTCTTAGTATATAAAATTTTATTATTAGTAACAGTTCTTACACTGAAGTATTAACGCCAGGAACGATGTTCCTGTTGGTGAAAGCTTTAGCGATGATTTGACTGACTGACCTAAAGAATGCTGAGATGTAGGAAAGTCTGATGAGGATCATAAAGGAATTACATTGTGTATGTGTGTTTTTAAAAATATGTTTGTGGTTTGTTTTTGCTTTTTCAAAATCAACATTTTCCTAGGCTTCTTTCTGCATATTCTTCAAATTTTTAGTTGTGTTTACTTTTAATAGCTCAGTAATTGGGACTGCCACAGAAACCTTTTCAGACATATTTTAAATTGTAGGCACCCTGGCAACCATTTGTCTTCATTTCAAAATCATTTAAGTAAAGGAAAATAAGTGACAAAAAAGTTTTTGTTATGTGAAAAATACAAAAAAAGGTAACCCTAGAAACTAAAATTATTCCATTTTGAATGATCTTTTTTTCTTCATTGCTGGTTTTGTTCATGGATTTTCTTCCTGTTAGGACCTGGATGCCTTGGCGTATTGCACTCTTCATTCTTCGGAGTCTCTACTTTGAACTCCTCAGTAGGAGCACCTTGATTTCACCTCTGTATTGAGTCATATGTGATCAGGTCATGAAGACTGACGTTTGTGCTCAGGTTTCTTCAGATCCTATAAACATTCACACACACACACAAATAGTTATCTCTTCAGCTTCCACTGCTCTTGACCTTCTCAGTGTATTTCAGTTGTCTTGCTCTGACATATAGCAGGGACCAGCAATGCATGCTCTTTGATCTTCTTCTTGTGCACATCCCATAGCACTAACCTTTCTCAGGTGGAGGTAAGAGAGATATTAATGGCCTTTTTGTGACTGCTATCTAGCAAAGTTAGCTGATATAGTGGTGCCTGGGTATTATTACATGCATGAAAAGTACCATTCTCTTTCAGATATTCTGTATGAGGATTATAGCAGGGAAAAATACCACACATTACCTCACTTTTTACCTCAAGTTAGGGAATATAACTCACTAAGAATAGATGAAAGCCAATAAGGATGAGTACCATATTGTTGTGCTCAACTTTGACCAAAAGCCAATTTAGGTTATTTCAAATGACTAGTTACCTCTGACCTGTAGCGTTCCTTTTTTTTTTCTTTTTGATATATTTTAGTGCTTTGAAATTTTGGGAATCCAATCAGGAAATTCTTGAGCATCTTCTATGTGTAAAGTGCTGCCTTTACAGGAAATAGAACTTACTAGCATATTCATTTATTCCCAAACACTGTTCATACTTAAAACTTGTCATAATGATTTTCAGTAATTAAGTAATAACTGGGCATGCAGAAGTTAGATAGATAGATAGATAGATAGAGAGAGAGAAAGAGGGAGGGAGGGAGTGAGGGAGGGAGGGAGGAAAGAAGGAAGGAAGGAAGGAAGGAAGGAAGGAAGGAAGGAAGGAAGGAAGGAGAAAGAAGAAAGAAAGGAAGAAAGAAAGAAAGAGGGAGAGAGGGAAGGAGGGAAGGAAAGGAAGGAAGGAAGGAAGGAAGGAAGGGAGAAAGAAGAAAGAAAGGAAGAAAGAAAGAAAGAGAGAGGGAGAGAGGGAAGGAGGGAAGGAAAGGAAGGAAGGAAGGAAAAAAGAAAAGGATAGAGGAGAGGAAAGGAAAGGAAAAGATCAGATGGTAGGAATTAGAGTGAAAAAGATAAAATGGAGATGGAATAGAGTTAGTATCTATGTGTATGTAAGTCATAAGCTAAATATTATCAGTAGTAGGGATGATATCCCTAATAAAGGGAGTTTAAAAATAATACTCTGAGCAGCCTAGTAACTAATGCAAAAAGTGGAGCAATCACATATAGATCACATGCAGACCACAGGACCTACAGGTATAAACCAATAGAAGAGGTAAAGAGCATCTCCTTCTGGTAGGATTCCCTCAAGAAATGTCTGATGTGTCCATACAAAGAAGATACTTTGTTCTAGAACCACATCTCTGATACAAATGCAACAACAGGTTCCATAATGTAGCATTTTATACTTTCTTTTCTCACTCGTAACCATGGAAAGAATTTTGCAAAGGACTCTCCAGCTAACCAGATCTCTAAAGATCTAGCTTAAATTTAGAACACCTAGAAATAAAATTTAGAGAATTCAGAAAAGTGGATCCTTCAAAGTATTCTCCTTAAATATTTTATTTTCACATCTATGTTTGCTCAAGACTCGGTGGTGGACAACATGAGAGTAGCAGTGAAATTTTCCTGTATTGCTATTTAAAGGCAGTGAGTGCCTTTTTATTTTACCTTCTAATAGAATATCAACAGGAAAGGCTGGACATTTAGAAATGTCAGGGTATGGACCAGGAGAATCCTCGTGAGCAAAACCAACATTCTGTGTAAAGATAATCCTGAGTCTATTTAAAACACACTGTGAAATGGGTAACGGAGATGTTGAAGATGACATGAAGATGCAGTTTACAGTCACTGGGTGCAAACAGGAGTTAAAACTGCAAAGTATAATAAAAAGCAGAATAAAAATGCTACAATAGGATGCAATGACAGTAGACTTTCTAAAAGAAATAACCATCTTGTGGTGGCATGTTAGAGGGTAATTTGAGTGAGGAAGCCTAGCATTAAAAGAGACTGACTAAGAAACTATTGGAATAGGCCATGTGAGATCAGTTCAAGGGCCTGAAACCTGCGGAAGAGCCACGGAAATGAAGGGGAAGAGTGAGTGAGAGAGATGGGAGAGGAAAATGACTGTGCTTGGTGACCAACTAGGGGCAACAGCAAAGAAGTCAGAGGTCACACGAAGCTTTCTAGTCTCTGCAGCTGTGTTACTATATATCAATGATCGTGACAAGGAAGACCAAGATGGAATATATGAGGCAACTGAAAATTTGAATCTAGCACTCAGCAAATGACCATTTTAAGAATACAGCAGGACCGGGTGTGGTGGCTCACACCTGTAATCCCAGCACTTTGGGAGGCCAAGGCAGGAGGATCACCTGAGGTTAGGAGTTCGAGACCAGCCTGGCCAACATGGTGAAACCCTGTCTATACTAAAAAATACAAAAAATTAGCTGGGTGTGGTGGCACGTGCCTGTAGTCCCAGCTACTTGCAAGGCTGAGGCAGGAGAATCTCTTGAACTGGGAGGTGGAGGTTGCAGTGATCCAAAATCATGCCATTGCACTCCATCCTGGGTGACAGAGCAAGACTCCATAAAAAAAAAAAAAAAAGAATACAGCAGGACCTTTTAGAATGAGTATTTGCATGTTTCCAAGAATAACTACAGATAAGCTCTGTAAGGAACAATGTTGCAAGCTCCGGCTTGGACAAAGTTTGGGTGGGCTTCAGTGGGAGAGGACAGAAAAATGGTATTTTTTGTCACTCCTCCATCCACACTCTACTTTTCTCTCCTTCCCTCCATCTCAGTTGATACTATCCTACAACATACAGTATTCAAATATTGTTTCAGGAAATATTTACTTTAATCTTTAGGAGAGAAAAAAGCAAAAAACAAAAATACCCTAATAGCATCAAAGTTAGCATAGCACAATTCCAGACTTCTGCTCATTGTTGAAATAGAAGGGCTTCTGTTCAGTCTGCAAGAGTCTTGATATACTGCAGTGTTCCTGCTACACAGGCAGGCAGCAATCCCTCCCCGAGTCCCGTAAGAGCATTTTACATTTTCTTCCCATCTTTCAGCTCATAAACATGTTTCTCTTCAGAACACACACCATATGCCATTGGAAAAGGGCTGTAAAGTTTTATAGATATATTTGAAAGTATTATAAGGGTATACTAAAGCAAAACTAATGCAAAGGAATTGGAATTATTGAACAATGGAATTAAAATATTAGGCACGGATAACTCTAACCACACTCAGCTTGTTTGTTTGTATAAGTCATAAAAACCCGGAACTCTTGTTTAGTTCAAAGACATGAAGCCTTTGAGTCAGGCTTAAAAAAAAATCAGCAATGGCTATACTTTATTGAAAGCATATATGCCAGGCATCAGTAAATGAGAACTCAAGAATATGTATGTTTCTGTAATAGCCTAAATAATATATATGATGCTCTACATATTTTGGGGTGAGAAAACTTATTGCATTGCATCTTGTTTGCAATTCCTTGGGATTTTTCTGCAGGCATCCTTTTTCTGAAGGGATTAATGCATTCATTTAATCAGAATTATTTAGTGCCTGTTTCAGTGAGAGTGTTCAAGGATACAGAATAGAAATACTAATACTTGATACTGAGGAACCTGCACTCCAGCATGAACCAACACTTATTCATTCACACATTTATTAAGCACTCAACAAATTTATTGAGTGCCGACTGCTATGTACTTGGTCTGTGCAAGATTAGCAATACATACATGGTTTGTTATTGCAGTACATGGAACCGTGTGTGGAAGATAATGGCCTCTGTTTAATATACTCTTCCCATAATCCAAGAAGATGCTCAGTGGAGTTTAGCCATGAGTTGGTGTTTCAAAAAAGAAACAATACAGGAGCTGTAAGACAAGGAAATGGCTCCAGAAATGGAAATGTTGATGTCAAAGGTCTCAAAATAACTAAAAAAATATATAATCTGTAGCAAGTAAATTAGTACTGGAAAGATGCCAGTAGGGGACTACTGCAGAAACTAATTGTTGGGATTTTGAGCCTGATGTAAGTAATAGAGCTTAATGAGGATGGGGGAAAATGAGTTGATGAATACCTTTCTAGCAACCTTCAAGTTGGAATTTCTAGAATTATTTAGAATGTCATAAAATAATAGGAAAAGGAGGTGGAATGGGATACGAGGGGTTTCTGTAGCTTCATAGAAAAAGGAGTTAGGTACAGAAATGCTGCGTAGGAAGATGAAGCAAGAGTCAGCCAATGAGAGATGTACAACTCTGCACAGAAGCTTTTACTAGTCTCCTTTGCCTACAAAAATGTAACTTCCAAGACCCTCCCCTACCTGGACCAACCCAGGCTCCCTTTTCAACATACCATCAGCATTGCTACCCTTCTTCATAAACACTGAGGTCCAGTCAGGCTTTGATCTGTAGTTTCCATGTTCTGTTTTCCTCTTTGTCACAAACATCATCTCACGGCTTGGAATGTCTTTTCTCTTTATGCTGTAATGTCCAGACTTTGCATATGCTGTCAGGCCTTGTTCGTGTCCAAGAAGGCCTGCCTTATCCTCCAATTGAATGTGTCACTTCCCTTGTATGAAGCTTGCCATTTGCTACGTTTATACTTGTCTTCCCTTTTCAATTAGACTGTAAGCCCTTTGTGAGCAACATCCAAGTACTATTTATCTTTGGGTTCCTTAGAAAACCTTGTAAAGTACTTTGTACATAAACACAACTCAAAAATATTTGTTGAATGAATAAAGGACTGCCCAGGCAGAGCAAGGTACAAAAGTCCTAAAGAAAATATAAAATTTGAGAAAATTTCAAGATGCTGTTCCCAGGGAATTTTAAGAAAAACTGAAATGTGGAAATCATGTGCAAAAGACACGCTAAAGAGAAAATGAAGTTTTAGCTACCATTCACCTGTTCATTTACTCAACGAATGTATTTGAACAGTTGTCTGTGACAGACAGCATGCTATTAATATTACAAGATTCTGTCCTAGGCCTGAGGGAAAGTCAGGTACTCAGTATAGTGTAGTAAATACTAAGAATGAGTTAATCTCAGATGTGATAGAAGTGAGTGTCATCAGGGAGTGCTTCCTGGAGAAGGCCATATCAAGGTGGGACCTAGGACATAGTAAGGATTCACCTATTAGATTATGTTGGAGGAAGGGTATATGAGACCCAGCATGCACGTGCATAGACTGAGGGGCATGATATGTAATGGAACATTAGGGGCCTGCAAGGAATTTGATTTGGTACAAGCTTGAGTGTGAACAAGTGGAGAAAGGGGCCAGGGAGGCAAATCCAAGCAAGTGCTTGCTTTGTTAAGATCCAGAGCTTTCAATAAAACATGTATATAAAAATGCCTTATAATCTATAGGTAATTAAAAAACAAGTAGGATGGGAACAAGTGTCAGATACATCTAGAAGTTCTACTTGAGCAAATTTATCAAATACTCATGTGTGGAGGTTGGATTCACCACTGAATACCACATCCATAAGAATGAGGGCCAAAAGAGCAGTTCTGGAAAGAGCCTCACACGCACAGCAAATCTCACTTGTTTTTAAAAATTGGGAATTTCTGACAAGTCAGACAAGAGCATGGCTGAAGTTTATCATTGTACTATTAATCTCAAAAGTTTTACTTTTGAAATTACTTTTTGTACTTAGCCAGTAATGATCTCAAAAGAAAGGAATGATATAAATTATTTCTAAACTAAACCGAATTAACCATTTTAAACTATCTTAAAAGTACCTATTCATATAAAAATAATTTTTTGCTTAGTAGTTTAGACTGCTATGTCAAAATATTATAAATCAGGCTTATAAACCACAGAAATTTATTCCAAAATATAGGTGCTAGCAGGTTTGGTGTCTGGTGAGGGCCTATTATCTGGTTCCTAAACAGCCATCTTTTCACTATAACTTCACATGGTAGAAAGAGGAAGGGGTCTTTCTAAGATCTTTTTTATGAAGGCATTAATTTCAGTTTTTAGGACTTCACCCTCATGACCTAATCACTTCCCAAAGTCCCTACCTCCTACTACCATCACTTTGGAGGTTGGGGTTTCAATATATGAATTGGGGGAGGACACAGTCAGACCATAGCAATTGCTTCTCTGGCTTATTCTGGCCTGTTGAGTAAACTGAGTCTCATTCTCCAGGCCTTTGCAAGTATTCAGCATAGTTACAATAATTATAAGTACTAGAAAGTCATAAAACTGGAATTTCTTTTTTATACCTTTTTACTCAAATCTACTTAATTTTCTATAACAAATGAGATGTTGGATATGAGTGAGAAAAAATGCATCAGAACATCTATGGTGTAATACTTTTTCTGTTTTTTTGTTGAGAAAAACGATCTCATGTGATCAAGATAGTCTTTTGAAAACAAGATTCATCCACATAAATAGGAGACATGTTATACATGTTGAGTCTCCATTCACAAGCAAACAGTCTTATCTTAGTCAAAAATGGGGGATTATTTTAAAATATTTCTTCTTTTCTGAAAATCCAGTTGCCACTGCAAGGTCCTGAAACCACTGATAACTTCCCAAAAGAAGTGGCTTATTTCTTCCCCACTTGTTAGTTTATCTAAAAAGAATCCTTTAAGCCTTTTAAAAAGGTTTCAAAATTAAATTAACATTCTAAAAAAAGAGTTTTGAAGTTGCAGTTTTACTGTATTAATTCAGTCCCTCCAGATGCTATTCAGGGTGAACCTAGAGTTTTTCTTTCATACCCACTAGGAAAAGTACGTACTCTCTAACTTCCCATGTTAGAGCCCACAGGTTTTTAGAGAATATTTATGAACCTCTTGGTTAGCAGATAAAAAGAAGTAAGTGACTTTCTTAAATTCATAAAGCAAAGGTAATCCAGAAAATCACTATGAGGAGATCAGATAAACTATTCACTGTGTGGATGCACAAATATTTGGGGTGGGATAGATCATCCGGGGTGTGCAAAGATGCAGGAAAATTTTAGTAGCATCTAACTTTCCTCAGTGGACTTATATCCACTGAACCCAAACATTTTGTGCCTAGTAGCTGGCCAAATAGGAAGGTTAAATTCCAAGTGGACAATGGAGTCTATATTCTTTCATCCTTTGTAGACACTAAAGCATGTTAAAAGAAATAATGGAAAATACAAAGCACAGATTATTATGTGGACACTGACCTACTGAACCTGTGCTTGGAATAAATCTAGTCCTTTTGTTTCCTTGAACTGTTTTTTTGGGTAACTGTAGCTCTCCATGTTTTTAAAATTACTCAGAAAAGTTACTAAAGTCATAATGTTGAAGCATTGCAGCTCAGTTAGCATGTCTTTCTGCCTTATCTCACAACAAAGTATTAAGAAATAAATAACCTAAGAGTTAGGAGAATTATTTTATTAGGGACTAAAATCTGTCTGGTCAAACTAATGACACATTAAAATACCAGAAATCTGTGCTATTTAGAGCAGGGCGGGGGTGGAGGGCATTTGCTTTGGTAAAATCAGGAAGAAGTCCATTAGGAAATTTTCCTCTGGTTCCTACAGATCAGGCCTTGCATCATTTCAAACCATAAATTCACCAGTTAATCAGTGACTTTCACGCAAAAATTGAGAGTGCAAAATACTCCTTCCAAAGTTGTTTAATGAAGCAAAATCCATGGAAAAGTGAAATGCAAAAAACCATCATGATTTAAAATGCAGAGAGATAGAACTTCACAATGGCAGACCATATTTGGCAGGGACCCAGATTCATTATTGCACATTGACCTGAATCACCCAGGCTACTCTGTATGCTGCAGGGCTCAGAACCTGCACAGTCCTCTGATAACTCAATAAAGGTGTCTGCCGAAACACAGCAGCAACTATAGAGGAAATTGGATATTTCAGATGTTGTAATGAAGCTAACAACAACAACAAAAAATCTGTTAAAGATTAGATAGACTATAAAATAAATTTGGGAAAGATAAATGAGAGAATTAAAACCAAAAGTAAATGTTGATATGCATTCATATATATGTGTCCATGTATATTTTCTTACTTAATAAATGTTCTCATCCATTTTTTAAGCATCTAGATTGTGGATTTTCTTACATTCAAAGGACCAATAAAGAAAAATTTTGTAAATAAGCTAGTGTATAAATGTGATGCCAAGGAGCATATATATTTTTCTTCATATATTTACTTTGTTTATCAGATTCAAAAGTAAGTGAGTCCTCTGGGCTATTGAAGGTACTATATTTCAAACCCTACTCAGATGAATTTTTACTGTTTTTCTTATATTTATTTGATAGCATAATACCAATTTCAGAGGACAATAAAGAACAAAGTCTCAATGAACTAGTTAAATTTAACCTTAATGTTAGAAGCAGAGTTTATTAGAAAAAAATAAATTTTGTCTACAGGAAGTGTGGTAAACTGTTTGTGTGTATATCTTAGTACTGACCGACATATAGAGTAAATATGTTTCTTCTATGTAAAGATACCCAATTTTTGGAATTCAAATGAGAACCTACAATGTTATGGTTAGCATTAGGATTTTCAGCCTATGTTTCATCAGCTGAAAACTGAGGTTTTTCCTTTAAAACTGAAATAAATGTGTCAGCATCATGTTTTACTATTCCCTGGCCACATGGTAGTTAACCTTTACTTTAAAGATAATAGAGGATGGTCTGATCTAACGAGATCCAAGTATAGAAGAAAAATATCTGAGAGTATAGGCAACCTTATATTTAATTTGACTAATCAGAGCAGTGCAATTGAGAACTAAAAAGTCAATTGCATAAAAGAGTCAAGAAATGATCATCCACTAGTCTCTCCAGTAGTCACATTCTTCTCAGGTCCACATACAGTTTTATTGTCAATATTCAGGAAAAAAAAATAAAGATAGCAAGGAGTAAAGAGAAGAGTTTCTTTTTTTAACTGAAGGGATAGAGTAAGTGATATAAGGAAAGATTAAAGCAACATTTTTTTAAAGAACAGTAGACTTGCTTAGTATCATCAGGCATGTAACAGGCTGACTTTTCGCAATGCCATGTGGTAATTATCTGCGTACATATATGAGGAAATAAGATGAAATTGGTTATAATTAAGTTAAAGAGATTTCATTTGAAGAATTCTTAACCATTCAGATTAAGAATACTAGAAAGAATAAGGAGCAAAATTGCAAAGTCTCTGATGGGAAGTCTTTGAAATGTAAGTGTATGACTCTTTATTCTAGAATATTCTACATTTACTGCTTTACAGTTATAAGTTGGATAGATTCCATAGTTCTTAAGCTTTATAGCCTAGTACTTCTAAATACTTATTTACTTGACTAAGCATATTTATCCCTAGCCCCATCACTGCCACAAAACCAAAATAGAGCATCCTTCCTACAGCACAGGCTTCTGAATGAAGTCTGTCTCCTCTTTAAGAGCTATTCCTGGTTACCCAATAAAATAATACAACATGTAAAACCCAGCCTCTATATGATAGTCACCTATCTTTCTAGAATTATCTCTCTTTTCATCCGTACTCCAGCAAACATCTACAAAGGAAGTAGGCTACATGAGGCTAATTGCTACTCCTCAAATGCATTCTGCTTCCCTTAACAGCATTCTCATTGCCTTGAATGCCATTTATCTCATCTCTGGTACTGAAAACATTTCCATCCTTCAAGATTCAAGAATCTTGGACAAACCCTCCTTGATTTCCCATGATAATACATTCCATGCCCTGCTCTAGACTGAAACATGTATGTAAACTTCCCTAGATCATAATCTACTTGCAGACCCAGGCCAGGATGTTGTCTGTCTTACAGTGCCAAGCATGGTACCTATGCTATAATGGCCCTCATTGAATTACTTTGCTTACAGCATGCTGGACTAATAGCTGAAGCCTTTTTTCGAGCCCAAACCAACTAGGTTTATTTTTTATTTCAGCCACACATAAGTCCCAGGATCTGACTCTGTTTATAAGCCCACCTTTGGGCTAATTCCTTACCCTGGATTTGGAGTTTGGCTCCTTCTCCCGTACCAAGTTCAGCTCTTGTAGAGTTCAAAAGCACCCTGAAAGCAAGAGGTGGTTTTCTTTCCAACAGAGTTGTTACATGCATCAACCTATATAATGCAGCCATTCCTGCACCCAAGAAACAACTGGCCAGAAGTGACCTCATGATAATTCTTTGGGAAACATGTTTTTGAGCACCTGCAGTATGTTAAAAACAGTCCCATACCCTGAGGATTATTTAGTAAACAGCAGTATACTTACATATCATTGGAATGGGGATAGATAATAAAATAAGTAAATTATAAAGTGATATTGAAAGTCAGAAGTGCCAAGAGGGGAAAAAGTCATGGAAGGGATATAGTGAAGGCCAATGAGTGGCAGGAGGCAGGGAAGAATTTTAATGTCAATGGGATGATTAGGAAAGTTCCCACTGAGAATGTGATATTTGAATAAAGGCTTGAAGAAACAATTTCTTGACACAAGATTCCTACTGGAAAGGTAGCAGGTCCTCACCTGCTCAGGGGCTCCACCCCTCTGCATCTCCACCATGGCACTAGTGCAGTGTGGTGTGGAGTTGACCTCATTCTCCTGTGGCAGCATCATTCCCAGAGTAAATTAAGTTTCTATCCCTGGCTTATTCTAGAGTTGTGAAATACAGAGAGAAAAGAGTAAAACCAGAGTTATTTTATGATCCCCTGACAGAAAACACAGTGTTATTTATTACTTAGAACTCTCCCCAGAGATTAATCAAGATTTAATATCCCTAGTTGACTAATATGCTCAGGCATCACCATTAATACATACTTAGACACTTGGCATTCCATTTTAGTAGTTTCACAAACATCTTTAGCAAAGCTAACTAACACTGTGGTCCCAGATTATTTTCTCGCTAAAGACCCTCCATATTTCTTCAACTTGCTGAGCTCACACCATTTGCAAAAGAAGCTTTGTACTTACAGGAAAACATGGAGGGCTTAGTATGTGCCCCATGGTTTTTACAGCCATACTACTAAAAACGTGGTTGGGGGTGCAGAGGAGAGACTCAGAGCATTTTCACATTTTCCTATTGACACAAATTGGCTGTTTTGACAAGGTAAAGTCGTGGCATAGGATTTTTTAGATAAATTAACAGAATGAAAGTGCTAAATTAAAATTGCAACATTGATTTCCTTTTTAGCTCAGCTGTGCATTATATAAAAGGGTCAGGAGAAGGATTTATTACTGGCGATGAGGCTCTGTCGTCCGCTAAGAGACTGGTATATAAAATAAAGTTGTCCATTTCAGACACCCTTTGTCTTCAAGGAAAGCTGTCTAGGTGGCCCATGGGTGGCAAAGGCGCTGAAAGGAAATGGAAATTGATAATCGGTCCTGTTAGGCTGATTCTCTGCATGTTCAATTCATATCCTTTTGAAAAGAAGAGATTAAGATGAAACCTCATTGAGGAATACACATTTTGAAGAAAATAGAAACAAAGGTTCTGCAAGGCTATTTCAGTTGGTGTCAAATGTGAGAACAAGGCGACACAAACTTATATGAAGAAAGGGCATTAACAAAATCCCCAGACAAAGAAGGAGCTAATAGCAAATATATGCAGCCGTCTTTGTGGATGCTCACAGGAGAAGTGGTACAACTTGATTTACAAAGGGCCTGGATAATTATTTGTTACTTGGAGCCAACCCTGCCTCTCCCTCTGCAGAGGGCAGGCACTGACCATCTGCGGGTCTTCGTTTAGCTTTTGTGTGGATGAGAATTAGCCACATTTCTGCATCTGGTAAGCTTTGCATGAAGAGATGTTTGAAGCACTGGCTTTGTTTTGTTTTAAATCTTTAAACTGCTCCCTCAGCTTCAGTCAGAGGATTACTGCACATCTAACCACGAATAAATTGAAATATCAGCTGAAGAGAGCGCATGTTGCTTGCTGGTGGAATAATGGATGGCAGGTGGTAGAGGGTTTTGTTTTCAGAAAAGCACAGGAGGCTAGAAGTGACAAGAGTGATTTTGTGAGAGGGCTGAAACTGTCAGGATGAAGTCAGAGGGGTCAGTAGTTCCTGAGCTGACCTTTTTAAACAAATCCTGAGAAGACCTTTTACTGGATCCTCACAGCAGTTGCACATTCATGCCAGAAAGGTTGCCCCTCCTTCTAGATATTGAGAATCCTAACAAAAAGCATATTTTCTATGATAGGGCCCATGTTCACCCACGTGGTAGCCTGACACTCCCTCTCCTGTCAGCCCATGACACACAATCCTAACTGCTCACCTGCTCCACCACACACACACACCAGCATTTGAGCTGTCCCTTAACACTTTTCTGCAGTCTTTGATATCATCTTCCTGTCAAATCACAGAAATCAAGGGACTGGGCTGCAAAGCGGGACACTCGTGTGCTAATTTCCATGTCATTGCTTTGAATGGTTTTCTAGCATGGAGAGCTGTTACCTGACTTCTGGAGACATACTAAAGTGCTGAGACCCATTGTAGATGGCCTAAAAATTCACTTCTCAATGTTCATAAGCCAGAATTATAGAATGCACTGCCATATGGCTTTTTTTTCAAATAAATATTGTTCTGTTTGAGCTCTGTTATGTCACTGGAAGTCACAATAAATCACACACTTAGTATGCTTTCTAATGAATGCTTGTTGTTCAAAATTCCCAATACCTGAAGGAAAGAACCTTCTGTCCCCAAAGTCTGTGAAAAAAAATGAGGGATTTTCTCCCGTTGTCACTAAATATTATTATATTATTGTATCCTCTTCCATTATTTTTTTTCTTTCCTGTTTGCAACTGGCACAGTAATTTACTCATTCAACATCAATCCTCAGATGATATGCGCTAAACCACCAAAATGTGAGTTATTAAAGACAAACAAACAAGTTTTTTGAAAGTTTTGAAGCAAATAAATGTGATTATAAAACTTAGAATATTTTTCTTCCATTTGGTTCTATGTAGTTATCTAAACTTCTGAGTCGACAGTAAAAGGGAAATTTGGTGACTGATTCCTTAGATAAGAGTTAATTTTTGAATCTGGCAGAAAAAATATTTAAAACAAAGCCCTAGAACCTGAATCTCCTTATTGAGTATTGATTCCACGTTCAGTACTCTTCAATGGGCACTGCTGTTTCCAGGCACTTAAACAGCAATGCAGCTTATATTGTTGAACCATGTTTTTTTGATGCCCTCCTCAGTTCCTGCCCCATGCAGAAGCCAGGAAGCATGGAATCTACTTTATAGTTATCTCTTGCTTTCTACCTGTGTGTTTTTAAATGGCTTTGTATGTTGGAAAAGTTTCTGGCTTAGAAAAAAAAATGTTAAAAAGAAAGAGAAATGGAAAGAGAGTTTAAGCAGAAGGTTAACGACAGGGTGGGAAACAAAAGGGGGAAAAAGAAGGTGTTATCACAATAAAATCTGAAGATTATCAAGAGAGCTCAGGGTGCCCAGAGTCTGGGTGGAAGACCCGCCTGGACTGGGAGACGATGTGCTGGCCTCTAAGGGATGTCACTTCCCCCTTGCATCAGCAAGGTCAGTCTTAGGAAGAACCGAAAGAAAAGGAAAAATAAAACAAAAGGTGACATTTGAAAAGAAAAGATCAATAGATATATACAATTACAATGAAATCTCAAGCAAAAAGGAAGCAAAAATGTATTCTATAAGAATGAAAACAGAATCCTTTAATTCTCTACTGTTACCTCAAACGCAGGAGAGAATTAAATAGTGAAAAGGTGTTATATATAATTATTTGGTCAGAAAATCTAGAGAGAGGAGTAATTTCTTGTCAAATAAAAACTACTAAAATTGATTATGTAGTCAATAATCATCCATAGAATTGGAAGCAAATTTTAAAATTTATTATTAAAAAGATATCAGGCACAAGTGATTTCACATCTGACTAGCTAATTGTTTTATCAGAGTTTCTATGTTATTTCAACAATTACAACTTATAGAAAGGTACAGAAAACTCCCTAATAAATTTATGAACCTTGACCAACTTTAATACTAAATCCTGACAATAGTACAACCCAGAAAATTGTAGACCAAAATTATAGACCATTTTCACTTATGAATAAAGATGCAAAAGTTCTAAAGAAAGTATGATAAATTGCATCTTCGACATTCTAGCGACACTAAAAGTTTCTTGCAATATGTATACAATGGATTGTCTTTCTCCTAATTGTCTCTGTATTAACTTTATAGAATGAATGTGGGTAAACCTTAGGAAATAGGTTGAATTAGTACATAAGAAACATGATAAGAGTGCTTGACCCAGCTTCCTGTAAATGTCCTCTGCAGTTATATAGCAATAAAAAAGCTTTGCTTTAGCATATGGTTCTGAAACGATCTTCTAGTGAAGATTGTTCAGGAAGTCTTTCTTCATCCATACGTTCACATATAGTTGAAAGCAGCAGATAAATGAGCGACACTTGATAATTACAAGGCATTCAGTCAATCAATCAATAAAGATTTTATTTTGGAAACTTTGTAGTGTTAGCACATTCAACCTGTCATATGCTTTTATTCCAGGGGTCTGGAGTTGCATTTTTTTTTTATGGAGTCCTGCTCTGTTGTCCAGGCTGGAATGCAGTGGTGTGATCTCTGCTCACTGCAACCTCTGCCTCCAGGGTTCAAGCGATTCTCTTACCTCAGCCTCCTGAGTAGCTGGGATTACAGATACACACCACTATGCCTGGCTAATTTTTTTTTTTTTTTTTTTTGTATTTTTAGTAGACATGGGGTTTCGCCATGTTGGCTAGGCTGGTCTCGAACTCCTGACCTCAGGTGATCCACCCACCTCGGCCTCCCGAAGTGCTAGAATTACAGGTGTGAGTCACTGGCCTGGAGTTGCCTTTTTGAGCATTTTCTGAGGTAGATATCTAAAGACAACTCAAATTTATCTGTATATAAAACACTGCAGAAAGGAGATTGTGTACAAAAATTAATCCTGTGAGAAAAACTACCCATTTCCATAGTAAATCCATGATTTGTCATTTTATTTGTATATTTATATATTTGTATCTTTTATTTATTTATTTATTTTGAGACAGGGTCTTCCTCTGCTGCCCAGGCTGGGGTGCAGTGACACAATCCTGGCTCCCTGCAGCCTTGACCTCCTGGGCTCAAGCAATCCTTCCACCTCAGCCTTCCGAGTAGCTGGAACTACAGGTGCATGCCACCACACCCAGCTAAGTTTTGTATTTTTTGTAGAGACAGGTTTCACCATGTTGCCCAGGCTGGTTTTCAACTCCTGGGCTCAAGTAATCTGCCTTCCTTGGCCCCCCGAAGTTCTGGGACTATAGGTGTGTGCCACTGTGCATGACCAATTTGTCATTTTACATCAGCTATAGTTTATATCTGGACCTCCTAAGCTTGTGTCTTGGTAAGATGCACTATAGCCCCCCCGTTAAAAGGCAGTCGTGGTGCAGGCAGTTTGGGTGTGCTCATTGAATAGGGAGCCAGCTAGAGGGATCAATACCTAAAAAATTGTAGGTGCTCAGCAAACATTGGTTTAAGTTAAATGTTTAACTTATTTGGGAAGACAAACTTTTAATCTGTGTTTTTGTATATAAATATTCTCATATGTATATCCTCCTAAATGTATTTCTTCTTTGAGAGCTGCAAATAGAAAAGAACTCACTCTAATAAAAGCTAACATTATAGTTTTAATTCTTGGAAAGTTAGCATCACAGTTTAATTCTTGGAGGATATTAATTTGCCAACACCCCATATAGACCTAAAATGTAGGAGTTTCATATTCTCAGGAATAAAAAAAATCTATATCCTCAAACATATGCAGTGCTTTGCTGAACTGAATGAGCATTTCTTACTTATTATGTATTTAACCATATTTTAGAAGTGGGCCTCAGGTCTACTTATCATATTTCCATCTGTGTAGTCATTACATATGCATCCTCCCACAGCATACATTTCTTTGATATCTACCATTCTAAATTACGATTTGAGATTCATATTTTAAAAACATATAAGGTAACAATTGTGACCATAATAATGATTGTAATTTTCTTCCTGCATAGGTTTTTATAACCATTTCTGTTAGTGTGACTTTTAAGACAATACTTTTAAGAACATTTTCCTCATTATAAAAGTAGTGTGTGCTCACTGTAGAAAATTAGGAAAATACATAAGTATAATAAAAACTATATTAGGATCATACTGTATGTGCTGCTGTAATCCTGCTTTCTCTTTCACTTAAAAATATATTATGGAAGCATTTTACATGCACCTTTTAATTCTTCTAAACGTGCTTCTCTTTGAAATGGCCACGTAGGATTTTCAGGAGTAAATACCAATTTTGTCAATTTGCTATTTTAGAACTTTCAAACAATAAAATCAGAATCCATGTTGATGACAAACTGAAGAACTCATGGGGGCCAATGCTGGTAGTCAAGGACTTTTCTCTCAAACACAAAATGTTGCAATACCATAAGAAACAAGTCAAAGCAAGGGAAGACCCCAAATTCAGCACCCACCCTTTATTCTGTGTGTTGACACAAAACATTGATGAAAGCAAGTGAAGAGTGAGCCTCCTCATATTGTCCTCTGTGTAATAGAACCCACACCATTGTATAAGCAGTAATGACTTCTTTGGCCGTAACTTAAAGACATCCTATTTACACTATGGTCCTTTTTTCAGTTGTGAATAGAGTGCATTTAAATTACAAACTTGGAAGGAAGAGGTAAAAGGATTACCAAGTGTGAGAGATGAATGACAAAAAGCAGTAAATCCTATGCGATCAGAAGGATAAGTCTCACAGTTCATCTGACATAAGAGATGGATTACAATGGCTCTGAAGTGGAAGACAGTTTACTTAGAAATTTAGCAGTAATTTGCATTTAAGGAATGCATTAGTGTATTCACATATACAGTTTCATCATTGGATGGTTAACAGGAATATATGGTATTTGTTTGTGATTTTATTGAATATGATGGGTTTTTTTTCATCATTCAGGGAAAATCTGCTTTCCTCAGACTATTGGCTGCCATAACCACCATCAGCCATTAAATGACGTAGTGATGCTGTATTGACACTGTCCTGTGTATCTTTCTCTTTGTGGCTCATTCTGCCCTAGAAAAATATCTCTAAGGGGCAGTGCCAGAATTAACCCCTGCACACTGATCAACAGAAACTTCTTCTAGAAATAACTAAGTCTGTCAACCTTTCAAATATTTAACTCATGCAAAGACATTCATGGAGAAATACAAGAGGGAAATCATTCTCTTATAAAATGGTTAGGACATCCTGAGTTTCTTTGAAGGAACAAATATTGCTTATGCTATTTTCTCCTTGAATTCACATTAGAAGACACAAATACAAATATATAATGTACATAGTCTTTAACCTAAAAAATTCTTTAGCACCACATACCTCTAGAAGAGTAGAAGAGATATGGATAGGAAAATGGAGTCAAGAAACAATAAAGACACCTGTCTCAGAAGTTTTCAGGTATGGACTTAACCCGACTCAAGAACATACGGTAATGTCCACCCTCACCTCTCTTTCTTTGTGATAGTCACTCATCGTTTTCTGGGATAATGCTGGAAGTAGAACAAGGTTTATTCTTTGCTTTTCTATGATGGCAAATTTTGAAGTTTTATAATCCAAAATGTGGACTTTCATTCATAAATAGGGTTTTAGGAATGATGATGTAATTTCCATGTAGCATCGCCCTAGGAGTAATGAGATGCCATTACTGTATTATGGCTACTAACAATGATGAGAAGGAGACTTAGAACTGAGCCAGTAAGTATTTAGAAAACACAATGCATTTTACCAAATCTAAGACATGCATTTTTTCATTTTTAATACCTCTGAATCAGTTTGTCTTACAATTGATTATATCGTCAAGTTACCAGATGCTGAATGTGAAAAAGTTTTAGTAATATTTTAAACAACATATTTTCCTTATATTTTCTTGTTTATTGTATTAATAAACAATGTATGATAGCATCTTAAATGTGATGAAATATAGAGCTGTGCTTTTAATTTGTAATAAATGAAGGTAAAATTATTCACTGTTTTGGTAGTACTTATAACTGATATTCAAATATATCAACATATACCATCTCCAAAACTCCCCTAGACAAAGAAAACACATTGTCTTGGAAAGACGTTCCACAAAATGAAATTGAAAATCTCATCCTGATTCTGTTTAGAAACTTACTTTCTCAAATCTAACTAATGGGGTATTGGGCCAGGTAGATTAGTGAATTCCACACATAATCCCCCCAAACTCAATTTATTCATTAAATTCACTTCTTCTTCCTCTACGAAATGGATTCCTAAGGCTAGAGGACTAACCAGCTAGATCAATTTATTACCTTTTCTTACCTTTCCTTTCTGATAGTCAATAATGAAAGAAATGCACAAGTCAGAAAGAAGCAGTAACACAAGGGCCCAGATTATCCCTAAATGGAAAAACCATCCCTAGATAACAGAGAGCCCGCTGTAGCTTTAAATCTTTCTATAGGATTCAGTTCAAAATATTGGGGTAGAATATAGATACCATATATGTATTATGGATATGCATTGTATGTATATGTGTGTATATGCACAGTAGGCACACACATATTTAATTACACAGTCACATGTGTTAAAAAGGCTTTGACCACAATGTTCTGAAAACCACTCTTAAGAAGCAAGAATGTGCATGTTAAAGTTACTTTCTGGGTTAACAGAGATGAGGAGAAAAGTTATTGGGGTTTGCGAATTTATTTTAAATACATTCCTTAAAAATACCCACTGACCTACATTTATTGAAAGAAAAACAGTCAACTACAAATGTAATTGTTATCCTGTCAAGAATTTATTAATAGACAGGCTGATGTCATCTTTGTTTAAATGCTCTAAGTTGACCGAATTTCATTTACATTAATGGATGGAAAGTCCTTTTCTTACTTGTCCAACAAACTGGAGACAAAGTGCCTGCCAATGTTTTAATTTCTTTTTCATGTTCTAGTTAGAGAGTGAGAAGAATGCTTTCACTCCACAGTGTCATGAATATGATAATCTATGGAAATCACGGGAAAGCAGGTACTTAACTTAAGCATATACTGTACTACAGGAATCCCTGATGAATTCAAGTCTCTTCTGTTTAGAGAAGATGTTGTTGCCTGTGAAGTGACACACTGCCAGATGTTCGTGAAGTAGCATGGTAGCAGGCTCAGATCTTAGCATCTTCCCTAACCCCCACAGATGACAGCATCTAGTTTAGGCTACAGAATGGTCTTGCTTTCATTCTTTAAGCACTAGTGTTTACATTTACTTGTCAACTATCAAATCTTCATTTTCTTAATTTTACTTATTTAAACATGTGGAGCACAAAATTACATAACTGTATGAGCAATCCTGACTTTATACAGTGTATGCAGTCTAAATGTGAAATAAGCAGTTCTCCATCACGTACAACATGCTTAATCCATTGACTTCCCTTATAAATGCTGGAGAAATGGTTTGCTGAAGGGATGGGAAATGTTTACTATATCGTAATATTAAGCACAAGGCAAAATATTTTAAAAGCACATTTTTAAAAAATAAATACATTAATATAGTGTCACTGTGTACATAAGTAATTCACAAAGTTAATAAAAAGCTATGAGACATTGCTAGAATTTCTATAATAAAAATAATGTTGATGATAAGAATTTCTATAATGATGGCAAAGAGGCCTATTAAGTGCCTATTGTGTATGAAGCTCTGGCTTCACTCTATACAATTTATATAAATTATATAATCTTTACAACCTTATAAAATATTATTCCCATTTTATGAGTGAGGAAACTGAGATCTTACAAAAGTTAAGTAAAACACGACTAAGTCAAAAACCTAGTAAAAATGGAGCCAGAATTGGAAGCCAAGCTAAGTTCAAGACTGTACTGTGTATAAATGTACAATTACCCAGTACCTTCATTCATTCAAGAGTGTGCAATGAGCCAGGCATTGCTCAAGGTTCTGGAAATTAGTAAATAAGATTAGTGAACATTTTAATCTAGTACCTTTTAGAGGGGTTGGAGATTTTTAAAAGTAAGCAAATAAACGATGTGAATATTTTTAAAAAGGAGATGTGAAGAGTGTGATTTGAAAGGCCTACTCTAGATTGGGTGGTCCGAGAGTGCCTCTCTGAGGAGGTGACATTTTATCTGAGTCCTAAAACATGTGAAGGATCCAACTATGCAAAGATCTGGATGCAGACCAAAAAAAAAAACCCAGTAAATGTAAAGGCCCTAAGGTCATATGATCTTATAAGACTTGTCAAGAATAGCAAGAACAATATGGCTGGAGTGTAGTGAATAAAGGGGACAGTGGTTAAAATATATTGAAGAGGTGGGCAGGGGCCAGATAAACCTACAGTCATGGTGATGTTTTCCAATTTTATTCTAAGAGCAATGAAATCATTGAAGGATTTTAAGCAGAGGAATCATCTGTCATAGTTTCTATTTAAGACAACTTCTCAGGCTACTATAAGGAGGATACGTTATACCAAGTCAAAAGAGAAAGCAGGTAGATTGGTTAGGAGGCTATTGCAGTAGCCCAAGGATGAGGCAATTGAGCCTTGGACTAGAGCCATATCAATGGAAATGGTGAAAAGTAGAGAGATTTGGGGTGTATGTACTACCCAGCAAAGGAGACACTTAGAAGTGACGTAGGATGAAAAACAGAATAGTGGGGGTTTTGTTTATTTTTTTTAAATAGAGATGGGGTCTCTCTATGTTGCCCAGGCTGGTCTCAAACCCCTAGGCTCAAGTTATCCTCCCGCCTCAGCCTATGAAGTGCTGGGATTACAGGAATAAATCACTGTGCCCAGCCATAGGATAGTGTTTTAAGAAAGAAAGAAGGGTCAACTAAGTTTAATGATGCTGAGAGATAAAGTTAGATGAGCACAAACAAAAATGTGGCCACAGGATTTGCACAATAAAGATTGTTGTTAGCTTCATTATGGAAGCATTTCAATTGTTTGGAATGGAGGACAAATTCCTGAAAAGGATATGTTGAGGAGTGAATAGGAGGTGAAGGTGTGAAGACAGACACTATTAAAAATGCTTAAAAGAAGTTTGAAGGGAAGTAAATTAATGATGCCTGAAAGTGGCTGTAGGGTCACAGAAATTGTTTTGTTATGCTTAGCATATTTGTTTTTAGGATGACAGACGCTAAAGTATATCTGTGTGCTAATGAAAATAATGTAAAAATGAGGGTGAATTGTTGAATAGTCAAAGATAAAAATGACAGAAGCAAATTCCTTCAGATGATCACAGGGTACGTGAGGTGGAGTCCATGAGTGGAGTCTTTTAAAGGACATAGGATACCTCTCTTAGTAGTGGAAGAGAAGACAGAGGGTGAAAGTGCAGGTGAGTGGGATTGTTTATGTTTAATTCTATTGCACTAAAAGTGATTACATATTCCCTGAGGAAGGAGATCATATCTGTTTTATTCTCCATTATGTCTTCAATGGTCAGCGCATAGCATGTACTAGACAAATTGTAAATACTCAACAAATACATCTGAAAGAAGGAGTCTTTCCCAAGGATGTAGTTTATTAGGTCCTTCCCTCAGTATCTTTTCCTAAAACACCAAAAACTTTAAGTATTGTTGGGCAAAACAGTAGCCCAAAAACTTCAGGAAGTTCATGGCCAATGTAGAGGGAGTGGCACTAGGCTTGGAGTTGGGAGACCTAGATTTGAGATGAATTCTGATTTATGGATGTTTGTTACTGTATTCTGTAGCTGCATGGAGAAGCTATTATTTGTGGAGCACTCTGCCAAATGTATAAAATATATTTTCCCATGTTTAATATTTCATACATGTATGCTAATTAATTATATTAGAAAGATATTTTTTATATTAAAAAACTTATACTTCCTTTTATTTTCTTTCCAATATAAATCTGCTGCTTAGCATAGAACTACTAAAAATTGACTTTCAAAATGATGATCATTTCATTCCAGTATGCTCTGAACTGTAACTCTAAATAGGGTTTTAGATGGATCAAAATGTAATATTTTATGTCCTGTGCTGTAAAAGGGATTAAAACAGGTGTTTCTGCATAGGAGGATATTAGGTATCATATTGCATAAATATGGAAGAAAATTGATTAACCTAGTCTTGCTCCAAATATAGCCTGAATCCTGTATGCTTTTTTACTCCATATTTATAGCAGTCCCATTTTCCTCATCACCTCATTTTTCTGTTTTCCTTTGCTTCCATTCCATTGTGTAAGGCAATTTTTATTCCATTTTCCCTCATTGGTTTTTGCCCTTGACATTCTATGCAACATTTAGCCATGAAAGCAGTAGCATTTTGAAGGTGGGTTTCAAAAGCAAATTATTTCATCCAAGTACTCCTAAGGCACTGGAAGGACTGTTGCTGAGAAAATCTTTCTTTATGTATTGTTAATACTCTGTGACATTTTTATAATTCAGAGCACTCACATCTTTACATTATTTATTATATTGTGCATAAATGAGATTTATGCACAATGTAATAATACTTTGGTTCTATAATGCTTTAGAGTTTTCAAAATAGTAACAGCTGTCTGTATTTTAATCATCTATTAATGCTTTTCCTATTTTAAATAGTTGTGGTGAAGAACAAATGGGCAAGGTGATCATTGTTATTTCTGTTTTATACAGATGAAAATTGAGGCTTACAGAGGGCAAGTGGCTTGCCCCAGGTCATTCAGCTAGTTTCTGCGTTCTAAGATCAATGATCATTCTGCATATTGCATTGCTTTAGTAGAAGGTTCTATTTTTTCTCCCAAATCCTAAAACTCTAATATGTACCAAATGCATCCACATGTGTATCTATATTTTATTCTTACCTCTTTAGTAATTTCATGCCTGTTATCATTTATATTCACTTCTAATATTTGTGGTTGATTTTCTATAGAGTGTGTCTCAGATGAGTTTGTAACTAGACATCAAACTTTGTCAAGATAATTACAGTGTAATGTTAGTTATGAACTGTATGAATTTCCCAATTCATACAGATTTATAATAGCTTTCATTAAAAAAATATTTTTAGTTCTATTAATTTTCTATACAGATTTCATTATTTAGTAATGAGGTAAAATAGCTACAATATCTTTAGTTTTACCTTTTACTAATGAAGTCTAAAACAGTTTATGAACCCATCCAACCTTGGAAGTTTGATAAACATGATCCATGATATCCATATGTTATAGCCTAATAGACTCAGAATGTTCTATAGTTAAGTAGGATGGAAAGAGTTATAATTTATGACTCAATCTGATGTTTCATTCACAGACAATGTGATGCCACCTAGGCATAAACCCTAAGGAATTCTAATTGTGAATTTGAAAACAAAACAGATCATATCACTGGGAGGGACCTCATAGATCATGTAGTCAAACCCCCTCATGTTACCGGTGAGAAAACTGAGACACAGAGGGAGTCATCAGGCTGCCATAGGTCACAAAACCAGCTGACAGCAAAGTGAAGATCAGAGCCCCATCTCCTAATTCCCAAGTGAGTGCTGTTTCCAATATGCCACATTACCTCCCCCAGCAAGATGCCTCCCATGGGGCATTGCTTCTTGAAGATGAAGTATATTAAATTCACATTTGGCTGCTAATCGTTTTCTCAGCAGCTCTATGGTATTTCATTAACTTCTGCATGTAACACCCTGGCCTTTCACCTGTATTAACTTGAGCTCATTAAACTTGAGGCCAGTAATAAACAGGACCAAACTAATTCAGATATTTTGCTTGGTATGTGTTCAGCATTTTTTTTAATGGTTTCTACTGTGTGAAACATTTTCCCTTCAAAATTTGTGGAATAAGTAAAACAGGAAGCATAGATTTCAAGGAATGGAGTATGTAGGTAGTATGCTTCTTTAAATAAATAAAGAGCATATTAAACACCTACCTTATACAAAACTTTGTGAGGACTACAAAGAAGTATGAGTGGCAGGATAGCACAGAGTCTATCAGGCAGACTTGGATTTGAATTAATTGTAGCAAGTTACTTAGTCTTTATGCCCCTCAGTGTTGTTGTGTATAAATGGACACTAGAATACCCAACTCATGGATATTCTTTATCTTCTTTGCAATAAGGAAGAGATAATGTACTCATGTGCTTTGCAAAGTGTCTGGTATATAGCCATGATCAGTTAATAAGCTGATATATTCGTGAAGGTGATGATGATGGTGCAGTTCCTTCCCTCTCCCTTGTTAAATTTATAATCCCCTCTCAGCCATTTTTGAGGAAATTGATTTTCCCCATGTCACCTCCCCTACCTCATCATCTCTACAAAATATAAGCAAAGGTCCTTTAGAATGCAAGGAAAGTAAAACTAAGTCATTTTACCCTTCCCAGGTTGTCCACCAACATTGCTTTATGTTCCTTTTGACTAAGAAGTAAGTCTTTGGCAGCTCATAGACTATGCAGGCCCCAGTTAACAAAGTTCCTATGTAATTTTAAAAGTCAAGAATCTGATTGAGCAGGGGATGGTGATAAAGGAGGGGTCATCTGCAGAAAGATGACCAACAAAGAGGTGGAAATAGAAGTCTGTCAGGAAGAATGACAGCATGCAGGAGTTTCAAGGCAGAAGCCATTGTGAGTCAGGGTGAGGCAGTCAGCAGGCAGTGTGGGAGTGAAGATCAATATTGGAGCCTTGGTGTGGGGACAGGTAGTCAGTGTTGGTTCTCTGTTTCCCGAATACTACGTGTATTAGAGTTCTCCAGAGAAACAGAGCCAATTTAACATATTAGATTCCCTCTTATATATCCATACATAACTAATAGGTTATATATTCAATTCCCTCATATATCTATATGCAGCCAATTGGTTATATTATTATAGCCAACAGGTTATAGGTTATATCTGTATGTAACCCATTGGTTATATATAGGTATGTAAAAGGGAATTTAATATGGGAATTGGCTCACGTTGTTATAGAGGCCAGGAAGTCCCATGACGTGCCATCTGCAAGCTGGAGAACAAGGAAAGCTTGTAGTGTAATTCAGCCTGACTCTGAAGGCCTAAAAACTGGGGGAGCCAATGGCATACTTAACTCTATGCCTGAATCTGCAGGCCTCAGGACTGGGAGATGAGGGGGGCAGCAGATGGTGGAGGAGATGGCTGGGCGAGTGCTATAAGGCCTACAGTCCAAAGGCCCAAGAACCTAGAGCTCTGATATCCAAGAGCATGCGAAGATGGATGTCCTAGCTCTCACTCCAGAAGAAAGAATAATTTGCCTTTCCTCCACCTTTCTGTTCTATGCAGTCCATCAACCAATTGGGGGATGCCCGCCCACATTCTCTTTACTCAGGGCGTATTTTCTTTACTTGGTCTACTGATCCAAATGCTAACTGCTTCTGGAAACACTCTGACAAACACACCCACAAATAATGTTTTACCAGCTCCCTGGGCATCATCTCTTAACCCAGTCAAGATGATACATAAAATTAACCGTTACACCATAGAACCCTTTTTTAATTTTCTACTATAACAGCTTTGAAAATAATGATGACCTTAGAACTCATCTAGTTCACTTTCCTACCACTACCAGAATCCCATCTCCAACATTCTGGATGATTCTCCCTTTTTGCTACCGCCATCATCCTACAGTCCACCCTTCCTTCTGCCACTATGAGGATCTGGTCACACATTTTCAAATATCTGGTGTTCCCATACACCCTAAAGAATAAAATCCAAACACTTTGCCCAGAATTCAGAGCCCTATCTATAGATATTCCAGCTTCATCCCCCACTATCTCCCTGACATTTAGTATATTTTAGCCATATAAGGATAAGCTCATCCTGTAGTTCCTTCACTTCATTTCCTTACTTCTCTTCTCCTCCTACAACTAGGCACTGCTTTCCCCTTTCAGAATTTTTCAGCATAGTTTAAATTCCTCCTTCACTGTAAAGATTGTATTAACCTCTGAGTTGGAATTAATTGCTCATTGGATCTGGGTTACATCAGATTGTTTGTGCATGTCGTCCTCTACTTATTTCTCCTTACAATGACGTATGTAAGCCACATGTCAGCTGACTTTACCCAGTCCTGTCCTTCTGGAAATTGCTACCAAATCCCCAGAGATTCTGTTCTCTAGGTTGCTTCTGGCTATAAATTCCAGCTGTCATTGAATTCTGAATCTCCCTCAAACCTCCCTCCTGTTGGTTTCTATTCTTTTCAGCTATATGCCAACCCAACCATGAAACTCAACCCTGTTTCCCTGATTTTCCTCCAAATGTCTCACCAAGACATGTAAGTGTGTAGCAGATGTTCTTAGATAAAGACTATGGAGGAGGATTTAGATTGGAGCAATGCAAACATCTTAAAATTAAATAGTGGCTCTCCCTGTTTATAAAAGTCCTTCAGCCTCATACCAACAGGCTGTGCTCCTTCTCTCTTGCCCTCTCTTTTCACACTTCCTTTTACCCTCTCCTCTCTTTTCTATTCCCCCTCTCCTTCAAAATTCTACATTTCTCCATGCATAATGCTTGGACCATCTCTTTGTTCTGGTTTCTCCTAAAACATGCCATCAATACCACATTTCCTAAATCCCAACCTAGAGGTATTTCTTCAAAAATACTTACTTTAAAAAATGACAGTTTTTAAAGAGAGACCTGATATGAGTTATTTAAATTGTTTCAATATGAAAATAATAATGTTCTTATCTGAGTTCCTTTGAATATGACTCAATCCTCTTCATAAGGCTATAAACTGCTTTTGGAAGGAACAGCCTCCTGGTCCTCTTTGTGGCCTGGGCCCCAGCACCTGCACAGCACTTAGCAGAAAGCAAGTCTTATTTCCATCATCCTTTGCTGGCATTCCATGAATGTTAGACTTTCTTCTCTTGATTGACATTATTCCTAATTCATGATCCGACTTCATCACTTCACAACAAAATGTGTTCTGCCTGCTTTTCACAGGTGAAGTGCCTCACCCTCTTGTAGCTTATGAACGATGGAACAGAGGGTTAGCAGTCCATTGGCTCCCCGGTGCCTTTTCCAAATTGTCACCCTTCTCCCTCTGCTGTTTATTCCACCTGGAGGATTCTCTTCACCTTTCCTGACCTCACGCCTCCACTGCACCACTTGCCATCCTACCTTCACCTTATCCTTCAGAGTTTAGCTCGGATGACACCTCTTCTAGAAAATCTCTGACCCCTCAGCCTGCGTTAGATACACATTGTCACTGCTCATATAACAGTTTGTGTCACTTCTGCCACAGCCCACAGGGTATTGCAATTGTTATTAATATAGTCTCTTTAAGGTCACACACTATCCTTTCTATATAAATTTCAAGTGTCTGGCTCCTTATAAATGTTTTCTGAATGTATGAATCACAGCTTTTCTGTAAGTACGATTTTTTACTTCATGTCATATTTGAAAACCTATTTATATACTTTAATTTGTTTCTGAAAGTAATTGTTTGGGATTGTTTGACAATTCAAACAACCAGAAAGATTTTGTAAATATATTCAAGATATTCATTCATTCATTTATTCATTCATTCATTAAGCTTTGAAAAATTATATTCAGCACCTATTATGTGCTGGATCAAAGTTACCTGTCTAGGATCTCAAGCTGGGCAGATGGACACATAAGCTAATGATGATAAGGCAGTGCAGTAGGCACAGAGATTAAAATATGCCCAGGATATTCTAAACCACTGGGCAGGGAGGGTAATCGGTAAAGGAGATTACTTAGGTGTTATGAAGACTGAGCTGAAACTAAATAGCCTAATTGGCATGTACCAGGTGAAAAAGACAAGATGGGGTATTCTGGCAGAGGGGATGCATGAGCAAACATGGAAACACAGAGCACAGTACACAATGCAATAGAAGCAGTTAAGGCTTATGGGAATAAATTGGCAGGCATGCATTTTGCAAATATTATTCCATTTAATGCTTATACCAACATCGTGAGTTTGATACTGTCATTCTCATTTCATTGATAAGGAAAATTAGTAGCAGAATAGTAAAGTAATTGGCTCATAGTCACACAGCTAATGAGTGCAAAACTGATTTTAATGCAAATTTGACTTCTAAATTATTTCCCTCATCACTATGTGAATGTTGACTTTCTACTTTCACTATGAAACATGAACTATCTCTGCTTTTGACCAATTTAGATATCACATATTTGATCAAAAGTTGTAGCTTACATTTATCAGGTTAAACTAATACTCATATTTCATATATTTTACATGTCCAATGCCAGTGTACTGATTTGCATCATTAGCCATCACATAGCACTATGGTAACGTGTAATATGTAGATGGACTTTCTGTCTCTGTCTTTTTATTGTGTTCCACTGTCCAAATTTGATAATATCATGAAACATTGCTTACTGTTATATCGGTGATTAAGCATTACATGCCACTTACATATGGGAAAATCTGAGCTTCTGATTCTAAACCATGCTAAAACTGATTTTGAAATAAAAATCAGCATCAAATGTAAGTAACTGATTACTTTCATAATTGAAAAGAGGAAAGAAGAAAAGTAACTGAATTCAGAAACTACAGAACAGAAAAGATACTTCTCATCTCTATCTCCTGTGCTACCTTGAATCATGCTGAGCAGAGATTGAAATTAGGGTGAGTTAGGAACTTTACCTGGATTACTTTATTTAAACCTCACAATGGCCATTTTATAGATAATGAAACAGACTCAGAGAACCCATGCTCTCAACCATTATACCACACTGCTCCCATATTTTTTATTTTAGGTATCCAAGAACTACTTCAATTAGCTTTTTGAGGTTTTTAAAGATCAACTCTTTGAACATTTATTTTCTTCATTTTTCTCTGCAATTATTGGTCATTTTATTGAGTTCAAACAGTTTTCCAAGGAGTCTGGCATATTATTCCTTGAGATAACTGCAACAACCAGGTATATTTGACATATAATTCAATCTGACACTAGCCCTTAATGAATAGCAAAAGATACTTACAAAATTAATAACAATGATAATTTGTACTACACTGTCTGGAAATTGTTTAGCCTTTAGTGTAGCACAGGACAGTTCCTGGCCCAGAGTGGATATTCAATACTGTATTTGTTGAATAAATGTCAAAAGACTGATAAATAATAGAGCTATGTCATATGCAAACATGTCTTTTGGGAAAAAAAAGTCAACTTTTAGATATCCTTTACATGTAACTTATCCTTTAGTCTGTCAGTTGTATAGACACACACACACACACACACGAAATAGGTATAAAGGAGATAGATAGATAGATAGATAGATAGATAGATAGATAATAGATTTCAGGTTTATACTGAATAAGATACATATATACATATATATATATATATATATATATGATACTGAGTGATATATTCTGATATAAGCCGGAAATATTTTCATCTTTCACATATTACAATTTAGATATCAAAGTAATTACTTGTCTTCTTGTTATGGTTTCCAATTAGATAAGAGAGTGTGATTAAGAAAATAAAGTTGATCCATTACAGTACTACAGACTAGTGCTATTAGGCAACTTGCTGCCATTCTCATAAAAATTATGCAGTTTAAACTGGAAGATACAAGTGCTTGCTTCTATTACAAACAAGAACGCTTTTCTACTTCATAATATGCTCAATTAACTTTAGATTGATCCATGAATAAATTATAATCCAAATAGACTTCTTTACCTTAAAGCTTTGCTGGCTTAAGGTATCATTGTTGATTCATTATGTTGTCACTTTTCTATCGGCAATGTAATGCTTTTTTTATATCTGGATAGAGACAGTTTTAGTGTAAGATACTGTTATCTTTAAATGAGTAGGATTTAGCCTTTCTGGTGAGAACAAATTCATCAATGATGAATCCCTGGAGAAACTATTGAAACAAAACTCACACCATTTCTGAGCTTTGTTCAGTTCATCAGTTACAAAGCAGCTTTTGATAGTCCTAAAGAACTTTTTCCTTTGTTTAAGAAATATAGCATGACGCTCAAAACCTCTCACTTTGAGTTACCGCAGGCTACAACTTTTCTGTAAGAAAATAATGAATGAAGAGGAAAAGCTCCTGCTGCTGGCACTGTCAGGTCCTGCTGCTTCTCCTCCTGCAATAGGAAATCAATTAACTATATGTTCAGGCAGAGATTTGAACTAAATGCTTTATTAATCATCACTGATTGCACACACACACAGTGGCCAACTATGCATTCATCTTCACTCTTTCTTAGCTTTGTTTTGCTTGCTTGCTTGCTTTATCCTTCTTCCTTTTTTTTTTTTTTTTTTTTTTTGCAAGATCAAAACACAAATGTATGCCTAAATGTAGTATGTGTAAAGGTGATCGGTTGATCCTTTGTTGCGGGAGAGAATTGATGTTTTTTTGTTTTCGGAAAACTTTACTTTTAAAATGTTCAGTACTTAAATAGCCTTAGGACCACTTTAATATATACAACATATTTTTTAAAGCACTTAAATTTTCAAACTAATAAGGAAAGCAAAATGTCTACAGCAGCCTTGAAGTTTTGGAAGCTGGTACTATACCTTAGTCTCTGAGAGCTCCATGTAGCAGTGAGGAATTAAACAAAAATGAACCCAATTTGATGTGGAGATGCTTGGTGGAAGGTGGAAGGAGCAGTCACTGATATTTGGTATTTTTTTTTTTGCTTTCAATTAAAAAAAATTGGCAAGTTTTCCTTTTAGTCCATTAATTCTTCTAACCAATGCACAAAGAAAATCCTGTAGGAATCTTTATGTTAAATTGAGATTCTCTCTTTAGGACTAATTATAAAACCAATTAGCACATTAGAAACTTAGCATGTTAGCCAGGGGAAGGCTGTGTAACATAATTTATGTATGGCAAATGTGGTCAATCATTGCAAAAAATGACAGAAAATATCAGGCTGTTGGATATTTACACAGGCTGTATTATATTCAGCATCAAAAGATTTTCAAAAATTTATTGTTCTTATTACCATTGTTGAAATAATTTGAAATCATTATGGTTTAAATTTAACTACATTCATTGTCTGCATTTGGATAAATAATAATCTAAATGAAAAAATATACTATCCTCTGATGTACATTTAAAGGAAGATAGATTAAAAGGTTGCAAGAATGATTTCTTTTGAATGGCCTTTACAAAACTCTTAGGTGAAATTAGATGATGTTGAGTAAGGTAAAGTCCAAACAGAGAACCATGTAAACCCCAACAGGGAAAATAATGGTTCCGATTTTCATGGAGCCTGCTAACCTGAGGCATCTGCTAGAACCAGAGGTCATATGTTTCAACACTTAACCGTTCTTGATAGTCTTTGAGTATATTAGATTAGGATTGAGATGCCCCTGAGGTATAAGAGAAGCACGCAGGGGGTGACATTCTGAAGATTTATATCATGTGGACGTGTGCTCGCCACCTTATGTGGTGTTATCTGACCCCAAAGGCATTTTTTTGGCACCAAGTGTAATCCCTAACACCTCATATACCTCATATGCCCCAAGAAAAAGCCATTTCATAAAAGCATTGTCTTTTAAGGATGCTTATATATGTGATAAGGACTTGTTTTATACTCTTATTTATTTTATGCTTTTAGCAAGTCAGTATCACTTGTTTTATAGCAAAATGGATACAAAATACTATCTCCCTCCATCCTATCATTTCATATTACTGCAACAATTAAATATTACAAATTAAGAAAGCATTAAGGTGTAGAGATGAAGTACTCAGTTCTAGTCTCATTGTATATAAATTAGTTTGGCATTCATAACATTGTTTCCATTTACTTGACTTGTTGACATAATTATAATGAATTGATAATGGAAGTAACAATCTTAGATATTTCTACATAAGTATGTTCTTTGCTAACATGAATTACAGTTGCAGTTTGCAGTTCGGCTTAATTGGAACATGGTTTAAGTTTAGCTTACCTACTCTACTGAGGTCTCTAGAGGACCAGAGAACTCATTTTCCTGGGGCGTTATGCAAGCTGAAATGTGGAGGCCAGTGTTTTGAAACAAGTGTGATTTTTCACCAAAATACTTGCTAGGTCAGAGATCAGGATGACCTTCGAGTGCTGTAGTTTTCCAAACCTCCATCAGCTAGATAAATGGACTTTATTCTGCAGGAGAGAGAGGGTATTTTTGCAGTCTTATGAAAGAGACCTACCAATTCCAGGTTACAGGCCGACACAAAACATTTGGAATTCAGTGATGTCTATCACCAGCAGTATGTGTCAGTAAAAGTGAAGATCAAAGTTTCTAGAAGAGGGGAAGGACAAAGTGAAGAGAAAATAATTGTGGGATAATGAATGGTATGAGGGCATTTTCGTGTTAACTTGAAACCACTTAGCATTTTTCCATGACGCCCAGGTATCTTTCTAAATGAACTTTGTAAAGTACAATTGGATAACCTTGAAATTTAAAGCTCCGTGATGTGATTTTGAATACTGATGGAGTTTGTTTAAGCACTGTAATATTTCCTCTCCTTTTCATTTCTATTTTTGCCTCCATGCAAAATAAAATTTGTTTTCTGTACAGAGAAATCAATATTTTTACCATTTTTGTTTTTCAGCTATTCCAGTAAGTTGCAATCAACATTAGTTACAATCTTTAAAGAGATGTAGTAAGAATTTGAACACAATAAAATAGAGATACAGATGAGAACTTTGGCGAAGTACCTTTGCTATTGACAAAAGCATTTGTCAGGGACTACAACTGTGTCTATATCATGCTAAAAACCTGATGAAGGGGAAAAAAGCATCAATAGGTTTCACCTTCTGTCTATACAAACCAAACAAATGGTTTAACTAATAGCTGTTGTTTTATGTGAATGGGTTTGGTTTGCCATTGTGAACTTTCTTCCATTTAGAAATGTATTTTAATTAACATTTGTATATGTAATACATACATATTTGGTAAAAGTATTGTACTGTTGTGTTCTTTTTAATAATTAACGGAACCTGATACCGAGAAGACTAGTGGTCCAAAACAATGAGTGAAGACCTAGTTACAGTATACATGAAACAATCCCTAGACACACATTTGTTTGTTGATAATATTTATATGTTTATATCTTCCCATTTTTCTCTTCTCTGAGCTAACATGCTTCCTTATTTGTGTGTTTTCCTTTTAGAAACTGCCAAGTTTTGGACCTTATCTGGAACAGCGCAAGAAAATCATAGCAGAAAACAAGATTAGACTGAAAGAACAAAATGTAGCTTTTTCACCACTTAAGAGAAACTGTTTTATCCCCAAAAGGCCTATTCCTACCATCAAGGTAAAAATTATGCCAACTATATAAGTATGCCTACTTTACTGGTTAAATATACAAATATAGTTAAAATGTTTATTTACTGCTTAAATGTATCACTAATTTGGTTTTAGAATTATAATGAAAGTTTTAAAAACATCTGTCCATGGTGAAAACTGCATTTAAATTATAAAATAACCTTTTTTATTTGCATATTTTATACTTTTTAGAACACTGGCAAGCATGCATGTCATGGAAATTTTTATATACATTAAATGTATCAGGAGATATTAAGATGAAATTCCTAGTTTTCTTATAGTCACTTAAAAATTATTTTAATACATAATTAACTCCAAGATATCTTGTATTAGTCATGTAGTACAACTCAATTATCAATAAGCACATCAATATCAATGTGATCACTTGAAAGTTTTGGAAAAACTTTCTCTGGTTTGGCCTCTGGAAAGCCTGGACATTTATTTGGGTCTCAGGAGATTATTTTCTGGTAATAACAAAAATTACACTAAGATAGAATTATGAGTATGTGTTACCTTTCTTGATTTTTTTCCTTAAACTTTTCATTTTGACAGAAATGTAGATTCACATGTAGTTGTAAGAAATAATACAGAGAGGTCTTGTGTACCCTTTATCCAGTTTCACCTGTTTTGCATGTTGCAAAACTATAGTATGATAACACAACCAGCATACTGACACAGACACAATCTACCAATCCTATTCAAGTTTTTCCAGTTTTACTTCTATGTGTGTGTTGTATTTAGTTCTGTACAATTTTGTCATGTATGGAGGTTCATGTATCCACCACCACAGTCAAGATGCAAAACAGTGACATCACCACCAGGATTCCTCAGGTAACCCTTTTGTAACCACGCCTTCTTTTTTTCTGTCACCCTCAAGACAGTATTGTTTCCAAGCAGTCATAATGAGAAAAATGGAGGTGTTACTGGATGGCATTCTGTCTGAAATCATCATCACTAAAATGTAGTTTGCAGTTACTGAAATTCATTCTTCTGTGTTTGATGACACTCTACTCCTACATCTCCATTTTCTGTTTGAAATATCAGCTGAAAAGCTTGCTTTTATGTGTTCTCAAGTAGACCTCACTGAAATTCATCTTTAGCAGTCAACTGGAGACTGGAACCCTTAAAAATTCCTTCTACCTATGAAGAAAAAAAAAATGTATCTCATGCTAAAAACAGTGGTCCAGACTCAATGTTCCAAAATTTCAGCAATACAGAGTTCCGAAAGGGCAAAGGGAGTGGCTGACCACAAAGCGTGCCAGCACTTCAATGCCATCATTCTAAATAAAATGAACATTTGGGACTTTTAACAGCATAAAAGCCCCAAATCGTCTCTTGAGTTGTTCATGTTAAATTATTTTTGTGCCACTAAAAGTATGAACTGAACAAACTGAACACTAATGGAATGCGAAGGCCAGAACCTACAGCCCTTCACGAGCCTTTTTGCCAATGTGTGGCTATGACTACTATATGATTTGGAGATATAGTGTGTCTGGAATTGGTTCCTGCCCAGGGGTTCATGGTCTCGCTGACTTCGAGAATGAAGCCGTGGACCTTCGCAGTGAGTGTTACAGCTCTTAAATGTGGCAAGGACCCAAAGAGTGAGCAGCAGCAAGATTTATTCCGAAGAGCGAAAGAACAAAGCTTCCACAGCATGGAAAGGGACCCCAGCAGGTTGCCACTGCTGGTTGGGGTGGCCAGCTTTTATTCCCTTATTGTCCCCTCCCATATTCTGTTTTTGTCCTATCAGAGTGCCCTTTTTTCAATCCTCCCTGTGATTGGCTACTTTTAGGACCCTGCTGATTCGTGCGTTTTACAGAGCACTGATTTGTGCATTTTACAGAGTGCTGATTGGTATGTTTTTACAGAGCACTGATTGATGCATTTTACAATCCTAGTTACAGAGTGCTGATTGGTGCATTTTACAATCCTCTTGTAAGAAAAGTTCTCCAAGTCCCACTGGACCCAGGAAGTCCAGCTGGCTTCACCTCTCAATAGGAATTCTCCCAGCTTTCTCTCTCTTCTTAATCAATTTGAATTAAATGTAAAATCTCCATCTCTAGGCATCTTTTCCTTAGGTGTAAAAATTTCTAAAGGAAGATATTATTTATATTTGAAATAAAAGAAGTGCAATATGATTATGAAAGCATTTTTACCTTTTCTAGCCCTCAAATCTTTCAGAGATTGTATATTAAATATTGATAACTTAGACAAAAAACAAAACAGAGCAAACAAAAAATCTGTGGTTGCATGAAAGCCTGTAGATCATTAATCAAAAAAAAATCAAAGTCAGAATTAAACCAAAGAATTGTGAAGTCTTGGATGTAGATAAAGATTTCTGAAGTATCAAAGAGGAATAAGGCATCTTATTAAAAATAGTGCAAGTTTATGTTCCTCTCCTAAGTTGTCTTACTTTGGAGGTTATCCAGAGTGAAATGTCCTTGGTGTTACATGTTACATAAGCCTCAAGACATTGTAGATACCATCTTACCAGCATCTTAGACCTTATCAGTGTCAACATCTTAATGGGCAGCTGTGGTAGATTTTCTCAATGTCTGGTGGATTTTCCACTACCTTGGCCTTCTCCCCAGAATGTCCATACTCATTCCACCTGTTGTCATTTCTAGGCAGATGCTGTGCCCTGTCAAAAAACAAAATAGTAGCTGATAGTGGCGAGGTTTTCGGGGAAGCAAGCATTTTCAGTTTTTATAAATGCAGTTATCTCTTTAGAAAATTAGAGATTAAATCTGTTATAACAAATAACTGTATTATAAATATAAAACTGTGTATTTATATTTATATTATACTATAAAACTGTGTGTGTGTATATATGTATATATATACATATACATACACACACAGAAGCTTTAATTTGTGTAATCATCTCTAGCAAAGGCTCATTTTGTGATTTTTGCCGTTTGTTTGCTTAGGTTAACCTTTTCTACCATAAGATTATATCAGTATTTACCCCATCTAGTTGTTTTAGGATTTTAATATTTGTATTTTACTTCAATTTCTCTAAAATTTGTTTGGCTCTAAAGTATCATGTACAGTTATAACTTTATTTTTTTCCAAATAGACAGTTGTTCCAAGACCTCAATATTTGCATTTTAAAGGGATCCCTTTCATCTCTCAAATTATAATTCAGTGACAAAAATGTACCATAAATTGCATCATTTACTTTATATTCAAATTTTCAACCTCTCAAAGTTTTCCAAAACTTTTCAAGGACAAATCAAAAATGAATTAGACAAGGTTCTAATAAGGATGGTCAATCTCTAGAAAAAAGTTTTATGCCGTAAGTAATTATTTGTGCCATAATAAACAATTTTTAAATCTTTATAAATGAAAACTTCTAATTAAATTCAAAATTCTGGGTTCTAAACTCCTTATTTAATTAATACCAAACTTAAAATACCCCTTTTACACTTCTACAAAACAAAATTATTTCTTGTCCTGTAGCTTTGATCCTTTACTTTGAAATATGTTTAATATGATTCCTTTTTCCTTCTGATATTAACCTCATGGAAGAGGTAGGGGAAGGTGGGCCTTGAGAAAATCACTGAGTTCAGAGAGCAGCGTGTAGTCTCATATGATGGAAGCTGAAGAACAGGTTGGGGAAAGTAGAAAAGGATTGAAAGAACATGATGTTGGTGTCTGTATTCACCTCTCTGCTTCCTTCTCTCTGTATAATCTTCCTTTATGATAAATCTAAACGTTTCCTACACAATGACTCAACTATTCTCCATCCGAGACATCTTTTCTATACTTCAGACTTGTGTCACCATATCTTGGGGTCACCTCCACCTGCATCGTCTGACCAAGGAACCCAGTAGCCATCATACTTAGAACTAAACTGATTCCCATTCCTTCCAAACCTGCTCTTCCTCCTGAGTCCTCTGTCTCAATGAACCCCATCTTACCTAACTCAAAAAGCTGCAGTTCAGCCTGGATGTCATCTTATTACTCATCCTATTCACAAGCTAGTCAGCAATGACTATTGTTCTTATCTCTTACATCTCCCTCCTCTTACATTCTTTACATAATGCTGAGGCCTCAGTGTGTTGCTTACGTATTCTTTCCTGGAATTCTAAAACATTATATTAACTGTCCTGCTTTCTTTTGTCCTCCTTATCTAATCCATTCTCCAACTATTATGAAGGAGTCTTTTAAAAATGTAGGACTGTTTGTTTTATCCCTTGCTTAAAATTCCCCCATTGTAACCGTAATCCTAAGGTAAGCTCCTTAGCATAACCTTCAGACCCATCACATTTTAGCTTTTCCTGACCCAAGAAGCAGCTTCAATGGAATGATGAGAAGTAGAATCCAGGAGGTGATAATTTGAGGAATGAATGAAGACTGAGAAAGTAACAACAAAGTGTGCAGAATACACTTTCAGTAACTTGAGAAAGGTCAGTAGGAAAGGGATAAGAAGAGGAATCGAGTAGAGGAAAAGATTGTTTTGTTTATATGAGAACGATCCAGGCTTGCATATGCTTGCATATGTTTGGGAGAGAATAGCTGAAGCTGCCAGAAAGGGCATGATTAAGGAAACTACATCTTTGGCAAGCAGAGAGGGAAAGGAGTCTAAACAATATATTAAGATATCTTGCATAAGAGGAGAGACGTGTCATGAAGCTGAATTTGGACTTCCCAGTGTCATTTTAACAAGCAGACATATTTAAAGAAAGTGACCATAAAAATGTCTTCAGAAACTATTGCCCTCATTGAAATACAAAGCAAAGTTTGTAAAATTTTAACAGATTATATTTATGGTGAAAGAATTTCCTGAATTAGGCATGGGACTACTCTGTCACACTGCCTAGGTTCAAACTATGGCATTGCCGTTTCATAGCTGCATGAACTTGCCTCAGCTAACTAATCTGTGAAATGGAAATAATAAAAGTATCTGCCTCATAGAGTTATAAATTAGATGATGTGTGAAGTGCTTTTAGCATGGTGCCTGCACCAAATGTGTCCTAAATAAATGTTACTATTAGCTATAATATTTGAAATGAACAGTTTGAAAGAAATCCACGTTAAGATGACTATTCATTTCCATTTTGTCCAATAAAATGAACTGAAGAATGAAAATAGAAATACATAAAGCTCTGGAGGCCAAAAAAGTTGGAAGTTTTGAAGAAGCCTATGTATTTTTCAGGAAATCTTTATTGCATACCTACCATGAGATAAGCAATGCACTAGGAATTGAGCTTCTGCAGGGCAATAAATAAAACATACACAGCTTCTGTCCTCATAAAGCATACAGAATATAGAAAGAGACAGATATTAAGGAATCACACTAACAAGATAAAATTATTTTTTGATATGAGCTACATAGAAAAAATGCAAGATATATAGAATCTGTTTCATAGTGAGACCTAATTTAGATTGAAGGGGCCAATGAAAGCCTCCTTGAGGAAGTGACATTTAAGGAGCCCTGTAGACTAAGTAGAGATTAGAAGGGAATGGGGAACTGAGAATATTTCAGGTATGCCATAATGTGGTCCTGGATTTGGTAATTGGCTATGGTAATGGAAACAGAGATGAAATTAATAAAGTCTTGTTAATTCTTCCTCCAAGAGTCAGTGATTCTCATTATATTAGGCATAGGTATAGTAAAGAGCTGATAATAAGAAGACTAAGATGTCCAGCTTTTTTATGGTTCCACAGAGATAAAGAAAAATAAAAGATAATGAGTTAAGGTTTTGATGTTAGTGTTTTAGGTTTGAGGGGAGTTTGGGGTGTAGCATGAAAAACTTAGATTTGAATGTATTGAAATTGATAAAGGAATTATGGGCCTATGCTGGAGGATATAAAGGAGAAAGAGCTGACATTTCCAACGCCCACTGTGTTCCAGACCCAAGATAGAAGCTGCACATGTATTTTCTTATTTCTTACTTAACCTAATACTCTATGAAGAAGTAGGGAGTTCTGGAGGAACAAATGTGAAGAAGTGATCAAAGAAAGAGAAGGATAACCAAAATAAAATGATAGTGTGGAAGAAATACAAAAAGGAAGTCTTAAGAATAGGAAAGTGGTCCACAAGGTCAGAAAGCACCGATTGTTTTACCAATACTTTGTATTGTTTCATTTTGTCTCGCATATGCAATCAATGAAATTCCACCTCTAGTTGGCAACAGTTGTCAAATTCATCCATGTATGTTTCTTAATTTGTCCAATAATCTTTAATGTGCAACCACTATGTTCCGGTACTATAGCAGTCATTGGCACAATCCAGTAGTGAAAATCCCAGCTCTCATGGAGCTCACAGTTTAGTAGGGAGAAACAGACAATGACAAATAAACAGATGAATACATAATATGTCAGATGGTGACAAGTGTAATGGAGAAAATAGAACAAGCTTAGGAGAATAAAAATTACTAGAGAGACTGGCCAGGGAACACCTGCCTGTTTAATGGCATATGGGCAAACACCTAAAAAAGTGAGGGAATGAATGATGTGGGTATCCAGGGGAAGAACACTGCATTCAGAATGAACAGAAAGTGCAAAGACCCTGAAATAGCAAAGTCCTTGGCAGGAAACCAGTAAGGCTTTTAGAAAGGAAGACTGATATGATCTGGCTTATTTTTGCAAAGGATCTTTCTGGCTGCAGTGTTGATACAGTTTGCTAGAGGGGCAAGGGCAGAAACAAGGAGACCAGTTAGAAGCTATTGTAACAGTCCAGGCAAGGGATTGGCAGGAGGGAAAATATATACTGGATAATGTCAGAAGGCCTCAACTCCATTGTTTTAAATGAAAAGATATGTGTGAAAGTATTATACACAGCACAGCTCTATTCAAATTCTAGGAGCCACAGTTATTGTCATTTTTATACAAGTCCCTGCCATTTTGCCCATTATTTCAGACCACATCTAGATGATGTGGCTGTGTGATTTTTCAGTCCACGTTGATATTAACGGCCACATTCCCTTTAAAGTCATTTTCTGTCTGCACATGAATCAGACATTGCTTCTTGTCCTTTTATTGTGGTTGTTATTGCTGTTTTTTAGCACACACCCAGGCACGCCATGTAATTGCTGCTACATGATTACTTCAGTGTTTTCCCTAGAGTGTTTCTTCTTTCTTGACATACCATTTTTCCTACTTCCCTTTTTCCTGGAGGACCTGGGTTATCTGTTTTCATGCTTAATATTTTCTCTGTCCACCCATCTGTTTATTTTAGCTTGTTTCTTCCCTCCTCTCTGCTGGCCTCTTTATAGATTCCTCTGTTCGATAGTTTAAACTCCATGACACTGCTTTGTTTATCCTCTCAGCTTCCACAGCACATTATTCCCCATCTGCTGTAGAAAGAACCCCAGTGTCCCACAAAGTTAACTAAGCCCCTCTTGTCTGAACAAGTTTTTCAGTCATGCATTCAAGTTTCTGATCTACCCCATCTTCCCTGGTTGGGAATGCAACAATAATATTTCTAAGCAAGCTATGCTCAGTAGATCTCATCTTTTGTTCTTTTTTCCTTTCAAATGCCTTAATGACTTAATGGTCTATTTCTTCAGAGGTAGGCAGTTTCAATATCAGTCAATCAGCAAGTATGTATTTAGTATTTGCTGTGTGACCAGCAGTGTGCTAAGGACTGCAGGAGATTCAAAAAAACAGACACGGCATGGTCCAAGGCTCAGGATGTTTGTAATCTCGATGGAGATGTAGTGCTAACATATATTTATTATGCACTTGCTGCAATCCAGAAATTGTGCTAGAAACTAGGAATACAACGTGAATTTTAAAAAGAAAGACGTCTATCCTTATGGAGCTCATAGTCTAGCAAGGGAGAAAGACACATGTTAAAAATTATTTACAGTTCAATCAAATATGTACAAAATGCTCTGGGAAAACAGAGGAGTGAAAGGGATTAGTTCTGCCTTGGGTAATTGTGGAAAGCTTCACAGAGATGGTGATATTTAAAATGGAGTTTAATAAATTAGTGTTAATTAAGCAGAGAATTAATAATAAAAGCTAATATTTATTGAGTACTTATGAGGTTTCAAGCATCACTACGTGCTTGCGAATTAGCTCATTTAATCCTCACAATAACCCTCTGTGCTATTATGGAGTAAGCAATTGATAAACAGAAAGGTTAAATAACTTTCCTAAGGTCACACAGCTAGGAAGATATCAAAGCCAAGATTTGATTCCAAAGGGTAGCTCTAAACCTTGGGCCCTTAAGCACTGTCCTCTGCTGTCTCTCATGAAACATAGAAATAAGAAAGAAAAGGAAGGTGGCATTTCAAGCAAATCAGTATGTTTGCAAAGCACAGTATTCAAACATACTTGTAATAACCTGCAGCCATGGGACCTTAAATCCAATACATAATCCCTGGATCAAGCAGATAGTGACATCAAAATGGTAAACTCATTCTTTTGTTAAATTGGAATTCATAGAAAGCACAGAACTGAGAAGCAATAATGAGGAAAATAACTGGGTTTTATAAATCAGTATTAATAACAGAATATAAAAAAGCAATGGGATCAACTGATTAAACTGCTATGAATTTCATTTGAACATCAAGCATGGTTATGCCCAGTGTTATCCAGGGACTAGAGAGTCCTTGAGAACCAGAAATCTTTGCTAGACAACATACATCCTGATTCTCCTAGCCCCTTGAAAGTAAAAAAAAAAAAAAAAAAAAAACAAACAAAATGGCCTCAGAGGCCCTCCGTCCTACCCCTGGGAATGATCTGGGGCCCTGGGGACAGCCTGGCATCTGCATGATTTCCCTTTTATCAACACCACATCTTCATTTCCAATGCATAATAGCATAGCATTTACCATGCGTATGGCCCATATTATGAAGCTACCAATTCCATAAGGGAAACAGAAAGAAAAAGATTCTGAGGAAGAAGAGGGTATCAAAAGAAGTACTGGAAGGCTGATGGGAAAGAATGAGATAAAAGAAGAAAAAGAAACCTGGCCTCCTGCAATGAGTATAAAGATTTCCTTCTAAAAGATGAACAAGGACCTTCTGAAGAAGCTCCTGACATATTCTACAGGTTCACCTGTGCTAGAGAAAAGAAACCAGACAATGCCTCCTACAGGAGGCAGTTTCGTTTCCTCGCTGAGAGAACTGAAGTGACAGTGTGCACATTTGGCCCAGTTAAATGAGAAACGTGCTTTATTCCCAGGCAGCATATAACAGAGACTTGAGAGTCTGCCAAGACTTATAAAGTCCCCCGAATGCTTTCCACTTCTGTTGATATATATGAGAATGAATTCTCATTCTCTTTATGAAGCCGGGAATGTATCTCTAACGTCTTTGAATTTCTGCGTAGGAAAATGAATGGTTTAGGGGCACTAGTGATGTTTTCATCTCTTCTTCCTGCTGCTTCTAGTAAGAGATGGACTGCATCTCATAAGACTGGCAAGACAGTGTTGGCGGGACACCAGTCAGCCTGATCGAGTGCTTTATTATTTCAATTGAATTGTGAAAGGAAAGAGAAGAGTACTCAGATAAAACTGCAAGACCATATTGGATACTATGGAGCATAAACAGGAGGGAACAGAAAGAAAAATAGTGGAGGCCTTGCCCAGCAATTTCCAAAAGATACCAGAGAAATGGGCTGGGAACAAGGTTAATATTCTCACTTGTCCCTGTACCAACACATAGCAGATGAAAATTATCAAACTGAACTTTAAAAACTGAAGAGAATTTGGTAAAATAATCCCTTAAGTCTTATGGGGATTTGTAGAAATGTGATTCCTGACCAGATTATGGCATGGAAAGGTGTATCTTGTCTGGAATAAATGGGTCTGATGGAAGGGCTAGGGGAGAAGCAGTATCTATCAAAAAAATTATACACATGCATGGAAATCCACAAACCTCAGGGTGGAGTATGGAGGAAGCAGCTGCAGGAGAGTGAAATGAAAGAAAAACAAAATGTTACCCTGGGACTGCCTCAGAGACCTTGTAACCAGATGGTTAATAGGGACAGGCAAGACAGAGGAGTGATGAAAGCCTTTGCAAACTTCAGATGGAAATCCCACTCCACTAAAGGCAAAACATCGGAAAAATTATTGAATTGCCTTGTTGGAAATTCAGTCTCACAAAAGAGAGACAAGTAATGAGGGGACTTGCTGCTTTGGCTTATTTCTGGCTAAAAAAGTCTGTTTGAAGAAAATGGCAGCTAAAGGAATCTTGAAGGAAAGTAACCATTCCACGTTAACTTAGAGTTTATTAGGCCAATGAAAGGAAGTCTGAGCTTAGAAATGCAAGTATCCCACCTTTAGTAAACCTAATTTCAGGAAGTTCAGAGAAAACAATAGATATTATCTTATAGTCAGCAACTCTAACCTGAAGATGGATCAAGAAAAATGAGAAGCTGACAAGTACAAATTTGATTATATAATCACTAAGTTTCCTAAGAAGTAAGAAAAAGGTTATGCATTTAGATAACTCAGTGTTTGGTGCTTATATGAGAAAAGACAGATCACATTACCAATGATGAAATAAAAGGGTGGCATCAAGATTTAAGGACAGGTCAGAAGTGCTAAAGCCTCAAATGATCTGAGTTTGGAGAAAATATTAGGAAAAATAGCAACATATTTTGTCTATTAATACTCACTACTTAGAGCAGGTGGTACACTGTTAAATTATAATTAGAGAGAACTGTTTGACTCCTATTATCTTTCTAGAATCCCATAAAGAATTTTATCAGAACTAAAAAGAGTAGAGAAAATATATTTGAGAGTTAAAACCTAAGATACCTAAGGATATTGTAGAAATACACTTACCTTCATTAAATGAATTTAAATCCAAAGTGTCTTGCAAGACATTACCACTTTAAAGCCTGAGCTCATCCCAGATAGAAAAAATACAGTGATCAGGGCCACAGACAGGTACTGAACCAACTTTGCTCCTGGCCAATCCTTACTCATCTGACTCTCTCACTAATAATCTCCCTCTCACCCAAGCCGCTCTCACTACTTTGGTTCCAAAAGTCTCACTTGCCGCTATTCCATCTCTTGATTTACTTGCTTCTCTCACCCTCGCCGGCCAATCTAATACTTCATTTTCTGGATCATACTTTGTCTCTGCCCTCTGCTCTCAGCATATTCAAGCCGAGTCCTTAGTTATTAGAGTTCTGCCAAATTTAAACTTAAGATGTCCTTTTCTTACTGTACAGTACTCCTGTCTGCCTTCTGCTCAGAGGGCATATATAGAATATCCAGAATAAGGCACCTGCTATATTTTTAAGTGCTTTTGTAAGAGATCACTATACCACACTGATGAAAAATAAATGTTGCTCCAGGTTCTTTCCCAAAGAAAAAGGTGGATGTTGTAGGGGAAGTAGGGAAAAGATGGAAACAAATCAGAAAGATTGAGATCTAACCCCAAAGGAATCCTACAAACGTCATTCAGCTTTTGACTTGGGAGCATTAGTAAAGGAAGAAGTTAAAAATCAGCATAAATTCAGTAAGAGCAAACTGAATTATCTCATTTTCTGTTTTGAAAGATGCATTAGGCAAGAAGTGAATATACCATAAAAAGATATGACATTGGTAATGGTACAGATAAGGAAATAGTTAAATGATTAAATAGCTACATCCAAATAATTTAAATATTGAATGTTTTTGGGTTAGAAGTCATAGTGACTGCCCACAGCATGCTGTTCTGGGTCCTGGTTTTTGAAGGATACTTATTTGCAGAAGTTGTACAAAGTGCAGACAGTCCTGACCTACAATGGTTTATCTTATGATTTTTTTTTTATTTTACAATGGTTCATATTAAGAACTTAACAATGGTTCATCTTATGATTTTTCTTTCTACTTTACGACAGTGTGACTTACAATGGTTCATCTTATGACTTTTGTTTTACTTTAAGATAGGGCGAGAGCCATAGGCATGCAGTAGAAACTGATATGATACATGCTAATCAAATATGAAGACTTGAAGCTAGAAAGAACAGCTAACATGCTAGATAATCACAGTTTGAAAATACTTCCATCAGCTATTAAAAATAGACCAAAACTAATAAATTAATATTAGTCGTAATAAATTCAGAATGAAACATCAGGGACGGAATCAGGGCTGTCTAGTTCCTCACTCTTTGGCCTTAAACTTTATATCAAACAGAAACATTGACTGGTCTATTAAAAAAAAAAAAAAAAACTTGGCCAGGCGCCGTGGCTCACGCCTGTAATCCCAGCACTTTGGGAGGCCAAGGCGGGTGGACACAAGGTCAAGAGTTTGAGACCAGCCGGGCCAATATGGTGAAACCCGGCTCTACTAAAAATACAAAAATTAGCCGGGCGTGGTGGCGGGCGCCTGTAGCCCCAGCTACTTGGGAGGCTGAGGGAGGAGAATCGCTTGAACCCAGGAGGCAGAGCTTGCAGTGAGCCGAGATCACGCCACTGCACTCCAGCCTGGGCAACAGAGCGAGACTCTGTCTCAAACAAAACAAAACAAAACAAAACAACGACAACTTTTAATTATCTCAAACAAGTAATAAATTGATAATAATGGGATCTTGGAATTCTGTAGTACTTTGCAACATCCATTCCTTGAACACCTACATTAAAATTAAGTGTTATCATCTATAATTTAAAAGATTTAACATTGCTTTCTCCACATACATATCTACATATAACCATTTCCACTAATCAGGGATGGCTACACCATACTGCTGAACCTTCATACATCCAAATGGGTGTAATAATGAATTGGAATAATGAATATGGGTTCCCTGATCTCCACAGATGTGTGTACAAGAGGGGCTGGAGACTAGCCATATGTGACTTACTGATTTTATGCATCTTTCAGCCAACTCCAGATTCCAGGACATCTACTCAAGGGTATTCATAAGCTGGTAGTACTACCTGGAGGCTTTGGGATTAAAACAAATGTCCACATTCTTAGCCACATGGAATAATTTTTTTTGCTACTCTTTCCCAAAATGATTTAAAATAGTTGTCATTCTTTTATCCTCTTCCAGATAAAGAAAAAAATATAATTTTCTTAAAAAATTGTACTTAATAAGGGATGAATTGTTAACACCATGTGCTAATAACTTCTAGAGGCTCCACATTGGCTTCACATTAAACAATGATGTTTTAATAAATGACAAAAGCAAATCTCCAATTTAGAGGAAAAGGCATATTTAATGTACACAGAATGTGGACTTGCTCCACGTAAAATTTCTAAGGCATATACAACGTTTCTTTTGAAGAAGGCTTATACACTTGTTGACTGCCTAGAGAGTTTCCTGTATAATCATCATTTGAATATTTATTGATGATTTTAGTCACCATTATCTGATTCAGTGAAACAACTCTTTGGGTTGATTTATTTACTAGATTTAAAAAATTATTTTCTATCACATATAAATGGGCTTTTACAGCCAGATAGTGACCTCTTGAATTTATTATTTTAAAATAGTACTGGGAAATATTACACATATTCAGATACTTTGACTATGATTATTTTGTATTTAAAATACTCATATCAATAAAAATGTTCAGTAAAATAGCTATTACTTCATCCCACTATGTGCCTACTACCATATTATAGGTTTAGTGTATAGATATATAAAATTTATATTTATGTTAACAAATATTTGCGTACCCATTGTGTTTCAATGATCTCCAGAAACAGGATACACCACATGAGATACACAGATGAATTAAAGCTTACTAAGAGACCACAACATGGGAAGCTAAATGTAGAAAATATCCATAACATGAATTAGAATTTGCTAAATACAGAATAACAAATGAGTCAGCATAGCAGAGTGCTGATGATCGTGGTATTTAAAGTCAGGCAACACTGGTTCTCAATCCCTGCTTCATCATTTACTTAATTGGGTACTTTAAATCTCAGTCACATCATCAACTATTAAATGCATGAGGTTTAAGTGAGAAAATGTGTAAAACATATGGCACTGGCCTGAAATATATTAAGAACTCAAAAGGTATCTGTTGTCATTAGTTCCATATAATAGATATTGGCCATCAAAAAAAATTTTTAAGAAAGAGGATATGGAGGAGAGAGGGCAAGGAAGGGAGGAAAAGGGGAAAAGGTGAGAAAGAGGAAGAAAGAGAGATCACGTCCTCACATTTGGTTAGGAAAGAAGAAGGAAGGATTAAGGAAATCTTCATGAAGTAGTGGCATTCGAGATGTCTTTGAAGGATGCTTGGGATTTTGCAAAGTGGAGTTAGGAATGAAAGGTATCTTAGACAGAGGATTTAACCTAATGTTAGATCTCAGATGGGTCAGTTGAAAAGTGTGTCCTCCAGTGTAGCTGAAGTGCATGGTGTTTGAAACTGAGAAATAAGATAGAAAAAGACATGTTTGCAGAAAGCCTTAAATGCCAGCGTGGTAAGCCTGTGCCTAATTCAACAGATTTTTGAATAAGGTAGTGAGAAATTTAGTCTGTGTCTTACATCCTAGATTAAGGTGGCAGCATTGCCCAGGGTAGAGTGGGAAAGGAAGAATGTGAGGATGAAACTTATCAAGTAGTCTCTTACAATTGCATTAAAATTAATGAGAAATTCATTAATAATGTTTAAAGATGGCAGTAAACATGGAAAGGATTCAAAAGATATTGCACATCTGGAACCCAGACTTGGCAACAGATAGGAGATATTGGAGCAAGTTATGTAGTGACATATAACTATGAAATTCCAAGACTCCGTGATTGGAAAAATCGTAATGCTATTCACAAAACTAAAGAAATACAAAGGAAGACCCAGTTCGTGTTGTTGATGATAAGTTCAGTGAGTAGAGAATCTGAAGTACCAATCTCTAATGACAGTGCTCATTATGCAGCTGATAAATGTAGATCTTGAGTTTATGGGAGCATTTCAAAATGGAAATATTGATTTGGATGTCAAGTGCCCACCTACAAACAGACTGCAGTGTAGTTGAAATTATAACTTCAATGCATTATAAAGAAAATAGGGAAGACAATATTGGAAGTTTTCTAGCATCTTATCACTTGAAAGATACACAAAGGAACTGTATAAAAATGTAAACTTTGTCTCAGTTTGAAATTCCATGATAATGAGTATATTATAATTTAGAGATCAAATAGAAAAAAAAGTAAAGAAGAGTAAGCAAGATTATAAAAATAGCAGAAAATGCAATACCAAAGAGAATATGGAAAGATGATTTTAACTAAGAGTCAAACCTCCTTGAACATGGACCTTGAATTCAAACAAGATTCTCATGTTAATAGTTAAAAACAAAAGCAAAAATCTTGACAGCATGCTAATTTGACATTGCTACATTCTTTTGTTTTGTTTTATGAAGCAAAATGTTTCTTATTGTTGATGAAACATAGTCTGTGCTTCACATATTAGGCACACTCCCAATTAGTATGAAGAACAAAGCAATGTGTAATCACATGAAAGATCTTCAATGGTGAATGAAGAAAATTCTAGTTCTTTAAAGTAAAAGAGCATCTGACTTAATTATTGGATCAACCTAAGCGATTAACATAAATTAGAATTTTTAAATAATGTTGCATACTCTTCAAGACATGACAGGTGAGTATTCTATCACAGCACTTTTTAAATTAAAATCTAAAATCCTCATGCAGTGAAATAAATGCATAACATTCACACTCGTATTCCCTTCATTATGAGCAATCTAAACTTTTCTAGCATAGTGTATTACCCTTTGTCACTTTGTATTACTTTTGGTCCTTCAAGGTCCAAAAATGAGAAAAAGTTAGCCATAACAACTCACACGGGTGTCATTTATTCTTTCTGTCCACAGAAATGCTGTTTTAAATTATCCAGTCAAAAACCTATTGAATGCAGTTAATTAGGTCTCGTATTTCTAAGCCAGGCATGCATATTGCCCATCTTTCAGAAGACAAACATCTAAGCTATAATTATCATAAAAAGCTTATCTATGAGAATTATACTATCCAGTCTCCCAAGTTAATATAATGCAACATTGTATAAAAACAGGAAAATGCTGAGTGATATTAATTATTACATGAAAATGTTTTAAAATGAGCTTGCTAAGTAATTCAGTGGCTATTTTTAGGATGTAATAGGAAAAGCACTGCAGTACCTTGGAACATTTGGTGAATTGAGCAACGTAGAGCAAGTTGTGGCTATGATTGATGAAGAAATGTGTATCAACTGTGGTAAATGCTACATGACCTGTAATGATTCTGGCTACCAGGTAAGAATCCTGCTGGAATTAGAATGCTATGAGACATGTTTCTTCTTGTTTTTACGGCAGAAAGCATTTTCTGTTGCTATGTGTGAAATTTAAACCAGTGGTGCCAAATATTGCTCTTCTGCAACAGTACATCTTTCTGTCCTGTCACCCTTATAATATGGTCTTTTTTTAAAAGGAAACTTGTAACTTTTACTAACTATGCCAGCATTTAATGCACAGAATTATTTTTATACCATTTCATCAGCCACAACATTAGAGAGAAAAATCCAACTGAAAAGAGAAATGCACACAAAATTAGGAATACTAGGAAAGCATTATGCTTTAATACAGAGGAAAGGGAACAGAACTACCATTTATGGCCATTACTCTGAAAGGCTATGATTCCTTCTGCCAAAAGAGAGTTCTCTTCCATTCAGTATTGATTAGGCTTTTACTACAGTCAGAAAGAAGCACTTTCCCACCAACGAGTTGTATAGGTTGGTCCCAGGAATTCCTCTGAAGCTGGAAAAGCCTAAGAGATGTATTCTTCCCTCATGAAGTGAGCCATAGCTACTTTCCAGCTCCTCAGTCCTCAGCAGAGCATCTACCATGCAGGAAAAAAAAAAAAAAAAAGAAAAGAAAAGAAAAGAAAAAGAAAAAGAAAGAAAAATTGGGGATTTGACTCCTTCTAGTGGGCTATTCTCTTGAAAACACATTCTGTGAATTTCTCTTTGGCTTATAATTTGCTTCTTCATTTACTTCCTATATATTTATAACCTGCTATTTTTTAAAGAGTTTGGCACAACTATGACTTTTAACTGGTTGAATTTTAGAAATGAATGAAAAAATGATCATAACAATACTTTTAAACATAAGTTTCTTCTCAAAAGCCTGATTTATTGTGAAAGTTAAAGAATTTCTTAAGAAGTAGAGTTTGGAGAAAGCAAATTTTAAAGTTTTGGAAAACTACTAAACTATTAAAAATTGCTAAAAACTATACAATATTGTTTTTATTATATTTTTCAAGCTATAAGTAAAAAAAGATCTTTTTAAGAAATGATCAATGGAATGTTCTAAATTCATAATAAAATGTCCCCATGTTTAAAAAGAGAAGTTTGTGTACCTTATTCAACCTAGGGGCAGATTCCATACTGCTCATGGTGGGATTTTGCATATTCTTATGACAGACATATTTTAATTTAAAAAAAAACTATTAATTTTTCTTCCTAGTTCCACAGTTCTACACCAAATTTTTACTCAATTCATCACCTTTTTTCTAGCTAAAAGCTGTCTTAACCGTTATTTTTATAAAGTGCTAGCCATATCACATTTACTTTCATGTCGTCTTTCAAATTAACCAATCAGAGATCAATCAGGAAGTCCTATAACTATCAGAGCATCAGCTCTCTAATATCTTAAATCTTAGAACTTATGGCTCCCACCGTGGAATTCTAGACTTGGAACAACTTTAGAAAAATCTTCTTAGTAATGAGAAAGAAAATCACAAGTATGCATTTTAAAAGACTTAGAAAGTTCTTTGATTCTTCTGTCTCAGAAGATAAAAATAGAAAGCCAAAATTTTTAATTGAACATAAAGTTTTATATCTTTGCAGATTTTCAAAGTATATTTCTAAGCATTAGTCTTAATTTTTATCAGTTACTTCATTGAGTTTCCATTTATATAAAAGGGTACCTAAGGAAGATAAATCGTTTTTACTCATCCAAACAGCACCTTAAAATGTTGTTTTACAAAACATAGCACCAATTTGTGTGGACAGATATTCTCATGACTTGCTATAGCTATAGTTCTTGTTCAAATATATGTTTATTTCCTTACAGATCAGACTTTTTAAAAATATTAAGCAACTATCATGATTTACTCTGAAAATATTATTTTCATTTATATGTGCATAAAAGAGAAAAAATATAGTTGCATGCAGCTTCATTTGGAGGGGGGAATTTTTTAAACAACTATATATATATATACACACATATATAATTGAATTATAACATTGGTATGAGACAGGAAAAAAATCAAAATAATGCAATTCCTTGAAAATGTAAGATTTGTAGACCTGGCCTCAAGGGGTACCATGGGGGTGGAGAGACACTTATTGTCCCTTGTAATTTCCTCAGCCCCGACTTAGTCACTTCAAAGTAGTACACAGTCTGAGTAAAACTCTTGTATTTTTTTTGCAAGTGAGACTGCCAGGCAAGTTTCCTAAATCCCCTCTGACACCATGATCCACCCCTACGTAGCTGCCCTGAAATCCCTCCTAGATAGAAATCCTGTAACTTCCGCTGAGGTCTTACATGTCATTTTTCATCATTGAAATGTTTCTCTTTAATGGGAAAATAATCATCATATCTTTTTTTAAAAAAAACTCGGTCCTGAATTTCATACTAGGTATTCTTAATTGCTTATTCTACATTGCTTCATGGAAAGAAAAAGAGAGGAAGGGAGGGAGGAAGGGAGGGAGGGAATAGAGGAAGACGGGGGAAGGAAAATTGTAAAATTTCTCAAAATCCTAAGCCGTTTCAGAGCTGGAGGCCTGGCTGTGGTAATCTGGGCTCAATAGTGTCAGGGCCAGGACTGGACATCAGTTTTCCTGGCTCTCCATTCAGTGTTTTTCCCCTTCGTGGTGGACAATGACTAGAGTCAGCTTGGAAATCTTCAAAACTCAAAGCTGACTGTTAAGCTAATTTTTTTCTTCTGCTTTCTTCTAAAAACTACATGCATTATTTGAAATCCAAACAAATGTATTCATTGCCTCAGAATCTGACAGTAACACTTTTCCACTGTCAAGAACAAAGAGTGTGAAGAGGAAAAGGAGGACGTGTGAAAGTCCCCCAAAATCCACAGGTAGAAGACGCCCCATCCTGGTAGAACTGGAAAGACCCGAACTCTGCTCAGAACAAAGAAAACTAGAGAGTGACTATGTTATGACATATTTTCCTCACACAATGAAGAAAAATACCCCTAAGGAATTTTAAACATTGTGTTTTTAATTTAAAAGGATTTCTTTTCTCGCTCTTTTTTTCCTCCTCTGTCAGCTCAACTGTTGCTATAGTTGCACCATAGAGCTGGACGTAGTTGTCTCATAGTGTGGCTCCTCTGCAGCAGAGAAAAATGTTAACGCTAAAATGGGGACATTGTTGACCTTTGTGGTCAGTGACATCAATACCCTCTATTTCTGTTTGCAGGCTATACAGTTTGATCCAGAAACCCACCTGCCCACCATAACCGACACTTGTACAGGCTGTACTCTGTGTCTCAGTGTTTGCCCTATTGTCGACTGCATCAAAATGGTTTCCAGGACAACACCTTATGAACCAAAGAGAGGCGTACCCTTATCTGTGAATCCGGTGTGTTAAGGTGATTTGTGAAACAGTTGCTGTGAACTTTCATGTCACCTACATATGCTGATCTTTTAAAATCATGATCCTTGTGTTCAGCTCTTTCCAAATTAAAACAAATATACATTTTCTAAATAAAAATATGTAATTTCAAAATACATTTGTAAGTGTAAAAAATGTCTCATGTCAATGACCATTCAATTAGTGGTCATAAAATAGAATAATTCTTTTCTGAGGATAGTAGTTAAATAACTGTGTGGCAGTTAATTGGATGTTCACTGCCAGTTGTCTTATGTGAAAAATTAACTTTTTTGTGGCAATTAGTGTGACAGTTTCCAAATTGCCCTATGCTGTGCTCCATATTTGATTTCTAATTGTAAGTGAAATTAAGCATTTTGAAACAAAGTACTCTTTAACATACAAGAAAATGTATCCAAGGAAACATTTTATCATTAAAAATTACCTTTAATTTTAATGCTGTTTCTAAGAAAATGTAGTTAGCTCCATAAAGTACAAATGAAGAAAGTCAAAAAATTATTTGCTATGGCAGGATAAGAAAGCCTAAAATTGAGTTTGTAGAACTTTATTAAGTAAAATCCCCTTCGCTGAAATTGCTTATTTTTGGTGTTGGATAGAGGATAGGGAGAATATTTACTAACTAAATACCATTCACTACTCATGCGTGAGATGGGTGTACAAACTCATCCTCTTTTAATGGCATTTCTCTTTAAACTATGTTCCTAACAAAATGAGATGATAGGATAGATCCTGGTTACCACTCTTTTGCTGTGCACATACGGGCTCTGACTGGTTTTAATAGTCACCTTCATGATTATAGCAACTAATGTTTGAACAAAGCTCAAAGTATGCAATGCTTCATTATTCAAGAATGAAAAATATAATGTTGATAATATATATTAAGTGTGCCAAATCAGTTTGACTACTCTCTGTTTTAGTGTTTATGTTTAAAAGAAATATATTTTTTGTTATTATTAGATAATATTTTTGTATTTCTCTATTTTCATAATCAGTAAATAGTGTCATATAAACTCATTTATCTCCTCTTCATGGCATCTTCAATATGAATCTATAAGTAGTAAATCAGAAAGTAACAATCTATGGCTTATTTCTATGACAAATTCAAGAGCTAGAAAAATAAAATGTTTCATTATGCACTTTTAGAAATGCATATTTGCCACAAAACCTGTATTACTGAATAATATCAAATAAAATATCATAAAGCATTTTAAATATGGTCTTTTGCTGCCTCATTTGCAAATATAATTTCATATAAACAATTTAGATTTTGAGATAGAGCAGTTTTTGGTTAGTCCTATAGAGCATTCCATCCAGATATAAAACTCATGTTAGTTTAAGTAAAATAAGGGTGATAATAGTGCAGTCACTCAAATGTTTCACTTCCTGTCCTTCTTACCCATCTTTACCTACTGAATTAGATTCTATTCTGCCAAAAGGCATCTTTTACTGGGAACAGGCCAGGATTCTTGCAATGGCCCATGGGCAGGGACAAATGGAAAGTGGCAGCCTGCCTGCCTGTCTGAAAGTGCCAGTCTCACTGTAGGAAGTACACACCTCACTTAATATTACTGCTTAGATAGTTATGTGATATTATTGACTCATATAAATTGACTCTCTTTGCACTCTTGTCGTGGTGAGGGATTTTAACTTTTGGAGTTGGTAACACTTAGAAAACAGTTCCAGTAATCTAGAAAAGAGATTTACCAGGGCTACGTGGATGCCATCATAATGTCTTACCCCCTACCTGAATCTGATGAGAGTTTTTCACTCTGGGAGTTCTGGGAGTTTAGTAGCCTTCTGGGAATATTATAAAAGATATCCCATGTATGTACACACCTGAGTCCTCTTCAAGATACTGAATGCCAAATGCCAGGCAGAAATTTCCTTGATCGAGATTAAAGAAATAATCATGACCTTTGCATTTTTTTCTGAGAAAGAGAGGGCAAAATACTTTAACTGTTTCTGTAACTACTGTGGAGAACTACAAGTGACCAGGGTTAGGCCATGGCAATCCATGATTTTATACTAGTTTCTTCCTTACACACATTTCTTTCTGTTGTATTCACTTTCTATTTCATACCAAGAAGTCTTTCTTATCCATGTTGTGTGTAGAAAACATAACTCAATTTTACATATGTTATTTACAGAGAGACTCAGAATAAGGAAGAATGAAAACCACATTATTCCCATCCAGCAACACACCAGGAGCCATTGACCCTAACACACACATTCTCATGGCACCTTACCTCCAGACATGATTGGGGACATAAGACCGGACCAGAGAGTGTGGTTAGTGAGCACTTCCTAACGAATGTCTGAGAAGCTGTACTAAATGTTCTACATATATGATAGTTAATTTTATGTGTCAGCTTAGCTGGGCTGCAGTACCCAGACACTTAGTCAAGCATTACTCTCCATGTTTCTGTGAAGGTGTGTGTTTTGGGGTTAGATTTACATTAAAATTAGTGGACTCTGAGGAAAGCAAATTGCCCTTCATAATGTGGGTGGGCCTCATCCAACCAGTGGAAGGCCTGGCTAGAACAAAGGCTGACCTCCCTCGAGCAGGAAGGAATTCTCCAGCAGACTACCTTCAGCCTTCATCTACATCATTGGCTCTTTCTGGTTGTATATCAGACTGCCTTTGGACTTGAACTATAGCTCTTTTCTGAGAGGCCAGCTTGCAGGCTTCCCCTGTCAAAGTTGGGACTCATCAAGCTTCCACAATTATGTGTGTTCATTCCTTAAAATAACAAATGAATTTTTTTAACTAAATAAAGTGTATCAGTTATGTTTCTCTGGACAATCATGACTAATACAACATGTGTTATTACATTGGAATGTTATAAAGATCACAGGTAAGTGCTATATTTTTTTCCATTTAAAAATGAAGACATAGGTGCTTAAAGAGTCTAACTAACTTGTTCCAGGTCATATAACTGTTTAGATATGTTTGTAGGTGCCCTTGGTTATGTCTAATATGCTACATGCCTTCATCCTTTTGTTCAACCAACCATTTATTTATTCAACAAATATTTATGAAGCAGCTATTATACAGTGAACCAAGCACTGGACTAAGGGCTGAGGGTATGAACTCGAATGATGAATGCTCCTTGTCTTAATCTGTTAGGGCTGCTATAACAAATTACCATAAATTATGTAGCTTATAAACAGCAAAAAACAAACAACAACAACAAAAAAAAACATTTCTCACAGTTCCAGAGGCTGGGAATTCCAAGATCAAGGTGCCAGTAGATTCGAGGTCTGGCGAGGGACTGTTTTATGGTACAGAGATTGCACCTTATGGCTGTGTCCTCACATGGTAGAGGGATGAACAGGCTCCCTTGGGCCTATTTATGAGGGCACTAATGTCATTAAGGAGGGTTCCACCTTCCTGATTTAATCACCTCTCAAAAGCTGTACCTCTTAATACCATCGCCTTGGATATGGAAATTTCAACATATGAATTTTGAGGAAACATAGACATTCAGACCACGGCACTCCCTAACTTCAAGGTGCTTACAATGTACAGGGGAAATAGTAGGTAACATATGGTAAATGCTAGGAAAGCAATCTTGAGAGCAGGGACATCAAAGGTATACTGTCTTAACAAGGTGACAATTAAGCCAAGTTTGTTTTTTTTTTAAACTTTGGCTCTTTTATTTAGAAGTTTTCTCATGTATTCAACAACTTGATTAAAACATATCTCTTTAATTTGGGATACATTGATTTTTCATAAAATATAATATTTTTAACGTGATTATCAGTATTGCACAGTGATTAAAATTTGGGCTTTGAAATAAACAGAACTGGATTGAATATGACAGCTGCCACTCATTATCTGTATCATCTTGGACAGATTATTTAATCTTTCTGAATATGAGCTCATAAAGGAATTTCCTAAATAGGTAACAAGAGAAGGACACCTCAAGCAGTGAAAACAAGAGAGAGCACAGAAGTTTGAGAAGTCTGGAATGTTTGGAAAACCACAAAAGCTTGAATTAGCTAGGACAAAAGGAACGTGGTTGGAAGTAAGGTGGAGACAGAGAGACAGGTTTGGATCACACTAGAATCCCTCAAGGAATCAGAATCCGCACTTTGTTCACTCATTCAAAAATATTAAGTAACTTCTTTATGCCAAGAACTTCCTAGCTGATAGGGATTCAACTATGAACAAGACAAACATGGCTCCTGCCTTACTGGGTGGGCCCCTTAGTGGATGATACAAAAATCAAGCAAATAAATTAAGTGCAAACTATGATAAGTGCTCTGGCAGTAACAACAAGGCCTGAGATGGAGTTGAGGAAGGTACTTATTCCTTCTAGTGTGGGCAGGTAAGTCCTGATGGGTGGGAAGAAACCAATGGCATGAAGAATAGAGAGTGTGTTCCAGAGGTGAAACAGCAATTGCAAACGTCAAGAGATTGGAGAGCCTGAGTTACTTAAATGACTGCAAAGGTAAGCTGAGGTAGGATAGTAAAAGACAATAGCTAAAATCTATAGGAACCATGAACCAGAAGCAATCTGCAAGATGCTCCTTGGGATGTCTTCCCCCTCTCCCACTCTGACTGGTGTTATCACCTTTTCTGTACAGTTAATGCCAACATCTATACCTGTAAGTTGGACTTCTGAGTACCTGAGCACTTGCTGTATTTAAATATTTTTAACTTAATTCCAATATCAAAATAGTTATTTCCCTACTTTTTCTGTTCCATACTGTTCCATCCAGTCAGTTACCATGTCTAACAATTTTACCTCTAAAACATCTCCTAAGGCTTTCTCCAGTTTTCCATCGTACACACTGCCATGATTCATTCTTCCATTATGTATTATCCAGCTCTTGTAGGAATATCTCACTCCCACTCATGCAAGCACTCTCCTAGATTGCTTGCCAACCTGCATATCCTATCATATTTCTCCATTGTTATAAAACCCTCAAGATTTCTCCACGTTTTAACAAATTAAAATGGAATTCAAGACCCTCCTAGGAAGGCCTCCCACTACTATTCCAACTATATGTGACCTTCCTTACCCCCAAAGTTTGAGGATTAGTATGTATTTGAAGTTTGACACCCTGCTGCCTCTTAATTGCTTGTCACCTCAGACATCCAAACCTCAACTTCCCAATCTGTAAAGTTGGTATTAAAATAGTTTGTACCACCTAAGGTTAAGGTTATTGTGAGGATAAAATGAAATAGTGACTCTTCAATGAATAAGTATTCAATTACTGTTTTTCTCATTTAAAAACATCCTATAGTGAAACACTAAAAAACAAATGTTTTGAATATATTTCATATTTTGTCTCATGTATTTTTAAGATTAAAATGTTCATACCGGGACTACTTGTAAATCTTAACCATTCCCTCATTAATAGTGAGTTAAATACAATGTTTAATATGTATTCAGTTAAAAAATGTTTGTATCAGAACTCATCTAATCAAATTATACTTTATAACATATGGATAATTTCAATAATAAGAAAACAGTAACTAAGATGTTACATTATCCTATGACAGCATCACAACTTTATCTTATAAAATACTTATGGTAGAGCTTTGTCAATACATTGAAATGGCTTAAAATTTTATGCTGACTTTGTATAATGTCAAGAAATAAATTACTTGTAGATACTTGAGAATTTTTATATAAATCTTATGTTTTTAATGCTGAAAAAAAAAATCTAGCTTTGTTTTAAAACTTCATTGACCAAAAAAATGCCAAAATTGAAATGTAATGAAACATCTCATTTAACTGCACAGAAATGTAGTCAGGTAGAGGTTATCAGCTCCATTTCACAGATGAAAAAACAAGGCTTAGGAGTTTCTGTGATTTTCCCAAGACCATACGTTGCCAAGGGCAGAGTTTATATTTAAACCTGCTCCTTCAATCACTCACTATACAGTCCATAGTGCATGATCCCCATCTTCACTGGAGTCTCTTAAAACTTCCTACTAATATGAAAATAGTTATTCACCTTACACACACAGGATAGTAGAATCTATATCTGCCACTTGCTGAACTTGGATACATTAACTAGACTGCTCAGCCTCAATTTCCTCATCTATAAAATGGAGAAGATAATAGTCATACACTTAATAAGTTAGATATAATTACTGTTGTTCATGAGCGTAGAAATTTCAAATACAGTTTTAAAAGATATACGGCCACTAACTAAAATCTACATTTGCTAGACTCAAAGTCAGATGGTCATAGTAGTAACTGATAGTATGACTTCCTAGGCTAACATTTGTCATGGCAATCTGGAAAAAAAAAAGTACTCCATGCAATGGAAAGATCAAGATTTTTTTTTAAGAGTAAGTTAATCAACTGGGCACGGTGGCTCACGCCTGTAATCCCAGTACTTTGGGAGGCCGAGGTGGGTGAATCACGAGGTCAGGTGTTCTAGACCAGCCTGGCCAACATAGTGAAACCCTGTCTCTACTAAAAATACAAAAATTAGCTGGGCGTGGTGGCACATGCCTGTAATCCCAGCTACCTGGGAGGCTGAGGCAGGAGAATTGCTTCAACCTGGGAGACAGAGGTTGCAGTGAGCTGAGATTGCGCCACTGCACTCCAGCTAGGGCAACAGTGTGAGACTCTGTCACAAAAAAAAAAAGAGTAAGTTAACCAATTCTGTCAAAAATAAAAGATCTTAGTAATAAAATATATATAATTGAAAAGGTGAATGTGATTAAAATGAACATGTTTATATATTTATATATTAGTATATAAATATGAAAATATATAAATATTAAATGATCTCATTTTACCTCCCTAATTCTATAAGCTGGTTATTTCTATGTTTTTTAAAAAGGAAATTAAAAGACAAAGCAAATAAATGACTTACATAAACTGACATGTTTAATTGGAACTGTATTTGGAAATGAAGTTAAATTGACTTGATATTCAGGCAATGCCCTTTGTCAGATAATCTTTCTGAGCATTAGATAGTTTGCTGTAATATGGATATTTGGAGATGCATTTTTCACTTTTGCATGGTCTTAGGTTACCAGCAAATGGGCTGGCAAAATCATGTAATAATATTGTCTGAAAGGTACTGCCCTTAGGAATGAGTTTGTTACCTGGCAGGATTTGGTCTGCTTCTATCCCATGAAGTTAATCCAATTAACAGGAAAGCCATTAAACACACTAGTATCTACCCAGAGCTGTAACATTTTCCACTTACTCACATATGTGCAAAATTCAGCAAACTGCCTGCCGGGTGAAAATTTGGACCCAGACCCTTAATGGTTCTGGGAAGTTCCTGTAGTCTATAGTGCTCCCCTTTGTTAATTAATATGGTAGCATTAATTAATATGGCACATCTTTTATTAATTAATATGGATTTTCTGCTTAAATTTTTAAAATTACAGATGACACCTTTAAATTGGATAGTGCTATTTGCATTGGAAACAAGCATGGCTGACTGTCTTGTTGAGTGTGTTAACCTTTCGTTAGCTGATCTAGAGCATTTATAAACTTTGATACTGTCTTTCATTTACTATTCTTCTGGTATGCACTATAAACTTCTACATTATAAAAGAATCCAAGTTATTTTGTCACTGGCAAATAGTCTATAGTAGTGAGTCATATTGATTTATGAATCTGTGCAGTTACTTGTTTACAGAATTTATATCGTGCTTTTTTGTATGCTGTATTCTGCAAGCACCAAGAGCCTTCTGTCTGTTTCTGTCTTTCTATGGCCCTGCCTTCCTTATTCCACTACCATTGATGCATTCAAGTTTATACGCTTTTGGCAGTTTTCAAAGATTTGCATTAATCAACATATGGATCAAGACCTCCTCTCTCACCAGTAATTTTCCTTTATGTGTTTCTACTGAAAATGAGATCTACCTGCCTATTAATAGTGTTGGCTTATTCATCTTTCCTGGCTTCTATGATATCCATCTCTATGAAACCTAGGTATTTGGTCAATAATAAAGGACCAAATATATTAATATATATGCATATACACATCCATGAGTGTGCATATATACATGTATGTTAAAATTTAAGATGAATGAAAAGGTTAAGTCTGCATGTTTTGTCTTGGAAGCATAAGAACCTGAGTGGAAGATAAGAGCCTTTCAATTTGATTTATGTCTTCAGGCAAGAAACTCAAAGATGCTTATTTCCTCAATTTTAGAAGAGCCGCTTTTGAGTAAAATAGGTAGAAAGGGGTTAGGGATTTGGGATAGGACTGTAGAAAACAAATCATGAATATTTTTACACTCCATTTCAGTTTTGCAACATTTCGGAGACCACATCTTGCTCTTCTTTCTTATAGGCTAGGATGTTTCAATGAGACTTCAACCAGCATATGTGGTTGGGGTGGGGGGAAACAGTGACACCTCATTTTCTCTTTCTCTTTTGAGACTACGCGCATGAGTCATTTTTATCACACTACAAAGTCTTGCCAACAATTATGGCCAATAACATTGCTTTCCATCACAATATAAACATGAGCTAACCCTTAAAACTTTGAAAGTTTCTTAAAGACAAGAATGTGATGTCTTTATGCTCTCCTCTGCTGAACATGGAAGTATAGGAATCCAAGGATCTAGAAAACCAAGAACACCGTAGATAAAAACATGCATATTAAAGATAAAGGGAAAAATATTAGATATCCCCAAATCTTTCTTTCATCCTGACTTCTCTAAAACCCAAACCTATATGTATATATTTGAATACAAATGTATATTTTATTCAAATACAATGTATATTCATATAACAAACCCTAAACTCAATATGTCTAAAGTTTACTCTATCTCTTCCTAAGTTCATATCTTCTCAGCCTTCTACATGTATAACCGCTTCAGCCTTCTCACATTTGCTTAGGATTGATCATTAAATTTGCAATGAACTCTTTCTTCTCTTTCCCCCCTACCTCTTCCTTTTCTTTCCTGCCCCATATCAGTAAGGATGTTTGATTTCAAGTGACAGAAAACCAACTCAAACTGGTTTAGGAAAAGAAAAAAGAATTTTATTGCCTCACATAACTTAAAAGCCCAGGAATAGAGTTCACTGAAGTTTTTACTGAATTCAGAATTTCAAACAGTGGCATCATCAGAACTGTTTCCCTTCATCTCTCTGTTCTTCTTTATGTGGCTTTATTTTCAGGCCACATGTAACCCCTGTAGCTGAAAGTTCATATTATCTTTATTGTTCTGCATAGTAGACAGAATAATGCTCCCCCCCCCCCACTGCCCCCAAAGTTACCTATATCCTAATCCCTGAAACCTGTGAATATATTAAATACCATGGCAAGCAGGAATTTGCATGGTGAAATCCTAACCAACAAGGTGATGGTATTAGGAAGTGGGGCCTTTTAAGGGATGCTTAGGTTATAAGAGCAGAGCCCTCGTGAATGGGATTAGTGCCCTTATAAAAGAGGGCCTAGGGAGCTTACTCACCCCTTACAGGGTGTGAGAACACAGCAAGAAGTTGCTATCTACGAACCAGGAAATAGGCCCTCACCAGACACAGAATCTACAGACAACTTGACCTTGGACCTCTCAGCCTCCAGAACTGTGAGAAATACCTTTTTGTTGTTTATAAGCCATCCAGTCTATGCTACTTTGTTATAGTAGCTTGAATGGACCAAGACACCTTCCTTAAAGAGGATGTTCATGATCATGAACAGACCTACATGGAACTTGTCATATAGTTAAAATTTTAAGATGAGTTATTTGGTACAGCAACAGTAAAAAACAAACAAACCATATTTTGCATATGACTATCAGGTCAACTGTTTTTACATTGGTGTTTACAAATCAACACTCTTCTTCACCATGCTTTAAATAACAGAGATAGTTCTACACTCAACAAATAGCAATTATTAAGGACTTTCGGGTGGCAAGGCTGCCCAAATTATCATGAAATTATTGGGCTGTATGTATAAACATTTAGCTTTTGGATCAATTTTATCAGCTGGAAAACTGTAGATTCTTTTGGTCGCACAGAAAAAAGATCACTAATATTATCTCATATCACAGGGTATGGTGCAGGGTAGGCAGCACAAAGTCTAATTAGGATGCTGTTACATCTGCTCAAGCAAGAAATTTTGAGTGCCTGGACTAATAAGGTAGCAGTAATAGGGTTAGGGAGGAGGGAATGGATTGAAGAAATATTTAGCAATAGGGTTTAGACTAACAACATATATTTATTAAGAGCCTACTAGATACCAGCCACTGTGAAAATGGAAAATATAGCAATACGGTGTCCTACATTTCTAACAAAATGTTGAACATTTTATTTTATTGCTATTATGCAAGTATAGATAAAGCCATCCTTAAATTCGTCTGGGAAGACAAAGGATGCTTCACAGAGGTTATATACCATGGGAACTGAATTTTCTGGAGTTGGTTCAGAATGCAGATTCTGGAATCAAATTCCCTGTGTTTGAATCCTGGCTCTGGCTCTTAGCTGTGTCTTTGTGTGGAAGGTACTTAATAATGTAAACCTCACTTTTCTCAATTGTAAACAGATGTAGAAAGAAAATTACTGATAACAGCTACCACTTAGCAGTCACCATGTCAGGTACTATTCCAAATACTCAACAGCCAATAATTTATTTAGCCATCACAGCAATCTTACGAAGTAGGTACTATTATTAGATGAGGAAACTGAGGTACTGATATATTAAACAGATTTCACACACCACACTGCTGGTAAATGGCAGAGCTAAGATCTGAACCCATGCAGTTCGCCTCCCGAATCCATGCTGTTGATCAATATGCCACTTTCCCAAGGATCAGCTGCTTAGCATTATCAAGAGATCCAAAGGGGAAAATGCACGTAAAGTGCTTAGCACAGTGCCTGCATGTAGAACTTGCTTGATAAGTATTAGCTTAATTTTATACTCATAAAATTAAATATTAATAAATATTGGCTCTTCAGATTGGTGTCACTGGGTGGTTGGATCTGCTAGTTAGGCACTATAAAGAGTACGAAGGAGGGAAAAAGGCAGCTGTCTTGAAGCAGAAGGCCAGGACCTCCATTTCCAGCTTCTCTACTTGTAGGCAGTGGGATTGCCTGTGCTCATGCCTATGCTTCATGCTTCATAGCATGGAATCTTTGAAATAAACAGATAGGAGAGCATGGATTTATTCAAACAATAATCATTTTCAAAGGTCCAGCAATGGGTCAGGCCTTGGGCCAGGTTTCATGGGGAATACACAATTGGAATAACGCCTTCAAAATAAGATTAGTGGCTTAGAGCTCAGGTTCTGGAGACAGATTTTCCAGGTTGAATACTAACTCTGCCAATTGGCCACTTGAGACTTTGGGCAAGTCACCTTACTTCTCTGTGCCTCATTTCTCTTGTCAATAAAATGAAGAAGAGTAAGCAGATTTTATAGGGTTGTGTGCAGACAAAGAGAGGCAAGACCTGTAGGAACAGGGCAGGGGCTCTATAAATGTGCCCTTTGCTTATTCCCAACTCTCCACACCATCCCACATGTGTGACCTCAACTTGCGTCCTTGCCACCTTTCATCAATACTAAAGCAATTGCCCAAAAAGTGCTTTTTAAACTTCTTTTTTTCCTTTTTGTAGCATAGAGTTTTTCAAAAATAAATTATATCAAAATAAATGTGTAAAATACCTCCACGTCTTAGCATGTGCTACTTCCTCATTCTGTATTGCTCTTAATCATGCCACACTTGGAGGAAACTTTTTTTTTTTCTTCAAATACTATCTCAAGCAGCTGGGACCTCCTCTCTGATATCTCTGAGGATATCCCCAATTGCAAGAATTAATCATTCACTCCTGGTAATATCTCTACTCCTTATGCATATGCCTATTAGTGCATCAGAGTAAAAGCAGTTGTCATATTCATCTTTGCATTCCCAGAGCCAGGTGCAGAGCCTGGCATGTAGTAGCCTAGGTACATAATAAATTATCCTTTATAACAGCTGTATTGAGCTGTAATTCATGTAACAGCCATCTAAAGTGTACAATTCAATAGGTTATAGTGCATTTACATTTATGCAACCATCACCAGAATCCATTTTTATGACACCAAAAAAAAGAAACTCAGTCAATTAGCAGTCACTCCACATTCCTCTCTGCCCAACCCTAGGGAAACACTAATCTGCCTCTGATCTCTATGGATTTGCCTATTCTGGACATTTCAAAAATAGAATCATGCAATATAGTGTGGATATTACCACTGTACTTTGTGAGTGGCTTCTTTTGCTTAGCATGCTATTTTCAAGGTTAATTCATATATTAGCATGTATTAATAGTTCATTTTTTCTATGGCCGTATAATATTCCATTTGATGGATATGACATATTTTATTTACCCATTCATCAGTTGGTGGATATTTGGGTGGTTTTTACTTTTTGGCTATTATGAATAAAGCTTCTGTGAACATTCATGTAGAAATTTTGTTATGGACATATATTTTCATTTCTGTTGAATATATACCTAAAAGTGAAATTGCTGGGTCATGTGGTAACTCTTTTTAACCTTTTATGGAAGTGCCAGACTGTCTTCTAAAGCAGCTACACCAACTTACATTTCCACCAACAGGGAATGAGTGTTCTAATTTATCCACATCCTTGCCAACACTTATTATTATCTGTACTTTGGATCATAGCTATCCTAATGACATGAGATGGTATCTCATTGTAGCTTTGGTTTGCATTTTACTGACAGCTTATGATGCTGAACAACTTTTCATGTGTTCGTTGACTTTTTCTGTCCCTTCTTAAGACAAATGTGTACTTATATTGTCTGCTTATTTTTAATTGGATTGTCTTATTATTGAGTTGCAGGAGTTCTTTGTACATTCTAGACTCAAGTCCCTTATCAACTGTATGATTTGCAAAAATGTTTCACATTCTGTGGGTTGTCTTTTCACTTTCTTGATAGTGTCCTTTGAAGCACAAAAGTTTTTAATTTGGTGATGCCCAATTTATCTATTTTTTAAAATTGTGTTACTTTTATTTTTGGTATAATTTATCTAAATAACTATTAGCTAATGAGAGTTCACAAAATTTACACCAAGGCTTTCTTCTATTTATATTTTTACCTTTACATTTGGGTTTTTGATCCGTTTGAGTTAATTTTTTTTAGATGGTGAGTAGGAATCCAGCTTCATTCATTTGCATGTAGATTTCCAGATGTACCAGCCCATTTGATGAAAAGACCAATCTTTCCCTCATAAGAAAATTTAGAATTAAACTCCATACTACGCCACCTCTGCCTTCAGGGAATGCATAGTACTGTGATGGAGACTGGTAGATACATGAAAAAGTGGCAATGCAACATGGCAATGCAACATAGCGATGTGTGAGCCCAAAAGAGTGCAAGAGCTGGCTAGGAATGTCTTCTTCAAGTTTCCGAACTGAGCCCCGATATTGAACATAGAGTTACTTACAAACAATGATTCTCTCTTCCTATGATATATAATTAAAATGACACCTGCATAATGCCTCTATTGTCTCCACTCATATGCAATTCTCAACAATTAATAGACACCAAGAATAAAAGCACAGAGGAAGATGGAGATGTCTCGATTTAAAAAGAAGAAAATCTTAAGTGTTATTAAAACTAAAAAATAGCTAGGAAACTGAGGTAGGTCTCTTGAAACACAAGTCCCATTATCTTTTATGATATCCTCCTGGTCACAGATAAATTAATTTTTTTAGCTTTAAATAAAAAGCCACCACATTGCCCTTTTTTACTCTTCTATCTTGTTTTCCATTCTGAATCTGAGTGCCTGGCTTCTCTGCAGATATTGCTGAAATCACCATACTCAATTAGCAAGAAAGACCTACACTACCTACCCTCAGATGCCTGGCAGAAGGTGTCCCAAAGCCTATAAGGAAGGCTTAAGAACGAGCAGAGCTTTTCAATCACAGCATCTTATTTCAGCATCTGAGCCGAGCTTTGAGTTTGGTACTTCTAAGATGATAAAGAAAATATTGACATGAAATGACATTATTCATCAAAATTTTGACATTTATCTCTAAACTACAATGTATTAACAAGATACCCCGGAATCATTTTCTTTCTTTATTCTAATATGTATATGTACATGCACAAAAACATATGTGGTATTCTGAAATTGTGTTTTTCCATCAACAAAAACAATCAGCATAATTCTTATTCATTGAATAATATGGAGGTTTACAAGTTCTCTAAAATTTTTCTCATAAAGATCTGAAATCTTCTTTTGTTGCATAAAGGAAAGTACTGGGGTTATCCTTTGCTTTAATGTGGAGCACCACTTTGCTGATGACCTGTGGAAGGCATTTTCCCTGCCAGCATCTGGCTACCTGGCAGACTCCATAGGCAGCTGGGAAAGAAACTTCAGAGCTGCTTCTGGGTCTTCCACATAATTAGCCTGTTTATAGGCCATCTGGGTTGCTTTGATTTCACCATCGCCATTTCTCTTTTCTGAAGATTTTCTGTGTGTCTCTTCCTTTGGGACTAAAGTCATTAATAAGTCCTTCCTTAGTTAGGGACACAGGCTTCTTTCATGTGTCTGGCAACTCTCTGCCCCTCTGGATCCATCTCATTATGAAGCACCCTACAGACCAAGGGAGGGTGGTGTTTATATTTGATTATGCTATCATCAAATTAACAGGCCTCATTAGAAGGAAATTGCAGATTTGGGGCTCCCTAATACAATAGATTCTTAGAAAACCTCATCCAAAAAATAACAAAGCATAGTTAAAGAGAACTATTGCAAGAAGGCCAGGATTTTAGTGAGGGCTGCTTAGATGGATAGAGAAGCTGAACTATTGGTGCTGTGCTAATCAAACAATGTCAGTATGAACTTAAGCTAATTTGAATATCATGCTATTCCCCCTTCTCAGAAACCCTCCTTTCTCCTGTTCAGTTATCAAATCCTACTTATCTTTAAAATCCATATCAAATCTTACCCAAAGTATGCAAATTAGCTGCAAATGAGGTCATAGAAAGGATTTTGCTTGTATCAGATGACATTAAATGTGTTTTGATTCAACATGTTAAAATCAAGATATTTCACATCACAATCTTGACTTCTAAATCCCTTTGAAAACTCAGATCCAACAGCCATCAGCTCTAGAGCAGAGGTTGGAAAACTATGGTGACCACACCATGGCCTCTAGTTTTTGCAAATAAAATTTTACTGGAACACAGTCACACCCATCCAGTAATCATGTGGTCAATGGCTGCTTCCATGGGTAACAGAGTTGCAGAGCTGAGTTGCAACAGAGACAGGAGGGCCTTGAAAAGAATAAATATTTGCTATCTGTCACATTACAAGGAAACATTTCCCAACCCCTGAACTAGGCCTGAAGCAACTGCCTCTTTAAGTAGGACATGAGTTTTCCAGGTCAACAGACCATCCCACCACCTACACAAAGGCTGTCATATCTCCAGTTGCCTGCCTGTCCCCTGTAGACCTGGAAGTCTCTTCTCTGTTTACAGTTTTTAGAATCTCTTAACATGTTAGCTCATGCTTTTCTTTCTCTCTCCTTTAACCAAGTTAGACCCAGATTCTCCCCACTGTCAATCAAAACAGCCACATTTATCTGCCCTGGTTTTGCTGCAGAAATGTTTTCTTCCTGTGCAAAGTTTGTTAGTTTTGTCTCTCCAGGGCAGGAACATTTCTTTGCTTCTTTTGCATTTCCCTAAGGCCTGGTGCAATGTGAATAAAATAGTAGATACTTAGTAAATATTTTTTATTTGACTTATTGTTGTCAACCTGATGTACTCTAACCTCAGAAACAAATAAAGAGTACTAAAATACATGTTTTTGCTTCAGAAAGAAAAACTCTAGGGGAAGATGCACAACAAGGGGAGTCACCTGTTGTCTGCTTCACCTGACCACCTGTCTACCCTCTGGAAGCAAGGGCAGGGTGCCTCAGGAGAAGCCATGTCTGCCTGCAAGAAGTCCTCTCTGGGTGGCAGCCTCAGCCTCTCAGTTATGAGGGCTTGTTAGCACACACACCATGACTAGCTCCCTGCCTTGGGGCAAACTCTGACTACCTCAATTCACAAACATAGTTATATAAAATAGAACGTGCAATAAGAACTAGAACAACCGAGGAACTTGGACTCTTGCGTCTTCTGACCAGTGTATTTTTTTCCTCTAGGCAGGGAAAACGTAGGAATAAAGCAAGGGAAGTTGGTTAGATGGTTGGAATGTTTGCTGACATCAGTTTCAAAGAGTCCAGAGCACTGAGGCTGGCAAGTCACCTCCCATGACCAGGGTTCCCTTCCTCCATGGTACTTTAACAATTTCTGTCTTTTGAAATCATTTCTGGGATTTCATTACTAAACAAATGCCTTTCCAGTGTAATATTTCTTTTGTAAAACATGTCATTGTTAGCATCCATTCCTTAATTAGGCCTAGGAAACTGCTATCTCTTTACCATGGCCTTATATCTCTGGTTTGATTAGTAAATACAGATCTTCCAACCTAAATCTCAGAGCTATTTTATTTTCAAGATGAACAGAAAGAAATGTCAGAGAGTCACCCCAGAGTTGTCCCAAGAGCTAGCTGCATAACTGAAGTAGGACAAGGTAGAGTCAGCACGCTAGAGCAGCTAAACTGAACACCAAACTGAAAACCACAGAGAGAGAAGAAACCAAATCTCCAACATGCAATGGCCTGCTGGAATCAGAAATGCTAGGTCCATGGGCTTATAGTCTAATTTCACTGGGGAGATTATCCTTCAGTTTGAATTATAATCACCCAAACAGTCTCTAAATTTTGATCCCTGGCTTCAAAAGAGCAGGAAGGGATGGCTTTCTCTAGTGCAAAAAAAAAAAAAAAAAAAAAAACCCATCACAGTCTGTCATGGCTGTTGACCTTGGTTCAATGGCCTTCCTTTTCTCTGGGAGCCCATCAGGGCTCTGTGTAGAGGTGAAAGATGATGCAGGATTTTCTGCTCTTTAGCTCAGTTAAATCCAGTATCTTGTCTCATGACCAAGAAGAATTAGGCACATAGACACATTGAAGGGTGAGGAGGGTGGAATTTATTAAGTAAAAGGGGAGCTCTCAACAAAGAGAGGGGTCTGGCCAGCAGCCTCCAATCTCATGGTGGAGTGCTAGGACTTTCACATACGAGCTGAAGAGGCTAGGCTCCTCCCCAGCATAAAGCATGAATTCCTGGTGGCTCTACCCTATTCTCCCAGTGTGCATGCAGGCATGCCCAGGCAAGCCATAGGTTGTATAGAAAAAGGTAACATTCAATTGGTTAAAAGGGACTATTCAGAAAGAATCAGTTGGGAAAGAGCAGGCAAACAGGGGCAGTTCTTCCTCTGGGTCACAGGTTTCATCTGGTCTTTCAGCCTTCAGGCTGTTTTAGGCTTGAAGGTGGGGTTTTGCCGGGGACACTTACCTATCTGCCTAGGCATCTGTCTGCCTTCTGCCTCTATCAGGGACAGACTCTCAAGGAGCAGGCATTCAGAGTTGGAGGCTGGAGGAGGAAATGATGGTGACACTGGGTCTGCTCACATTGCTAAACCAAAGTAAATCTGTGAGTAGGTGTAGTTCTTAATTCCTACCCACAAAGCTTGGGGCCACATGTGTTTCCAACTTCAGAATTTTTCACATTTTAGGAAAAAAAAATGTATACGCTTTATGTTATATATACCCCCAGTGGGGTCTAGGGCAACACTCCATATGCAAGGTCATTAAATGCTTCTGAATCATTGCATATAATATTCATTCTAAGGTTAATGAAGACTCTACAGTAGACTCACATGAGTTCAGATTTTGCCCCCAAATGAGTGCTGATCAAGTTAGTTTTACTAATAAGTGACTGCCCCATCCCCAAAAACCCTCTTTATTTTTGGAGTTCTTTAGATTTCAGAATTGTGGGAAAGAGATCATGGACCTGTACTGCCAAATAAATCTATAAATTGATTAGCATCAACTTTAGCTCATCTTTAGTGCTATCTCAGCCCAGTGGGAAACATTGTTGTGCCTCAGGACCTTGGTTCAGGCACAGAGAGGTTCCCATGGCACTTGTTGCCTCCAATCTGCAGGCCCAGAAGGCTTAGACTGTTTTCCTCTACTCATTAAGTGAGATTCAACATTCAGTAATGTTTGAGGATGCTTTCTCCCAGAAGGGAAATGCTACCTTTTGATTTTCTTCAATAATGAAGAGTGAGCATTGTTGATTTTATAAATTTTACTGCCAAACATTATGGGGACCCAGAGGTGAATTGGTGAGATATCAGTAATAGTAATAATAATAAAAGTGGGAAATAATAGCAGTAACAATGGTACTAACAGTAATAATAATTATTAATACTTATTCTGCCATTATGTGTCATCCATTGCCCTGACAGCTTTATTTACATGATTTCATGGAACTGCAAAATAAGTCAATGACATAGATACTAGGATTATCTCAATTTTACAAATAAGGATATTGAGGTATTGATAGGTTAATTTACAAATTTACAAACGTTAATTTACAAATTTACAAACTTAGAAACTTTAACAAACCCTGACTTTATTGGTGAGATGGTAATGTTACAGTTGGATTAGACTGTGGTCTCAGCTTACTGGTTTTTAATTGTTGAAGATAGAAATCTACGTCACTCCTTCCCTCCAAAAACTGCTCTTCGATCATTAAGTTTTAGAGGAAACTATAGCAGAACAATAGAAGCCACCTTTCCCCAAGTGGTTGATTGACTTATTCCAGCAATTTCTAACCATATGGAAAACATTTGTCTCCCTTTCGGAGTTCTCTTATATAGAACTAAAACAGGCAAATTTCACTGGTGTCTCCACAGACTTTCCACCACTGTTCCCATCAACTACTGGATGAAATTAGAAAGTGTAAGAAAAGTCCTCTTGCTTAAAGGAACTTTATAATCAGTTGCCCTGTAAAAGGACTAAAGCAGTGATCATGAGCTAGCCAGCAATGTTTAGTAAATGTAATAGGGCAATTTATTGATCAGATTAAAGGATGACTCCAGTTCAATTTAACATAAGTTGACAAGCAGTTCGGAACTCACAAATAATTAGACAACTCTCTTGTGTTTCCTAGAAACATGTTTCTGTCTAGAAAAGCTAAACATTATGAGAATTTTTTATGTTTGTACTCAAAAAAGTGGTTTTTTCCTGCTCCAAAGTCATTATCAAATGTGTTAAGGTATATATTTCCACCTACAGGTAATGATTTATCCTCAAAGCAGAAGATAGAAGTAAAATTCAGAATGAAACTTACATTTGCAAAAATTCTGACCCTGTGGAATGCCACCATAAAATTAAAATAAATGTGCTTTAATCTCCAGTCATAACTGCTTAACACCCAAAAATCCTGCCCTTCAAATATTAGCTTATAAAAAAAGACATTCCACTACTAAAAAGGTAGTCAATGTTCAATTTATGCAGTAATATCTCCCTGCCCCCCTTTTATTCTATTTACACATGAATGTAGCTAACTAGAATGTATCTGCTGAAAGAACAATTATTTTCCTTATTCACAGGTCTTGAGACTTCTTGCAATCACCATTTCTATTTGCCCTTATTAGAAAAAGGTTCAAACACAGTAACCATAGCTGACAATATCATACACAGTTACCAAACATAGTAACCAACAAAAATATATCCAATATTTGGTAGTTGATATTTCACAGGAAATTATTTAATAGTATCATGAGATTGGAGCCAGAGAATGAAATCATTCAATTTGATTATGTGGATGACACTGTTTGTCCTGAGTCTAATGACCAAGTAATACATATGCAACATCTATGTAAAGAATGATTGTAGTCATGTTAATAATTAAGATAATCTTAAGTGACTTGAGATCTGATCTGACCACTTCTAATAAAAAGGAAAATGTTACCATGCCAGGCAGATGACTCGAACTCTACTTTTATTTAAGATGAGCTCACCTAGAAAAACGTAATGAAAAAGTTTTCATCTTCCAAACCCCTCCCTATACCTCTCTTTTTAAAATTCATCAGCTCTTCAGAGGGCTCAGAATTATATCCCACTTGATTCGGCCATTTCAGGCAAAACCCTTTGTACAGACAATTTATTTGAATTGTTCATGCTGAACTCTAATAGATAAGCCAAAAAATCAGTGTCAAATAAATAGATAATATAACTGGGAAAAAATATCATGCTAAGAAATACAAGACTCAATTACAATCTCTTCATTTCATTCATTGACACATTTTTCAAGTAGCTAGTAAGTGTTAGGCATTATAATAGGCATAGGCAATAGAGAGATTATCCAACTGTAAATTACTTATTTGCGAGATCTGTGTTTCATATACAATTTGCATTCCCAGTACCCAGTACATTCCTGGCACATAGTAGGTTCTCAATAAATATTTGCTAAATGAATTTGATCAAATTATATTGTGCACCAGTTTTATCAGATGCTGAGACAGTCACCAGGAATACAAAGATGAAAGAAAGACACATTCAGAAGATCAAGAAGCGGAGGAGTGTCACTTAATGATATATATATATAATTATTATAATGTTATTCACATATCATGTAATATTTTTTGAATTATAAAAGCTATTCATGTATATTAAGGAAAGTTAGGGGAAAAAAAGAAAATTTTAAATGAACTATAATTATACCACCTAGAGGTAATCACTTTGATTACCCAGAGGTATGTACCATGTGTATATCTTTCCAGGTTCTTTTCTGTATTTCAAAGGGGTGTGTGCATGTCTATGTTTCACTTTTTACAAAAATATAATCACACAAAACCTTTCTATTTTTAAAAGAAACTATTAAGAAAGTAAAGAGGAAGCCATAGACAGGGAGAAAATATTACATAATATTGAGTGATACAAACATAAGACAGAGAACTTATTTTCAGAAAAAAAAATTCTAAAACGTTACAACTCCAGAAAAAGGAAAATTAACAGTGGCCAAAGATTTAAACAAACATTCACCAAGAGAAGATATAAAATCACTCAATCACTTTTAAAAACAATTTGACAGTACCCTGTAATCATATACTGACCAATTCTTATAGGCTGAATGTTTGTGTCTTCCCAAAATTTGTACGTTGAAATTATAACCCCCAATGAGATGGTATTAGGAGATGAGGCTTCTGGGAGGTGATTTAGCTTCTGGAGGTGATGAGGGTAGAGCCTTTGTATTAGTCTGTTCTCATGCTGCTATGAAGAAATACCTGAGACTGAGTAATTTATAAAGAAAAGGTTTAATTGACTCACAGTTCTGCATGGCTGGGGAAGCTTCAGGAAGCTTACAATCATGGTGGAAGGGGAAGCAAACACATTCTTCTTCACATGGTGGCAGCAAGAGGAATTGCTGAGCAAAAGGGGAAAAACTCCTTATAAGACCATCAGATCTTGTGCGAACTCACTCACTATCACGAGAACAGCATGGAGGTATCTGCCCCCATGATTCAGTTACCTCCCATCAGGTCCCTCCCATGACACATGGGGATTATGGGAACTAAAATTCAAGATGAGATTTGGGTGGGGACACAGCCAAACCATATCACTCCTTTCCTGGCACCTCTCAAATCTCATGTTCTCATATTTCAAAACACGAGCATGCCTTTCCAACAGTTCCCAAAGGCTTAACTCTTTCCAGAATTAACCCAAAAGTCTAAGTCCAAAGTCTTATCTAAGACAAGGCAAGTCCCTTTCAACTATGAGCCTATAAAATCAAAAGCAAGTTAGTTACTTCCTAGATACAATGGGGGTACAGGCATTGGGTAAATACACCCATTCCAAAAGGGAGAAATTGGCCAAAACAAAGGGGCTGCAGTGCCCAAGCAAGTCCAAAATCCAATGGGACAGTCAAATCTTAAAGCTCTGAAATGATCTCCTTTGACTCCATGTCTCACATCGAGGTTATGCTGATGCAAGAAGTGGGCTCCCATGGCCTTGAGCAGCTCTGCCCCTGTGGCCTTGCAGGGTACAACCCCCTCCCAGCTGCCTTCGTGGGCTGGCATTGAGTATCTGCAGCTTTTCCAAGTGCACAGTGCAAGCTGTCAGTGGATCTACCATTCTGGAGTCTGGAAGGAAGTGACCCTCATCTCACAGCTCCACTAGGCAGTGCCCCAGTGGGGATTCTGTGTGGGGGCTCCTATCCCACATTTCCCTTCCACCCTGCCCTAGCAAAGGTTCTCCTTGAGGGCTCCACCCATGCAGAAAACTTCTGCCTGGACATCCAGGTAATTCCATGCGTCCTCTGAAATCTAGGCAGAGCTTCCCAAACCTCAATTATTGACTTTGGTGCATGCAATCTCAACACCACGTGGAGGCTGTCAAGGTCTGGGGCTTGCATCCTCTGAAACTATGGCTTGAGCTGTATTTTGGCCCCTCTTAGCCATGGCTAGAGCAGCTGGGATGCAGGGCACCAAGTCCCAAGGCTGCACACTGCAGGGGGACCTTGGGCCTGGCCCACAAAACCATTTTTTCCTCCTAGGCTTCCAGGCCTGTGATGGGAGGGGCTGCCGTGAAGACCTCTGACATGCTTCTGAATTTTCCCCATTGACTTTGTGATTACCATTTGACTCCCAGATACTTAGGCAAATTTCTGCTGCTGGCTTGAATTTCTCTCCAGAAAATGGGTTTTTCTTTCCTACTGCATCATCAGGCTGCAAGTTTTCCAAATTTTTATATTCTGCTTCCTTTTGAACGTTTTGCTACTTAGAAATTTCTTCCACCAGATATCCTGAATTATCTCTCTCAAGTTCAAAGTTCCACAAGTCTCTAGGGCAGGGGCAAAATGTTGACAGTCTTTTTGCATGGCAAGACTGATCTTTACTGCTGTTCCCAACAAGTTCCTCATCTCCATCTGACAGCACCGCAGCCTGGACTTTGTTATCCATATCACTATCAGAATTTAGGTCAAAGCCACTCAACAAGTGTCTAGGAAGTTCCAAACTTTCCCAATCTTCCTGTCTTCTGAGCCCTCCAAACTATTCCAACCTCTGCCCATTACCCACTTCAAAAGTCGCTTCCAGATTTTGGGGTATGTTTACAGCAGCACTCCACACCCTAGTACCAATTTACTGTATTAGTTCATTCTCACGATGCTATGAAAAAACACCCAAGACAGGGTAATTTAAAAGGAAAGAGGTTTAATTGACCCACAATTGCACAGGGCTAGGGGGGCCTCAGGAAACTTACAATCATGGCAGAAGGGGAAGAAAACATGCCCTTCTTCACATTGCAGCAACAAGGAGAAGTGCTGAGCAAAAGGGGAAAGCCCCTTATAAAACCATCAGATCTCATGACAAGACACTAACATGAGAACAGCATGGAGGTAACCACCCCATGATTCAATTACCTCACATCAGGTCCCTCCCACAACACATGGGGATTATGGGAACTACAATTCAAGATGAGATTTGGGTGGGTACACAGCCAAACCACATCAGCCTTCATGAATGCGATTTATGCTTTGATAAAAGAGACCCCAGAGAGAACCCTTTGTCCCTTGCCACAGCAAGAAGATGGCCATCTACAAACTGAAAAGAGAGCTCTCACCAGGTACCAAATCTATTGGTGTCTTGATCCAGGACTTCCCAGCTTCCAGGACTGTAAGAAATAAATGTTTGTTTTTTAAGCTATCCAGTGTATAGTATTTTTGTTATAGCAGCCCAAATGAACTAAGACACCAGTCAACTGAGCAATTCCACTCTTACATATTTATCCAGGAGAAATGAAAACAAATGTCTATGTAAAGACTTGTACTTGAATGTTTATAGAAGTTTTATTCATGATAGGCCAAAACCGGAAATGACCCAAGCATCCATCAACATGTGAATAAATTACTGAATGTCCAAATCAAATGCGAATCACCAATAAAAGTAAAGGGACTACTGGTACACAGGACAACATGGGTGAATCTCAAAGTCATTATGCTAAAAGAAAAAATCCAGACACACACAAAAAAACATGCTCTAAGTTCCATTCATGTGAAACTCCAGAAAAAAAATCTAGTCTATAGTGATAGAAGTCAAATCAGTGGTTGCCTGGGGCCAGGGATGAACATGAGGAATAACTAGAAGGGAATAGCAGAAAATATTCTATATATTGATTGTGATTGTGGTTACGTGGTAGTATACACTTTTTTAAAAACCATCAAACTGTACTTTTTAAATGTGAGTATTTTATACTATGTAAACTATACATCAATAAAGTTAATTTTGAAAAAATTGAATCACCTAGCATATACTGATTTTAACCCAATAATAACCTTAAAAAAGAGCAACAATAGTTTTTTATATCACTACATGTGTATCTCTAGCATGGTGTGTAATGGCTTGATATTATGGCTGTGCTACAATTTATTTAACTGTGGAATATTTTAATTTTGACCTTTTCAAAAACTATTATATATAAAGCACTATATTGCTCACCCTTGAAAATATGAGTTAAATTTACAACTACAAATTGGAAATCATTACATGGGAAAGCAAAAAGGGACATTCAAAGTAAAGGACAGTCAGCTATAAAATGATATAGAAATCGTAAACATAATGCCCATTCAGAAAACTTCAGAAGGTCTTTTTGACTACAGAGCAAGTGGGGCATCAGAGGAGATGAGGGTGAAGTTGCTAAGGTTCACGTGAAGCCTCTTCTAAGCCATACTAAGAACTTTTGATTTTTCTCAGACAGAAAAGGGAGGAAATCTGAAAGATTTTAAGAGAAGGGACATGATTTCACTTATGTTTTAGAAAGATTACTTTGACATTTGGCTGGAGAATGAATTGGAGGCCTGTTCGATCACAGTAATCCAGGAGAGAAACTGTGAGTACCTGAGCTAAGAATATGGAATAGAGGAGGGAGGACAGTTCTTGTAGAGACCTATGAAGAAGGGAGATGAGGAAGACAAAGAAATCTAGGTGACCTTCCAGGGCCAAAAAGAAGGTAAGGAAGAGATTCATCAATGAAGCTGAAATATTACATGAGTCTTTATCAGAGCCTGAAATTCATCTACAACCAGGGTTGGATTACTGGTATAATATATTTGGCAAATTGCAGTGGACCTATAAACAACATTAATAGGCCTATAGAACAAACTCTGCCACTTACATTACTATGTTCCAGTGAGTTTTTAAAATTGAATTATTGTTGCTGTTGTGTTGCTGTTGGTAGTAGCAGTGATGTTGTTATCTCAAATATAATACATTCCTACTGACTAG